>NC_000006.12:54579785-55225469 GCF_000001405.40 Homo sapiens | reverse complement strand
TGCCTTTGTATCACCATATGGTCTGAGAAAGCAACACCATTACTTTGGAGTAGAGTCACTAATTCAACTCATAGAAGGATGAGGACAAGAAAAAGCAGAATATGTTTTATTAAAAAAAAAGACAGGGCTAAAATAATAACTAGGGACATAAAAGATCAGATACACCATTTGTAAAGTCATGTTTCTAGTTGGGTATTTGTATGACACACTAATGGAGACAAAGAAATACTATGTAAACATAGACCAATAATAAACACTATAAATAATTTTTGTACCTTAATTCCTAATTTTCTTTCATTTATCTACATTAAATCTTTAATATTTTTTAAGTTGACAAATAAAAATTGTATATATTTGTCATGTACAACATGATGTTTTAAAAGATGTATACATTGTGGAATGGCTAAAGGGAGCTAATTAAAAAATGTATTACCTCACATAATTATCAGTTTTTGTGTCAAAAACACTTAAAATCTACTCTCTTAGCAATTTGAGGATACAAAATATTGTTACTAACTATATTCAACATGTACAATAGATCTCTTGAATGTATTCTTCCTCTTTAACTGAAATTTTTTATTCTTTGACCGTTTCCCCAACCACATCTTACCCCAACTCCCAGCACCCGATAATCACCATTCTACTCTATATTTCCATGAAGTCAACTTTTTTAGATTTCACATATAAGCGAGATCATTAAGTATTTGTGCCTGACTTGTTCCTCTTAACATGTTTTTCAGGTTCATCCATGTTGTTGCAAATGACAGGGTTTCCTTCTTTTAAAAGGCTAAATAGTATTCCATTGTGTATATATACCACGTTTTCTTTCCTTTTTTTTTTTTTAACTGAGACGGAGTCTCGTTCTGTAGCCCAGGCTGGAGTTCAGTGGCACAACCTCGGCTCACTGCAAGCTCCGCCTCCCGGGTTCACGCCATTCTCCTGCCTCAGCCTCCCGGGTAGCTGGGACTACAGGCGCCCACCACCATGCCCGGCTAATTTTTTTTGTATTTTTTTTTAGTGGAGATGGGGTTTCACCGTGTTAGCCAGGATGGTCTGGATCTCCTGATCTCGTGATCTGCCCGCCTCGGCCTCCCAAAGTGCTGCGATTACAGGCGTGAGCCACCGCACCCAGCCCATGTTTTCTACGTTTATCCATTGATGGGCACTTAGATTGATTCTATATCTTGGCTATTGTGAATAAAGCTGCAATGAATACGAAACATCTCTTTGACATACTGAACTGATTTTCTTTGGATATATACCCAGAAGTGTGATTGCTAGACCATATGGTAGTCCTATTTAATTTCTAATGTTTATAAAACAAAATTTATTTAAGAAAATACAACACTTTGAATTGACTTTCATTTAAATTTAAATTAAGACTAAAGAATACTTACAAGATAACTCTAAGATGACTCATTATCTAATAAAATCTCTCATTGAAAAAATGTCAGCAACTGTCTTTGAAGTGTGAATTTTGGGAAATTCACCCATGTAGAAATACACATTTATCCAACTATTTCATTGCTTATTAAGTAGAAATTTGTCATGCAGATTGCTGCCATTAACAGCTCTGCATATAAATAACTTCCCTGCATATAAATAATTTCCTCCATATTGATAATGAACAAAATTATTTTAAAATGGCTGATTAGGTAAAAGAAGTACTGAAATATAACTACTTTTTTTTTTCTAGGTAAGTTGCCCGAATTTTTCTGCATCATAGCCAGATTTTTAAATCAACCTACAGTTTAACCTAAATTTGGAGTGATAGCCCGCCATATAGAGGTTGAAAAACTAAAATATTCTCAAGTGATAAAAAATATCAACAGAGAATAAATCTAGAGTTGAATTTAGACACAAGAATAACATAAGTGACAAAAGTAATTACAAATACATAGTAATAAAAAGACCCTTTTCTTCCCTCTACCAATCGAAAATAATTTTGCAAGTGTAGTTTGTTCCTAAATGCTAATTAGGGTCAAAGAACACCAAACAAAGGAAATTTCTTCTCTTTTGTAGTGTTAAAAATTACTTCAGGATGTTTTAAAAGCGATGCTGTATTTTTAATTTATGGTTACAGGATAATGGTAATTTAAAGAGAAGGCACAAAGGAGAATAGAATCAACTTATGAAAGGTAAGTAAGGGCCTATTCACTAAAGTAACCAGATGGCTTGTTGTCACAGAATTGATCAACCTAATTGTTTGGCATCACATAGATACAGCTGCAAGGATCCCAGTTACTAATAAAAAAGCCAGAAAAAATGGGAAATATGGTGCCAATAATTTTAGGAGATTAACTGGCAGTCTAGCTACATAAAAATGGGAAACAAACTAAAACAAATGGATCATTAGAACAAAAAAAGATAGTTTATATACTCTGCTTTAGTAAAAATTCCCTAAAATGATAATATGGATATATTAACAAATTAAGTAAACTCTACTGTTTCTCGTTTTTTAATTTTATTTGAACTCGTGTCACTATAATTCCATTTGGCAAATTCTTTAGCAACTTGCTTTCAAAAAAATGTGGTAAAAATCACATAACATGGACCTAACACATATTTAAGTGAACAGTACAATATTGTTCATTATATGCATATTATTGTACATCAGATCTTTAGAGCTTTTTCATCTTGCATGCTTTAAACTCTATACCCACTGAAATGCAACTTTCCTCTTACTCTTACTCCCAGGACCTGGCAGCTGCCGTTCTGCTTCCTGCTTCTATGACTGACTACTTTAGATACTTCATAGAAGTATATTCATGCAGTATTTGTCATTCTGTGACTGGTTTATTTTATTTAGTATAAGGTCCTCAAGGTTTGTCTATGTTGCAGCATATTATAAGATTTTCTTCTTTTGTAATGCTGAATAATATTCCATGATATGTACATGCCACATTTTATTGAATCATCTGTCATTATATATTTCATTTGTTTCCACCTCTTGACTATTGTAAATAAGGCTACAATAAACATGAGAGTGCAAATATCTCTTTGAGTTCCTGTTTTCAAATATTTTGGAAAAGTATCTAAAAGTGGGATTACTGGATCGTATAGTTTTATTTTTAATTTTTTTGAGGAACTTCCAAACATTTTTTCACAGTGGCTGTACAAAGGTTCTAGTTTCTCCACATCCCTTTCAACACTTTTTTTTTTTTTAATTCTCTTTCTTTTGTTTCATAATGGTCATCCTACCAGGTGTAAGATGATAGCTCATGTGGTTTGGTTTGCATTTCCCTAATTACTAATGATGTTAAGCACTCTTCATGTATCTGTTGGCTGTTTTTACATCTTCTTTGGAGAGATATCCATCAGGTCCATTGTCCATTTTTAATTGGGTTAGTTTTTTGCTATTGAGTTGTAGGTGTTCCTTATATATTTTGAATACTAACCCATTATCAGATATATGGTTTGCAAATATTCTCTCCCATTTCATGGTTTGCTTTTACACTCTGTTTTTTCTTTTTATTTATTTTCTGTGCATCAGTTTTTAATTTTATGTAGTTCCACTTATCTATTTTTTGTTGCTTTTACTGCCTGTTCTTTGGTGTCGTATACAAGAAATTATTGCCAAAACCAATGGTATAAAACTTTTCTCCTGTTTTTCTCTATGAGTTTCATAGTTTCAGATCTTGTATTTTTTTTTTTTTTGAGATGGAGTCTTGCTCTGTCCCCCAGGCTGGAGTGCAGTGGCGTGATCTCACCTCACTGCAAGCTCTGCCTCTGAGGTTCACGCCATTCTCCTGCCTCAGCCTCCTGAGTAGTTGGGACTACAGGCGCCCACCACCACGCCCGGCTAATTTTTTGTATTTTTAGTAGAGACGGGGTTTCACTGTGTTAGCCAGGATGGTCTCGATCTTCTGACCTCGTGATCTGACCCCCTTGGCCTCCCAAAGTGCTGGGATTACAGGCGTGAGCCACCACGCCCGGCCCAGATCTTTAATTTTTAATTCATTTTGACTTGATTTTTTGAGTAGGGTCTAATTTCAGTCCTTTGAATATGGCTATCTAGTTTTCCCAACACAATTGTTGAAGAGACTATCCTGTCCATAGTCTTTGTGCTTTGTATATTATTTTACAATGTATGTGTGGGCTTATTTCTGGGCTCGCTATGCTGGTTTGTAAGTTCATATATCTGTCTTTATGCCAGTGCTAAACTGTTTCTATTACAATGGCTTTGGAATATGTTTTGAAGTCAGGAAGCATGAGACCCTCTACTTTGCTCTTCTTTCTCCAGATTTTCTAAGTATCCATGGTTCTCAGATTTTTTTTCTATTTCTGAAAAAAATGACATCATAATTTTGGTAAGATTGTATAGGATCTATAAATTGCTTTCAGCAGTGTGCACATTTTAACAATATCGAGTTTTCTAACCCATGAAAACAGAATTATCTTTCTATTTATTTGTGTCTTTTAAAATTATTTTTTGGTAATGCTTTTATGGTTTTCAGTGTATAAGTCGTTAGCCTCCTTGGTTAAGCTTATTACTAAACATTTTAGTCATTTTTGATAATATTGTAAGTGGGATTGTAATGTCTTTTTCAGAGAGTTTGCTGCTATTGTATAGAAACATAACTGATTTTTGCATTTCGATTTTATGTTCTGCAATTTTGATGAACTTACTAGTTGCAACAGTTTCCTTGTGTGATTTTTAGAATTTTCTACATATAAGATTATTATATCTGGGAATAGAGATAATTTTCCCTCTTCCTTGCTGATTTCAGTGCTTTTTATTTCTTATTCTTGCATAATTGTTCTAGCAAAGACTTCTAGTAATACGTTGATGAGAAATGGCAAGAATGGACATTCTTACCTAGTTCCTGATCTTGGAGGAAAAGCTTTCAGTTTTTACCATTGAGTATGATGTTATCTGTTAGCTTTTGATATGTGACCTTTATTATTGTGTTGAGGTACATGCCTTCTATTCATAGTTTGTTGAGTATTTTTATTACGAAAGGGTATTAAACTTTGTCAAATGATTGTTCAGCATTTATAGAGATTATCATGTGATCTTATCCCTTGTTCTGTTAATATAGTGTATCACATTGATTGATATTCATATGTTAAACCATTCATCATTCCAGAGATAAATTCAACTTGGTCACAGTGTGTGATCCTTTTAATGCACTGTTGAATTCAGTTTGCTATTTTTTATTGACAACTTTTGCATTTACATTCATCAGAGATAGTGGCCTGTAGCTTGTTTGAAAGTGTGTGTGTTCGTTGTAATATCTTTATCTCATTTTGGTATCAGGAAAATGCTGGACTCATAAAATGAGTTTGAAATGCTTCGTCCTCTTCAATTTTTTGCAAAAGTTTGAGAAGAATTGGCATTTTTTTTTCTATTAAATGTTGGCAGAATTCTCCAGTGAAGTTTTCTGATCCTGGGATTTTCTTTTTTGGGAAGTTTCTGATCATTGATTTAATCTCCTTACTAGTTACAGATCTGTTCAGATTCTGTATTTCTTCTTGATTCAGTCTTGGTAGGTTGTGTATTTCTGAGAATTTATACATTTCTTCTAGGTTATCCAATTTGTTAGTGTATAATTATACAGAATAGCCTGCAAATCTTTATTGTTCCTGCCTCTTTGATTGCAATAGCTCCTTTTTTATTTACAATATTATTTATGAGTCTTCTCTCTTTTTTCTTAGTTATTCTAGCCAAAGGTTTGTAAATTTTATTGATCTTTAAAAAGCAGCTGTTAGTTTCATTAATTATTATAGTAATTTTCTACTTTCTATTTAATTTATTTTTTCTAATTTTTATTATTTCCTTTCTTTGCTAACATTAGGCTTAGTATTTTCTCCTTCTTCCACTTCTGAGGTGTAAAGTTAGGTTGTTTACTTAAAATCTTTTTTCTTTTATAATGTAGTCACTTACCACTATAAACTTAACTCTTGCCACTTTTGTTGCATTCCATAAATTTGGATATGTTGTCTTTTTATTTCATCTTGAGACATTTTCATTTATCTTGAAACATTTCAAATATCCCTTATAATTTCTTCTTTGACCCATGGACTGTTCAAGAATTTATTGTTTAATGTACACATATTGGTGAAATTGCCAGTTTCCTTTTGTAATTGATTTATAGTTTCATTCCACTGTGTTCAGAAAAGATATTTGATATGATTTCTGTATTTTTAAATTTGTTAAAACATGTTTTGTGACACAGCATATGATCTATTCTGGATAATATATGTGTGTGCATTAGAAGAATGCATATTCTGGTGCTGTTAGATGGAATTTTCTGCATATGTTTGTTAGGCTTATTTGGTCTACGTTGTTCAATCCGCTTCTCATTGATCTTCTGTCTGGATGTTCTATCAATTTTTGAAAGTTGGGTCCTGAGCACGGTGGCTCATGCCTATAATCCCAGCACTTTGGGAGGCCCAGGTGAAGGATCACTTGAGCCCAAGAGTTTAAGACCAGCTGGGCAATATACGAGACTTCATCTGTACAAAAGGTTAAAAAATTAGCTGGGTATGGTGTTGCATGTCTGCAGTCCCAGCTACTCAGCAGGCTGAAGTGGGAGAATCACTTGAGTCTGGGAAGTGGAGATTGCAGTGAGCTGAGATTGTACCATTGCCCTCCAGCCTGAGTGACAGAGTGAGACTCTGTCTCTAGAAAAAGAAAGCTGAGAATTAAAATCTCCTACTATTGTTGTATTGCTGTCTTTCTCCCTTCAGTTCCATTAATATTTGTTTATATATTTTAAAGCCCTAAGATTGAATACATATATGTTTAAAATTGTTATATCTTTCTGGTGAATTGACTCTTTTAATATTACATATTGTCCTTCTTTGTTCCTTGTGACAATTATTGACTTACAATTTATTTGTCCGATATAAGTATAATGAGCCCTGCTCTCATCTGGTTACCATTCACATGGAATACTTTCTTCCATCCTTTTAATTTTATCCTATGTGTGTCTACAAATTTGGAGTGGGCTCCTTGTACTTCTTGTAGACAGCATATAGTATTTTTTAAATCCAGTCAGCTAATCTTTGTCTTTTGTTTGAGTTTAGTTCATTTATGGCTAAAGTAACTACTGACAGATAAACTCCTACTATTGCCATTTTATTGTTTTCTATATATCATATAGCACTTTTATCTGTATTTTGCTCTCTTACTGTACTCCTTTGTGTTTCATTAATTTTTTTGTAGTGACATCACTATGGTTTGAATGTTTGTCTCCTCTGAAACCCATATTGAAACTTCATCCCCAATGTAACAGTATTAAGAAGTGGGGCCTTTAAGGGACAATAGAGGCAGAGCCCTCATGAATAGATTAATTTACTCATGGATTCACAGATTAATGGCTTATCACAGGAATAGGATAGTCGTCAAGAGTGGGTCTGTTATAAAATCCAGTTTGGCTATTGTTCTTGCTCTTTTAGCATGTGATGCCATCTGCCATGTTATGATACAATGAGAAGATTCTCACCAGATACGTACCCTTGACCTTGGTCTTTTCAGTCTCCATAACTGTGTGAGCCAATTTCCCTAACAAATCCCCTTCTGTATATCCCATTGGTTTTGTCTCTCTGGAGAACCCTAATACAGGCTTTGGTAACAAGAAGTGAGGCTGATGCTCAACCTAAAAATGTGCAAGTGGCTTTGGAAATGGGTAATGGACAAAGGCTGGAAGGGTTTGGAGGAGCAGGCAAAAAAAATCTTATATTGCTGTAAATAGAGTGTTAAGGGTGCTTCTGGTGAAGGATCAGAGGATGAGAAGACTAGGGAAAGTCTGAATCATTTTATAAATTATTTAAGTGATTATGGCCAAAATACTAGTAAACTTATAGACAATGAAGGCCGTTATGAGGTTTCAGACAGAAAGGGGGAACAAGGTATCAGAACCTGGAATAAAGGTCATACTTGGTATAAAGTAGCAAAAAGCTTACTGGAACTGTGTCCATACTCTAGGGCTGTGTAGAAGGCCAGACTTGACAATAATAAAGTAAAATATCTTATAGAAGAAATTTTTAAGGAGCAAAGCATTCATGATGCTGTTTGGCTACTTTTGGCTGTGTGGTTACTTTTGGCCAATTCAGGAGCAAAAACATGACTTAAAGACAGATGTATAATTAAAGGGAATCACAGCAAAATGATTTGAAAAGTTTGCAGCTTGCTTAGCCATGTAAACAGCAAAACTGCTTGCTAAAGAGATTAGCACTGATAGAAGGGAGTCAGATGTTATTCATTAAGACAATGAGGAGAATGTTTGAAAAGTATTTTGCATATTTTTAAGACTGCCCCCTCTCATGAAAAGCCCAGGGGCCAAGGAGGGTAGAATAGTTTCAGGGGACAGGCCCAGGGTACTCTCCACAGCTTGCTGCCCAGGGCTGCTCAGGACTCCTCTGCTCCCTTCATGTGAGCGCATCATTCCTCAGCCACTCCAACTGGCTCAAGAGGCTCCAAGTGTAGCTTACCTCACTGCTCCAGAAAGCAAAAGCCATAAGCCTTGGCAGTGTCCACCTGGTGCTAATTCTGCAGGGATACAGAATGCAAGAGTTGTAGGGCCACTATGGCCTTCACCTAGACTTCAGAGGATGTATCTAAAAGCATGGGGACCCAGGCAGAGACTTGTCACAGGGACAGAGCCATGGCTGAGAGCCCCACTACAGCAATGTTGAGTAAAAATACGGGGTGAGAGCCAGAGCTGCCTTTGAGATCCTAGAATTATAGAAACACCAGCAGTGTGCAGTGCCCACCTGGGAAAGCTGCAGGCACCAATGAGCAATTCCAATCTGAGAAAGCTGAAGTGTGTTCTGAGCACAGCAAAGCCATAGGGGCAGAGTGGCTCAATGTGTTCCCCACATTGTGCAGAGAATGCTTAACATGGACCCAAAAAAGAGTATTCTTTAGCTTTACAATTTAATATGTGCCCTGCTGTGTTAAAGAGTTGCTTGGGGACCATTAACCCCTTCTTCTAGTTTATTTTCCCTTTCGACAAGGGAATGTCTGTCTTATTCCTGTACCAGCACTGTATTTTAGAATTATATGACTTGTTTTGATTTCACAACTGAAAGGGAACCTGCCCAAGGATGGATCATGCCTTGAGTCTCAGATGAGACTCTTGACTTCGTATTTTAGAGTTGGTGCTAGAACAGGTTAAGACTTTGGGGCTACGGGAATGGAATGAAGGTATTTGCATATGATAAGGACATAAATTATGGGAGGTCATGGGTGAAAGGCTATGGTGTGAATATTTCTAGACTCTGAAACTCATGTTAAAACTTAATACTAATGTAACAGTATTAAGAGATGGGTTTTTTGAGAAAGGTTTGAGTCATGAGGGCTTTCCCCACATGGATGTATTAATCTATTCATGAATTAATGGATTAATGGGCTAATGGCTTAATGTGTTTTCATAGGACTATGTAAGGTGTCACAAACTAGGCCTATGATAAAAGCCAGTTTGGCTCTTGCTGTTGCTTTTTTGTCATGTGATGCCTTCTGCCATGTTATGATGCAATAAGAAGGCCCCTCAACAGAGGCAGCAACTCAGTCTTGAACTTCACAGCCTCCAGAACTGCAGGAAATAAATTTATTTTCTCTATAAATGACCTAGTCTCAGATGTTTAGTTATAGCAAAATAAAAATGGACTGAGACACACTTTCATTTCTTTCTCATTTTCTTTTGTTTATTACCTGTAGGTATTTTCTTTGTAGTTGCCATGGGGCTTAAATCAAACATATTATAACAATCTATTTTAAGGTGATAAAAACCTAACCTCAGTCTTATTTAAAACTCTACACTTTGACTTCTCCCCTCCACACATGGTATGTTATCAGTATCACAAATTACATATTTTTACATTGTGTATTCATTAATAATTTTATAGTTACAGTTATTTTAATACTTGTGGTTTTTTTTAACTTCTATACCAGGATGAAGAGTAAGTTACCCACCACCATTATAATATCCCGTTGTTTTTCCTTTATATCTATCTTTGACCAATGAGCTTTATACTTTTATATGCTTTTGTGTTGCTGTTCAGCGTTCTTTTATTTCAACTTGAACAACTTCATTTAGCATTTCTTGTAAGGCAGGTTTAATTGTGATGGATTCCCTTGGCTTTTGTTTATCTGGAATATCCTTTATTCTCCTTCATTTTGAAGAAAATTCTTCTGGATAAAGGATTTTTTGTTGGCAGACTTTTTTTCAGCTCTTTGAATATGTAATCCCACTTATTTCTGTTTTGCAAGTTTTCTGCTGAGAAATCTGCTGATATTCTCATGACAGCCCTTGTGTATCTGATGAGTCACTATTTTCTTTCTGCTTTCAAAATTCCTTCTTTGTCCTTGGCTTTTGATAATTAGATTATAATGTGCTGAAGTATAGACTTTTCTGGGTTCATCTTAGTTGCAGGCCATTGTGCTCTGGATTCAGAATATCTATTGTCTTTCATAATTGGGAGGTTTTGGGTCATTATTTTGTCAATGATGCTTTATGCCTATTTTTCTGTCCTTTTCTTCTAAAACTCTGATAACACATATTGGTCTACTTGATGATGTCCTTAGGGTTTCTTCACTCTTTTTTAGTCTTCTTTTTGTTTCTCTGACTGAATAATTACAAATGACCCATCTTCAAGTTCCCTGATTCTTTCTTCTGCTTGTTCAAATCTAGTATTAAACTCCTTTAATGTAATATTCAATTTGGTTATCATATTCTTCCACTGCAAATTTTGTTTGATTCTTTTTACATGTATCTCTTTACTTATAGTTACATTTTGTCCATTAATTGGTTTTCTAAGCTCATTGTCTTTATAATTGCTATTTTGAAATTTTTCTGAGTTTTTTAAAACAAAACAAAACAGGTCAGGCATGGTGGCTCATGCCTGTAATCCCAATGATTTGGGAGGCTGAGTCAGGAGGATCCCTTGAAGTCAATAGTTCAAGTCCAGCCTGAACAACAAAGTGAGACCACATCTCTACGAAAAAAAATAAAAAAATAAAAATTAATCAAGCACAGTGGCATGTGTCTCTAGTCTCAGCTACTCAGGAGGCTGAGGTGGAAAGATCACTTGACCCTTGGAGTTTGAGGCTGCAGTGAGTTATGATTGCATCACTGCACTCAAGTCTGGGTGACAAAGTGAGATCCCCATCTTTTAAAATAAAAATGTAAAACAAACAAAAACCACCTCACCCAGTCTTTAGGGACTAGCTTGATACAGAGAAAGGCCTTCACCAAAAAACCCAGCTAGAAATTCTGGGGCCTCTATTCTTTTTTTGCAAATTCATCTTATCTGTACCAGTGTGTGTAAATTCTCAATTAGAATGAATTGCTCATTTCTTTTTTCAGGAGCTTGTAATCTCTTCCTCCCTTTGGTGTCTATCTGTGGTACCACAGTTCTTCTGGAGCTGCTGAAAGTTGCCTAGCTCTCTTTTGTTCTCAATGGCCCCCAGGCATCTAGAATATGCTAGGTTCCATCTGCACTCTGAGATTGGTGTGGTAAAAACTCATTTTTTTTTTTTTTGGATACATCACTCCCACAAAGCCATAATATTGTATAATTGCTTTGACTCTTTCTCTCCCCAGGAAAAAAACCTTGAGAGTTAAGGGTTCTTCTACTCATTCTATGAAGTGAGAGGAGGAACTGCGGCAAATGAGTGCATGCTAGTCCAAACTGTTGCCCTTGTTTTCTGCAGCCCCCAACATTGTGGACTTCCCAATTAGCACTTGTATTTAGGCATGACGGAAGCTAGTCCTTTGAGCAGCCCACACCCCATCCCCATCAGAATATTAGACATATGGTACATTTTTCTCTTTCTTTTCCAAGAAAGTAGTCAGGAGCCAAGAATTTCTTCTAGATTGCACTGTGCTATGCCAGAAGTGACCATGAAGAGTGAGTACAACAAATTTTCTGCTGGCTCTGTTGCAGCTGGCTTTGCACTCATCTGAGATACAGGAGCCTCTTAACTGGCTTCTTGATTTCTCAGAAAGTAAATTTTTTCCATTTGTCATTTTTGAGTCAGTGGTTCCATGGACGGAAGGAGGTCCTGAAGATTTCTATATCTCCATCTTGCTGATGTCACTCCCCAGCAACTAGTTCAGTTTTAATTCTCCTTAAATTATAAATAAATGACAAGACCCATATGACAGGTAATTTAAATAATTATTGTTTGTTTTATATGTTGATAATTTTAAGAAGATGCCACAAGGTAGATTGTTGCCTATTCTAACCTTTCATAAACAATATCCCTGAAACCCCAAGATTCTATGTGCTGCTATTTAGTGTTTTTTTCTTTTTCATTCCACTCTACCTTTCTATGTTCTCCAACACCTTAGGCATTTGCTTTCTGTACTAGCTCCTTCTTATTTCTACCTAGGGTTTGACTTTGTCTTGTTCTTCCTTCTTGTCTGCTCTCTCTCTTCCTCTTTTTTTTCATGTACTCTTACTTTCTTCTCGCCCTTGAGAGTCACCCTGCAACTACCTGATCCACATACAATTGGAAATCAAATGCCATAGCTACAATACCAATGAAAGAGCATTGGAAGTTATCCCCAATGGACACATGAGAATTTTTGTAGTATATTTTTTGAGATACTGACTTTGTTTGAGATGTCTACATAGTTGGAATTTTAAATTAGATGGCCATTTGTCAGATGCATTTTGATTGCCTTAAAGGAAGATAACATCACTTAATCACTTATGATATGTTTGTTTACAAAGAACAGCTTAAACCACAAAGACACTAGTTATTTAAGAATCCAGATAAATTATGTCTCAGGGTTGGTTCAGCATCTTGTGGAGTAAAACAGACTCAGTCTTTCTCCATTCTTTTATATGTTTAATTATCCTTAGGTTATTCATCACATAATTATAAAATGTCTACCGAAACTTTGGGTATCATATGCTCTCACAACTACTTCCACGCCAGGAAGAGGGAAAGAGGCCCAAAAGAATCTTCTCCTGTTTCTGCTTTTGATTTACAGCAGAAAGCAAAATCTTTCTTAGATGCTTCAAAACAGAATTCACGTTATTGGCTAAAACTTGCTGAAATGTCCACTTCCATACCAATCACTGGGGAAGGGAAAGAAGATTGATATTGTTGCTTTAGAAAAATCATGACTCATTTCTGAAGCTGGGCATGTTACTACTTGAACAAAGTTGGGATTCTATAGAAATAAAAAAGGGGGAATGGAATGTGTAGTTATCTAACCATGTTTACTTTGGAGTCATTTCCAAATTTGTATGGTCTTGAGTAGTCAAAATTCCTTCTGTCACTCTAACAGCAAGCCTCACACTCAGGGAACAACGGCAGCCATAATTGGGTTCTAAAGATACCTCTTATTCATCTTTCATTCTCAATCTTCGCACAGGAATTTGTTCATGAATGCTGGCTTTTCAGCATGATCTTGAGATATGGAGAAAGACAGGTATTTCTTTGTATGTATGTGTGTGTGTTTATTAATGTAACACTTTTTGTTGTTGTTCTTGAGCACTTACTTTTAGAGAAGCCCACTTTTAGAGAAGCCCTGTGCTAAACAGGGGACAAGATAGCCATAGTTTCTGCTCAGACAATACTCAGGGGCTCCCTGGCAAGGTGTCGCTGATCAAATACTAACAATAAAACAAGGTAGCCATTGTGACATTAGCACAGCATGCTGTGCAAGAACATATCCCAGTACCTTGGGAATAATAGAAAGCTTCCCAGAGGAAGTGATGTTTAAATTGAGGCCTGAAGGAGAATTAGGAGTTGGTCAGGAAGCTCCACATCAACACTGTATGTGCAAAGGCTTAAAGGTCAGTGAAGCATGCTGTGTTTAAGAATTTGAGAGAAATCAAATAAGGCTAGAGGGCACAGTTGAAAAGGAAAAGTCATAAAAGATGGGGCCACATCATGAAGGGCTTTTAATAATACCAAGGCATTTGGAATGTGTCCTCACTCCACAACAGATAAAGATAAGTAGCATATAACCCCTCAAGTAAATGAAATACTGAATAGAATGTGGATTGTAAGAAGAGAGGGAAAAAGTCTATATTCTCTCATCTATATTTACAGAATATGCCTTTTCCAGAACTGAGCAGCATATTAATTCCAAGTTGCCTTAACAGTAATCTGGCTTATACCATTTGATGCTTTGCAAAATGCTTGTGAGATGGAAAGTACAGAACATTCAGGATTTGAAAGTTATTGTACTTCTAAAAATTATATTTATTTTCACATATCTCATGATCAAATGCTATAGAATAAAATAGACCTAATAATAGAGTCAGTCTTTGCTTAATGACTGGGATATATGCTGAGAAATGCATCCTTAGGTGATTTCATCATTGTGCAAACATCATAGGGTATGCTTACACAAATCTAATGGTATAGCCTACTACACACCTAGGCTATAGGGTATAGCCAATTGCTCCTAGGCTATAAACCTGTACAGCATGTAACTGTACTGAACACTGTAGGCAATTATAACACAATGATAAGCATTTGTGTATCTGAACATATCTAAACATAGAAAAGTACAGAAAAGCATGGTATTATAATCTTATGGGACCACAGTCGTAAATGCAGTCTGTCGTTGACCAAAACATCACTATGTGGTGCATGAGCGTACTCTTAGGAAGTAAAAACAATGCCAATCAACATTTAGAAGGGCTTTTAAATCCAGAAGTTAATAAAATCAGATTGTACCCAACAAAATCGTTTATTGTTGTTGCTGTTGCAAGTTAAAGAACCCAAGTCTAGTTTATGAAAAGGAGTAGAAATTTGTCGTAAGGATGCAAATATGTCTTACAGAGCCTAGAGACAGTTCCTTATCCAGCCACAGGAAGGGACAGTGATCAGGAAATGGAAAACTATCAGGGTCATGTCTGTGTGTTTTGGCATTTTTCCTGTTCTAATTTACTTATTTTATTCTCCATGTTTGTTCTCCCTGTGGACTGGGTTTCTCAATTCCCCACTGCAACAGTGGGTCTTATTCTACTATAAGTGATGGCAGAGATGAGTTACCACTTTTGAATTTGTAGTATAAATTTTAAGAAAAAGTATCTGAATTGCCCCAGGCCAGATGTCCACCCCTGATATATTCAGTGAGGATTAGAATTACAGCATCACAGAGTGTGTCTGCAGGCCACCTATTCCTGTGTTTGGAGAGCAAGTCCCCATCACATTGTATCAATCTAAGCTAGGAAGAAAATCCAAAAGTCTATTCCAACACTAACAAACTAAGAGCAATCCTAATGACTGTACTACTAATTTATTTGTATTTAGTAGTTTAAAGTATGTATGCATACATACTTTAAATAAGCATACCTGCCTAAGAAATAACACATTTCTAATAATCCTTTTTATATATGACTTTTATTATTACCATAAAAGTGGCCATACTGAGTTTCCAATGGTGTCATTCCAAAAGATAAACAAAAAGGCATTTTGTGGGTGAACGGTCCCTTTGAATGAGGTAGTTTTTTTTATCTAAAAGTTTTCTACTCCCTTTATTAGTTTACAAACTTGACCAAGGTAATAATTTACCAATTATAAACCATCATAAGCTCTATGCAGGAGCTCACTTTTGTTCTAACCGAATACATTGTTCTTCGAAGACGCAAATGACATTAAATGTTTTGTAAATAAACTCACTGGAGTGCAAGAAGAATATTACATTGGAAAACATTAAACAACCTGAAACAAAAAGCAGATCATTTCCCAACCACAAATTGCAAGTTAATGAAAAAAAAATCTAAGCCAATATGAAAACCTACTTTAAAGTAAGTATTGCCAACACTTGAAGTGGTAAGATTTACAAAAACAAAGAGAAGAGAGTAAGGAACTTCATCATTTCTTTGGGGATGTATAATACATTGGGAAGAATCCAGTTTTCAAGTTTTTGTAACTAAGCCTCATTTGTGGCTACCTAGTTTAAAAGTGTGAACAGCCTGGCCCTGCCTCCCACGAGTCTCTCCTTTCTTCATAATTGATTGTCTGTGTGGCATGTGAACAAACACACACCATGAAAAAATGACAGCCTCTTCATGTAGAGGAAAAGTTTCTGAGATCAGCTTATGGGGAAAAACAAAAACCAAAACAATGAAGCAATCCTATAGAAACCAAATATTGTAAAAACTTGAATTTGTTTCATTTTCACTCATTGTCTAAGTGGGCTTCCTGACATTTTATTTTCTTAGTGAAGTATTTTATAACTTTTTTCTAATTAATTTTTCCTGACCAATAAACCTTTTTCCATGACACTTAAATGGCATGATTAAGCCTCCTTTGTTATATGACTCACTAGTTCTTGAATTCTGATAGTCTAGAGATTAAATCATGTCTCCTGAAGCATGCCAATAATATACAGTAGAACGTAATTGTTTTAACTCCCTTAGGGAACTCTATTTTAATGGATTTAGAAAACATTGTTTGATTTACCCTATTATTATATTAACATAGTACAAACTAATGCACTATAGTTATCTTAGAAAATGCATATGTAATAAAAGAATCATGATAAGTAAGATAAAAGTAGTCTTCATTTTGTAAATATTTTTCAGTACTTCATACCTCCTTTCTGAAAGATGTCTCAGTACCAGTATCCACATTTGGGCCTTGACTTAAGGCCCAAATAATGCTTTTACACATTTGTCATTTTAATGCATGGTTCTTTTATTTGTATGGTTCATCTAAATCTGACACTTATTACAACATAACTCATCATTGAATTCATCTAAATGTACCTATAAACAATCATGGCTGCATTACATTACAGATGTAATCTGGAGATCTTGAGTACACATCACAGCAGAAAATGGGAAGACTGACACCAGCTTAAAGTGTGAGGTGTAACTTCATCCACATGAATCAGAGCAGAAATCAATAGATGACATAGATAACATCACGAATAAAACTTTGTATAAACCCTCTCATTTCCATCAAAAGACATAATCTTGCAGGATTAAATTTAATCATCAGTGAGGCACATTTATGAGCAATTCATTCTTTTTTTTTTTATTTTTATTTTTTGAGGTGGAGTCTCGCTCTGTCACCCAGACTGGAGTGCAATGGTGTAATCTTGGCTCACTGCAACCTCCACCTCCCAGGTTCAAGTGATTCTCTCACCTCAGCCTCCCGAGTAGCTGGCATTACAGGCACACACCACCACACCTGGCTATTTTTTTTTTTTTTTTATTTTTTTATTTTTCGTAGAGACTGTTTTTCACCGTGTTGGGCCAGGCTGGTCTGAAACTCCTGACCTCAAGTGATCCACCAGCCTCTGCCTCCCGAAGTGCTGGGATTACAGGTGTGAGCCACCATGCCCAGCCAAGTAATTCATTCTTAAATGGAGGTTTACAGATACAATTAAGAATTCTGCTCCTTTTTGTAAAGAAATTGCTCTTGTTTAAAAGACTGAATAACACCTCATTAGGGTAACAATCCGTGATTTTTCAAAGCTCTTCCAAATATAAATCTCAAGTCATATCACATGATGATGCCATTAAAGCTCAGCTAGTTCCAAGGAAGAGATACTAAAACAAAAAAGTTGACAAGATATTAAAAGCTAAATTTGTTCTAGGATCACGGATACTACAAACTGTTCCTCTATCTGTAGTTGTAGCAGACTTTTAAAATGAATGCAGATATATATTAACATTCAGAAGTAGTTTGTTGCTTGCCTTCTTTTGATATTAATATACTCTTAGAGGTTAGAAAAAAAGTGAGTTGTGCTATTTTATCGTTAGAAGAAACTTTATCAGTCACCTTGACTGACCTTCCACCCAAGACAGAAAATATTTGCTACAATGGCCCTGGTACAATGAACTGCTTAAACATTTGAAGTGTTTAGGAGGTTATATCATTCTTTCAGCCTGTTCCATCATTTTGCAACAATTTTTGGTTCTTCCCTATTGTAAGCTATAATTTTCTCCCCATTGTTCCTACCCTTTTATCCTAATACAATCCCACAAAACTGTCAATATGGTCCTTGTATCCTATATGCTCATAACCTAATGGAATCTTTAGATTTACTTCAAATGGTGAGGCTTAAAATAAATCACATCCATATTTCTCAGACTTGATATGGAGACCATTGAAAAGACAGATAATTATTAAGTTCATGAAAATGCAAGTCCTTATCAATTTCTACATTTAACTGAGTTCAAGGCAAAAAAAATTCTGTTCTACATATTACATTTTTCATTCAAAATGGCAATAAATGCTTTCATAATTGAGCATTTTTATTTCACAAGCTAGACATACACTCAGGTAAAATAAATTTTCCTTATTGTATTAGTGAAATGTAACAATTTATTGATCAATATAAATGAAATAAAATTTAGAATTTATTTCCAACTTTGCTACAATGCATAGCAACGAGACTCCATCTCAATAATCTATGAATTTCCAAAGATTCTTAGATTTATAAGATGCAAAGATTCTTAGATTTATAAGATATTTTGAAAGTTATTTTCTATCCTCCCATTTTATAGCAAAGCAAACCAATGCCTGGAAAATTAGGCATATTTTAAATGGTCTTACGTTAATTAATTGTAAAGAGAGGAATATAATGAAGTCTCCTGTCTTCTAGACAAGTGTATTTTTTTTCACTGCATGATAAATCCTGAACTTGGAAACTTACACTAAGTCAAAAATACTCACACAAAAATTATTCTACAATAATTATGCAATTATTTTGCCTTTTTTGATGTGATCTTTTCAAGAGGATCATGTCATGTTAAGAAGTTTCTGAAATTAATTAAATGATAAAAATATTTCTGCATATAGGACACTTCAGGTTTTCAACAAATGTCACATACCTTTATTTGGCCTTCTTTATTTTTGATCTAGTTACAATGAGCTAAGAACATAAGCCTTAATTCTGGGTTTGCTGATATTTTTAGAAAGATTACTGGCTTTGCAAATCCTTATAGGTAGATGCTATTTTTCGCTATACTCCTTGCACTCATAAAAAAAAATCAAAATAACTATTAAACTCTTTATAGTCTCACATAGCTTCCATTAATTCTAGTTTCTGTTTGAAAATCTGTATCTTTTCTACATAATTCATCTTAGCTAGTTTCATAAAATAACTATAAATAGGTGTAATACTTCTCTTACTAAGGAGACGAAGAAATTTCTCAGGTACTATCACAGTCGTGAAATCATATTTTTGTTTTTAATTGTCTTGCAATTTTACATTTTATGACTATTTTAAGTGATTCTTCAATATGAAAATGGTTTCAGATATTACAAATTCAAATAAAGATTTTAATGAGTAGTTTGTATAACTCCACTCACACTTATTAAAAAGCTCTTGAGCCATAACTCAGTTCCTTCTGCTACCAAAATATCTGAAATTTCCTTCAACTAATACTTGGTTATTTATTGGTCTTATTAAATCCTTCTCAAAGTCTGATTAAATATTTAATTGGACCTGATATTCCAAAAAATGAATGATTTCAACAAATAAAAGAGTCAGTAAACATTATTTAACAAATTTTAAAAAATCATAATTTTTAAATTTTTTTATTTCTAATTTTTGTGGGTACATAGTAGATGTATATATTTATGGGGTACATGAGATGTTTTGAAATAGGCATGCAACGCTACAATTATAATAAGGGTGTAAAAAAATTCAAGCTAGGGAAACTATAATAGCAGAATAACAAATAGAGTTGCGTTATACCAGGCAGCCAGGGCAAGGCTGAAAACATGGGTAAAAACACAAATGAAAGTATTTCTCCAATCCCGTCTAAAAAATAAACACACTAACCAATCAAAAACAAACAAACACAAAAAACCAACTCAAGAAATTATTCTTGAGTATAAATTGGCCTCCAAACACTTGCCATTTCTCCTTCTTTTTTTATTTTTTTTAATAGCAGAAGTCTTGGAAGGAATTGTCAGTATAAATGTCTTCAATTCCTCTCTGTCTATTCTCTGTTGAATTTGAATTCACTCTACTTACTTTCTGCATCTTTCTATTACTACACTAAAAGCACTTTCTTTAAGGTCATTAATGATCCCCATAATGCCAAATTTTATGGTTGACTTTCATTCTACATTTCACTTTACTTATCAGTAGCATTTGAGCTAATTACTCTCTTCTCTCCTTGACACATTTCAATCTCTTCACTACCTTAGATTCCTTCTTCCCCAGCCATTCTTCTCGATCTCTCACATTTTCTTGTCTTTTCAAAATTTATGATAGTACTCCATGTCTCAATTATTAGATATTTTCTCTAATTTATCTATATTTACCTACCTAGTGATCTCATCTCGGCTCACAGCTTTAGATACCAAGTATGTGCTCCATTTCCCAAAAGTACATCCTCAACCCAGACTTCTCTAGAAAACTCCATTCTCATATATTCTAGTTGACTTCTTTACTTGGTTATCGAATAGACATTCAAAACTTAAATATTTGAAAATAAAATGTTGGGCCAGGCACAGTGTTTCACACCTGTAATCCCAGAACTTTGGGAGTCTGAGGAGGGTGGATTGCTTGAGCTCAGGCAACATAGCGAGACCTCATCTCCACTAAAAATAA
Source organism: Homo sapiens (assembly GCF_000001405.40). Lineage (NCBI taxonomy): Eukaryota > Metazoa > Chordata > Mammalia > Primates > Hominidae > Homo > Homo sapiens. The sequence goes on along the minus strand of NC_000006.12, from coordinate 55,204,968 downwards.
AAAAAACTAAAAAAAATCAGCTGGGCACATTAGTGCAATCCTGTAGTCCCAGCTGCCTGGGAGGCTAAAGTAGAAGAATTACTTCAGCCCAGGAGGTCGAAGCTGCAGTGAGTCGAGATCGCGAAACTAGACTACAGCCTGTGAAACAGAGCAAGACCCTATCTCCAAAGGGAAGGGGAGGGGAGGGGAGGGGAAGGCAGGGGAGAGGATTTGGATATTTTAGGATTTTTGATTCTCCCAAATCTAAGTTTCCACTTGCTTAGGACAACTTTGGTGACATCCTTGACTTTCTCTCCCACTCTTTTTATTACTTCTCACAATCCATTTTTCCACCAAACCTCTTGGCTGTGTCTTCAAAATATATAAAGAGTGTGATAGCTTCTACAATCTCCTTTGCTACCACCTTGATCCAAGCTATCAGGCTCTGTCCTACATCACCACAACACCTACAAAATATTTCCCTGCTTCCACTCTTTGCCCCAGTATTAGCTCAGGTTTGTATAGAAGATTCTAAGAAAAATATTCAAGTAAAGGTAATTTATTTTGGAAGTGATACCAATGAACACTATTAGAAAAATGGAGAAATAAGGTCAAATGGGGAGAAAATTAATAAAAATTATGTTAGTCAGCAAGATACTACTGTCAGCAACTTGAGCCTAATCCAGAGGGTGCCCTCTGGGTAATGGTGTAGAACACACATCTCAGAGCTCTTCCACCCAAGGAATATGAGAGCTGGGGTATTCATCTACCAACTTCCATGAGTCATAGGTTGAGAGTGCTCCTGGTGAGTGCTCTGTGTCATTCCCAGCCTGCTGGATAGGTAAGCAGATTAGGCCCTCACAGCCCTTATGAGAGGGGATAGAAAGGCTCTCAAGCAAGAAGTCACAGAAGTTGGGAATGGACTATTTAACAGGCTTGTGTGTTAAATATTGAACAGAGAAGGGTAAGATCAATATAAGATCTGATATACACCCTTAGAGACAATTTTCAATTCAGCAAAAGAGTAGTCCTGTTAAATATAAGTCAGATCATATTATTTCTCTACGCAAACCCTTCTAATGGATCTCCATCTCATTTGGAGAGGAAAAAAAAAAACCTTAAGTCCTTACAATGACTTACAATTTCTTACCAGAGATTCTTTTTGGTTTCCAAGTACATCTGTCTTTCGTGCCACTAATTTCTTACTGTTACTCGTATACCTAAGGTATGCATCTACATCAGGGCTTTTGCACTGGCTGTTACTTATATTGGAAATGTTCTTTCCTAGGATAACTGCATGGCATTCTCCCTTCCTGCTGAAGACTTTTGCTCAAATGTCACCTTATCAGTGAGAAGGTGACCATCCACTTGTAAATTGAACCCATACCCGAACAGGTACTCCATAACACCTCTTCCATTTTACTTTTTTCCATAGCACTTAACTTCATCTAAAATTTTAATGTACATATTTTACTTACTACTTGTTCTTATTGTTTCTCAACCCCCAGTGAAGGTGATCTCCAGGAAGACAGGATTTGTTTTGTCTTTATTTTACCAACCCCTGACTATAACATAGTTGGGCACAGGTAGGCCGACAGTATAAAAAAGATAGAAAGCAAATAAACTAAAACCCCAAGCTATGGTTGTAATATTAAATGTCATTGATTAATAAGAGAGATATAAACTAATCAGGAAAAATTAAGCTATTCTTTGAGCTTGGAGCTATGCTTGTTATTTGTCAAATGAGTTTTTATGTATGGAACGAAGTACAAATTCTATCCTTCAGAGAAATTATATATATACATTCATACATATTTCCTTTATTGAGTTTTAATAAAGTTTCAGGCACAGTTTTTCTCTGTATAGAGGCAAATTTAGAGAGGGGTTCCTAATTATGTAGTTCTAATTTGATGTAACGGTAAAACTGGAAGAACTCTGAATAATGAAAAGGGAATAGGCTTGGCTTTTTAAAGCAGTGTTTTTACATTTTTTAAGGTAATGGAAGTATATTCAAAACAACTTTGATGTGGAACCAAATATTACACAGATAAAATTGGAGCTGCTGAAGCTTAAGTGGGATGTGTGCGTTGGGTGGCAGGGAGAGTTTTCCTCATACCACTTATCCCTGCCATGCTTTAAACTACCATATCAGATAAAAGTGTTTCCACAGGCAGCTCCTGGAGATAGGCATTGCTATAGATTGAATGTTTACCAACCTCCCCCGGCTTCATTTGTTGAAACCTAATCCCTAATATGATGGTCTTTGGAAGTGGGCCCTTTGGGAAGGAATAGGTCATGAGAGCAGAGCCTTCATGAACGAGATTAATATTCTAAAAAAGAGACATCAGAGAGCTCCTTTGCCCCTTCTATCATGTGAGGACATATGAGACAACAGATGTTTATTAATTAGGAAACAGGCCCTCACCAGACATAAAATTCGATCTTGGACTTCCCAGTCTCCAAAACAGTTGGAAACAAATTTCTGTTGTTCATCAGCCACCTAGTCTATGGTATTGTGTTAGAGCAGCCCAAACTGATTAAGACAAGAATGTATAAAACAAGATAATGAAGACTAGGATTTAGATCAACTATTCCATTGATGAATGTCTATCACCTCCACAAAAGAGAGCATAGGTTGTATTTACAGGTAGTTGATAAATGTTTTCCAATGTGCTTTAATTTCATGAGTGGGTTGAGAGTATTTAGCAAGAGTAGGTGGTGAAAAGAGACAAAACAAATATATGCAGCCATCAAGTAGCATTTCTTGTCTGAAAAGCAAAAATGGAAATAAAAACAATATTTATTTTATTAAGATCACCAAAGCTGTTTTAGAAGCACAATTAACACATTATTTAATCTGAAAAGTTTTTTCTATTCTCTTCTTTCCAAATCTCAGAATCTATAAGCTCTCTTATAACCTTGAACTTACCTCTACTGTGAGTGCAGGAACTTACATTTAATTTTTTAATATTATTGTATCTATAGCTTCTTTCTAAGAATATAACATTCTTAAAGTTGCTTCTTGAATAACTTCATTATTCAGATCCATGGTCAAGAAACATTTCAAAACCAACAAAAGCAGCAATCGTATATTAAATTTGAGCAATGTAAGTAGCTGTTAATAGTATATGCTTCTGACTTAACTTTTCTTACTTGCTATAAAATCTGAGTTTGTGGATGTAAATAATTTGGAAAACTAGGTCTTCTTGAAGTATAAAATATTTTAATTATCTTCTCGCTAAGCAAGAGGTTGAGTATCAGTCATAGATTTATGCAAATTCCCCTTAAGCATTGCATATGTCACTTACTAATTCATTTACACTCATGAAAATTAGTTTTGCTTAACCTTTTCCACCACTAGTAAATCAATGTAGCTACGTAAGGAAAAGCTTAATTTATATATTTGCTTATCATTTAAAAACATATTTATAAATGAGCAAAAAGAATCACCAGAAAAAATCCCTTAGTTTTTTCTCATTGTAAATTAGAATTGCACTATTGAGATTTGCATTTAGAATTCCACAAAAATGTGTTTTTGAAGTGAACATATATGAGTATTCTAGATGTACCTTATTCAAGCTTTCTGTACATGGTACTGTGGAAAACTGCCAGAATCATGAGCATGACTTAACACAAGCAGAGAAAAGAGAACAGCAAAGGTCTAAGTTTAAGTAGAATTTTACTAATTGTTATTATTGATGTAGCTGGATAGAAAAGCACATTCTTGGACTACATATGCTTCTCTGCCTAAAGCAGAGAAGGACAAATGGCACCAAAGAAAAATAAAAATATCTGATATATTTTCCCTGCCTACACTTAATCCAAAATCCAAAAAGTTTAAATGACCAAGGCAGGGAAAAAAAGATGTCTGTCCTCTGAAATCTGGGAGAACCTACCAAACAGGTCTACCTTAATTCCTACTCTCATCAGCTTAACTCTTTCTCTACCCATGAATGTATGCAATATGGTAGCAAGCAGAGGCGATATGATTCTTATTTATCCAAGTAAAAAATTGCATTCTCTGATAGGAAAGAGGAATTTGGATCTACAAAATCAGTACGTATATCAAAATCAAGACAACACTAGATAACAAAATATTAAACTATAATTGAATATTGAAATAAATTACAGAATAACAACAAATACTTTCTAAATATCTAAACAGAATTAAAGAACATGCTGAAAGCTATTATACAAAATAAGATTTAGAGAATATACAATAATATAGAAAATATATTGATTCTGTAATTGCAGACAAGAAGCATCAAAATTCTACTAATTGTCTTGTCATGAATACCAAATATCAAAAATTAGTTTTTAATTTAGTGAATAAGACTAAAGACAGTGTAAAAAGATATATGGACTCATGGAAAATTATAAGCAGGGCAGAAGAAGAAGGAACAGTGGATGCATTTATGAAGCAATTGATAGACTGAAAGACAACCATTAGCAGAATTACAATTGTGAGTCCCACCTTCTGAATCAGGAAAAAGTCTTTTCAAAAAACACCAGTCTGGCCAACATAGTGAAACCCCATCTCTACTAAAAATACAAAAAATTAGCTGGGTGTGGTGGTGTGCGCCTGTACTCCCAGTTGCTCAGGAGGCTGAGGCAGGAGAATCACGTGAACCCAGGAGGCGGGAGTTGCAGTGAGCCAAGATCCCACCATTGCACTCCAGCCTAGGCGACAGAGCAAGACTCCGTTTCAAAAACACACACACACACACACACACACACACACACACACACACACAAGACAGCAAACAAGTACAAAAACATATATAGTAAAATTGAAAAAAAAACGACATTTTAAGGAAAGATAAATTATAGTGAAAGATTTCTAGATTCGGCTATAAATTCTTTTAAAGTTTTAGTGATACAGATTTTAATCTTGTTATTACAACAGGGTGGGTCTGATAGGTGGAGATATCTGATGGATGGCAATATTTACTTGGGCAGTAAGTGGCAAAGCTGGGTCTACCCAGCACCAAATACCAACCTTTAATCACCACACTCTGCTCATTTACATTCATTGTACAAGAGGTGGATTTCTTTAATATATTCATTCAGGTACTGGGCACATTGATAGTATGCAGTGAATAAACCTGTGATGAATTTAGATTTTTGCCTGACTGATTAAATCCTTCCCTTATATATTTTTCATTTCCTTCATGCAAACAAGGGAGAAACCTAGGATTTTAATACAGTATTTTCCCATATTGTCAATTATGATGAAGCCTTTTTCGCCAGCTTTAAATTTTCCCCAAATTACAACTTCTTGTTAATATTTTTTTCGAAATTAAACAAATGTAATTATTTTGAAGTACGCATAAGAGATGTTGAACACATTTAGAGATAAATGCATAACTGCATTTTGTTTTCACCTTCCCACTGCTATTTTTGTAATGCATAGAATGTATTACTAGAAAAATTAGTTCAATACATTAATTTGAACATGTATACTCTAAGTGGATAGATTAGGAGAAGAAAGGAGATAACTTTGCAGTTTGAAATAATTCATATTAATGAATTAGAAAGAAAACAGTCATGAGTCAGCTGTTTTCTAGCAAGCATCTACATTGCCTGAGACAGAAGACCACCATTTACATTCCTAAAATAATTCAATCCTCCCCTTTGTAAATCTTTTTAAGTACTCTCCAAATTTTCAAAGACAAAATGTGAAGTATTCCCAACTTTATGACATGCTGCATTAAAAAAAAAAACAAAAAACTGGTCAAAACCACAAAATTAGAAATTAAAAAGTTGGGCTAGATGATCATAAAGGAAAATTCTTCCTCAACATTTGTGGTAGTCGTGTGTGTTTTTGTCATTACAATACCCATTTCTCATTCTCCCATTAACAGTAACCTAATTCTCCTTTCAGAGAACCCCCTTAACCAACTCTCCCACTCTTCATATTAGTGTACCCAGTTGCAGTAATCCCTTACATGAGCAAAACTAACTAGGTTTGATATAAACTAATCTTGGAATTTAGGCTTGAGCAACCAGGAAAACAGAAATACTATCTTCTGTTGTAATTGATCCTATTGTGTTACAGGCCTGAGGCCATTTCATCTTGCCACAGGAAACCTAACAATGAATCCAACAGGGAGGAGGAAGAGATTGGAGTGAGTGACAGATTGGATCCTGATGGCAGTATGGGGACTAGGGAATCCAGGTATTTGTGAAACTCAGTACTGAATTCTTCTGTTCCTTGAGCCAATAACTCTCCTACTTCTCCCCTGCACACACATTTTTATTTTTTTCCTTGTTAAGCTAATTTTCAGTGTTTTATCATTTGCAGCAGGACAAACTCTGGATAATACAATAATTCAAAGACCCTGATTCCACACCACTATTTTCTGATTCATTATCCAAAATTAGTAAAGAAAGCTGGATGAGAGTGAAGCAAAGAAATGACACCCAGAACACTAGTGGGTGCTAGTATGCCCAAGTCGTGATCCAGATTTAAATTTAGTGTTTGGATTAGAGGTAGGTTTAAAGTTAGGGTTGAGTTTAGGTGCAGGATTTTGTGTAGGGTGAGGGTTAAAAGTAGCCTGAACGTTAGCATTAGGATTACAGTTTGAGATAGTGTTGGGGTTAATTTTAGAGCTAGGGTAAGAGTTAAAGTTGGGGTTAGGTTTAGAGCTAGATGTATGATTAATGATAAGTTTGGGGTTAATGTTAGGGTTAGGGTTGGAGATATAGTTAAAGATAAGTTTGGAGTTAGTTTGAGACTTAATGATTAGCATTAAATATTGGGATTTGGGTAGTGTCAGTGATGGGGTAGAGATACAGATTGGGGTTTGTTTTAGCATTAGTGTTACTGATAGGATTGGGCTTAGGGTTACATTAGTGCTACATGTAGTTTCGTGAAGGTTAAGGTTTGAGATACATTTTGAGTTATGTTTAAGTTTAGATTTACTTTTGGGGTTGGGTGGAATTGAGATAGGATTGAGTTTCTTGTTAGAATTAGAGGGACCTTTGTAGTGAGTAATCAGGTTAGGTTTACAATTAGAGTTACAGCTAGGTTTACAGTTAGTGTTAGTGTAGGTTAAGAGAAAGGGTCGGCTGGGCGTGGTGGCTCATGCCTGTAATCCCAGCACTTTGGGAGGCCGAGGCAGGCAGATCACAAGGTCAGGGGATTGAGACCATCCTTGCTAACAGGGTGAAACCCCATCTCTGCCAAAAATACAACAAATTAGCCAGGCATGGTGGCGGGCACCTGTAGTCCCAGCTACTCGGGAGGCTGAGGCAGGAGAATGGCATGAACCTGAGAGGCAGAGCTTGCAGTGAGCCGAGATCACGCCACTGCACTTCAACCTGGGAGACAGAGCGAGACTCCATCTCAAAAAAAAGAGAAAGGATCAAGCTTAGTTTCAGGGTTATGGTAAGTAGCAGCCTGGGGTTTGGGTTATAATTAGATGTAGAGTTAGGTCTGAGGTTAGTTTTGGTTTTGGGTTAGAGGTCGTGTTAGACATAGGTTTGATGATAATATTAGGGTTAGGATTACAGATAGAATTGGGGTTAGTGTAAAGGTTGAGTTTCAAGATAAGGTTTGTTAAGTTTTTGACTTCGAGTTAGAGTTATATTTGGGCCTATGTTTAGAGTCAGAGTCAGGGTGGGAAGTAGAATTGGAATTTGTGTTCTGATGAGGGTTTCAGATGGATTTGGGATAAAAGGGTAAGGGTGGGTTGGTGTTTAGATTACAATTGGAATCAGAGTTAGATTTGAGGTTATGGTTAGGATTAGAGTTAGAAGTAGGTTTGTGGTTAATGTTAGGTTAGAGATAGGATTAGAGTTAGGCTTGGGGTTAACAGTTGGGTATAGAGATAAAATTGTTAGTTAATTCTTAGTTTTAGGATTACGTTTAGAGTTAAATTTAGTTTTACAGTTGGTTTTAGGGTAAAAGGGGCAGATGGGAGTAAAATCAGAATTAGTTTTAGTTTTGAAGTACAGAGGTAGGGTTGTTAATATTAGGGTGCAGTTAGGGCTGTAGATAAGATTGGGTTTAGTGTTAGTGTTAGATTTTTATCAGGCTTGCAGGTAAATTTGAGGTTACTGAGGGAGCAACATACTCCTTGCCTCATTCAGTCAAGGCTTCCTGGAAGACCACCCATGCTACAGTGCATACATCATCCTCACTCTAATCTCTACATAAATTTAGAGAAGAACAATCTGTCAGAAGTGTAAACTATGTCAAAGAGGAGAGGTAGTCAGAGTTTCTTGTTTTCCTTCTTTCTTTTTCTTTATTCTCTTTTGTTAACCTCATTTTCTCTCTTTTTCTTCCTTCTCACCACCTGAATCATATAGGTTGGTTCCTATTTTAATCAGTACTTTGAAGTACAGCCATTCAAATCTGATGAATGTAAACAAAATAAAGCTCAGGTAACTGGGAAGGAGCAGAGAAAGTCTCAGTGACTAGGTCTAAAACTAGTATCATGGTTCTCTCCATCATTTTGTGTCTCTGAAAGCTGGTCTTGTATGCTCGTGCCATAGATGATTTGTTTTTAATGTGGCAAAGGGAAAGATCTTAGGCACCTCTATGTCTAATCATCCCAAGTGGCTAAAGGTTAGGTGGGGAAAAGTTCATTTATCTCCCACAGGTGATATGTAAAACCCAACACAAAAGCTCCGATACTTCCTTGTGCATCAAATTATAATTCATTTGCTGCTGTGGTTGGGGGATGGGAGAAGGTCAGGCATTTTTGCCTCTGGTCCCATCTGCTGGGGTACTGTGATTGATAACTCCCCCACCCCACCATATACATGAAATGGCAAAAGGATAGTTTCCTAAAGAAAGATGTAGTGCTGTTAGAAGAAGGGGGAATGTGAAGAAACAGGAGTGTAGTTGTTGGGAAGACAGAAACAACAATGATCGACAAGTATTAATTACAGATCTCTATGCTATAGGAAAAATTTAAATTACTGATATTTTATTTTATTTTAAAAATAATTTATTTTAATTATTATGAATACTGTTTTTGTTTTTGTTGTTGTTGTTGTTGTTGTTTTATTGAGACGAAGTCTCGCTCTGTCGCCCAGGCTGGAGTGCAGTGGTGCAATCACAGCTCACTGCAAGCAAGCTCTGCCTCCTGGGTTCATGCCATTCTCCCACCTCAGCCTCCCCAGTAGCTGGGACTACAGGCACCCACCACCACACCCGGCTAATTTTTTGTATTTTTAGTAGAGACGGGGTTTCACCATTCACAGGATGGTCTCATTCTCCTGATCTTGTGATCCGCCCACCTCGACCTCCCAAAGTGCAGGGATTACAGGTGTGAGCCACCACGCCCGGCCATGAATACTGTTTTTATATAAGCATACAATGTGTAAAGATCAAATCAGGGTAATTGGGATATCCATTTCCTCAAGAATTTATCATTTCTTTGTGTTAGCAACATTCCGATTCTACTCTTTGAGTTATTTTGAAATATACAGTGAATTATTGTTAACTATAGCCACTCTGTTGTGCAGCCAAAAACTGGATCAATTCCTGACATTTGAGACATTGTTAAGATGTTCAGGATTGTATTCCTTCTTACTTTCTTTCTATGCCTGTTTCAGTTACCTTCTCTCTATCTGATTTTAATTTAAGCTATTTTTAGTTTTATCTTCAGTGATTACCTAGAACACCTTGATCACTTTCCTCATGGTATCTTTATCTAAATACATTTTAAAACTTTGTCAGTCCTCAAGTTGTTTTGATATGTTTTCTTCTTTCAGTTTATTATTTTCTTGAGATTTCCCTTTCTGAGGTGTTTCCTATTGTGATATTTGTCTTTTAAGAAAGTCGATATCTTATTGATTTTTCATTTTATCTTCATTCACTCTTATTGTCCTATATGGTTACTGTGTTTCCTCTTCATTCATTTTTTTCTCTTCCTGCCTTTAATTCTGAAAGTAAATAATCTGATAATTATCATTTTCCTGGTAAGTTTGGTGATCATTTTACTGGAAAACACAATGTCTAGAGGAACTAATGTGTCTCTATCTGTATTATTGGTTTCTAAATATTTTATATGAGTCACTCCATGTTTGTTTTTTAATCTAATTTTGTCTTCTGTTATGATTGTACTTTAATTTAAAGCCATAAAATTGTGTTGTTTTATAACAATACAAGAGGCCAACATCTCTTTCATTAAAAAAAGTACTAGATTCAGTGATAAAGCACTGTCATTAATGTCTTATCGTTTTGATCTCCCAATGGTCATACTTCCAGCCTACTGAATGACAAACACACATAATTAAATACCAAACTCATAGAAACTGAATATTATGAAGCTGAACAGAACACAATAGAACCTCCCAAAGTAAATCTCAAAATTTTTCCATAACTTTTTTCATCATGTTTATTAGAAAATCAGACTCATGTTAAGATTTGGAGTACCATAGTATTGATGGTGAAGTAGAAATCACACCTATAATTAAGGATTAGTCAGCATCTCAGACATATTTTATTATTTGATATTTGAAAACAAATATCCATATTTAATTATATGTAGAATAATTTTAAAAATTTCACTAAATTATTTGCATTTCTAGATTATATGCCTGCTATTTTTTAAACAGAATGGGTTATAATATAAAAGTATGTGTTTAAAAGGAACTCTACTTCTTTTACTATTGTTGTTTAAAGGGAAAGCATTATTATCTTTTAAAGGGAAGTCACATACTTAGCAACATGAAATATTTTTTCCTATTAGACTTTTAAATAGGTGAACTTGTAAATAACTGATGTTTCTAATAATACATGCATCCTAAAGGTATTATCAATAAAACTCAAGCCGGCAAGCTAGCTTGGAAACTCCCATTCTAAGGTTTTTAAGATTCTACTTCTCATTCCTAAGAAAGTTAATACAAATGTAGGACACAATGTTTATTTTTGTTTTTTGTTTTTTCTTTTTTTAGCTCAACTATCTATGATCACGGGAAAGAATGGGAATTCAGACAAATGAAACAAAACATTTTTAGGGCACTATTTTTAAGTCTGTTAGAGAAAAAAAAATCTTTATTCAGTGTTAAAGAGACAGACAACCTACTTGAGATTTTTCTCCCTTTTCTGTTTCATTGCTGACATGATAATAAGCTCAGAACCAATCATCAGGGAGGAGCGGAAGAGGAAAGGTCAGAGAAACCCATGGTATCAACATATCCATTAATGGAATTCACACTGTACTACCATATTCTTACATTGATAAAATTAATGATGCTAACCTAAATAGGTCATAAATGACCTTTTTTTAAATCAACTAAAAGAAAGTAATAGTAGAAAATTAAACTAATGTATTTTATGAGAAATGTGGAGACAGTATTTTGATCAAGTTTCATAGGTAAAACAGAAAAATGGGGTGAGGTGAGGACCATAGGAATGCCCCCATAAATTTTGGTTTGCTAGAAGGTAAATAAATCCCAAGGTTTGATGCTTGGAATGAGAGGAAAAAAAAAAAAAAGAAAAACAAAAAACCCTCAAATCCAAAGTTTTGTTGTTGTTGTTGTTTCTTTGTCGTTCTGTGGATAATAAAAACTGAAGGTAGCAAAGGTTTAGCTCCTTTATGCCCTGCCTCTGCAACACTGTCGGCTTTTTCTTTTGACCCTCCTGTCATTCACTTTCTTAATGCTCTGCCTCCTGAAGTTAAAGTTTCCTTCTCATCCATTAAGCAAATGTTATATATATGATTTTAGACCACAGTACTCTGTTTATATCTCTTTAGTAGTAAACACTACACTGTGTTTTACTTTAACATATTGCATTTCTGGCCTTCCCATGATGCTGTCATGTCCTTGAGGTTAATGATAATATCTTTTTTATCTTTGCTCCTTCTAATGTCAGAAGAGTGCTTGCCAATTAATAGACTTTCAATATTTGTTTGATGAAGGAATGAATGAGTGAACACATGAATGTTCTCTCACTATTTTTATTTAGTTTATACCTATTCAATAGTAGGACACCCCCAGATTAGATCTCAGCAGAACATCAAGTTCTAGACTGAAAGATGTTGACATATTCTCTCTGAAAATGGTTATCGCTGAGCTTCCAAAGGAGTCAGTCCCTGTGACCTTGTAGCCATTATCCAAAAGACCTCCAGTACATTTTCTTCATTTCTGAAATCTGAGCACAGATACTGTTTCCTCATACTCATGCTTAGTGCTAAAGATAACATTTAGCAGAAAAATGGGCAACAACTACAGGATATATCCAGTTGTTACGTAGATTGAGTATGTAGATTAACATGATTCTTAGAGACTTCATGCAAAAGAGGAAGGCCATTGGATTTAGTGAAAAATGAGTTTGAAATGTTTTATCAATCAATACTTACCTTACTTATCAATGTTCTATGTAAATACAAAACAAAAATTTGGGATCTAGATGCAGAAAAGTGTGTATGCACAGTGTTGAAGATAATGACTTTCTTTTTGTCACCCAGGCTGCAGTGCAGTGGTGGAATCACGGCTCACTGTAGCCTCGACTTCCTGGGCTCAGGTGATTTTCCCACCTCAGCCTCCCAAGTATCTGGGACCACAGGCGTGTAATCATTCCCAGCTAATTTGTGTGTGTGTGTGTGTGTGTGTGTGCGCGCGCGCGCGTGTGTGTGTGTTTAGAGAAAGGTTCTCACCATGTTACCCAGGATAGTCTTGAACTCCTGAGCTCAAGCAATCTGTCCACCTCAGCTTCCCAAAGTACTGGGATTACAGATGTGAGCCACCATGTCCAGCCAATAATTACTTTCTTAGCAAAAGCCAAGGCAGATCCTAATTTTTTTTGTTGGAATGAAAACAAAAGATTAAAATTTGAGTAGCTTGAACTGAATGTAAAAGAGATGCAAGTTATCTGTTACTGATGCCTCTGATATTTCCTTAAAGTTCATATGAGTATACACAGGATTTTATGTATATATAAGATATATTTGCAATGAATAGAAAAAAAATTTAGACTTACACATTTTATATTTTAAGTCTGAATTATTGCAATTTAAAGTAAAAATGTCTCATCTCTAACCTACTATAGCAAATATATTTCAAATCTTAGAAATCTTGCAGACAATGTTTTGGTAACACCTATTCTTTGAAGGTAGAATATTTGCAAACTCCAATATATTGAAGAAAAGATAGGTAACCATATGTCTGCAAATGGATTAGATGGAGCTTGCTAAAGTCTTATGTTTTCTTCTCATTTCTATATAGAGGATTAAGGATATTTCTGTGAAAAAAAAATGCATTTCTAAACTCTTAGTGTAGACCAGTCCTTGGAAGAGATTTTTATTCATTGTCTTAATCCTTATTCTTCTGGCACTTCCATATCTTCAATATTGTTGCTGAAGTTTTTTGTTTTTGTTTTTAGACTGTCATATAATTCTGGTGTTTATTTTGTGACCAATAACTCCTGACATTTATGATTTAATATATCAGAGATACTAGGACTAAATCAGCACCAGTATTTCACAATGTTTTTGTATAGTGAAACACCTTTAAATTTATAACAACCCTTCAATTCTTTCCATGACATAATTGACTAACTATATTTACTATGTATAGCAATATGTGTATAGATTTTAATAATTTAAAGGACACATGGTAAAAAGAAGTGACATTCATTTTAATCCTGAAAGACTGACTTTATATAGAAAATCATAAGCTAGAAAATATAGAACAATATTTTGCACTACTGATTCTATTATGCGTTCTACTTAGCCCAGACTTCTGATTTGTACTTTTTTGCAAAGTTGTATAAGTTTAAAAGTATATTGTTGGCTTAATATAATAATAAATTACACCAATGTACGCACTAATAACTCTACTTTAAATTTAATATACTAAAAATATAATTTCAAAGTTGTTACTAGGAAAACTTTTTGGGTTCCCACATCTTTGCTCCTTCCTTCATTGCCCCTAATTCCTCTTATTGGTCTTTTTGCTGTAATTTCTTGCTTTCTTGCCAAATTCCATTTCAAGGGAGGTGTTTTAATCTACTCCCCTCTGATAGCTCTTCATTGGTACAATAGAATTTTTGTCAAATGGAAAACTACTTGGCTTGTCAATTGGCCTCCATCAAATATAACAGGAGGTTACTTTTCCCTGTTACAGGACTTCTCATACTTGGTGAACTGAGGCTCTATTTAAAGTGTAGATTCCAGGGTCTTCACTCCCTGAAATTCTGACTTGATAAGTCAGGCATACGTTCTGAAATCAGAATTTTTACCATGCACTCCTGTTTTTGTTTTCTGGATGTTTAAATGCATTGTTCAAAGTAATCCTTTTTAAGATTTTAAAAAATGTAGCTGTGATGATTTACATAGGAGAAATCAAGAGCAAAATAATCTGTAAAAAAGAATTTATGTATAATCACTTATTCACTATCCAGTCCCTTCTATAGTCTTTGATATATATGGGGAATGTATAAAAAGGTACAGACACAAAAGATAATATTGGTTATAAATATTGGATGTATTTCACCATACCTGTCTCCTTATCTAAACTCTTACCTTCATGTTCTAATGGCCACCATACACTTACCTGTACTATATCAAATTTAGTATGATCAAAACCAAATTTTGAGTCTTCTCCTTCCCTGCTGCAAACACACTCCTCCTCTACGGCCCTGTATCTCAGTAAATGGCACCTCCATCAACCTACCTGGCATGAAAGTGTGGACTCCTCTCTTTCTCTTATACCCATAAGGCAATCCGTCATCAAATCCTATTGGTTCAGTTGTCAAAATATATACTAAATATCACTAGAGTATAAGTTCCCTACAAGAAGGAGCTTCGTCTGTTTTGTTTGCTGCAATAGGCACACAATAAATATTTTTTGAACTAATGAATTTGTTTATTGTGGCAAAAAGGTCTTGTCACATTAAGAGATTTACATTCCCTTGTATGCTTTTAATTACTCCAGAAGACATTTTCTAAAACATTTTCACATAAACTGTATCTATTGCTTGCATAGCCACACAGAAAAACAAATACCTGAGAGTAGTAGACTGATTGTGAATAGCATGTTGGGGAACAAGCCCTGATTTCTGCTGGACAACTGCACGTGGGTACTCCTCTAGCAATTCAAACTCCACGTATCTTTGTCCAATTCATCATGACCCTTCTATACACTACAGTTGATATATATTACATATTTCCCATTTTAAGAAAAAAACGAATAAGACAAGCACTGTCTTTTTCTTTTTTTAATAATTTAATTTTATTTTAAGTTCTGGGATACATGTGCAGGACGTGCAGGTTTGTTACATAGGTAAACGTGTGTCATCATAGTTTGCTACACCTATCAACCCATCACCTAGGTATTAAGTCCCACATGCTTTAGCTATTTATCCTGATGGTCTCCCTCCCATAGTCCCGACAACAGGCCCCAGTGTGTGATGTCCCACTCCCTGTGTCCATGTGTTCCCATTGTTCAGCTCTGCTTATAAGTGAGAACATGCAGTGTTTAGTTTTATGTTCCCATGTTAGTTTGCTGAGGAGAGCCACTGTACTTTCTTTGGCAGAAAATTTATATTAATCAGCAGGTTCTTTTCTGTTCCTATAAATTTCTCACATTTGATGAGTTGCCAACTTCCATCTTCAGACTGCCTCTCATGTTTGTTTCATTTTTTTTCATATTCTATCCCATTGTCTTAACTTCATTCTCACAACAACTGCCCTGAAGAGTCTCAACAGGCTTCTAACTGTTTTCCCAGTGTCTGGTATCTCATAACTTTAATCCGTTCTTACCATTAAGCCAAATTAATCTCCCTTTAGGAAACTCTGATATAACACAAGTCATTTTAAAATCACTCCAGAGATTGCAAAACATGTTTAATCCAATCCACCATAATACACTACAGACAAGACTGGGCCAGATACCCACAAAATAAAGAAGGCCACAAAAACAATTGAAAGCAGTAGAGGAGATTAAGACCTTATTACTCAAAATTACCCAGAAATGTGTTTAAAAACTTGTGTATTATTGGAATTCCCTGAATGATTTTTGGAATGGTTTATAAATAATTATTTTTGTGTCTTCAAGCTATCATGCATTTAATCTTAGTACTTCACCAATGTAGGTGGAATTTTTCATTCTTTGGAACTTTTCAAAATCGTATTCACATGTCAACAATAACTCAAAATGCTACCTCCTCAGTGAAGAAGGTATTTCTTTCCCCATGTCAAACCCAACTCTTATATTTCAATGTTCTGAGACTTAGCATATGCCTCTTCAGTAATCCTCATACTATAGTTTATTGTTTACATGTTAGTCTCCCCCACAAGATTAGAAATTCCTTGTAGGTAAGAACCATGCCTCATTCACTTCTGTATTTCCTCCACAGAATGTAATAGAACAGATTACACATTGTGGGTGTTCAATAAATATTTGCTGAATGAAATAAGAAAAGGAAATAGCTCCAAATTAGATAAGCCCTAGAAAGTCAGTGCGTTGGTTCAGGATGCTTTATTTTTCTGTGTACCTTTTGCTGCTACAGTTGGATTTAGCCCTCTGGTGCTCTATGATGCTTTTGCCTCCATTTGGATGAAAAAGATATCTTTGCATGACTTCAAATCAACAATCTGCATATATTTCTATTATTGCTGATGCTAACTCAGCATTCAGAGCGGTCTTCTGAACTCCTGTTTACAAAGAGATAAAATCTATGTCTGGCTTGACTTTGCTCTTGTATTCCTCGCTCCTCTTTCCCTTTAGTAACTGTGATCAGGTACCTACAAGGAGTTACAGATCACTGAGGCATTGGTGATTAGTTATGGAACCCAAGTCCCTTTTGGTTAAGTTTACCAGAAAATGTGTATGACACTGTGTTTTGTTTAAATCCCACAGGTCATATTTTTTCAATTTGCTACGCAGACTAGCATAGCTGTACTGTCAAAGGAGGAATGGAAGTGGGGAACACAAGACTGCATTTATGGCCGGGTGTGGTGGCTCATGCCTGTAATCCCAGCACTTTGGGAGGCTGAGGCGGGTGGATCACGAGGTCAGGAGATCAAGACCATCCTGGCTAACATGGTGAAAACCTGTCTCTACTAAAAATACAAGAAAAAAAAATTAGCCGGGCATGGTGGCGTGCGCCTGTAGTCCCAGCTACTCGGGAGGCTGAGGCTGGAGAATGGTGTGAACCCGGGAGGCGGAGCTTGCACTGAGGCGAGATTGCGCCACTGCACTCCAGTCTGGGAGACAGAGCATTTACTCACAACTCAGGAATGAAAAGGCCAGTTGATAATATGTAAAGGTATTCAGACAACTAACACAATAGCAGCTGTCTAATACTGAATGTCACTACCTGTAAAAAAAAAAAAAAAAAAAAAAGATCAAATAATAGCCCTATCACACTAGTTGTTGTAGAATTAACTAAAATAGGTATGACAAACACTTTTATTGAAGAGTTATGTAATAAGGGAAATGTAACAACTCCAAGAAGCCCATTCTGTAAATTTTGTTCATTACTGATTTTCAGTAATAATACATATTAATAAATTTGGTTCAGTTGTTCCAGGATCTGCTAGAATTACCAATATCTGCTTTCTTTTCTTTTCGTTTTCTTTTTTTTTTTTTTTTTTTTTTTTTTTTTTTTTTTTTTGAGACGGAGTCTCACTCTGTCACCAGGCCAGAGTGCAGTGGCTTCATCTTGGCTCACTGCAACCTCCGTCTCCCGGGTTGAAGTGATTCTCCTGCCTCAGCTTCCCAAGTAGCTGGGACTACAGGCGCATGCCACCAAGCCCAGCTAATTTTTTTGTTGTTTGTTTTTTAGTAGAGATGGGGTTTTACCATGTTGGCCAGGATGGTCTCGATCTCTTGAACTCATGATCCACCCGCCTCAGCATCCCAAAGTGCTGGGATTACAGGCATGAGCCACCAGACCTGGCCCCAATGTCTTCTTTCTCTGGGTGAGGTTACACTTTGATTTTTTTTTTTAATTCATAATGATGAATATTTTAGGAGTTTGAAGGCAGAATTAGATGGGATTAGTGTTTCTCCTATTCTCTATTAAATAAAGTGTCTAGAACTATCCATCTACTATGAACATTGGTTTTGTGCGCCACCTGAAAGTGTTATTATTTTTTCCATTGTTTGCACAGTCCAGAACCCTAGAATTGGCACAAGTCACTGGCAATGGAAAAGAATGACAGAGGATTCCTAAAGCTTAGGCTCTATGGGCATGCCTGAAACATCCCAAGGCTCAGGTGAGGATATGTCTGTCCCTTTTTATTATAGAAAGTACAGAGTCATAGTAACATTCTGTCACAGCTGTTTCACCTCATTTGGGACACAGTTCATTAAGTATTTGCTTAGACTTTTATAAAAACAACCAAGAATTATTTTGAAACAAAAAGAGTTTAAGAGTTTTGCACATTACATGTTCTTCTCAGTTATTGCAGAAATATAGCGTATCATTTAAAGAAATCTTGGTGTATCTTACTTGAGAAAACAAAAGAACAAAAAGCTACCAAATTTGTAAATTTCATTTTGCTTTTCTTGAGAAGAGCAATATAATTGCATAGTATAAATCACTTAGTCATGTCAAGGAGATCTCAGTGCTGGGGAAAGATTTTCAAATGGTCTTTCATAATCATTACTAGAATAACTACAAAATAGTTGATGTATAAGTTACTCAAGGTATAAAACAAAATAATCACAAAAGCAATTCAAATTATTGAAGCTTTATTTTAAATATTTATATAGAAGAAATTTAAAGCCTGCAATGCTTAATTTAAAAAATGTACTTATATGTAAAAAATTCCTCCTGCTGGAAGTCTTACACTTTAATTCATTTGCTAACTAAAAATTCTGTATTCCTGAACCTGTTCTCGGCACTGAGGATACATTGGCAAACAGGAAAAAAAATGAAACTATTCTCATGCAGCTTACCTTTTACTTAAGGGAGACAACAGAAAAATGAACAATAAATTAACAATTCAATTTGAAATGGTAATCAATTCTATGACAAAACTAAAATGGGATGCTATCACACACAGCACATGAGGGAGCAGTGATTCAAAGCTGGCATTCTAAGAGAACTTCCATGAAAGTGCAGTGTGAGCTGAGCAGGAGCCAGTCATAGGAGGATCAGAAATTGTGAAAACTCTAGAGCACGCATATATTGCTTAGGGAAACATTGTATTCTGTTTACAGAAAGATTGTCAAGGAATATTGTCTATTCAAGGAAAAGAAATCATGCTACAGTGATCAATCATCCAAAGGATGCGCCTTCTTGTTTGGCTGTTAATTCAAGGACTTATTCATCTTTAGTGTATTTATCATTTTTACTTCTGTAAATGTTATAGTTCATTTACTCAGGGGATAGTTGAAAATATGTCCTGAATTTGGGAAACTCAAGGCCTTATGTCCAGTTTTCAGCATTTTTAATGTTTGGAAGATACTTTCTTAATCCTGCATGAAAAATTAGGGTGTATTAATTATATTATTCATATCATCCAATCCCCAAACTGTGTGTGTACACATGTGTGAGGTATGTACATGTTTTTATTTATGTGTTTTTAAGTTCTTAAATTTTTATTCTCCCCCTTTTCTCTAAGATGATTTGGCTTCTTGTCAATGACAAGTTATAAAGTTCATTATGCCTGGGGGAAAAAATAACACATACGTCTATAAACTAGGGTAATCTTACTGATTTTCAGGAATCTCTGAGTCACCATCACCATCTCTGATGATTTCAAAGAACCAGATCTCTCTAGGTTTTCCTGTGTCCAAAGTATAAATCAAGCCCAAACACATAAATGTCTCAATAATTATGAAGTTATTTTCCTGAACCAGCTGGTAAGATTTGTTAATGTATTTTTATCTTCAGTCTATATAAAATTGGGAAACTTTTGTATAAAGTATTATAATTGAGGATGCTAAGTTTTTATCTATTTTTAATAATAAAAAGTTGATTCGGTTTAATATAATAACAAAATGGTTTCTTAAGCATTTAATCACACCTCCATAACCCTGCCCAGAAAGATCAGCACAATCTTCACATTTTATGAAAGACGAATTGCCTTCAAAACAGTATTTATGAGCAATATGGTTCTCTACCAAAGTGGTTGACTCATCAAATTCATTCCGAATTGATGAATTAAATTATTAAAGCTGGTGGCCTTCTGACCCCATTTCTAGCAATGTAGTGACAAAATCAAGGCCTCACATGGTTATAAACCATGGGCCTTATAAATTCATTTTAGAGTCACTGAGTAGGAATAAAAGCTAAGAATCTACAAAAGGATATTATAATTTTTAATCATTGTTGTATTTCCATTGTGAACTAGGAACAGCAAATAAAAGCTTCTAAACTATCCACAGATTTAGAAATTGTGAAGTGTGTTACCATGCCAACCTGTAGGGAAATATTCACGGAAATTCCCTAAGGGCTCACTTGGGGTCAATGTAGCATCTTCATTGATTGTTTGAATAAAATACATGTCATTTAAAATAAATTTTCAAGTGAGAATGTTTAGAAAGTTGTAGAAAATTTAGAAAGAAGTGGGGATTTAGTTGGAAAATGTGAAAATTGTTTATTAGATCTCAAATTTTTAATATTTTGTGTTTCAGTGTGAGGCCAAAATGTGATGTAAAAGCTAAAATGAGAGATAGCTAGGAGTACAGTGATGCATTGAAACCTCAGTCAGTAACTAATCATAAAAATGATTTTAGTAAAAAACCATGTAGAATATTGGAAAATATTAATAGACCTATGGCATGCAAGATTCATACATATATGTTCCAAGAAAGATATAATTAAAACATCATAAAGAAAACCTGCGCCTGGGTGCAGTGGCTCTCGCCTGTAATCCTAGCACTTTGGGAGGCCAAGGTGGGCGGATTGCCTGTGCTCAGGAGTTAAAGATCAGTCTGAGCAACACGGTGAAATCCCATCTCTACTAAGAATTCAAAAAATTAGCTGCTCGTGATGGTGCATGTCTGAAGTCCCAGCTACTGGGGAGGCTGAGGCAGGAGAATCACTGGGACCTGGAAGGCGGAGGTTGCAGTGAGCTGAAATGGCGCCACTGCACTCCAGCCTGGGCAACAGAGTGAGACTTTATCTCAAAAAAAAAAGTAAAAAGAAAAAGAGAAATTGCTTCTCAAATTTAAATATTCAGCAAAACAAAAACAGCAACAGTTTTTCCAATATGTATTCTTTCTTTCTCTTCTTTCCTTGTTTTTCCTTCGTTTTCTCACTTTATGTTTTTCTTTCTTTGTTTTGTATGCAGCACGTAGAAAGCCTCCTGGAAGTAATTATCTGGAGAATTTGGATTATGTTCTTTATTGTCAGTTTGTTTGTTTGTTTTCATTAAAACAAGCTTATTGCCAAAACAGGATGCAAACCCCAGTGTGAAAACCTTCACTAGTCTTTCCCCTCATGTATTTATTCTCTGCATTTTCCTCAAAATGCTCTCATGGAAAATGCAAACCAATGATGGTACTCTAATTTAAAATCCTTTAACAGCTCCCCCTAAACAACAGTGTCAAAGCCTAGATCTTAAGAATTGTACACAAGGTCTTTTATGGCCAATCCTTATTTACTGCTTCAGCCTCATTTCCAGACTCTCCTCATCTGCACTTACATTGGACTTACCCAATTGCCTAACACTTTCTTCATAGCTCATTCTATTTCACGCCTCTTTGATTTTGCTTATGTTGTTTCCTCTGCTTAGAACATCCTTACCCAATTTTCTTCACCTGGGTAACTTGAATTCATCTATTAAAACTCAGTTTAGGTGTCATCTCCTCCTGTATCTCTCTCTAATCCCCCAGCAGAGCTAAGTGTCCTTCTCAAATACTTCCACTACATTCTGTGCAACCATCTGTCATAGTAGCACTTACCACGTTATTTTAAAAGTATGTGTTTATGTGTCTATCTTTCAAAAAGAGTGCAGGTTCCTTGGATTCTATTACCTTTGTACCCTCAATCCAAGCACAATAATTGGCACATAGTCTCTTAATATTATCAATTGCCTCTATTGTCAGAGACCCAAATCGCAACGATATATCTATCAGCTTATCTTAGTGGTATGCCATTAAGCATTGAATTCCTCCAAATTATCTTGTTCTGAGTCTATGCAAGTTAAAAATACTTTTAACTATTATATAGATTCTGTGACAGAGACATCACCATCTCCCAATCCCCTTTGTAGTTAGGTTGATACGATATGATTGATTTGGACCAAATGAATATGACCATGACTGACAAGTGTTAATTTTTGGCAAAGGTGGTTAAGAGCCAGTATACTTCTTCTAGTTCACAACTTTAGAGGCTGTGCAACAACTTATCCCGAAACTGAAGTCAAACAACAAAAATTTATTATGACATAGCTTCTGAATGGTCAGGAATCTGCAAGAAGCTTAGCTGAATAGTTCTGACTCAGTGTCTGTTACTAAGTTGCACTGAAGCTGGGGGTGGGTTGGGGTAGTGGCTGTTGTAGTCACCTCAAGACTCAACCTGGTCTGAAGGATTTGCTTCCAAGCTCACACATGAGGTTGTTAACAGACCGTATTTCCTCTCTGGCTGCTGGCTGGAGATTTTAACTCCAGCCAACAGCTGCTCACCACAAGGCAGCTTACTTCCTCCAGAAGAAGAGATCCAAGAGCTAGAGAGAAAGTGGGTACTTGAGCCAGAAGCTGTAAGCTCCTGTTATGTAATCTTGAAAGTGACATCGTTTCACTGCTGCTATGAGCTGTTGGTCACCCAGACCAATTCTGGCATAATATGCAAAGGGACTACACGATGATGTGACTATCAGGAAGTGGGGCCGGGGCCCGGGGGCGGTCATTGGAAGCCATATTGGAAACTGATTACCACAGAGTCCACCTTTTAGGGATAGTGCACAAAATGTGGAGGCTGCCTGAACTGTGAGTCATTGGATGAAGGAGACTCTCCAACCCACCTCAGATGTTAAATGAGCAAGAAATAAACTTTCGTGATACTAAGCCAATGAAAATTCAGGGTTTGTTTGCTACTATGGCATAGCCTAGCTATTCAGAACAATAACAGTCCACATGGATTTCTGTCTACTGAAAAAGACTATGATAACTGAAAGAACTTTGGGTATTTAAGGACTTGTAAGAATAAACTCTTACTGTAAATTAAAACATCGAAATTATTATTTTATGTTTAACAAGTTTATGAAGTTTGTTAATGTGAGTTTTTCCTCATAGTTTTGACACAATCACATATCAAAGACAGGATAGCTGAAGACCAGTAAAAGATAATTACACACCTCATCCTGGCCTCTTGAAATACAGGAAATTTGCAAGCTTTTCCCAAGCTGACACACAACCACTTGGCTTTTCTGTATGCCCATGCTTTTCTTCCACAGTGATTTTAAATCACTTCAAGCACTTGAGTTTTTTTTCATTAAAAAAGACCTACCTCATAATGTTGTTGTGAAGAATAACTGAGAGAGAATATGGACAAATATCTTCTGAAGAGTAAAATACTATATAAATATTAAACATTGTTCTCATGTGTTTAGTATTGAAGGCAAATTACTTGTAAAGACCCAATAATAATAATCTCTAAACATTTTTTAGAAATAAAGATATAGTCATTTATTTTGAGCAATTTGTTTTTTGTTTATGAAAGAACAGTTTTTCTGGCAAGAAATTTAATGTTATTTTAAATATCGATTTAATTCATTTACTTGGTTAAGAGATCACTTCTCATTGTGAACAAAGGTGAAATGAAAACATTTTATACTCAGAGTCAGCAATTCAAAAGACTGGTCATATGGGTCATGTGTTTCATCCAATAGCATCTCAAACTCTTTCAAAGTCAGTATCTAAAGGTCATTTCATGTCTGATGTAATAGGTAATGATTCTTCATACATATAATATATTATTCTGATCCAGGAACACTGTCCGGTGATATAGAAATTGACCTGTTCACGTCAGGCACAGTGGCTCATGCCTGCAATCCCAGCATTTTGGGAGGCTGAGGTGGGTAGATAACAAGGGCAAGAGTTCAAGACCAGCCTAGCCAAGATGGTGAAACCCATCTCTACTAAAAATACAAAAAAAAAAAAAAATAGCTGGGCATGGTGGCATGTGCCTGTAATCCCAGCTACTGGGGAGGCTGAGGCAGGAAAATAGCTTGAAGCCAGGAGGTGGAGGCAGCAGTGAGACGAGATTGTGCCACTGCACCCCAGTCTGGGTGACAGAGCAAGACTCCATCTCAAAAAAAAAAAATTAAAAAAAGTTCATCTATTTAATAAAATCAATAGCAACATGATTTGTTTAAATAAATACTATTTATTTGGCAATGCATGACAAAAAGAAAAATAAACAAATATCTGTAGATTATGTGAAGTGTTAAGTGTTTAGGCTCTCAGGCTCAAATTGTGTCTAAAAATAGCACTTTCAATAACAAAATAATCCTTGGCCACAATTATCTAACATTTTTTTTCCAGTGAGTCAACCCCCTGAACAGGTAAAAGCATTTTTGGCAGCACCTATTTTACCTTGAAATTTTCTCTTGTAAAGTAACCCTAGCCCGACCTTGATTGGCTTATCAAATGAGCTCATCCTCAGAGCTGAAGAACTGTAGTCTATCAGAAAAACAGCATGGCAACATGCCCAAACAACTCTGTAAATTGTCTAGAGGGCACATCTAAGTATCTCTTCCTTCCTCTTTTTGCCTATGCATCTCCAGTCAGGGTTAGAAGCTAAGGAAAGAGGCAGGATGAAGTAATGGAATAAGCATGGACCATGGAATTTGTTAAATCCATATTTGAAACCTAGTGCTGCTATTTACTGCCTGACTAAACTTTTGAGTAAGTTAGCATTGCTCTTTGAATTCATTTTTCTTATTTGTAAAACCTATTAATCTTCTCATTATAAGTTTGTTGTAAGGCATCAATAGAGTATATGTAAGTGGAGCCTGACATATAGTACCTGGCATATAGTACCCAATAAATATTCAACAAATTTCCTTTGCAGGGAAAAAAGGAACTGAAGACAAATACCGTCAGCTTCACCAATCACATGTCATTGACTGAAACATACTTAATAAAGCCAGCATTCCTTAGGGTGGAGAAGATGTCAGAATGCTATAAGAAGAAACATGGAAGGATCTTCTTTCACTAGTTAAATAACATCAGCAGTGGATGTTTCGGAGCGGAGTGAGAATATGGAGACTTTGAGATGCTAACATAGCTGCAGTACATGAAAATTTTCAAATATAATCTAAAATACAAAATAAGGAAAATTAATATAAATCATATGATACAATTTAGTATGTAGGCACTACTACAATCAAGACAGTTTTCTAAAAACTGGAGCATTGTGTTTATGTTTGAGTTTTAGATTTGGTCTCTTGAAAACTGGTATTTTTTAATTATCCCATTTCCCAAATATATTTTTTCAAATACAGAAATAACTCATTGCATTTAAATTATCAGTTGCACATGTTATTCTCATTATTGTCTGTCCATGATAAATGTTGCTGTTATCTATGAAATAGCCATCTTAAAAGTTATCATTGGGATTTTAAGTCAAAGATATAATTTATTTTACTAAGTAAGACTAAACAGTTATGATTTTAGCAAAAATGTAGAGGCATCAGATTAATTCTTATTCAGATTAGCATGTTTGCATTTTAAAACTAAAATGCACAATAGGTTTAAAGCCTAATAGTTAATATTACCTTTTACAGTCACTATTCATGATTCTATTGAGTCTTGGCCGAGATGAGTGATGTATTATTTCTATATCTAAAAAGGGTTTAGAAATAACCCCTTTTTGCTTCCTGTGTAGGTAAGGATGGGTTTACAAACACCCATGAAACTAAAATGGGCATTCGGAGAAGCAGAAAATAAATGTCTCTAGGCTTAGGAGTAACATGAACTTGCAATTCTACCACTTACATATCTGACACAAGACTAACTCTGTAGGAAGCAAACTTATTACAAATATTTCCCCATTCCACACACCTAACTTGGGTAAACTGTTATTAGGTAAATTACTTAATGGATAATTTATTTTAACTATGAATACTTCACAATGTATTTTAACAATGTATGAGTTAAATCAACATATTACCAATGTGTGTGTTATTTAAAACACTAGTAGTGATAGACCTGCCTATCAACAACCTATTAACAACTCAAAAACTCTAAATGAATGGGACCCAGCACAGGCAAATTTAAGTTGAGAGAGAAAGCAAACTATTCCAATAGTTAGGAATGGCTTTCATTTAAAGGCAAGAAGGCAATGTTAAGCAATCAGTATGAAGGAGATGGGTGGGTGGAGCTAGTGTGGAAAAGGAGAGTAATGTGTGCCAACACCATTTTATTCACACCTTTTAGGAAAATATGCAATTAAGGAAAAGGCTGGGGCAGAGGCCATAAAGAGCTACAGAGATACAGACTGGCCCATGAAGGCAGAAGCTGGCTATACACCACATCACAAAAAGTTCAGTCATGAAAATTAAGGGATAAAAATTGACATTAATTAGTGTCTATGTGTCAAGAAAAATATGTATATGCCTGTGTCCCTTTATATGTCTTTATAGAGGGTATACGTACATTATATCCTGATACTATTTCTATAATGCAGTCATTATCGATCTTTAATTTGTAATTATAAAAAAATTGACTTGGATAGTTCAATAACTTGCTAATGGCACACAAGAAGCAAGAAGCATAGCTAGACTGATGTTTTCCTATTTTCCATATGGAGACAACAACAGATATGACAGAAGCATACCAGATGAAACATATGATATCTTTGAATGCAGATATGAGAAGCAGAAAATTGATCATTTTCCCTAGGTACTTAATGTTTAAACTGACTAGAACACATTTCTCCCTACAATTGTCATTCAAGGAATCAGGAGTAAAAATTAACATCAGTCACATTTCTTTACATTTCCCCAGAGGCTCCCCTGATATACACACTAATTTAAAAAAATGATAATGCTCACAATATACCAATTGAATAAGTTGATACATCTACTTAGCTGTAGTAGAAGACATAGTTAGGAATAGGTTATAGGTGGCATTATTCTGAAGATACTGAAAAGATACTCCTTCCAAAAAGAACCTTACCCTATGCTCCTTCCTTAGAACTTAAAATTTCACATTAAACATGCTTACAGCTTTTCATTGAATGTAAATACTCATAACATTCTATTTAAAACTTTACTCCCCCAGGAAACTGCTTTCCATCTTTGGGAGGAGTATATGAGAGTGGAGAGGTGGCATAGTGATAAAGAGGGACTATGGGGAGAAGAAAAAGAGATGAGGACAATCAAGACTTTGTTATGCTACCCACAGCATATCCTATTACATCACTTCATGAAAGGACATTGTGGAGAAGATGACTTCTAACTGATGGCATTATATTTGTAAGCCCAAAAAGGTTGAGATTTTCCAAGCAGTTATATGAAAGTACAAATGGTGACTGGACCTGAAGGCTCAGTGATTACATCTGCTGCCTACACTGTGGTATTTTACCTTCATACTTAATATTGCATCTTTATTTTGCATAAATCATGTGACATCCTGTCCTACCACTCTATGTGCAAAATTACTTATACCAGAGGGGCAAAGAAGCAATTCTCAATCTAATTCATTTTGCAAATTTGACAGTGACATCAAAGAGCAGGAAGTTGTCTGTGAGTAACGACACTACTCGTTTGTTTAAATGTCAAACCTAAACCTCATCAACTTTCAGGCAGTATGTCAGAAAAGAATGCATTTCAGTTCAACCAGAGAGGATTTCAGTGTTATTCAGTCCTGAGGAAAATAGCTGTCAGTTTCTTTAAGGCAGAGTGCTTTGAGTAAATCTTTCTTTTTAGGCTGAATGGAATTGGCCATTTCAGCACTTGGGGCTGTGGACAGTGCTATCTTCCTTGACATTATGAAACAAGTAGCCTTACTGTAGAGGTGTTTCCTTCTTGAAACTAAAACTCCCCAGGCTAGCAAACATGTATCCCTAAACTATGCAATTAGGATATGGAGACTATTCACTACAAGGTCTATGCAAGGTAAAAATGCAATAACAACAAAGAAGAGCACATTTTACCACAAAGATTCAGCCGAAAATTAAAATAAGGAAGGCAAATAGTTACTATTGATAGCTATTCATAAAAAAATTACTGCTTCTCTGGAAAGGTTTTTGGTGAAGAGAATGACAGTGCCATTAATCCCTCATTGTACTTTATTGGCAGTGGGCGTTGATGCAGAGGAGAACAGGAACACATCTAATAAACTTGCAGACAATCAGGAGCAGAGAATCTATTCTCTATATGCTTTTTAGCTCTAGAGTGGAATAACAATGGAGAATTCTGGATCTGAGGTCAGAAAAAATGGAACTGAATTTAAATTATGTCCCTTAATACGTCATTTTATTTCTCTAAGTCTTGTTTCTTCTTCTGGCTAATGTGGGTTATTTTGATATTTAAGGGAGAGAATGTACATGAAGGGCTCTGGCACACAGTAGGTACTCAATATATGTTCAATTTTGATTATTCACTTATCAATAAGTGTTGGCATAATGCAGTAAAATGTTGCTATGCTGGTAGCCATGTGTCTTAAGAGATGTAATCCTAAGGATGGGTAACAAGAAGAAGGAAAGCAAGATTAGGATTATTATCAACAGAATTATGCTTATAACAAGAATCCTAATCTTGTGTATTTCCACTTTTGTTTCATTTTGTTAGTATCCCAAAAAGATTTCCTTTATTTTTACTTTTAAATCAACCAAAGGAAAACAGTCTAAAAATAATATTTAAAAATGTACTAAAGTTCTCAGAGGTTTCTTGTCTCCTCAAATAACATTCTACCAACACTCTGGAGAACTCCTGTCATTCACATACTATCATCTATTCTGCCTGCTGAGTTGGTGAGAGACTACTCGGGATGATTTCTACCCAGACCAACACACTTGGGAGAGAAGGCAAAAATCAGGTTAGTCTGAAAGCCTGATAATTTCCTTGTCAGTCCCCATTGCAGCTACAAGTTCTTTGCTTTTGACTGCAAAGCCTCCCAGCCTATCTCACCTCACTCACCTTCTTCTTCTTTTATAAATGAAAATCAAGAGCAACTCCTAGCCTCCTCCATCTCCTGTCATTTTCAGCAGAGACTTCCTCCACACTGCCCTCTGCATGTGAAAAGTCTCCCAGCCTTCTACTCTTCATTCATCAAGGTACACTCTCCTTCCATTCACAATTTATTTCAAGTTATCCCTCCCTTCCAAAGCCCCTTTTCTGGAGGTATATTCCCCAACTGCCCTAATACATTCCATCATCGCACTCACCATGTTGCCATCTCACCCCCTCCCCAACCCTCAGAAATTGTTTAGGGGGAGGGGGATGAGGGGTCGAGGAAACCCGTGTTTGCATACAGACCTAGACCGGGACAAATAGCCTAGCATTAAGCTTAGTCTCATCTTTGGAGAAAACAAAACAAAACAAAACAACAACAAACAGTTGACATGAATAATTCCTGAGCCTGGCAACAAGCAGACTGAAAAAAAAAAATATTTGGCTGAATGGATGTAAGAATGAATGGATGGATGGATGATTGAGATCTCTGTGGTACTTTTCTCCGATGCCCCTCCTTCTTGCTCCAGGCATGGATCCTGTTTAATTCAGCTTCTATGAGTGAGTGCACTTCCCTGCTTTGCCTCCGTCTCCACTCCCTGCTGGTTCATTACCACCTCTTGACTGGAGACTAAACCTCCTCGCCAAAGGGCAATGCCACCTAGCTCACAAATGCTTTGTGACTTCCACAGCCACAGAGAGCTTGCTCCTTAGGGATGTAGCTTTGTATTCTGCAAGCTCTGTCTCGTCCCAACCCCCCTGAAACACCCAGCCACGTTACACAAAGGGATGACTGACTCCCCCACCTACCCACCCACACACACACACACTCAACAAAATCCACCTGGAGATCCCTGCCGCGGCCCCTCTCCCTGCGCTTGTAATCTAGGTGCTCGAAAAAGAAACGCGGTTTCCCCGTTATTCCTGCAAAACAGGGAATAACCTTTCCAGGGCTCGGTCCCGGTTCGGAAAATCAGAAAACTTTCTATTATTATTATTATTTTATTAGAAAACCCCATCCGAGAGCAGCGACCTCTTTGTTTGCTTCCCGGGGGAGGGAGGGGTCTCTTTAGAGCCTTCTCAGCCCGGGGCGGAGAGGGGGTGATAGCCCCTAGGAGGGCTGCCCGGGAGGAGACTCACCCAGGACGTTCCCAATGAGAGCCACGACGAACACGATGATGTACCCGGCGATCAGGACCCACTCATATTCTTTCGGGTGCAGGTATTCCCTCCACAGGTACCGCAGGAATTCCTCGTCGTCATAGTCGGTGGGGTTTAAAAAGGGCTCTTGAGTTTCATTCAGCTCCGAAGCAGATGACCAGTTGCGACAAGGGGGGGAGTCCTCCAATTTGGTGCCGGACATCACGGGCTCAAGTCCGGTTCCGCTCAATGCTGCAAGCTCCTCTCCGCCTGCCCCATGAGCACTGGTGATTTGCGGTGGGAAAGGCTGCGCGGAGAGGCTAGAAGGGGCTCCCGAGCAGAAAATGACGTGAAAAGTTACTGAGCCAATGCCTCCGGAGTCTTCTGCCGGGCAACTTCTGCGGTGGCTTTGCTGTCTTTACAGGCGATGTTGCACCGGGAAGATAGGCAGCTGAGGAACTAGGGACCCGGCACTGGAGGCTGCAGCAATGACACCAGGAGGAGAAAGCTACGTCCGGCTCAGCTGAAGCTCAATTACTCCTCATTCCAGCACTCAGTCCGCAGCCCACAGCCTCCTCCCTCGCTGAGGGAGAGCTGAAGCTGAAGAAAAAAAAAAAAGTAATGAAAACTAATTTAATCTGTTTTTTTGGGGGGTGGGGGGTGAGAGTTAAATCTCTCTCTTTTTCTACTTATTTTCTCTATTTTTACGTGCACTTATTATAAACCATGCACAGACATGCATCAGTCTGTGGATATGACAAAAATGTCAACATACAATTAATACAGAGCATGTTGATACATTTGTCTTTGTAAAGCAAATATAAAAGCAATAAGGAGGTGCCTCTGTGTTTCTCAAGCAGGACAATGGAAAAGTCATTCCAGGCAAACACTTTAACATTTAATATAAACTTATTTTAACATTTGACATTTGCCAACTTAGTACTTGCCGAGTCTTTAAGACATCTCCGTCTTCACTTTCTCCTTAAAATTTGAGAATGAGACTGTTTTTAAACTGAAGGGTCTATTTAGCTGGAATTTGTATTTGCGATAGTTAAGTGTCATGTGAAATAGAGCTACAAATTCTTGAAGGACGCCAAGTGTCATAAATATGATCATAGTTAATGTTGTCAAGCATGACAGACCACCAATATACTCAATGATATTAAACATTCACTGTAGGATGTAGCAATCTAAGCAGAAGTGCTCTCTCTGGTAAATACCACATCCCATTGGGTCTTTCTTCCCATTGATTCAGGGCTGATGTCACCTGCCATTCTCTCATGCACTGGTTTTGTCTCTAATAATAAGTATTCTAGCATTTGTCAGAATGTGAATTCATGATCCTTTTATTCTTAATAAACATGGTAAAAATATTGCATTTAAGTAATTACAATCTTGCACTTGGGAAGAGCCTGGAAATCTTGTCTGAACTTCAGCTTCAGAGTAGAAGCCTCCTGATAACATTGCTGACATGTCCCCATCTAGCTTGAATGTGACCACCACAATTCACTACTTCCATCCTTATGGGAGTGCTCTAAGGGTGAGAAAACTGTTTCTTACATTAAACCAAGGTCTCAAGCCACGATTTGTCTTTTTGAGACTTTTACCTCTAATTCCTAGTTTGCATCTTGGTGCTACACAGAATAAATCTTCCACATGACAATGCTTCACAGATTCAAAATAAACATCACAGCCCCAGCGCTCCTTTATATGCCCTCATGTTTCTTTTTTAGTATTTTTCTTTTCAATGTTGTTCAAATGACAGTAGCTCCCACCTACATCTGTTTGGTCTTCCTTTAGACAATTGTCAATATCTTGCAAAATATGTAACTGGGAGGAAGTAACAATAATATGGTTTGAGTCTTGCCAGTGCAAAAAGTACATTATTCTTTGGATGCAACCAGTTTTTATATGTAATTATTTTTTCAACACACACAAGACATTGGTGGTTTACACTGAGATTTAGTTAACTACCCCACCCCCTCCTCCAATCATAATTTTTCATATTTGTTTTGTGCTTTATGGTTTATAAAATTATTTCATATGCATTTTTAAACCCCTGAGGGCTTAGCTATTACTAACCCCCTTTAATAGATGAGGAAGCTGTTCCTGGGGAAATTAGATGATTTACGAAAGATAAATGGATTAATCAGCAGCAAAACCATCTGTTCTTTCTTCTATTTATAGAATACTTTTTGGGACATAGTACTTCTGTTATTGTATAGATATCACATTTTATGAGAAATATTGTTGTATTTCCCCAATCTGCACTAATTAAATTTCTTTTTAAGAGAAGGGCATCAATGGGCATTTTATTATTTTACCAAATATTTCCTGAGGGTTATTTTTCCACTCTTAGTGATACAAAGTTAAACAGGTTGCTGTTTCCATGCATTTTACTTTCTAGTAAAGTTAGATTAAAAAAAAACAAACTAACAAATACATAGGGAAAACGTTAGGAAGGGATAGATGCTATAATGCAAACCAAACAGGATGAGGTGATGATGAGTAGAAAATCCCAAAGGTCACATTAGAAATGATTGTTCAAAAAGGCTCTATTAAGAGATGATATATAAGCAAAAGACCCAATTGATATGTGCATATATTAATTTCATTCTGTTAATTTGAAGTTTAAACAGACCTTAAATTCTAATGCTATTATCCAAAACATTAGCCATTTCTCCAGACCTGTTGTCACCAGTAAATTTGACAAGTAGGCCTTCTGTGGCTTTGTTCAAGTTCATCGGCATAAATCTGTCAACTTTATACTCTGGCACGATGTCTTCCTCTGATTTATTAACATCTGCATTTTACTCTTCCATGCACTATTCATCTCAAAGTGGGAAAGGTTGTTGCAACTTAAGTTCGGATCTATATTCATTAACATCTGCAAATTCCTTGTCATTGACAATCTATAAATATGGACCCAGTCTGCTATTTCCTAAGTAGTCAGTGTCATTAGCTTTCATTTTGTGGCACTTCAACTTGTCTATACTTCAGTCTTCTCTTCGTAAATCTTCCACCTACAATTAATCATCACAGTAAATTGAAGTTATAAATAACGAGAAATGAAAATATTTTCAAGATTTTATCCTGATACCTGCTTTATTTTATGACAAGCTGTATTTATCTTGATCCTACAAATATTCCATTTCCTTCTATCTATGATTTCTCTGGTGCTTTCTTCTAAATATGTGGTACTCCAATGTCATAAAATATTCACTTAAATCTTCAGATTATTACTTGTTTTCTTTTTTGCAAGTGCACCATAGATAATAAATATTATAATACTCATTTTTGATGTGAATATCTTCCTTAGATCTTTTGATATCTTTTGAAACATAAGAAAGGAATTTCTAGTTCTTAGGTATTACTCTTCTCTTCAATTCAAATATTTCTGCTGGATGTAGGGAAAAGGAATCAATCCATTTTACAAACACAAAAGAAAGCTCTAAATTTGTACCATGATATCCCCTTAAGGTTGTTAAAAGAATTAAATGAATTGATATTTTCAGACCAGTGCCTCACTCCAGTTAGAATGGCGATCATTAAAAAGTCAGGAAACAACAGGTGCTGGAGAGGATGTGGAGAAATAGGAACACTTTTGCACTGTTGGTGGGAGTGTAAACTAGTTCAATCATTGTGGAAGAGAGTGTGGCAATTCCTCAAGGATCTAGAACTAGAAATACCATTTGACCCAGCCATCCCATTACTGGGTATATACACAAAGGATTATAAATCATGCTGCTATAAAGACACATGCACACATATGTTTATTGCGGCACTATTCACAATAGCAAAGACTTGGAACCAACCCAAATGTCCAACAATGATAGACTGGATTAAGAAAATATGGCACATATACACCATGGAATACTATGCAGCCAAAAAAAGGATGAGTTCATGTCCTTTGCAGAGACATGGATGAAGCTGGAAACCATGATTCTCAGCAAACTATCGCAAGGACAAAAAACCAAACACCGTATGTTCTCACTCATAGGTGGGAATTAAACAATGAGAACACCTGGACACAGGAAGGGGAACATCACACACTGGAACCTGTCGTGGGGTGGGGGAGGGGGGAGGGATAGCATTAGGAGATATACCTAATGTAAATGAGGAGTTAATGGGTGCAGCACACCAACATGGCGCATGCATACATATGTAACAAACCTGCACGTTGTGCACATGTACCCTAGAACTTAAAGTATAATAAAAATAAATAAATAAATAAATAAGTAAACATGTGATATCCTACTGCAAATATTATTTGCTATACATATCAATTACTCTGTGTTAATGATAGTTAACATCAATGTACATTTCAAAATAGCTAAAAGAGAG
This sequence comes from Homo sapiens, assembly GCF_000001405.40. Taxonomy (NCBI): domain Eukaryota; kingdom Metazoa; phylum Chordata; class Mammalia; order Primates; family Hominidae; genus Homo; species Homo sapiens. The sequence goes on along the minus strand of NC_000006.12, from coordinate 55,170,466 downwards.
GACTTAACATGCTCCTAGCACAGAGAAATAATAAATACTTAAGGTAATGGATACTCTAAATATTCTGGCTTGACCATTACACATTCTATGCGTGTAACAAAATATTACATGTACCCTATAAATATATACAAATACTATGTATATATAAATACTATGTATAAATAAATATATTATACATTTACATGTATAAATAAATACAATATATTTATATATACAAAATAAATATATTGTATAAGTATATACAAATACTATGTATAAATAAAAGGTAAAAAAGAAATGTAGCTCACAACATTCAGAATAATTCTGTTTAAATACCTAGATTAAATTTTTCTTGTCATTTATTTTAGCTCTTTCACTAACTGGAATATATTAAAAATGAGACGGAAAAATAAATCTCAAACTCAGGTATTTTTTTTTCTTGGTGGTTATAGGTAGGTTGTTTAGAGATCTCATATATGGGCTGTCCCAGATTATATTTTCTTATTCCTGGTGAGAGATCATCTTTTTTGCAGGTGTAACTTTCTATATGCATTTCAGTAAATGTATCTGAGTATCTATTGTGTGTCCAGGAGTTCGGCTAGGAGCTGGGGTATAAGGATTAATAAGACTAGTCTAGCCTCAATGATCTCTCAGTCCATTGGTGAACTGGAAATGTTGCCATTATTGAGAAACTCTGTGAAGGTAGAGAGATGCAGAGTGGCATGGAAGCATGAAAGAAGTTGCTTTCTTTCCTTTGCTGTTGGAATGAAAATAAAATCAAGTCTGAGCACTGTTGGTAATGATGATACTGAGCTTATATATTCCCAAAATAAATGCATTAGCTTTGCAGGAAGTTATCTGGCACCTCTAGGCTCCAAATACTACATTTAAAAAACAATATGGTCTTCAGCTAAATTCTTCTAGAAAAGTCTCAAATCACAGGGGGTCTAGACATTTATAAAAAGGGAAAAGGGGACTTACATAACATGTGTCACTGTACGCACTCTCGGTGGGCTACAGAGAATGAAATAACCTCATGCCCTAAAAGATTAGGCCATGAACAATCAAAGCTACTTGTCACAAATTACCACAAACATTTCTGTCTCTCTGTCTCTTTTTCCTCCAATCTTTCTATTACCTCCCATGCCCTGTTTTAATTATGTCTCTTCTCAGACAAGGTTCTCTCCGTTCCATCTTGCCTCCTGTCCTGCATTATTAGATCTGATATTTTCCCCTTATGTTTTTTATTCAACAAATATATACGAAGCTTCCATTATATGCCTATCTTATGTTGAGCATAGATAAACACTCTTCCTGTCTTATTCAGTGTGTCATGAAAAGCACAGAGTAGCCGGCAAATAATTTTGGTCAGTAAAGCAAATGCCCTAAGGTATACACCTAAAAAGGTCTGAAAATGCAAGCAGAAGAGACATCTATTTTCCCAAAGTGGCGTCAATGAAACCATATGGAAAAGACATTGTTTAAGCTGAGAACTGAAGAATGAATGGTAACCAGATTGTGGGAAGTGAGAGAGGGAGTTGGTGCCAGACGGAAGTAAGTAACTTTTTGTGAGACAAGTAATGTTAGCACTCATTGAGAGATTACATGGGCCAAGCTCTGTGCCAAGTACGTTACATACATTAACTCAATTGATCTTCACAAATCTAGGAGGAAGATTTTATGAATTATTATTCCAATTTTCCAGGTTGGGCAACTTAGTGAGACACTATTTCTATGAAAAACTTAAAAAAAAAATTACCCAGGCATGGTGGCATGTGTCTGTGGTCCTAGCTATCTGGGAGGCTCAAGTTGGAGAATCACTTGAACTCAGGAGGTTGAGGCTGCAGTGAGCTGTGGTCACGCCACTGCACTCCAGCCTGGGCAACAGAATGAGACACTGTCTCAAAAAAAGCATCTATTATTCCAATTTTACAAATGAAGAAACTGACACACAAAGAAGTTAAGTAACTTACCCAAGGTCATATAGCTAGAAAGTGGTGGAGTGTTTAAGCAGAGTTGTCAGGGTCCAATTCCAGAAATACGCTTTTTGCTGTTACTCTATTCTGTTTCCACAGTAGAGAACCAAAATGTTTTCAATTTTCCAGCTGTGTCCTTTACTAATGATAGTTTTAATTCTTAACAAAGACATTTGTAAAATTATATAAATTTTACATATTTAAAAAAATCCAGTTGTATTTTAAACAGTACTGAAAAGTAGAATTATAGGGGAACTTGTTATACTCTTCAGGATGACATCTCCCCCAAAGAGAATCAATCTCCTTCTCTATTCTCTGAGATAAAGATATTTGTTTTTCTCCTAAGGGCATAAATGTTTTCTCATTCATCTTTGTATCCCCAGACTTAGCATGCACTTTGCATTTAGCTGTTGGCCAATCACTACTTGTTGATCAGGCCTGAACTCAATTGAAGGGAGTAATTCCTTCTTCAAACAGTGAATATTTTGTGAAAAATATACATATGTGCCGCCTTTGTTTATGTAACACCAAGGAAATTCCTGGATATGTATATTCTTGCCTATTACTAAATCTTTAGACTGGAGATGGATTAGCAGTCTCTATGTAGGGTGTGCTATTTTATTAATTCACTTCCTCTTTCCATATTCTAAAAATTCTCTTTTCTTTTCAAAATAATAAATGGTTAAAATGCAAAAATAATAATAGAGGGCAGAAAAAGAGTGGGTTCAAGTCTTGCAGTACAAACTATAACTTTGGGGGTACTTGCCCATTCCAGACACCCTGCTAGAAACTATCCATTATCGTCGGGTGCTCTGAAGGGTGGGATCTGGGGAAGGAAAGAGTAGGAGCAAAATATGTGTATTTTCAAACATCAGTCCCAGGGGCACATGAGAGTTTTCTACAATCTTGGGTTTGAGTTCATTGAAATACTTCTGTGTGCTTTCAATACATGTTATTTCTTCTGGATCTCAGTTCTCTGGGCTTCTTTTCCTTGAAAATAACATATTTGTCTGAGTTAGAGGAAATTTACTTTTAGGTGAGCAGCAGGTGGGGCATGTAACCATTAAGGCATGTGTTCTGATTTTCCACATGAAAAAAAAAATGATCCATTGTGTTGTGAAATTCATCTTAATTCCATTTTAATAAATATACATACAATGAACTCCATATAGTTATGGTGAAAGAGGTTTATGTATTGGACTCCAATGTTAAAAGCAATGTGACATGCTTTTACTCCAATACAAATGCAATCGCTAAACTGCATTGAGTAGCACTGTGGAAGCGATCCCACCTTGTGTGGAAATTTCTCTTTGTTATTGATAAGATTTTTTTCTTTTCTAATTGAGGTAAAATTCACATAACACAACAGTAATGTTTTAACCATTTTGAGAGGTATCATTTAGTGGTTTATAGTATATTCACAATGTTGTGTCACCATCAGCACTACTAATTCCAGAAACCTCATAACTACTGATTTTCCTCTCCTCCCACATGCTGGCAAACACTCAAGTTTCTTCTTCAGTGGATCTGACAATTCTGGAAATTTCCTTTAAATGTTGGGTTTTGTGTCTTATGTCTTTCACTTAGCTTAATATTTTCAAGGTTCTTCCATGTTTTAGTGTCTATCCGTACTTTATTATTTTTGTGGCTGAATAGTATTTAATTATATGGATATGCCACATTTTATCTATTCAGCAGTTGATGAATATTTGGATTGTTTCCATTTTTTGCCAATTATATATAATACTGATCTGACTGTTCTTGTACAAGTTTTTGTGTGTACTTATGTTTTCAATGCTCTTGGGTGCATGCCTGGGAGTTGAATTATTTCATACAGTAACTCTATGTTGAACTGTTTGAGGAACTGACAAATTGTTTTCCACAATGGCAAGATTCTTTCACATTACCACTGGCAATGCATGAAGGTTTCAAGGTTTCCACATTCTTATCAACACGAGTTATTTTCCACTTTGTAAATTATAATGGGTGGAAAGTGATATTTCATTTTGTGTGTGCGTTGTGTGTGTTTTAAGTCTCTTAACAAAGAAAAGCCCAGAACTGGATGGCTTTACTGCTGAATTCTACCAAACTTATAAAAAAAAAAAACTAACAATTCTCAAACTATTCCAAAACACTAAAGAAGAAGTCTTTTGGACTTCCTGACACGCTCAACAAGAACAGCATTACCCTGATACCAAAATCAGACTAGAATACAACATAAAAACAGAAAACTACAGGCCAATATCCTTAATGATTATAGATGCAGAAATCCTCAACAAAATATCAGCAAAGTGAATCCAAAAAACATCAAAAAGATAATACACCATGATCAAGTGGGATTTATCCCAGGGGTGGAAGGATGATTCAATAAATGCAAATCAATAAATGTGGTACATCATATCAGCAAAATAAAGGACGAAAACCATATGATCATCTCAAAAGACACAGAAAAGGCATTTGACAAAATGCAACATCTCTTCATGATAAAAACTCTCAACAAATTAGGCATAGAGGGAATCTAACTTAATAAAGTCTGTATATGACAAATCCATGTCTAATATCATTGTAATATTAATCTGTATTTGCCTCCTGAGTAAAGATGATGAGCATCTTTTGATGAACTTGTTGGTCATTTGTGTATGTACTTTGGAGAACTAATAGCTATTTATTGCCTATTTTTTTAGATTGGGTTATTCGTCTCTTTATAGTTGAGGTGTAAGAGTATATATATATATATATATATATATATATATATATATATATATATTCTGTATACTAATCCCTTAACAAATACATGATTTCCAAACATGTTCTCCTATTTTGTAGGTTTTCTTTTCATACTCTTGATAGTATTCTACGATGCAAAAAAGTTTTAAATTTTGATAAGATCCAATTTATTCATGTTTTCTTTTGTTGCTTTTACCATATTTTATCATATTTAAGAAATCATTGCCTAATCAAAGGTCACAAAAATTTACTGTGTTTCTTTCTAAGAGTTTCATAGTTTTAGCTCTTATACTTAGGTCTTTAATCTATTTTGGGGTTTTATGTATATGACACAAGAAAGGTATCCAAATTCATTTTTTGCATACCCAATTATCCCAACACCTTTATTGAAAGGACTTTACTTTTCCCATTGAATGAGAGTTCAGTTATTAAATGTCTTGAGGTAGTCTTCTTTGGGTTAAATCTGAATGGTGTTCCATAACCTTGTATTTGAATACTGATACTCTATTGTTATCCCTTTGAATAAACTTTCTACCCCTATCCCACTCTCTCTCTCTCTCTCCTTCCTTTTTAAGGCCAGTAACTCTTAGATTTATGCTTTTGAGGCTATTTTCTAGATCCTGTAGGTATGCTTCATTGTTTTTAATTTTCTTCTTTTGTCTCCTCTGACTGTATATTTTCAAATAGAGTGTTTTCAAATTTACTAATTCTTTCTTCTGCAGGATCAATTCTGCTGGTAAGATGCATTCTTTTGTATATCAATTGAATTTTTCAGCTCCAAAATTTCTGCATGAATTTTTAAAAAAATTATTTCATCTTCTTTTTTGAATTTATCTGATAGAAGTCTGAATTCCTTTGCCATGTCATCTTGAATTTTGTTGAATTTCCTCACAACAGCTATTTTGAATTCTCCATCTGAGAGGTCACATATTTCTGTCACTCCAGGATTGGTCTCCAGTGACTTATATAGTTCTTTGGTAAGGTCATGTTTTCATAAATGGTCTTTTTTTTTTAATACTTTAAGTTCTGGGATACATGTGCAGAACGTGCAGGTTTGTTACATAGGTATACATGTGCCACGGTGGTTTGCTGCACCCATCAACCTGTCACCTACATTATGTATTTCTCCTAATGTTATCCCTCCCCTAGCCCCCCACTGCCTGACAGGCCCTGGTGTGTGATGTTCCCCTCCCTGTGTCCATGTGTTCTCATTGTTCAACTCCCACTTATGAGTGAGAATATGTGGTGTTTGGTTTTCTGATCTTGTGATAGTTTGCTGAGAATGATGGTTTCCAGCTTCATTCATGTCACTGCAAAGGACATGAACTCATCCTTTTTTATGGCTGCATAGTATTTCATGGTGTATATGTGCCACATTTTCTTAATCTAGTCTATCATTGATGGACATCTGGGTTGGTTCCAAGTCTTTGCTATTGTTAATAGTGCCACAATAAACATACATGTGCATGTGTGTTTATCATAGAATGATTTATAATCCTTTGGGTATATGCCCAGTAATGGGATTGCTAGGTCAAATGGTATTTCTGGTTCTAGATCCTTGAGGAATCACCACACTGTCTTCCACAATGGTTGAACTAATTTACACTCCCACCAACAGTGTAAAAGCGTTCCTATTTCTCCACATCCTCTCCAGCATCTGTTGTTTCCTGACTTTTTAATGATCGCCATTCTAACTGGAGTGAGATGGTATCTCACTGTGGTTTTTATTTGCATTTCTCCAATGACCAGTGATGATAAGCTTTTTTTTGTATGTTTCTTGGCCACATAAATGTCTTCTTTTGAGAGGTGTCTGTTCACATCCTTCACCCACTTTTTGATGGGGTTGTTTTTTTCTTGTAAATTTGTTGGAGTTCATTGTAGATTCTGGATATTAGCCCTTTATCAGATGGACAGATTGCAAAAATTTTCTCCCATTTTATAGGTTGCCTGTTCACTCTGATGATAGTTTCTTTTGCTGTGCAGAAGCTCTTTAGTTTAATTAGATCCCATTTGTCAATTTGGGATTTTCTTGCCATTGCTTTTGATGTTTTAGACATGAAGTGTTTGCCCATGCCTATGGCCTGAATGGTATTTCCTAGGTTTTCTTCTAGGGTTCTTATGGTTTTTAGGTCTTACGTTTAAGTCTTTAATCCATCTTGAGTTAATTTTTGTATAAGGTGTAAGGGAGGAGTCCCGTTTCAGTTTTCTGCATATGGCTAGCCAGTTTTCGCAACAACATTTATTAAATAGGAAATCCTTTCCCCATTGCTTGTTTTTGTCAGGTTTGTCAAAAATCAGAGAGTTGTAGATGTCTGGGGTTATTTCTGAGGCCTCTGTTCTGTTCCATTGGTCTATATATCTGTTTTCATACCAATACCATGCTGTTTTGGTTACTGTAGCCTTGTAGCATAATTTGAAGTTAGGTAGCATGATGCCTCCAGCTATGTTCTTTTTGCTTAGGATTGTTTTGGCTATATGGGCTCTTTTTTAGTTCCATAAGAAATTTAAGGTAGTTTTTTTTTTTTTGTTGTTTGTTTGTTTGTTTTTTGAGACGGAGTCTTGCTCTGTCACTCAGGCTGGAGTGCAGTGACAGGATCTTGGCTCATTGCAAGCTCCGTCTCCTGGGTTCACGCCATTCTCCTGCCTCAGCCTCTCCAAGTAGCTGGGACTACAGGCGCCTGCCACCACGCCCGGCTAATTTTTTGTATTTTTAGTAGAGACGGGGTTTCACCATGGTCTCAATCTCCTGACCTCTTGATCCTCCTGCCTTGGCCTCCCAAAGTGCTTGGATTACAAGCGTGAGCCACTGAGCCTGGCCAGTTTTTTACTAATTCTGTGAAGAAATTCGGTGGTAGCTTGATGAACATAGCATTGAGTCTATAAATTATTTTGGGCAGTATGGCCATTGTCATGATATTGATTCTTCCTATCCATGAGGATGGAATGTTTTTGCATTTGTTTGTATCCTCTTTTATTTCCTTAGCAGTGGTTTGTAGTTCTCCTTGAAGAGGTCCTTCACATCCCTTGTAAGTTGTATTCCTAGGTATTTTGAATGGGAGTTCACTCATGATTTGGCTCTCTGTTTGTCTATTATTAGTGTATAGAAATGCTTGTGATTTTTGCACATTGATTTTGTATCCTGAGACTTTGCTGAAGTTGCTTATCAGCTTAAGGAGATTTTGGGCTGAGACAATGGGGTTTTCTAAATATACAATGATGTCATCCACAAACAGAGACAATTTGACTTCTTCTCTTCCTATTTGAATACCTTCTATTTCTTTCTCTTGCCTGATTGCCCTGGCCAGAACTTCCAACACTATGTTGAATAGGAGTGGTGAGAGAGGGCATCCTTGTCTTGTGCCAGTTTTTAAAGGGAATGCTTCCAGCTTTTGCCCATTCAGTATGATATTGGGTATGGGTTTGTCATAAATAGCTCTTATTGTTTTAAAATACATTGCATCGATACCTAGCTTATTGAGAGTTTTTAGCATGAAGGGCTGTTAAATTTTGTTGAAGGCCTTTTCTGCATCTATTGAGATAATCATGTGGTTTTTGTCATTGGTTCTGTTTTTGTGATGAATTACATTTATTGATTTTCGTATGTTGAACAAGCCTTGCATGCCAGGTATGAAGCCAACTTGATCGTGGTGGATAAGCTTTTTGATGTGCTGCTGGATTTGGTTTGCCAGTATTTTATTGAGGATTTTTGCGTCGGTGTTAATCAGGGATATATTAGCCTGAAATTTTCTTTTTTGTGTGTATGTCTCTGCCAGGTTTTGGTATCAGGATGATGCCAGCCTCATAAAATGAGTTAGGGAGGAGTCTTTCTTTTTCTGTTGTTTGGAATAGTTTCAGAAGGAATGGTACCAGCTCTGATTTGTACCTCTTGTAGAATTTGGCTGTGAATCCATCTGGTCCTGGGCTTTTTTTCATTGGAACGCTATTAATTACTGCCTCAATTTCAGGACTTGTTATTGGTCTGTTCAGGGATTTGACTTCTTCCTGGTTTAGTCTTGGGAAGGTGTATGTGTCCAGGAATTTATCCATTTCTTCTAGGTTTTCTAGTTTATTTGCATAGAGGTGTCTATAGTATTCTCTGATGGTAGTTTGTATTTCTGTGGGATCAGTGATGATCTCCCCTTTATCATTTTTTATTGTGTCTATACAATTCTTCTCTCTTTTCTTCTTCATTAGTCTGGCTAGTGATCTATCTATTTTGTTAATCTTTTCAAAAAAAACAGCTCTTGGATTCATTGATTTATGAAGGGTTTTTCGTGTCTCTCTCTCCTTAGTTCTGCTCTCATCTTAGTTATTTCTTGTCTTCTGCTAGCTTTTGAATTTGTTTGCCTTTGCTTCTCTAGTTCTTTTCATTGTGATGTTAGGGTGTTGATTTTAGATCTTTCCCACTTTCTCGTGTGGGCATTTAGTGCTATGAATTTCCCTCCAAACACTACTTTAGCTGTGTCCCAGAGATTCTGGTATGTTGTGTCTTTGTTCTCATTGGTTTCAAGTAACTTATTTATTTCTGCCTTAATTTCATTATTTACCCAGTAGTCATTCAGCAGCAGGTTGTTCAGTTTCCATGTAGTTGTGCGGTTTTGAGTGAGTTTCTTATTCCAGAGCTCTTATTTGATTGCACTGTGGTCTGAGAGACTGTTTGTTATGATTTTAGTTCTTTGGCATTTGCTGAGGAGTCTTTTACTTCCAATGATGTGGTCAATTTTAGAATAAGTGCAATGTGGTGCTGAGAATAATGTATATTCTATTTATTTGGGGTGGAGAGTCCTATAGATGTCTATTAGGCCTGCTTGGTCCAGAGCTGAGTTCAAGTCCTGAATGTACTTGTTAATTTTCTGTCTCATTGATCTGTTTAATATTGACAGTGGGGTGTTAAAGTCTCCCACTATTATTACGTGGGAGTCTAAGTCTCTATAGGTCTCTAAGAACTTGCTTGATGAATTTGTGTGCTCCTGAATTGGGTGCATATATATTTAGGATAGCTAGCTGTTCTTGTTGCATTGATCCCTTTATCATTATGTAATGCCCTTTGTTGTCTCTTTTGATCTTTGTTGGTTTGAAGTCTATTTTATCAGAGACTAGGATTGCAACCTCCGCTTTATTTTGCTTTCCATTTGCTTAGTAAATATTCCTCCATCCCTTTATTTCGAGCCTATATGTATCTTTGCACATGAATTGGACTCCTGAATACAGCACACTGTTGGGTCTTGACTCTCTATCCAATTTGCCAGTCTGTGTCTCTTAATTGGGGCAGTTAGCCTATTACATTTAAGGTTAATATCGTTATGTGTGAATTTGATCCTGTCATTATAATGCTAGCTGGTTATTTTGCCCATTAGTTGATGCAGTTTCTTCATAGTGTTGATGGTCTTTACAATTTCATATGTTTTTGCAGTGGCTGATACTGGTTTTTCCTTTTCATATTTAGTGCTTCCTTCGGGAGCTCTTGTAAGGCAGGCCTGGTGGTGACAAAATTTCTCAGCATTTGCTTGTCTGTAAAGGATTTTATTTCTCCTTCACTATGAAGCATAGTTTGGCTGGATATGAAATTGTGGGTTGAAAATTCTTTTCTTAAAGCATGTTGAATATTGGCCTTCACTCTCTTCTGGCTTGTAGGGTTTCTGCAGGGAGATCCACTGTTAGTCTGATGGGCTTCCCTTTGTGGGTAACCCGACCTTTCTCTCTGGCTGCCCTTAACTTTTTTCCTGTATTTCAACCTTGGTGCATCTGACAATTATGTGTCTTGGGGTTGTTTTTCTCGAGGAGTATCTTTGTGATGTACTCTGTATTTCCTGAATTTAAATGTTGGCCTGTCTTGCTAGGTTGTGGATGTTCTCCTGGATAATATCCTGAAGAATGTTTTCCAACTTGATTCCTTTCTCCCCGTCACTTTCAGGTACACTAATCAAATGTAGGTTTAGTCTTTTCACATATTCCCATATTTCTTGGAGACTTTGTTCATTCCTTTTTATTCTTTTTTCTCTAATCTGGTCTTCACACTTTATTTCATTAAGTTGATCTTCAATCTCTGATATTCTTTTCTTTGCTTGATCGATTTGGATATTGATACCTGTGTATGCTGCACGAAGTTCTTGTGCTATAGTTTTCAGCTCCATCAGGTCATTTATGCTCTTCTCTAAACTGGTTATTCTAGTTAGCAATTACTCTAACCATTTTTCAAGGTTCTTAGCTTCCTTGCATTGGGTTAGAACATGCTCCTTTAGCTCAGAGGAGTTTATTACCCACCTTTTCAAGCCTACTTCTGTCAATTCATCAAACTCATTCTCTGTCCAGTTTTGTCCCCTTGCTGGTGAGGAATTGTGATCCTTTGGAGGAGAAGAGGTATTCTGTTTTTTGGAATTTTCAGCTTTTTTGTGCTGGTTTTTCCCCATCTTTGTGGATTTATCTACCTTTGGTATTTGGTGTTGGTGACCTTCAGATGGGGTTTTTGTGCGGATGTGCTGTTTTTGTTTTTGTTTTTGTTTTTGTTTTTGTTTTTTTGATGTTGATGCTATTCCTTTCTGTTTGTTAATTTTCCTTCTTACACTCAGGCCCGTCTGCTGAAGGTCTGCTGGAGTTTGCTGGAGGTCAACGTCAGACCCTATTTGCCTGGGTATCACCAGTAGAGGCTACAGTACTGCAAAGATTGCTGCCTGCTCCTTCCTCTCGAAGCTTTGTCCCAGAGGGGCACCCACCAGATACCAGCCGGAGCTCTCCTGTATGAGGTGTCTGTCGACCCTTGCTGTGCGGTGTCTCCCAGTCTGGAGACACAGGGGTCAGAGACCCACTTGAGGAGGCAGTCTGCCCCTTAGCAGAGCTCGAGCGCTGTGCTGGGAGATCCCCTGCTGTCTTCAGAGTCAGCTTGCGGCAATATTTAAGTCTGCTGAAGCTGCACCCACAGCTGCCCCTTTCCCCAGGTGCCCTGTCCCAGGGAGATGGGAGTTTGATCTATAAGCTCCTGACCGCAGCTGCTGCCTTTCTTTCAGAGAAGCCCTGCCCAGACAGGAGGAATCTAGAGAGGCATTCTGGCTATAGTGGCTTTGCCGAACTGTCGTGGGCTCCACCTACTTTAACTTCCCAGTGGCTTTGTTTACACTGTGAGGGGAAAACTGCTTACTCAAACCTCAGTAATGGTGGACGTCCCTCTCTCCACCAAGCTCAAGCATCCCAGGTTGACTTCAGACTGCTGCACTGGCAGTGAGAATTTCAAGCCAGTGGATCTTAGCTTACTGGCCTCCATGGGAGTGGGATCCACCGAGCTAGACCACTGGGTTCCCTGGCTTCAGCTCCCTTTCCAGGAGAGTGAATGGTTCTGTCTCACTGGCATTCCAGGCACCACTGGGGTATGAAAAATAACTCCTGCAGCTAGCTCGGTGCCTGCCCAAAGATCCACCCAGTTTTGTACTTGAAACCCAAGGCCCTGGTGGTGTAGGCACCCGAGGGAATCTCCTGGCCTGAGGGTTGTGAAGAACATGGGAAAAGCATAGTATCTGGACCAGAATGCACCATCCCTCATGGCAGTCCCTCACAGATTCCGTTGGCTAGGGGAGGGAGTTCCCCATCCCCTTGTGCTTCCCCAGTGAGGTGACACCCCATCCAGCTTTGGCTCACCCTCTGTGGGCTGCACTCACTATCTAACCAGTCCCAATGAGAGGAGCTGGGTACCTCAGTTGGAAATGCAGAAACCACCACCTTCTGCACTGATCTCACTGGGAGCTGCAGACCAGAGCTGTTCCTATTCAGCCATCTTGCCAGCCACCTCCTGGATGGTCTTAAAGCTTGTGGATGTTCATCAGTTTCTGGGCATTGAGAAGTTAGGTATTTATTGTAGTCCTCCCAGTCCAAACTTGTTTGTGCCTATCTTTCTTGGAAAGCTTTTCAGGTATCAAATGGGACTTGAGTGTTATAATCTAAGTTTTTGATCATTGCAGTCATATCTGCACTGGGGAAACCTGAAAACTAATAATGCTTTGGCTGTTGCAGATTCATAGAGGTCTTGGATAAGATCTGGAAGAATTCCTTGTATTACCAACAGAGACTTTTATTCTCTTCCCTTACTTTCTCCCAAACAGAGTCACTCTCTCTTTGCTGGCTGCCTGGAACTTAAGGAGGGGTGACACAAGCACCCATGTGGTTACCACCCTTGGGCTGTGCTGGGTCAAACTAGAAGCCAACATAGCACTGGGTCATGCCTAATGCCCATGGTAACTGCTATCTGGCTACCACCTGTGTTCCCTGAAGGCCCTAGGCTTCTACAATCAGCAGGTGGTAAAGCCAGTCAGACTTGTGTCCTTCCCTTCAGGGCAACAAGTTCTCCCTGGTCCTGAGTGGATCCAGAGATGCCATCCAAGAGCCCGGGCCTGGAGTCAGAAAACTGCAATGTGCTTAGATTCTCTTTAACTATTTTTAATGACATTTTTTATTTTTCAGTACATAAAACTTGTACATTCTTGGTAAATTCCTTCCTAAGATTTTCATGCTTTTTTGATGCTCTTGCAAGTGGAATTGTTTTGTTATTTTCATTTTCAGAGTTATTTGCTAGTGTATAGAAATACAAGTGTTTTTTGAGAATTGATATTGTATCCTGCAACTTTGTAGAACCCATTTATTAACTCTGGTAGTTGTGAGTGTGTATGTAATCTCTAGGAGTTCTCCATGTATAAGATTATGTCATCTGCCAGAGGTAATTTTACTTCCTTTCTAATCTAAATGCCTTTTTTTAATGATTAATTGACTAGAACTATCTTTCCAATGTTGAATAGAATTAGTAGACCTCTTTGTCTTTTTCTGATCTTAGGGGAAAATATTCAGAGATTTCAGTCTTCCACCATTAAATATGATGTTAGCTGTGGTTTCGTTGTAGATGTTCTTTGTAAAGTTGAGGAAGTTCCCTTCTATTCCTAGTCTGTGGAATGCTTTTATATTGAAAACATGTTGGATCTTGTCATTTTTTGTACATCTAGTGAGATAATTATGTTTTTTTAATTACTATTATTTATTGCACTGGTTGATTTTCATTAAGTTTAGCCAACTTTATATCCCAGGAATAAACCCCATTTGTCCATGGTGTATAGTCCTTTAAAATACTGCTGGATTCGATTTGCTATTAATTTTTTGAAAATTTTTGCATCAACATCCATAAGTTATATTGATCTGGTGTGTGTGTGTGTGTGCTTGTGTGTGTGTGTGTGTGTCTCAGAGAGAGAGAAAGAGAGAGTGAGAGAGAGACAGTTGTCTTGCTTTAGTATAAGAGTAATACTGGCCTCATAAAGAAACTCTAGTTTTAATTCCAGTTTTACTGTTGTTTAAAGCTGGAATAGTTGCTTGATAATTTAGAGTTTTAGATTCTTCATCTCTGGATTAATAGTAACTCCACAGAAATTGTTGTGATAATTAAATAAGATTATTATGTGTTCTTTATAAGTTTTAAATTTCAGTATTTATTAGATTATGAGAAGAATTGGTGTGAGTGCTAGGAGTAAAAGCAGCAGTTGGAAAATGTAATTAGAAATGGCTGTACCTTAACTAGGATTATTATACTTAATTTCTCTTGGTCTCCATTGCAGCATCTTTAAAATGAGCCACAACAATTCCATTCATGTTCCAATAATATTAATAAAAATAATAATGTAACTATAATAATGTAACAATAATATTATTAATACTATATAGAAAGTGCATGAAACCTAAGCACTTAATATATATTAACTTATTTCATCCACATAACACCATATTAAAGGTGCTGGGGTTTTTCCCCTCATTTTGCAAGTGAGGATGGTACCTGAAGTTTAGATGACTTTTCAAGATCACACAGCTTAGAAGTAGAAGAGAACAAGTTAATCTATGATATAACAATGGTCACAAAATTAGTCATTTTTCACTCTCATCTAGGTATTTCTCTCATGCTTATATAGATAAGATGAATCAAACTTTGTTCATATATTCTTCAAAAACAATGTGAATTTCCTAAGATAGCCAACGAGTTTAAATTGAAATAAAATAAACATGATTCAATCTGATTTTTTTGTCACCTTGAAAATTAACTTCTTTACAAACTTTTTTTCTATAATGTTTGAATGAATTAACATTATGCATGTAGAAAATGTCTAACTACCGCCTCCACAAACCTCTATGATGAATAGCTCTTAGGCCTTGGGAATTCAGAGAAGTGTTTCTGAAATAAAACACCGCACATTCATATAAAACATTTAATACCAATGGTTGAATATCTTGCCTGAAAGACAACAGCAAAATTATCATCTGATGTTTTAGATTGCTAGTAATGATGTGAATTAGTGTTGATTTAGACTCCGTTGGCTTTTTGTGCAAATATGTAACACACTATTTAAATACAAGTTTGGCTACTAAAACTGGCTCAGAGCTCATTAAGTGGGTTTGTTATTTGGTATTTCAAGTAAAAATTAGGAACCAGGCTTTGAAATTTGGAAGAGACAAGTTCAAAACAATAAAAGGAAATCCATTCTAACACATTTGACCAAATTGAAATCATAGGTTTGTTTAATTGGTTTAAATAGTGTTAAGATTGTGTTTTCATTTCTGTAAAAAAAAAAATATTGGTATTTTGATAGGGATTGCATTGACTCTACAGGTTGTTTTGGGTAGTATGTACATTTAGCAATATTAATTCTTCCAAACCATGGCATGGAATATCTTCCATTTATTGTATCTTCTTTAATTTTTTTATCAGCATTTTATAGTTTTCAGTACACAAGTCTTTCACCTCCTTGGTTAAATTTGTTCTTAAGATTTATTATTTATGATGCTATTGTAATGGGGATTGTTTCCTTAATTTCCTTATGAAATAGTTTGTTGCTATTATATAGAATTACAAGTACTTTTTGTATACTGATTTTGCATTCTGCAACTGTACTGAATTCATTTCTTTGCTCTAGCTATTTTGTTTGTTTGTGTGTTTGTTTGTTTTTGTGGAATCTTTAAGGTTGTCTACACATGAGATCAGCTCATCTACAAACAGAGGTAATTTCACTTCTTCCTTTCCAATTTGGTGGATTTTATTTATTTATTTATATTTATTTATTTATTTATCTATTTATTTATTTATTTATTTTTGCCCAATTGTCCAGACTAGGACTTCAAGCACTATGCTGAATAGAAGCAAGAATGGGCATCCTTGCTTTGTTCTTGATCTTAGAGAAAAGCTTTCAATTTCTCAACAACGTCAAAGTTTGTTATATGCTTTTTCTGCATCTATTCAGATGATCATATGATTTTTATCCTTCATTTTGTTAAAGTGGTATATCACATTCAATTTTATATGTTGACTTATCCTTGCGTCCTAAGGAGAAATTTCACTGGTCATGCTATATGATCTTTTTAATGTACTGTTGAATTTAGTTTGCTAGGATTTTACTGAGGATTTTTGCATATGTATACATGATAATTCCCACATTTGTAGTTTTTATGTTCTTGTAGTATTTTTGCGTAGTTTTGGTATCAGAATAATGCTGGCCTCATAAAATGAGTTTGAAAATATTCCCTCTTTCTTTTTGGAAGAGTATAAGAATGAATGATTGGCATTAATACTTTAAATGTTTGGTAGAATTCATTTGTGAAGACTTCTGGTC
Source organism: Homo sapiens (assembly GCF_000001405.40). Taxonomy (NCBI): domain Eukaryota; kingdom Metazoa; phylum Chordata; class Mammalia; order Primates; family Hominidae; genus Homo; species Homo sapiens. Next base: position 55,154,160 of record NC_000006.12, on the reverse strand, counting down.
CTAGACTCTTCTTCTTGGGAGGTTTTTGATTATTTACTCAGTCTCCTTGGTTGTTACTGGTATGTTCAGGCTTTCTATTTCTTCTTGTTTCAGTTTGATAGACTGTGTATTTCTAGGAATTTATCCATTTTTTTTCTAGGTTGTCCAATTTATTGGTGTATAGTTGTTCATAATAGTACCTTATGATCTTTTTGTTAACATCAATTGTAATGTCTCCTGTCTCATTTCCAATTTTATTTATTTGAGTCTCTTTTTTTAGTCAAGGTAAGGGTTTGTTAATTTTGTTTGTCTTTTCAAAAAAGTACATTGTAGTTTTGTCCACTTTTTCTAATTTTTTCATTCTCTATATTATTTATTTTTGATCTAACCTTTGTTATTGTCTTTCTTCTGCTAACTTGGTCTTAGTTTTTTCTGTTTGTCTGTTTTCCCTAGTTTTGAATAATTAGACTCCACCAGTATGGATCTCAAATGACCAAAGCAAATTTGAATCATAAGAACACAGCTAGAGATATCACACTTCCTGATTACAAAATATATTACAAAGCTACAATAATCAAAACAGCATGATACTATCATAAAAAGAGATATAGTCACAAATTGTATAATGATGTTTTCATCAATGACTGATGGCATAAATGATGATGGTTCCATGAGAGTATGATGCAATATTTTTACTGTACTTTTTCTATGTTTAGATATATGTAGATACACAAATGATTACCATTGTGTTACACAATTGTCTATAATATTCAGTATCCAGTAATATGCTACACGTTTGTTGGCTAGGAGCAAAAAGCTATACCTTATAGCCTAGGTGTGTAGTAAGCTATACCATCTAGGTTTCTGTAACTACACTCTATAGTGTTTGCACAATGATGAAATCATGTAATAATGCATTTCTCAGAATGTATCCCTTCCCTGCAGTTAAGTGATATATGACCATATGTTGACCAATAGAACAGAACAGAGAGCCTAGACATAAACCCATGAATTTACAGACAACTGTTCTTTGCTGAGGGTAACAAGCAGTGCTGTGAAAACTGGATATCCATATGCAAAAAATAAAATCAAGTCGGATGCTTACGTTGCACCACACATAAATATCAACTCACAGTGAATTAGATTTAAACTTAAAAGATGACCATAAGCTCCTAGAAAAAAAACACGCACACAGGGAAAAACTTTAACATTGGCTCTGGCGATGATTTCTTGGATATGACACCAAAAACACAAGTAACAAAAGCAAAAATAGACAATTGGGGTTTTTTGTGCAACAAAGAAAACAAAAGAATGAAAAGTCAACCTATGTAATGTAATAAAATACTTGGTAACCATATGCAAATATTTGTGTCCTCTCAAAATTCACATGTTGAAATGCTAATTGCCCGTGTGATGATACTAGAAAGTGAGGCCTTTGGGAAGCTTTGCCCTTGTGAATGGGATTATTTTACTTTTCGAAGGGACTTCAGAGAGCTCTCTTGCCCTCTTTCTACCAGATGAGGATACCACCCCAAAAAAGGGCCCTCACCAAACCTACCATATTGGCATCCTAATCTCAAACTTCTAGCCTCCAGATCTTTGGCAAATAAATTTCTGTTTTTTATAAGCTACTTAGGCTATAGTATTTTGTTAAAGCAGCCCAAACTTACTAAGGCACCGTATATCAGATAAAGAGTTAATATCCAAAATATATAAGGAACTGCTACAACTCTATAGCAAAAGACAAATAAACAAAAAAATACCAATTAAAAAATGGACAGAAGATCTCAATATATAATTTTTCAAGAAAACATATGAATGGCCAAAAGGTATATGAAAAGATCCTCAACACTTCTAATCACCAAGGGAATGCAAATCAAAACCACAATGAAATTTTACGTCACATGTGTTAGGATGGCTACTATTAAAAAAACACAAAAGATAACAAGTATTAGCAAGGAGGTAGAGAAAAGGGAAGCCTTGTACACTGTTGGGGAGAATGTAAATTGATGTGACCACTATGGAAAGCAGTATGAAGATTCCTCAAATAATTAAAAATAGAACTTGGTTATGCAGGCATACCCCTAAGAATTAAGCTAAACCTACTCTGCTTGTGCTCTATATAAAATGGAACAACAGAGCCTGGATGGCAGCAGGTCTGCTTACAGCATGGTTTACTAAATAATTTAAGCCCATTTTTGAGACTTACTGTTTAGAAAAAAAGATTCCTTTTAAGATAGTACTGCTCATTGAAAATGCACTGGCTACCCAAGTGGTCTGACAGAGATCTACAGGGAGATTAATGTAGTTTTCATGCCTGCTAACAAAACATCACTTTGTAGTCCATGGATCAAAGAGCCATTTTGATTTTTAAGTGTTTTTTTTTTTAAGAAATAAATTTTGTAAGACTATAGCTCCCATAGATAGTGATTTCCCTGATGGATCTTGGGAAAGTAAATTGAAAGCTTTCTGGAAAGAATCCACCATTCTAGGTGCCATTAAGAACATTTGTGATTCGTGGGTGGAAACCAAAATATCAACATTAACAGGAGTTTGGAAGAAGCTGATTCCAGCCCTCATAGATTACTTTGAGAAGCTCAAGGTTTCAGTGGAAGATGTCACTGCAGATGTGGTAGAAATAGCAAAAGAAATAGAATTAGAAGTGGAGCCTGAAGATGTGACTGAATTACTACAATCTCATGACAAATCTTTACAAGATGATCTGCTTCTCTTGATAAACAAATAAAGTGGTTTCTTAAGATGGAATATACTTTTAGTAAAGATGCTGTGAACACCGTTGAAATGACAAGAAAGGATTTAGATTATTACACAAACTTAGTTGATAAAGCAGTGGCAGACTTAAGAAGATTAACTTCAATTTTGAAAGAGTTTTATTGTGGGTAAAATAGTATCGGTCAGCATTGCATAACACAGAGAAATTTTTTGTTAGAGTAAGTGTCAATCGATGTGGCTAGCTTCGTTGCTGTCTTATTTTAAGAAATTACCACAGCCACCTCAACCTTCAACAACCATTGCCCTCATAAGTCAGCAACCATCAACATTGAGGCAAGACCCAGTGGTCTGCAAAAAAGATTATAATTCACTAAAGATTCAGATGATTGTTAGCATTGTTTTAGTAATAAAATATTTTTAATCAGGGTATTTAATTTTTAGATATAAAGCTATTGCTCACTAAGTAGACTACAGTATGGTATAAACATAACTTCCATATGCACAGGAAAACCAAAACATTTGTGGGATTCACTTTATTGTGATATTCACTTTATTGTAGTTGTCTAGAAACAAACCTGCAGTATCCTCTAAGGAAAGTGTACAGGGACAAAGGAATTGAAATCAGAATTTCAAAGAGATTATCTGCACTCTCATGTTTATTAAAACATTGTTTATAATATCAAAAGCATGGAAGCAACCTCCATTTCCATCAATAGAAAAATGGATAAAGAAAATATGATAAATACATAAAATGGAATGTTATTCAGCCTTGAAAAAGGAAATCTTGCCATTTGCAATGATGTGGATGAACCAGAGGACATTATGCTTAGGGAAATAAGCCAGACATAAAAAAGACAAATACTCCTATCCCACTTATACAAGAAATATGAAAAAGTCAAACTCATAGAAGCAGAGAGTAGAACAGAAGTATCCAGGGCCGGGGGAGGTGGAAATGGGGAGGTGTAACCAAAGGGTAGAAAGTCTCAGTTATAGAAGATGAGTAGGTTCCAGGGTTCTTCTGTATAGCAGAGTGCTTACAGTTAACAATGTGTATTGTATACTTAAATATTTGCAAAGAGTGTAGATCTTATGCTAAGTGTTCTTATCACACCAATAATAATAATAATAAGAAGAAAGAACAAGGAGGGTAGGAGGAATCTTTTGGAGGTAATGAATGTGTTTATGGATTTGACGGTGGTGACAACTTCCTGGGTGTTTACTAATCTTCAAACTCATCAAGTTGTATACATTGTATATATTTATAGTCAACTTTTAATGTCAATAATATCTTAATAAAATGTTTTTTTAATGTAGAATATTAAATGTATGTGATGTGTTGCCAGCAGAATGAGAGCTGATTGATAAGCACACTTCAGGACTGCATCCTGGAAACTGAGGTTGACCTGAAGGTGACATCATGAGAGTGTAATGTTCCTTAGTGCTTCTGTAAAAGATAGAATCTTTAATTTGATTGCAATATCTATTTTTTGTTTTTAACAAAAAACATTGATTAGAATTTAAAAGTTTAAAGTTTAGTGAAATACAACATTAAAGTGATTTAGCTTTATCAAACATTCTAAATGATTTCCAGTCAGAAGTTCTGAAAGCCAAGTACATTTGTCTTGTTTAACTAATGTATTCAAATATTTTCTGAGAGTAGGTCTTCACATTTTATACAGATGTAATTAAATATAGGAATTAAATATGAGTGAATACCCCCTCAAACTACGTTTACATTTATTTTTATCATTAAAATATTTTTAAAAGTTCTTTATATGGTCAAGGTGTTGGTTTCATGATATCAAGATATAAATGCTGGCTTGCAAACTTTATTTAAAACCTGCATTAAAGGGTTTACATTCAATTTCTAATTTATTGTTTATTTATGGATGACCAGTTTGGCTTTGTCTAGATATTTTGATATGTCCTCAATTGACCTTTCTTGTACTCATGCTTTATAGAAAGAAGAGAACAGAAAGCACAGTAAATATTAATCATAATAGCAATTTGCTCACCTCACTTTTTACCCACAGTTGTGTCCACTTTCACTTGTTGGAAAGAGTGGCCATATCTGCACTGTCTCAGAGAAAATCCCTGCTGTGTAGTATTAAACCCTGTTGGGTGACCATAGTGGTACAAATATGAAACATATTGATGACTTCTTTTGAAATACAGTAACAGTTATGAGCAAACATATTTTGGACTTTTAGCATTAAAGTAATTTTTTCCACAAAACAAAACTGTATTTGGTTGAGAAAAAAAATAAAACAGCTTTAGAAGAATAGCAAACATAAGAAATGACAGGGAACAGAAGATTTAAAGGGTCTCTGTGGTGGGAAAGCTTACTTTTTTATAAGGTTCTCTGGCTATGTTCACACTAATCAACTAGACAATTGCCTTAAGGTTATAAGTATTCATGCAAATGTTTTGAGTGAAAGATATTAACTTTCCACATTTTATGGCAATATGTAGGTTCACAACTAAAGCATAAAGCAGGAAAGAAAAAGAAAGTATCAGAATTAGTCATTTTATTTTCTTATCATTCAAGTTCTCTGTCTGTAAAATTACACTGCAATGCAGTTATACCTGTAAAATGCTGGTTCTTAAAATTTTGTGATTCCCATATGTGTTTAAGCATGAAATAAAATGTCATAGATCTATCCCTCTTCAAATGCTCATATAAACATATATTACCTGAATCCCAGCCATGATCTGATGTTCACAATCTCAGCCTTATAGAGATTTAATTGGAAGCATCTCAGAGATACAGTATTTTCTAGCCATAATAAGATACTCCCATTAACTAAAACTTTGTGGGAGAAGCATATTGGCTTCCCAACACATCCCAGAGTTTCCTCAGCAGCTTTCCTGCAGGCTACTCTAGTCAACTCCTTCTGAAACAATTCTTACACTCAAGTTTGAAGTAGCATGGAGAAGCACATGGTAGGTGGGTAGCAAGTAAGGCTGTTACTGCCTGACATCCATCTGATATAAGAGCAAGGAATGCCCACTTCTATAATTTCCAATCAATGACTGATAATCCAGAATTTTAGATGAATAATGTGGGAGGAACTGAGTTTTGAAGACAGCTGCTGTTTACCAAAACAGACCCTCTAGAATTCTTTTGGTCATCATTTACTTTTAAAAGAGATTGATACAGTTCCCACAAAAATAAATGAGTAGAAACACACACACACACGCACACACACACGATCATTTCACAGTAGAAAACAATTTTTGAGTATTTTAACATTTGAAATTAATTTTGCCCTTTGCTGCCATTTTTAAACACTCTTTCAATATTAGATAATTTGGCTAATTTATATAAAGGTACTATAAACCTTGGTTTGCCTCACCATTGGAAACATCAATGACATTAGTTTCTATTGAAAAAGAAATGATCTCTAACAACAAACTCTAACTAAAGTCCATTCAGGCAGATTCTACAAATTCATTCTACCTCCCATCATGATTTCACTAAAACACCTTTCCCATTGGAAACATCAATGACATTAGTTTCTGTTGAAAAAGAAATGATCTCTAACAACAAACTCTAACAATTCCATTTAGGCAGATTCTACAAATTCATTCTACCTCCCATCATAATTTCACTAAAACATCTTTCCCAGAGCTAAACTGTTTACATCCAGAGCCTATACAAAGTCATGTAAGATACAATCAACTCTTTTCTTATTGCAAGTAACTATATATCATCATCATCTTTATGAAATACTTTCAAAGGGACACTACATTAAAAAGAAGAAGTATCAAACCCACCCGACAGATCATCAAAATGAATTATAGAAAGATAACATCATAGAGCAGCCTATTGTACTGAACCTGAGAGACCCTTGAGTTAAAATCTCAGTTCCGCCTCTTGCTGGTTGTGTCACTTAGCCAAAATACCTCTCTGTGTCTGTTTCAATACCCTTAAATGAGGATAGTAACAGTACCTATTTCATAAGGTTGGTGTGAGTTTATATGTAAAGGACTTAAGTCATTATCTGACTCCTAAGTGCTATATACATCAGTAAATAGCTGTGTGTATGCATATGTCTGTGCAAATTTATAGTATTCTTAAGCCACTGTATTTATTAGTTAGCATATATTCCCCTTGTACATTCACTAGAAAGAGTAACAACATAGTATTTATTTTTATCAATTACGTAGATTTTTGGTAAAATATGAATTAATGTATATATTATACTTTTATCCAAATATGAATTCACAAATAATTTACAAATATAACTAATAAAATAGCTATATTTTGTATTTATAATAACTGAATATAAGTAATTAAAAGACCTTTATTAGAATAGATTATTACCTTACATTTTGGGAGAAAATAAGTATGTAATAGTTTTAAATATCCCCTAAGCTGATAGCTCCCTACATTTGCTGTCTCTTAGAAACATTTGGGATTTTTAAAAAAATTTCAGTGCTTAGGTAGCATCCCATACCAATTAAATCAGAGTGTATGGCAGAGAAAACTAGGCATCAGTTGTTTTTAAAGATCCCCTGGCTATTCCAAGGTACAACAAAATTTGGAAGTACTGCCCTAAACTCTTCATTCAAAGTATGGTGCACAGACCAAAAGCATTGGAATCACCTTGGAGCTTGCTAGATAAGCAGAAACATCATGGGCCCCACTCCAAACCTACTAAATCAGAGACTATATTATTAGCAAGATTCCCAAGTAATTCATATGTATGCTAAAGTTTGAAAAACACTGTTTGAATTTTGAGAGAAATTAAACAAAATCCCTAGGCAGAATAATGTAGAGAAATTAGTTTGGACAAATACATTGGCATCAAACATGGTTGTAACAGTCATCTTAAGGAGAAAAAAAAAGCTTGTTTTTTTTTTTTTAACTAACCTTTGCTTTAATCTGATATTCTGATTTTATTAATCAAATGTCAGGTACTTTATCTGCAACATTAATTATTCCAACTTCTTTCCAATAAGGCATTCTTGCATTTGCCCAGGAATGAATTAGCATTTTTGACCTTGAAATGTCATTGTTTTGTCATAGATCTGTATTGTGAAAATTAATGCCTGCAAGTCTTTTTTAGTACAGTAATAAGAATTCTATAACCATGTGGCATTTGTTTGCTACTATACAAATGAATTATTACTTTTGCATTAATGCCAGTGTCCTTCCTTTAGGTTTTATGGCATCAAACTAGATGTCTTATACTGTATATTATCCCTTTCTGAGATAAACATTGAATATATGCCAATTCCATATAAATCTTATAATTGTTCTCCACTATTCAATCATTTATTAGCTTAGTAGCATTTGTTGCATGTTTACTGTGTACCAAGCAATTTTACAGGGGAAGTTTTTTACATGGCCTGTGCAGCTAATACTATATTTTTTAACTTGGAATTTAGGTTGGAAAATCAATAAATTAAGAAAAATAAAATTCAACAACTCATTTCCAGCAGTAGATGGAAAACAAAGTGCTATCACAGAGAAAAAAAAAAGGAATATTTTTCCTGCTGATGGTCATTTTTTTGTTGTTGAGGGATTACAACTTATATGATGAGTAGAAATGTAGGATTATTCTAAGTATATGGGGAAAGAGAGCTCCAAGAGATTGGATACCAGCTTTTTTTAAAAAAATAAGTAAGAAGTGTTATATACAGGGGAGAGAATATGGTATGGTATGTGGCTATGGTGTCATGTGAGGGGAGAAAGTGTAAAGGAGGTTGGTTAGCAATGTTATGAGACAGCCGGGCGCAGTGTCTCAAGCCTGTAATCCCAGCACTTTCGGAGGCCAAGGCGGGCAGATCACGAGGTCAGGAGATTGAGACCATCCTGGCTAACACGGTGAAACCCCGTCTCTACTAAAAATACAAAAACAAAAATTAGCCAGGCACGGTGGCGGGCGTCTGTAGTCCCAGCTACTCAGGAGGCCGAGGCAGGAGAATGGCATGAACCCGGGAGGCGGAGCTTGCAGTGAGCCGAGATCGCGCCACTGCACTCCAGCCTAGGCGACTGAGCAAGAATCCGTCTCAAAAAAAAAAACAAACAAAAAAACAAAAAAAAAAACAAAGAATGTTATGAGACGACTTTGTATGCCTCATTAGAGAGCCAGGACATCTTCCGTGGATACGTGGAATGAGTAGACATTGACATGCAACAACGTCAAGAATGTGTTTTGGTTTTTCTTTGTTTTGTAAAGGGATACCTTGTTTTAAGGTGAAAATGAAACCAGTTGAGAAAAGAAAACTAAGACCATTTAGGGTCTGTTACACAATTGACATATCAGAATATGAAGACAAGGTAAATGAGTAAAACAAGGAATGAGAAGGAGGGAGCACATTTAAACAGAATTTGGTAAGTAAAATCTACGTACTTTGTAACTAGAAGAATATGACTGGGAAGGGCGGTAAAAGAAGCAACAAAGTAGACGGGTAGCTTTTCTCTGGGGTTATATGCTAATGGAGAGGATAATTAATTTAAAAAAGAAAAATGGGAAGAAAAGACAGTTTGAATAGGGAGAACACGGGCGAGTTTAATTTTGGCATTTTATTCCTGTAGAAGATCTTAGAATAACTCTTAAAGAAACAATGATATATATTAATCCAGAGCTCACAAGATAAGCATGGTCTAGACGAGAGGATTTGGAAGCCACTAATGCACACAGGTAGTCTTTGGTGCCCACTGGTCATATCACTTGGAAATTTATGGAGAAAGGTCCTGAGCCAAAGATCCTCTAGACCAGGGGTACTGGCGGGTGGGTGGGCAGGCGAGGGAGCAGATTATCACAGGAGCGTGAACCTATTGTGAACTGCGCATGCGAGGGATCCAACGTGCGCTCTACTTAGGAGAATCTAACCTGATGATCTGAGGTGGAAGTTTCATCCTGAAACCAAACCCCAGCTTTTCCTCTTTCTGGTATTTAGGAAAATTGTCTTCCACAAAACTGGCCCTGGTACCAAGAAGTTTGGGGACCGCTGCTGTAGACCACCAATATTTGAATGACGCGTAGAAGATGAGTCTGCAGAAGACAGAGAAAGAGCTGTCATGGTGGAAGGTGAAAAGGCAGAACAGATCCCAGTACTTTGGGAGGCCAAGGCGGGTGGATCACTTGAGGTCTGGAGTTCAAGACCAGTCTGACCAATGTGGAGAAACCCCGTCCCTACTAAAAAAAAATACAAAATTAGCCAGACGTGGTGGCGCATGCCTGTAATCCCAGCTACTCGGAAGGCTGAGGCAAGAGAATTGCTTGAACCCGGGAGGCGGAGGTTGCGGTGCGCCGAGATCGCGCCATTGGACTCCAGCCTGGGCAACAACAGCGAAACTCCGTCAAAAAAAAAAAAAAAAAAAAAAAAAAAAAAAAGGCAGGACGGGAAAGAATGGCGTCACACACTGATTTTTATAAAAGAACTGAAATGAAATGCATCGCTATCAAGCTCTGTTGTGGTTCCCTTTTCCCAAACATGATTCATGACTAATATGTGACTTCTATTCATTTTCTTAAGGGCTTGAGAATTATATAAAACTAATATAAAAGGCTAGATTGAGAGCAAAAGCTGATAATTACTAAATGCTGCCTAAAACTTGGCTTCAATCCATATCATAGAAAAGCTGCAGTGAGACCTGGCACCAGGCTACCTGCGTTCATATTTTGGCTCTACCCACAGTACATAAGTGATCCTGAACATGGTGCTAACCCCGCAGTATGCCTCATTTTTCTATGTATTAAATGGATCTCATTGTTACCCATCCTCATCAAATTATTGTGTGGATTAAATGAGATGCTAAAAGTCAAGTATTTGGAAAGAGTTGGCATAATGCACATTCACTAAATAAATGTTAGCTATTATTATAATAAAAATGTTTCATTAGCTTGGCTGCGATCCTGCAAGGTTACATCAGTCACACAATTCCAAATAAGACAAAAAACCAAAAAGGAATAGAAAACATTTTCTAAGCAAAGCAATAACTTTCTGGTCTTAGGCAAATCCTCTTTTAGAATAAATTGATTTTTGTTTTAATCTTGCAGGGAAGGCAAAGACATTTGGAATAAAAGTTTCAATAGCAAGACCCAAATGATGGGTTTGTGGGATACATTGTATTGACATAATTACAAAAACTGGAGAAAAGCATTTTATTCTGTATTCTAGGGAAAAATACAAAAGAAGACATTGTAGATAAGGATGACAGAGTTCCTAAACTAAAAAGCTAGATACCTAGAACATACTATAAGAAGTCAGGATAATTCAAGGGTTGACTTTCTAAGGTATCCAGGACATTATTTAATTATATTATAATTGGTAAATACTGGAAACTTTTATTCTATTAACTTAAAAAATATTTGAATGGTCACATTTTGCCAAATAGTTTAAAACCCCTTATGATTATCTAGAAATAGTTATTTTTATATATAATGTTTCACATAATATTCAGGCTGTTCTATCTGTCTGTCTGTCTATCTATCTATCTATCATCTATCATCTTTCTATCATAATCTGCCTCTATCCATCTATTTATTTGTAGATTGTGCCCAAATTCTGAGGTGTTATGGGAATAGAAATATGTACAATTCAAAATGTTATTTCTTCACCCTAAATTTTTTTTTCTGTTGACCACTTTTAATGGACTTGAATCATAGGTGTTTCCTTGTATAGAAATAAACATAGATGATTCATGGGTCTGGTAACATACACAGTGGGGAAAGAATACATTATTATTAAATCTCGGTGTGTGCATTTTATCTGTGCTACCTCTTTAATTCAAAAAAATGCTAAACTACACATGTGGAAAACGATGCTGCAAAAACAACAAAAATGATGTTTTCTATTAACTACTTACATATACTTATATAGTAAGTTTTAAAAATCTTTGACACACAGCTTTATATCCAAGAAAATAAACATACCATTAATGTGCATTAAATATAAAAATATTTAAACATTAAATGATCAGTTGAGGCCGGGCCCGGTGGCTCATGCCTGTAATCCCAGCACTTTAGAGGCCGAAGCGGGTGGATCACGAGGTCAGGAGATCGAGACCATCCTGGCTAACACGTTGAAATCCCCTCTCTATTAAAAATACAAAAAAAAAAAAAAAAAATTAACAGGGCGTGGTGGCGGGTGCCTGTAGTCCCAGCTACTCGGGAGGCTGAGGCAGGAGAATGGCTTGAACCCAGGAGAGGGAGCTTGCAGTGAGCCGAGATCGTGCCACTGCACTCTAGCCTGGGCGACAGAGCAAGACTCCGTCTCAAAAAAAAAAAAATTTTTTTTTAAATGGTCAGTTGAAAAGTACTCTGACAAATGCCATCATTTCTCTTAAGGACTATTTAACTAATTCTCTTCAATAAGTTGTTTTCAGTTTTTTGGGAGATAAAACTTACTATTTAATTTACTTTATGTTGGCATATGTCACATCTTGATTTTACTATTTAATTAACCACATTTAACTTTTTTGTACTTTCTTTGATTATAATGTGGAATATTTTATCAACATAATTTTACAATTTATTTCCCATTTCTTGGTGTTTGACATCTTTAATTTATGAAGAATAATTCTTGCATGTATTTTACATGGGTTTCTATAGCTTTTACTTTTCTTTAGCAATAATTCCTTTGTACATGTGTAATATTTGCAATGTTCTGAATGTGCATGCACAAGTTATTAGTCACCCCTAATATATTTTCTGTTAAAAATACCCTTTTTATTTCCTGCCTTATTTCTCTAAATTCTGTCCAGTTGTATTGTTTGTTCTCTAGGCTTCTTTAGATATCAGTATTATAGATTTTTGAACATCCAACAGCTGGGTTCAAACATCTCACAACCTATATTATCCATTTGGGATATATCTTTATTTAAATAAATTATAAGCTCTTCTCTAGAAATAATATTTTACAAAAGTAATGTTCTTTAAACAAATAAAATTAGTATACTTATTACCAGTAAGAGCACAGTTTGACATAAGAGACAGATAATTAAAATAGAATTTATATGTATCTCTTCTTCTAACTTCACTTTGTAAACTTAGGTATCTGCCTCTCTTTCCTGGTTTTCTCATCCAGACCATGAAAAACAGCCATTTCTAACACATTTTTCTTTTTCTTTTTCTTTTTTTCTTCTTTTGAGATAGAGTCTTGCTCTGTCGCCCAGGCTGGAGTGCAGTGGCGCAATCTCGGCTCACTGCGAACTCTGCCTCCTGGGTTCACGCATTCTCCTGCCTCAGCCTCCCGAGTAGCAGGGACTACAGGTGACTGCCACCACGCCCGGTTAATTTTTTTTTTTTTTTTTGTATTTTTAGTAGAGAGGGGATTTCACCGTGTTAGCCAGGATGGTCTCGATCTCCTGACCTCGTGATCCACCCACATCGGCCTCCCAAAGTGCTGGGATTACAGGCATGAGCCGTCGCACCCGGCCTCTAACACATTTTTCTAGGACATTGTCTGTCACTTGATATATGATCAATAAATATTTGTTGAATAAATAAGCACTTGTTGAAGGGCTAGTAAGCGAAAGAGCATGGGGATTCTAACTCAGGCACAACCAGCTTCCGAACTCTCTTTTCCTCTACGTGCCTAATCTCCATCAGGGCAGATATGCCTGTATGTAAATTATTAAATTACTTGTAGGTATACATTTGCAAGATTATACTAACACTTTTTCTAAGCAACTATGAATCAGTAGAAAAAAATTGGAATTAAAATTGAAAGGTTAATTTCCTGGTTCTATGATATACTTTTGTATATGTACTTCAGTTTCTGCATCACAAAATGATGTTAGATCTTTCATTTTGTGTGAGTGTGTTTGTGTGAGAGAGAGTATTTTTTAACAGATAATATATGTTAAAAATTTTGTAAAATCTAAGTATTTATAAATGCCAGTTGTGATTATAAATAATGTGCTGTGATGCTAGCTGAAAAAGTCTTTTTGGGAATGAAGGGCAACATTTTCAAAAGGGATTTCTCCTTTTACCCTTCCTCACCTCCATTTGCTTCTGAAAAGAAAGGTTTTGGTTGTGGAGTCATCCCTCAGAAAATCTTGGCAAGATTTGAGTGAAGAGCTTGGAGAGTAACTGAATCTAATCATAAGAAAACAATTAGTCAATACAGAGCAAAGGACCCTAATAGACTAAAACTCACAAGGACAGACTAGAACTCCTTGTCTAGTCAAGTCAATTCTAGGCCTTAATATTTTCTATAGGCCTTAATATTTTCAATATAATGGAAAAAAGGAGGCTGGGCAATAAATAAAATAAAAGACAGGGAGATTGTGGGAGATATCTGGTTGGTTTTCCATTCACTAAAAAAAGGGTCAGATTAAATTCTACAAAAATCAAAGCACCATATCCTTTTTCTTTTCAGCTGGTCTCAATAAGAGGTCAGGGTGCCCAGGAATAATATCCACTATGCATGGGTGTGTTCATATCCCGAGATGCAGCTTTGTCATAGTCTACTAAACCACCATGGCTCACTTTCATAATGACAACTCTGACATTTCACAGAGACATTTTTAAAAGCTACCCCAACAGCTATAAGTATTTCAAATAGGTCAATTTTATGCCTCTTGAATTTCAAGGAAGAACTCACTTTCTAGAAAAAAATCTCAAATGGTCATCTTCTGAGTCTACCTACTTTACTAGGGGTACTAGTTAGCAAGATTTCAAGTAATCTGGAATGTTGCTTGGCTCCTCTTTGACCAATCTAGAGAAAACAGGGTTTTTTTTAACTGAAAATCAAATCAAGACCAATAGTTATGCATAATAATGCCCAACATTTATAAAGCATCATGCTTTGAAGTTTATGGTTTACCCGGTGCTTTTATTACACATTACCTCCTTTGATCTTGCCACCATTGCATATGGAAGGGAGCATAACTATCATATTTTACTGATAAGTGGAGCTGAGACCTTAAAGATTTTGGAATTTATCAACTCTCTCAAGGAATATTAAACAAATAACCAAATAAAGTCACAAAGCTCAGTGATATCAAAACTAGGTTTTTGGAGTTTCCAGTCTTCAGTTAATTTAGTATATCAATCTTCCCATAAATACCAATAATTGAATCTCAGATAGATAGGGGAGGGCTTCTGACTTGCTTCAGTTTTCTCCTAACTCATGTCCCTGTGTGTGCACTAATTTATTTTAGTCTATTCTTTAGGCTGCAGCAAGTGTAGTCCTTAAAACATAAACTTAGTCTCTCATACGTTTCCCCTATTCCCAAACCTCAAACGGCTGCTACCACGTCTAAAGGTGAATCCACAATTTTCATTCTGACCTATGAGGACTTCCAGGACCTATGTTTGGAACCCTTCTTTAACTTCCTCACCCTAGGATAGCCACATTTACTTCTCTTTCAACACACCAAGGCCATTCCTACCTTGGGTTTCTATGTTTGTGCCTGAAACTTTCTCCTTCCAGACACAAATGAAATTTGTGTTCCCAATTTACACTTCCAATTTTGTTTGGCTGAGTGATTTAGGTCTCTGCTTACTACCAACTCCTCAGAGAGGGCTTCCATATGTCAAGGGTCCCCTAAACCCAAAGGCACTTTCTGTCCTGTTACTGTGCTTTATTCCTAGCATCTGGAAGAGTGCCTAGCAAAGATGGGTTTCAATAAATATATGTTAAATGAATAAATGAACAAACATATATAGTTGAGAGGAAAGAGATATAGCAAAGTTGAGTTTTTGCTCATGTTAGGCTACCCATTTAGAAATATTTGAATAAGTGTGCCGGAGAGTAACTATAGAAAGAATGACTTTCTTTTCAGGAGCTCTCTAACCCTCTGCTTAAGCAGTTTAAAATGACACAGTAAAAATTCTGGCTCTAAATAAAATGTAAAGGTGAGGACTGGATTTTAGAAGGAATTCATATATGTAAAGCAGTGATTGTAACAAAAAATACAGTTTTAACATCTATTTCTCAATCTGCTAGCTTGAATAAAATACGACTACCGTGGCAAGCAGCATGCGCATATTGCTTTGCAACACTGGCCACATGTTTTAAGCAGTAGAGATTTACATTCAAGGAACTAATAGTGTCTTCATTTATTTGACCAAGTTATTCATTAATTTGATCAAGTTCACCTTAGCAGTTAAAATAGCAGGATCTCAGATTTACAGAATTTTGTTAAAAGAAGTTTATCTTACTTGCTAGAGGCAAACATGAAGACTATATCTTTCTTAAAATGGATTAAGTCTCATCACACTGATCATATGAAATGTCTTTATAGGCAAATCTTTCAGGACAAAAAAAAATTAACTATTCTATCTTTTCATCTTGCTTAAAAGCTTAAAGCTTCTTTTTTTTAATTTATTTTTAACTGAATACATGGTTTATTTGCTGATCATGCAAAATAAGCTTTAAAAATATATTTCTAAAAGTGATCATTGCTCCTAATCATAAAATAAGCTCTACTGCTGGCACATTAAATGCAGTATATCCCGTTCTCCCTTCCTGTATGCAAGTCTTGCATTTAATGTGCCAGCAGTAAGAAATAGGAAATGAAGAAACTGAAGGCTAAAGTTCCTATGGCCACATTTTTAATGGTCAGATGGTGGTTCCTGTGTGTCATGAAATTTAGTCTTTTTAAAATTTATATAAACCTCAAACATTTCCAATAACAACTAAGGTATTTTTGGTTCTTTACAGCCTAGAGAGTGCTTTCATAAAAACTATCACATTGGTGGCTCACAGTTACCCAGTAGGTAAAGTGTTAATATTCTGTCTTTTTTGTAGTTGGCCAGCCTGAGGCTCAGTGAATGGCATAATCAAGAACCAGAGCAAGGACATTTGACCTACAGATCACTCTTTTTCCACTAAATCACACTGTCTCTTGGATTTCCAAGATATAAATTGGTCCAGGTCATTTACCTAGCTACTCTCTCAGGTTTCCTGAGTTCAAGGCAATACTGATTAATAATCACAGCCCTACCTGTCTGAAGTATCACAATACTTCACAGTAGATCTTGGAATTTGTAATGTCTTGCTCTCAGGAAAAAATTTAATTAATTAACTAAAAGCAAAAAAGGAATATATTTATTTTTTCTCTCTTTTTTGACATTCAGTTAGATGCACCTAAAAGACCAGTCCCTAAATAAGAATTGTCCGTAATCTCAGAGCAATACAGGCTACTGTTTTCAGAGTGTAAGGAAGGTTTTAGCTGGCTGCCTTTCAGGCTGTTTGCACTTTAAAGGTGGCTAGCATGCTTGATGTGTTTTGTATCTACTCTGAAGGGTTTTTTATTTCTTAGTTCTGGCATTCCTGTCATAGAAATAGAAATTAATTGCAGAAAGCCCTGCTATGGGGAATCATTTCATAAGGGTTTTTAATGCTCATTTGCATACCTTTGATTATTAGTCATCCAAGGTCATCTTGAAAGAAGGCTCCTAATGCTTACCCACATCCAATTCTCCTCCCTTTCTGGTTCCACAGAGGAATGAGATTTTCCACCATGTGACTATTTCTGGATAATGGTTTGTGAGCAGAACTGATGAAACATTTAATTGCTGGTTTGAGACCCTTCAATGCCCTCTACCCCTGTATCAGCAACTGAGGACACATCAAGTTCCAGATGCCATAGCCACAAGGTGGAGAAGCTCCTTCAGCCAGGGTCCCCATGTCCAGTAGGACACTGTGCCAATCCAGAAGGCCATGTAAGCGCAAGTGAGAAAGGAGCCTTGTAGGTTCCAGCTACTGAGATTTGGTGGTTACTCTGTTACTGCTTATCCTAATTAAAAATTTTAAGGCAATAGTCAAAGGTGCACAGGAATTGGATGCAGGAGACTTGAATTATATCCAACTTAGCTTTATCAACTTGGGTAAGTCACCTAAATTTGAGTTTATTTTATTCCTTCCTA
Source organism: Homo sapiens (assembly GCF_000001405.40). Lineage (NCBI taxonomy): Eukaryota > Metazoa > Chordata > Mammalia > Primates > Hominidae > Homo > Homo sapiens. The sequence goes on along the minus strand of NC_000006.12, from coordinate 55,136,611 downwards.
AAACCAAGATGATATAATATATTTTATCTATTTGAAAGAATGATTAGGAAAATCAAATTACACAGTGTACGCAGAGTTATTCTGTAATTTATATTCAATTCATAAATGTGGTGACATATTTTTTATTCTTTTGTAATTGTGATTTCCCAATTGAAGGAATTTCTTTTCCCAGTGTCTAACATTCTACTCCACAGACAAAGTAAATAAAAAGACCAAAGTTAGAGTGTGTATGTGAACAGGATGCCATTTTTCATTAGTTAGTTTGACTCATTATTATAATCATACTGCGGCTCTAGTAGTTAAATTCAAGGTTTAGAATCAGGCATTGAAGACTCAAGCTCAATTCCATGACAACCAGCTGTTTCAAAATTGTCTATATATTTTTCATTTAAGTACCTTTGAGCTTCAGAGAATAAAGACACTCCCTTATATTTTTTTCAGCACAATGTGGAATACAAAGTAAATTTTGTGTTAAGAGAGTATGAGATCAATTTCTACTATTCTGGAATAGTTAAACCCTATTCCCTAATCTAGCAAAGCAAATAGACCAGCAAAGCTTCTAGGCACTAATTAGATATTTCCTTTATTAATTAAATAGACTGAGAAGGGAAGCAGGCATGCAATTAATGTTCTACGTTTTAGAGCCATGAAAATTGACCATGTCTTGTGTCCTCTCAACATAAGAAATGCTGGGGATATGGTTTGACTCCTCAAGTTATCACCAAATTTCCTTTTCCATGAATAAGCAACGCTACTGCGGTCCTTAGAGACCCTCTAGGTTGTGGTTAAAAGTGGGCTTTCTGAAATCAGGCTGAATTCCAGCTCTACTACTTACTGAGTTACCTTGAGTATGTAAATTCTTTATGCCTGTTTTCTCATCTATAACATGGGTAAATGATAGCAAATAACTTACACAGTTGTTTTGAAAACCAAGGAGTTAATATATGTAAAGTGTTTAGAAAGGGGATCAAGATATAGCAAGTACTATAAGGCTTACTTATCTATTGTCTCCTTTAATCAAATTTGAAATTTTTAACCCAAATTCCAAACTCCAACTAACACAAACTGAAGCAACTGATTGCTCTAAAATATGGAGGAGTTTGTGAGAGGAGAGATAAATGGGTTTTTGGGCAACTTTCAGGAATACATTTAAACCATAACAGATGAGTAGTGATATTATAGAGGTTTTACGATATTCTGATTAGCTAGAGGTCTTTAAGAGTCCTGAATCTTCCGGCCTTAGATTTGTGTTTCTTTTCATGGGAGACCACATTTAGGTGAACTAATTATGGGTTTTATCTAAACTGAAATCTCTCTACAAAATTATCTTTTTCTCCTTATTTACAACAAAAGTCTAAGTGTTTTGCTGGATACTCTAGCATGAGACCTCAAAGTCATTTTTAATCCTGTATATTTCCTTGTTCCAAACCCAATTAATGGCCAAATTTGGACAAATATTTTTTACAGTAGAGTCTTTACCATTCACTTTCTGTTGCCATTTCATTAATTCCTCATCTTTCCACTGCTTCATTACTCTGGGCTTTCCACCACATTCTTTGCTACTAGCGAAGCTTTCTTCATCCTTGTTGAAGTAAATAGAAGACTTGGTTTTTATTTTTCCTTCCAAGGATATAGATTTCAGAAGAAATATCTGCACTCCATGTTCATCACAGTATTATTAATAATTGCCAAAGTATGGAAATAACCTAAGTGCTGACAAATGAATAAAGAAGAAAATATTTCATATACACACAGAGAAAGAGAGAGAGAATGAAATATTATTCAGTCACAAAAAAGAAGGAAATCCTGCCATTTGCAATGACATGGATGAACCTGGAGGACATTATGCTAAATGAAATAAGCCAGACACAGCAAGACAAATACTGTATGATGTCGCCTGTATGTGGAGTCTTAAAAAGTTGATCCCATAGAAAGAGAATAAAATGTGTAGTTACCAGGGTCTGGGAGAGGGAGGGCAGTGGAGAAAATGGGGAGATGTTGGTCAAAAGATACACACTCTCAGTTATAAGATGAATAAGATCTGGGGATCTAATATATAGCATAGTGACTATAATTAATAATATTGTACTATATACTTGAAATTTGCTATGAGGGTAAATCTTATGCTCTCACTATACATACACACACACACACACAAATGGTACCTATGTGAGATGATGCATGCGTTAATTAATGTAATTTTAATCATATAACTATATATATGGGCATCCAGTTATCATATTATAAATTTTTTGCCAATTATATCTCAATAAACCTGGAAAAATAAATAATGACAAATATAAATTTCTTTATCATACTGTGTTCTGTTTTGCTTGAAAAGATTTTGATAGAAAATTTTAGAGTGAGTTGAAGCAAAAAACAAACAAACAAACAAACAAAAACAGAATAATCAGTCTCCTCAACTTAAAAGGACTATCACCCAACTTATGAAATTCACTAGATAACCATAGAAATAAAATGTGCTTAGTTTGTTTTGCCACAATTTTGGTGGAGAAATGAAGAGGTACGTAAGAAGTGGGGGAATCAAAGAAAAAAGAAAAGAAATAAGAAATGTATATGTTCCTAAGATGTGTGAATTTTCATTAGGACAATTTCATTTACTAAGTGACATTTGACCAGTTAACTAAATGATAAATATTCTCACTTGCTGTATAAGAAAAACTGTTTGTAATAACCACTTTTTATACTATGTTATGGCAATAGAATGAAATCAAGAAATTTTTTATAAAAGAAAAACAGCCATATAGGTTCACTTCTGCTAAAATTATTAAATTATTTAAGAAAGAAATATTAAAGGTAACCAAGTAGTAGATTTATTCCTAATATAAAAAGCTATGTTTGAGCTTAAAAGAATACCAAGACAGACAAACATGCCTAGATGGAGATATAGATAGATAGATAGATAGATAGATAGATAGATAGATAGATGATAGATAGATAGATAAATACATGTAGATATATAGCTATGTCTTCGTTCTTAGAACGTACAATGTTTCATTGCCAACAGATATCCATACTGGCATGAAAATTGATGTTAGTGAGGTCATCAATAAGTTATTCCTGACTTTCAGATCACTATGCAGCAATTGAAGAAAGCTTTGAAATGGATATCATAATTTTACTTTGGACATTTGTTATTCCTAACTTGATGCATACCCCTTCTGAATTTTAGAAATGCCTTGATGTGTGTGTGTGTGTGTTTTTTTGTGTGTGTGTATGTGTATATGATCTCTCTCTCACACACATACATTTATGGAAACAAAGCAAGGGGGAAGAATATGTCTGTTAGCTTCAATTTTGCATGCATAAAAATGTATGAGAGAAAGGACTGAAAACAAGAGCAAAGAAGACATAGGAGACAGGAAATGTCAGGCTTGCTAGACTGTACCGAGGTAAAAAAAATTTACTCTAAAAATAAGTCCTACCATTTTACTTATTGGTGGTAATTTGATTTTGTATTCAACACAAACATATTGTATCAATTAACGATTAAATCAACCTTGTTATCTTACCAAGCTAAGACTAATGTTGCACAGTGGATATCAGCATTTCAGGGATCTTACTTTGAGATTATCAGCTATCCCAGTTTTTAAGGATTGTTTGAATATAACTGCACAAAACACTAGTTTATCCTCTATTGGTTTTGAAAAGTCTTCTGTAACTTAAAAGCTGTGGTCATCATGGGTCTCTGGTGTCTATGTAAAAAACTGTTTGGTTGATTATTTTCCCCAAAGAATGATTCATGAAGATCAACCCCATCTAAACATAAAGCAATACCACTTTCAAACACTTTGTTTGTTTGTTTCTCTTTATAATTTTCAGCGAAAAAAAAAAAAAAAGAGAGAGAGAGAGGGAGAGGTATAAATGGAGTTGGTCTGAGTAGGGCTCCACTGTCCCATTCCTTTGCTCCCTAACCATGTCTTCTTTCCCTTAAGCTTAAGAGCTGACCTCAATCTGAAACGTATGTCCTACTGGGGTAGCTCATCTTTGAATAACTGTTTATAATCTATGTCTCCCAAAAAACATTTAACTTTAATGCACCACATTCCATCTGTTTCTCTGTTCTTGAGGCTAATTGTGTAACATCTAATGCTGTTAACGTACTCCAGGATTGGCATGCATAGTGTGTCAATATTCCTTTTTCTTGTGCCCCTGGCACATATAGATAATCAATAACTACATTCTTTTCCACTTTGCCCAGACATCTTTAGAATCCTTCTCGCTACTGCACTTCAGACAGTCTATAGCAGTTAATCAAGGCTAAAACCTACTTGCTACCCTTAGGTTACTCATTCTCACTTAAAATGTGTGCATTTTATGAAAGAGTTTAGGAGACACAATGATTGCCCTCAAATTTACTTTTATTATGACAACTTGTTATTAAATTAACAAATCATATATATGTATGTGTTTAATAGACTTTTGTGATAGTCATTAACTTTTATATGTTTATTCAAAAATATAAAATTAAAGTGTTATTCAAAGATTATTAATTTTATTAATTAAAGGGATATCTATATATGTTTAGAATTGGCCACAAACACATGTACAACTCATGCTATTTATTTAGTCTACAGAAAAACCTTGCTGAGAGTATGAATTTAAGGCATTATTCTGTCATTTTTGCCCCTAAAACGCATTGCCTTTAAATTGATTATAAAGCTTGCCACATGGTTTCATAGTTGCTTCATTTCCAGGTTCATTTACTAGCTCCTTGGAAACAGGAGTTTCTTATTTTCCTCAGCACCATATGCAGAGTTTTTCACATAGTATTGGCATGACAAATACTTAAAGAGTAAATAATTGACTAAGTGGATAAGATGTTATTTTTCAACAAGTGCTCTTATATTACTCTGTTGTCATGAGATTAATTCTATTCTTAGCACATCTAAAACATTTTAATTGTCTTATTCCAATGAAATTTTGTACAAGGACTATTTTCAAAATTGTTATTTCCACTTAAAATTTTTGCCTTTTTTTGCTTGTCGAAATGTTAAATTAACTGACTTTAGTGTTATATGAATAAACTTGATGGTATTAATGACTTTAAATTTTGAAAATATTTCATAGCTATTATCCTTAAAACCACATAAGTAATTGCAGGAATTTAGGAGACGGTAAAAACTTTAATACCTACACAAGATTGTTAAGTTACAAACATCTTTGAAGAAGTTCAAACAAATTAAATCATCTTTGGACCTTCTGAGGAACATCTAGAATTTGAATGTTTGAAATAAATGTTTTCTTTAAAGATAAATTACATTTGTTTTTCTTTTCTTAACCCAAATACATTCCCCAAACAGGTAAAATCTGAAAAGGTAAAATCTTATAAAAGGGGAACTACTGTGTATTCATTATCAATAATAAAATAATAATATATGTAAAACCACTCAACTGATCCCTAAAGATGTGACCTCCTTGACATCATGAAAAAAAAGATCTTTAATTGCAGAAAATGCTGACATGCTATTAAGTATATTTGAAACTATCCCTTAAGCCTTGTTGATTAGAAGTATAGTGCTAGTTTTATTCAAGTCAACCTCACTCTTACTGAATCATCAGCTTAATCTCACCACTTGGAATCTTGTTTTTCCTTTTGAAATTCACCTAGCTCTAGTTCTTTCCAGTTCCTTCTGGAAATTGTTAAATCCTGATGGTTATGATTCATGAATCTCAAGCAATCTTTATTTTGTACATGAAGATTTGCCCAAGCCAGAGATGCTGTCATTGAGAAAATAATTGACCTGATATTAAAACAGTAGTGTTTACAAGTCATTTCTGTGTATATGTGTGTTGGGGTGGGATATTAATAATGCAGGAGAAGAAAACTATATAAAATATAGAAAATCCCTGGGGTAGGAGAAAACATTTTAGTCTTCAAGGAAGAGATTGGAGATTTAAAGGCCAAGGCCAGGTTCTATGTGCTTTGTTAAGAATATTTGCCTTTACCCTAAAAGTAATGAGAAGTTATTGAAATATTGTAAGTAGAGGATTGATACCATCAGATTTTAACTTTCAAAGTATCATTTTGGCTTCAGCCTTGGAAATAAACAGAAGGAAGAGAATTGTGGATGAAGACAACCCATAGCCCATGTGACAGGTGATGATAGCTTTGAAAGAAATAGGAATATATTGGAGATGAAATTTATAGAAACTGGTTGGATTACTTTTAAAGAATGAAGGAGAAGAAAATGAAAAAAAAAACAAAACAACAAAAAAAAGGTTACCAATTCTCCAACTGGTAAAAGTTACTACATTGTGGTAACATTCATCGCATGGGGAATACTGGAAAATAATCAGCAGTGGAAGCAATTATATATTGGTCCCACTGAATTTGTGCTGCCTTTGAGATTCACAAGTGAAGAGATCAGGTAGGAAGCTAGATATAGAGGTCCATAATTTAGAGAAAGGCCTTAGATTAGTGATCAAATGTTTAAGTCACTGAGTATAGATCAATGCCTCTGAAATGGATAAGGATGAAAGTACTGACAGATGAGGGAAGGGATTAATGCTTACCTGAGGAAGTCTATCTCAGTTGACACTTAAAATGAGTTTGAAACATTAGTAGGGGTTAAACAAATGAGGACATGATGGTGTGAAACTCACTGGTGGGTCCAGGAAAATACACGTGGGTTAGCATTACTAAATACAAAGTAAGGGAAAAGCAGCGGAAATAGAAGAGTAGGGAGACTAAGGGGTTAAAGTAAAAGAGAACTTATTCTCAAAGGCAACTTCTATAGAAATTTGAATGTCATCTTGCAGGAAAAGTGAAATGATTGAAGAATATTGGCTGAGAAGACATGTGATCAGATTTGTATTTTATAGGGACAAAGTAAAAAGAGCCTAGAGGATGCATTTAAGAACAAACAAGACTGGCATCAGGAGAACCAGATAAGTGGCCATTGCTTTTATCCAGACTAGATGCTAGTGGAAGGAATAATTGGAAAAGAAAAAAAAGTGCTAAAAAATATTTATGGAACATGATATTGTGTATGTCAGAACACAAAGACTGGAAAAGAGGAGACCATGGAATAACTTGTAAATTTCTAGTTTTTATGACTAATACTGCCATTTTTGGCAATGTTCCATCACTATTTTAATAACACCAACTCACACATATTTTCCTAGATCTATGATGGGATTTCATGCCATCTTCATTTGATTAACTCTTACTTACATTTCAAAACCCATTTTAGATGTAAACTGAGTTGGATTTCCACAAGTAAGGCTTAAGCCCTTACCTTATACATTAAGGAAGTTGGCACATTTAGGAAGGAGTTTCAATTTCTGATATGTTGATTTTGAGGAGATTTGAAAACACAAGGGGATATGATTAGTCAACATTTTGATCCATGAGTGAGAAAACTTAGAACAAGGTTTGAGCTGGAGAGAAATATTTATGAGTCATCAGCATGTAAGCAGTAATCAAACGTAGGAGAGTTGATTAAATTGCATAATTAGCATAAACAAAGCATCATGTCAAAGACTGTTTTCTAGGGAACTTGGGTTTTAAGATTTAGGCTGACAAAGAGACGACCAAAATAAAACCAAAACAAAACAAAGATCAGAATTGTTGAAGGGAACCAGGAGAAGCCAAAAATGTTCAAGAATGAGAAGTCTTCTGTATCAGATGCAGAAATAAGCCATTAGATTTGGAAGCATGGTGCATGGAATACTTAACATCTATTCCTGATAAATTTTAGATGTTTCCAAATCTCTTCATGATCATGTTATTATATTAAATCAATACTAGTGTGCCACAGTATATTAAATAAATACTAGTGTGCTACAGTGGTGTAAACCTAACTATTCCCTATTCTTCCTACTGATTACACCTAAAATGTCTGTAAAATATCTTTTTTAAAACTAAACTACATGGATATTCTGAAAAGTAAATAAAAAACAGGCAGATTCACACAAAAAATAAAATATTTAGGAATACTGCTAACTATGAAGGTGAAAGATCTCTACAAGAACTATAAGCCACTGCTCAGATAAATCAGAAATGACCTAAACAAATGAAAAATATTCCCATGAGCATGGATAGGAAGATTCAATGTTGTTAAAATGGCCATACTGCCCTAAGCAATTTATAGATTCAATGCTATTCCTATTAAACTATCAATGACATTCTTCTCAGAACTAGAGAAAACTATTTTAAAATTCAAATGGAACCAAAAAAGAGCGTGAATACCCAAGGCAATCCTAAGCAAAAAGAACAAAGCTGGTGGCATCACCCCACCCTACTTCAAACTATACTACAGGGCTACAATAACCAAAACAGCATGGTACTGGTACATAAACAGACACATAGATCAATGGAACAGAATAGAGAACCCAGAAATAAGACCATACACCTACAACTAACTGATCTTTGACAAACCGGACAAAAGCAAGCAATGGGGAAAGGGCTCCCTATTCAATAAATGGTGCTGGGATAACTAGCCAGCCATATGAAGAAAATTGAAATTGGACCCCTTCCTTACACCATGTACAAAAATTAACTCAAGATGGATTAAAGACTTAAATGTAAAACACAAAACTATAAAAATTCTGAAGACAACCTGGGCAATACCATTCAGGGCATAGGAATAGGCAAAGATTTCATGACAAAGATGCCAAAAACAATTGCAACAAAAGCAAAAATTGACAAGTTGGATCTAATTAAACTAAAGAGCTTCTGCACAGCAAAATAAACTACCAACAGAGTAAACAGACAATCTAACAAATTGGAGAAAAATTTTACAAACTATTCATCTAGTGATAAATGTAGGCAAGTCTCCTTTTGGACATTGATGAGATTGTTTCTGGCTTCTGGCTCAAGCATATGACATGCCTTGAAACAAACCCCAGAGATCTATAATGCAAGAGGCTGATACTGATTTTACTCATCTGTGTAGCTTTGCCCTAAGTGTGAGGAAGATGCTGAAAATTGCTTCTAGTTAGTTAGGCATAAGACAATTAAGGAAGGAATCAAAACAACAACAAGAAAGCAAGAACAAAGATTTCTCAGACCTCACAGATCAATCACAAAATACTGCAGGAGAGGCTTTTAAGAAAGATTCTGACAAGATGGCCAAATAGGAAGAGCTCTGGTCTGCAGCTCCCAGCAAGTCCAACGCAGAGTGCAGATGATTTCTGCATTTCCAGCTGAGGTACCTGGTTCATCTCATTGGGGCAGGTTGGACAGTGAATGCTTTGGAGGGCAAGCTGAAGCAGGGTGGAGTGTCGCCTTACCTGGGAAGTGCAAGGGGTCGGGGAGTTTTCTCCCCTACCTGAGGGAGCCGTGAGGAACTGAGCCTGAGGAACCAAGCACACTCCAGCCCAGATACTGTGCTTCTCCCATGGTTTTCACAACCTGCAGACCAGGAGATTCCTTCTGGTGCCTACCCCACCAGGGCCCTGGGTTTCAAGCACAAAACTTGGTGGCCGTTTGGGCAGACACTGAACTAGCTGCAGAAATTTTTTTTTCCCATACCCCAGTGGCGCCTGGAATGTCAGCGAGACAGAACCAATCACTCCCACTGGAAGGGGTACTGAAGCCAGGCAGCCAAGTGGTCAGCTCGGTGGGTCCCACTCCCATAGGGCCCAGCAAACTAAGATCCACTGAATTGAAATTCTTGCTGCCAGCACAGCAGCAGTCTGAGATCAACCTGGGACTCTTGAGCTTGGTAGAGGGAGGGGTATCTGCCATTGCTGAGGCTTGAGTAGGCAGTTTTACACTCACAGTATAAACAAAGCAGCCAGGAAGACCAAACTGGCTGGAGCCCACTGCAGCTCAGCAAGGCTGCAAACTGCCAGATTTCTCCTCTCTGGGCAGGGAATCCCTGAAAATAAGGCAGCAGCCCCAGTCAGGGACTTATAGATAAAACGCCATCTCCCTGGGACAGAGCACCTGGGGCAAGGGGTTTCAGCAGACTTAAATATCCCTGCCTGACCGCTCTGAAGAGAGCAGTGGACCACCCAGCACAGCATTCGAGCTCTGCTAAGGGGCAGATTGCCTCCTCAACTGGGTCCTTAACCCTTGACTGGGAGACACCTCCCAGTAGGGGCTGACAGACACCTCATACAGGAGAGCTCTGGCTGGCATCTGGCAGGGGATCTCTGGGATGAAGCTTCCAGAGGAAAGAACAGGGCAGCAATCTTTGCTGTTCTACAGCCTCCTCTGGTGATACTCAGGCAAACAGGGTCAGGAGTGGACCTCCAGCAAAGTCCAGCAGACCTGCTGAAGAGGGGCCTGACTGTTAGAAGGAAAACTAACAAACAGAAAGGAATAGCAGGCTCACTCAAAGACTCCATTCAAAGGTCACCCACATCAAAGACCAAAGGTAGATAAATCCACAAAGACAGGGAGAAACCAGTGCAAAAAAGGCTGAAAATTCCAAAAACCAGAGCACCTCTTCTCCTCCAAAAGATCACATCTCTTCACCAGCAAGGGAACAAAACTGGACAGAGAATGAGTTTGACGAATTGACAGAGGTAGGCTTCAGAAGATGGGTAATAACAAACTCCTCTAAGCTAAAGGAGCATGTTCTAACCCAATGCAAGGAAGCTAAGAACCTTGAAAAAAGGCTAGAGTAATTGCTAACTAGAACAACCAGCTTAGAGAAGAACATAAACGACATGATGGAGCTGAAAAACATAGCACGAGAACTTCGTGAAGCATACACAGGTATCAATCGCTGAATCGATCAAGTGGAAGAAAGGGTACCATTGATTGAAGGTCAACTTAATGAAATAAAGTGAGAAGACAAGATTTGAAAAAAAAAGAATAAAAAGCAATGAACAAAGCCTCCAAGAAATATGGGACTATGTGAAAAGACCAAACATACGTTCTATTGGTGTACATGAAAATGACAGAGAGAATGAAACCAAGTTGGAAAACACTCTTCAGGATATTATCCAAGAAAACGTCCCCAACCTAGCAAGACAGGCCAACATTCAAATTTAGGAAATACAGACAACACCACAAAGATACTCCTCGAGAAAAGCAAACCCAAGACACAGAATCATCATATTCACCAAGGTTGAAATGAAAGAAAAAATGTTAAGGGCAGCCAGAGAGAAAGGTCGGGTTACCCACAAAGGGAAGCCCATCAGACTAACAGTGGATCTCCCTGCAGAAACCCTACAAGCCAGAAGACAGTGGAGGCCAATATTCAACATCCTTAAAGAAAAGCATTTTCAACCCAGAATTTTATATCCAGCCAAACTAAGCTTCAATAGTGAAGGAGAAATAAAATCCTTTACAGAAAAGCAAATGCTGAGAGATTTTGTCACCACCAGACCTGCCTTACAAGAGCTCCTGAAGGAAGCGCTAAACATAGAAAGAAACAACTGGTACCAGCCACTGCAAAAACATACCAAATTGTAAAGACCATCAACACTATGAAGAAACTGCAGCAACTAATGGGTAAAACAACCAGCTAGCATCATAATGACAGTATCAAATTCACACATAACAATATTAACCTTAAATGTAAATTGGCTAAATGTTCCAATTAAAAGACACAGGCTGGCAAATTGGATAAAGAGTCAAGACCCATCAATGTGCTGTATTCAGGAGACCCATCTCATGTGCAAAGACACATATAGGCTCAAAATAAAGGTTTGGAGGATTATTTACCAAGCACATGGAAAGTGAAAAAAAAAAAAAAGCAGGAGTTGGTATCCTAATCTCTGGTAAAACAGATTGTAAACCAACAAAGATCAAAAGAGACAAAGAAGGGCATTACATAATGCTAAAGGGATCACTGCAACAAGAACAGCTATCCTAAATATATATGCATCAAATACAGGAGCAAACAGATTCATAAAGCAAGTCCTTAGAGACCTACAAGAAACTTAGACTACCACACAATAATAGTGGGAGACTTTAACACCCCACTGTCAATATTAAACAGATCAATGAGACAGAAAATTAACAGGGATATTCAGGACTTGAACTCAGCTCTGGACCAAGCAGATTAATAGACATCTACAGAACTCTCCACCCCAAATCAACAGAATATACATTCTTCTCAGCAATTCATCACACTTATTCTAAAATTGACCACATAATCGGAAGTAAAACACTCCTCAGCAAATGCAAAAGAACGGAAATTGCAACAGTCTCTCAGACCACAGTGCAATCAAATTAGAACTCAGGCTTAAGAAACTCAATCAAAACCACACAACTGCATGGAAACTGAACAGCCTGCTCCTGAATAACTACTGGGTAAATAACAAAGTGAAGGCAGAAATAAAGTTGTTCTGTAAAACCAGTGAGAATGAAGACATAACATACCAGAATCTCTGTGACACATTTAAAGCAGTGTGTAGAGGGAAATTTATAGCACTGAATGCCCAGAAGAGAAAGCAGAAAAGATCTAAAATCAACACTCTGACACCAAAATTAAAAGAACTAGAGAAGCAGCAGCAAACACATTCAAAAGCTAGCAGAAGACAAGAAATAACTAAGATCATAGCAGAACTGAAGGAGACAGAGACACAAAAAACCCTTCAAAAAATCAAATAATCCAGGAACTGTTTTTGAAAAGATTAACAAAATAGACTGCTAGACAGACAAAGAAGAAAAGAGAGAAGAATCAAATAGACACAATAAAAATGATATAGGAGATATAACTACTGATCCCACAGAAATACAAACTACCATCAGAGAATACTATAAACACCTCTAGACAAAAAACTAGAAAACCTAGAAGAAATGGATAAATTTCTGGACACATACACTCTCCCAAGTTTAAACCAGGAAGAAGTCAAATCCCTGAATAGACCAATTACAAGTTCTGAAATAGAGGCAGTAATTAATATCCTGTCAACCAAAATAAGTGCAGGACCAGATGGATTCACAGCCGAATTCTACCAGAGGTAGAAAAAGGAGCTGGTAGGATTCCTTCTGAAACTATTCCAAACAATAGAAAAAGCAGGAATCCTCCCTAATTCATTTTATGAGGCGAGTATCACCCTAATAGCAAAACCTGGCAGAGACACAACAAAAAAGGAAAATTTCAGGCCAATATCCCTCATGAACATGGATGGGAAAATCCTCAATAAAATACTGGCAAATGGGATCCAGCAGCACATCAAAAAGCTTATCCACCACAATCAAGTTGGCTTCATACCTGGAATGCAAGGCTGGTTCAACATAAGCGAATCAGTAAATGCAAACCATCACATAAACAGAATCAATGACAAAAACCACATGATTATCTCAAAAGATGCAGAAAAGGCTTTTGACAAAATTCAACACCCTTTCATACTAAAAACTCTCAATAAACTAGGTATTGATGGAACATGTCTCAAAAAAAAGAGCTATTTATGACAAACCTACAGCTAATATCATACTGAATGGGCAAAACCTGGAAGCATTCCCTTTGAAAACCAGCACAAGATAAGGATGCCCTCTCTCACCACTCCTTTTTTTAACTTTTAATTTTTATTTTTTATTATTATTTTATATATATACATTTTTATTATACTTTAAGTTCTAGGGTACATGTGCACAACATGCAGGTTTGTTACATATGTACATATGTGTCATGTTGGTGTGCTGCACTCATTAACTCCTCATTTACTTTAGGTATATCTCCTAATGCTATCCCTTCCCCCTCCCCCCACCCCACAACAGGCCCCAGTGTGTGATGTTCCCCTTCTTGTGTCCAAGAGTTCTCATTGTTCAATTCCCACCTATGAGTGAGAACATGCGGTGTTTGGTTTTTTGTCCTTGCGATAGTTTGCTGAGAATGACGGTTTCCAGCTTCATCCATGTCCCTACAAAGGACATGAACTCATCATTTTTTATGGCTGCATAGTATTCCATGGTGTACATGTGTCACATTTTCTTAATCCAGTCTATCATTGTTGGACATTTAGGTTGGTTCCAAGTCTTTGCTATTGTGAATAGTGCCACAATAAACATATGTGTGCATGTGTCCTTATAGCAGCATGATTTATAATCCTTTGGGTATAGAGGGAAATTTACAGCACTAAATGCCCACAAGAGAAAGCAGGAAAGATCTAAAATTAACACCCTAACATCACAATTAAAAGAACTAGAAAAGCAAGAGCAAACACATTCAAAAGCTAGCAGAAGACAAGAGATAACTAAAGTCAGAGCAGAACTGAAGGAGATAGAGACACAAAAAACCCTTCAAAAAATCAATGAATCCAGGAGCTGGTTTTTTGAAAAGATAAACAAAATTCATAGATCGCTAGCAAGACTAATAAAGAAGAAAAGAGAGAAGAATCAAATAGACACAATAAAAAATGATAAAGGGGATATCACCACTGATTCCACAGAAATACAAACTACCATCAGAGAACACCATAAACACCTCTATGCAAATAAACTAGAAAATCTAGAAGAAATGGATAAATTCCTCGACACATACACCCTCCCAAGACTAAACCAGGAAGAAGTTGAATCTCTGAATAGACCAATAACAGGCTCTGAAATTGAGGCAATAATTAATAGCTTACCAACCAAAAAAAGTCCAGGACCAGATGGATTCACAGCTGAATTCTACCAGATGTAGAAGGAGGAGCTGGTACCATTCTTTCTGAAACTATTCCAATCAATAGAAAAAGAGGGAATCCTCCCTAACTCATTTTATGAGGCCACCATCATCCTGATACCAAAACTTGGCAGAGACACAACAACAAAAAAGAGAATTTTAGAACAATATCCCTGACGAACATCGATGCAAAAATCCTCAATAAAATACTGGCAAACCAAATCCAGCAGCACATCAAAAAGCTTATCCAGCATGATCAAGTGGGCTTCATCCCTGGGATGCAAGGCTGGTTCAACATACACCAATCAATAAACATAATCCAGCATATAAACAGAACCAAAGACAAAAACCACATGATTATCTCAATAGACGCAGAAAAGGCCTTTGACAAAATTCAACAGCCTTTCATGCTAAAAATTCTCAATAAGTTAGGTATTGATGGGACATATCTCAAAATAATAAGAGCTATTTATGCCAAACCCACAGCCAATATCATACTGAATGGGAAAAACTGGAAGCATTCCCTTTGAAAACTGGCACAAGACAGGGATGCCCTCTCTCAACATAGTGTTGGAAGTTCTGTCCAGGGCAATCAGGCAAGAGAAAGAAATAAAGCATATTCAGTTAAGAAAAGAGGAAGTCAAATTTTCCCTGCTTGCAGATGACATGATTGTATATCTAGAAAATCCCATCATCTCAGCCCAAAATCTCCTTAAGCTGATAAGCAACTTCAGCAAAATCTCAGGATACAAAATCAATGTGCAAAAATCACAAACATTCCTATACACCAATAACAGACAAACAGAGAGCCAAATCATGAGTGAACTCCCATTCACAATTGCTTCAAAGAGAATAAAATACCTAGGAATCCAACTTACAAGGGATGTGAAGGACCTCTTCAAGGAGAACTACAAACCACGCTCAACGAAATAAAAGAGGATACAAACAAATGGAAGAACATTCCATGTTCATGGATAGGAAGAATCAATATCATGAAATTGGCCATACTGCCCAAGGTAATTTATAGATTCAATGCCATCCGCATCAAGCTACCAATGACTTTCTTCACAGAACTGGAAAAAACTACTTTAAAGTTCATATGGAACCAAAAAAGAGCCCACATTGCCAAGACAATCCTAAGCCAAAAGAACAAAGCTGGAGGCATCACGCTACCTGACTTCAAACTATACTACAAGGCTACAGTAAGCAAAACAGCATGGTACTGGTACCAAAACAGAGATACAGACCAATGGAACAGAACAGATCTCTCACCACTCCTATTCAACATAGTATTGGAAGTTCTGGCCAGGCCAATCAGACAAGAGAAAGCAATAAATGGTATTCAAATAGAAAGAGAGGAAGTCAAATTGTCTCTGTTTGCAGATGACATGATTGTATATTTAGAAAACCCTATCATCTCAGCTCCAAATCTCCGTAAGCTGATAAGCAACTTCAGGAAAGTCTCAGGATACAAAATCAATGTGGAAAAATCACAAGCATTCCTATACAACAATAACAAACAGTGAGCCAAATCATGAGTGAACTCCCATTCACGACTGCTACAAAGAGAATAAAATACCCAAGAATACAAATTACAAGGGATGTGAAGGACTTCTTCAACGAGAACTGCAAACCACTGCTCAAGGAATTAAGAGAGGGCACAAACAAATAGAAAAACATTCCATGCTCATGGATAGGAAGAATCAATATCATGAAAATGGCCATACTGCCCAAAGTAATTTATAGATTCAATGCTCTCCCTATCAAGCTACCACTAACTTTCTTCACAGAATTGGAAAAAATATGGAACCAAAAAAGGGCCCACATAGCCAAGACAATCCTAAGCAAAAAGAACAAAGCTGGAGGCATCATGCTACTTGACTTCAACCTATACTACAAGGCTACAGTAACAAAAACAGCATGGTACTGGTACCAAAACAGATATATAGACCAATGGAACAGAATAGAGGCCTCAGAAATAACACCACACATCTACAACCATCTGATCTTTGACAAACCTGACACAAACAAGCAATGGGGAGAATATTTCCTATTTAATAAACGGTGTTGGGAAAACTGGCTAGCCATATGCAGAAAATTGAAACTGGACCCCTTCCTTATACCTTATACAAAAATCAACTCAAGATGGATTAAAGACTTAAACGTAAGACCTAAAACCATAAAAATCCTAGAAGAAAACCTGGGCAATATAATTCAGGACATAGGCATGGGAAAAGACTTCATGTCTACAACACCAAAAGCAATGGCAACAAAAGTCAAAAATTGACAAATGGGATGTAATTAAACTAAAGAGCTTCTGCATAGCAAAATAAACTATCATCAGAGTGAACAGGCAACCTACAGAATGGGAGAAAACTTTGCAATCTATCCATCTGACAAAGGGCTAATATCCAGAATCTACAAAGAAATTAAATTTACAAAAAAAAAAAAACATCAAAAATGAACAAAGGATATGAGCAGACACTTCTCAAAAGAAGACATTTATGCAGTGAACAGACGTATGAAAAAATGCTCATTATCACTTGTCATTAGAGAAATGCAAATCAAAACCACAGTGAGATACCATCCCATGCCAGTTAGAATGGCAATCATTAAAAAGTCAGGAAACAACAAATGCTGGAGAGGACGTGGAGAAATAGGAATGCTTTTACACTGTTGGTGGCAGTGTAAGTTAGTTCAAGCATTGTGGAAGACAGTGTGGCATCTCCTCAAGGATCTAAAACTAGAAATACCATTTGACCCAGCAATCCCATTAGCGGGTATATACCCACATAAATTGTTCTACTATAAAGACACATGCACACGTATGTTTATTGTGGCACTATTCACAATAGCCAAGACTTGGAACCAACCCAAACGCCCATCAATGATAGACTGAATAAAGAAAACATGGCACATATACACCATGGAATACTGTGCAGCCATGAAAAAGAATGAGTTCATGTCCTTTACAGGGACATGGATGAAGCTGGAAACCATCATTCTCAGTAAACTAACATAGGAATAGAAAACCAAACACCACATGTTCTCACTCATAAGTGAGAGTTGAACAAGGAGAACACATGAACACAGGGAGGGAAACATCACACACTGGAGCCTGTTAGGGGGTTGGGGGATAGGGGAGGAATAGCATAAGGAGAAATACCTAATGTAGGTGACGGGTTGATGGGTATAGCAAACCACCATGGCATGTGCATACCTATGTAAGAAAACTGCAGGTTCTGCACATGTACTCCAGAACTTAAAGTATAATTTAAAAAAGAATAAATAAATAAATAAATAAGAAAATTTACAAGAATAAACAAATAACCCCATTAAAAAGTGGGCAAAAAATGAACAGGCACCTTTCAAAGATGACGTACATGCAGCCAACAATCATATAAATAAAAAAGCTCATCCTCAATAATCATTAGAGAAATACAAATCAAAACCACAATGAGATACTACCTAACACCAGTGAGAATGGCTATTATTAAAAAGTTAAAACATAACAGATGCTGGCACGGTTGTGGAGAAAAAGGAAAACTTATCCACTGTTGGTGGGAGTGTAAATTAGTTCAGCCATTGTGGAAGACGGTGTGGCAATTCTTTAAAGACCTAAAGACAGAAATACCATTCAACCCAGCAATCTCATTACTGAGTATGTACCCAAAGGAATATAAATCATTCTATTATAAAGACACATGCACACATATGTTCATTGCAACACTATTCACAATAGCAAAGACATGGAGTGAACCTAAATGTCCATCAATGATAGACTGGATAAAAAAATGTGGTGCATATACACCATGAAATACTATGCAGTTATAAGAAAACCCAAGATCATATCCTTTATAGGAACATGGATGGAGCTGGAGGTCATTATCCTAAGCAAACTAACTCAGGAACAGAAAACCAAATACCACATGTTCTCACTTATAGGTGGGAGCTAAATGATGAGAACACATGGACGCATATTGGGGAACACACACACTGGGGCCTTGTGGAGAGTGAGGGTGAGAGGAGGGACAGGATCAGGAAAAATAACAAGTGGATACTAGGCTTAATACATGGGTAATGAAATAATCTGTATAACAAACCTCCATGACACAAGTTTACTTACATTATAAACCTGCAGATCCTGCACATGTGCCCCTGAACTTAAAATAAAAGTTAAATAAAGGAAAAACAGAAAAAAAAACAAACAGTCTGTGGAGGGAAGTAAAAATTAGAAGTAACTGGCAAGAGGATAAGTTTTCCAGTTCCCTTTTTTTTTTTTTTTTTTTTTGAGACTTTATCCCAAGGGCAGGTGCAGCATGTTGGCTAAAACCTCAATAGAAATTCCAGTTTCTACACAGTGGAATCAGGAAGTGAAATCCTGTGGATGGAGAGTATGCAGAAAATAATTACAACAGGTGCAATTGCTCTGTAATTAAAGAGAGCACAATAGGGTGATTATAGTTAATAATTTATTATATGTTTCAACATAGCTAAAAGAGAAGATTTTACAGGTTCCTAGAACAAGTAAATAGTAATGTTTGAGGTGATGAATATTCTAAATAATCTGACCATTATGCATTGTATGCACAATGCAAAATATCACATGTACCCCATGAATATGTACAACGATTGTGTATCAGTAAAAAAACAAAAACAAAAAAAGAGCACTTGTCTGAGATTCAGTATATTGGATTCTAATCCCTTGTTTACTACTTTAGATCTGTTTGATTCAACCTCTTTGAGCATTTAGCTTGTCTTGTAAAATGAAATAGCTACCATGATACTTTCTCACTTAATTTATCAGAGCAATGACAAATATCTAATATAGCAAGGTATTTGAGTGCTTTAAAAGATTATAAATTTGTACTCAAGTATTGCTCACATTTACATTTTCCTTGGTTTATGAACTTTGACATTTTTACAATATGGATCATATTCCAGACACTATTTGAATGGTGTCCAAGTTCAGATAATTATCATGACTTAGCTTTTCTCAGTCCATTTAATGCAATTGTTATTTGATCATCTGACATCATACTGTACATGTAGGTTTTTCATTGGTTCTCTCTTTTATATACAACTGTAGATGGAGTGCCCCGGTCTTTGTCAGATGTTTTATTTAATGTCCAATCTCTAATGAGTGAGGAAAGCACGTTTAGCAAGGATGGAAATCTGCTGCCTGTGGCCTGTGACTTCTTCACACTTTCCTTTTACCACAAATTAGAGTTCTGGGGAGTTTCTGAACCAACTTAGTCACTTGGAGCTCATCATTAGACTGTTAGTACCTTTCATAATTATGACCTTTGAGGAGAGGCTTCTGATCTGTTGCCACTGGAATAAGAGTTTTTTTTTTTTTCTCTCTCTCTTTACAGTACTGTTCAGAATAACCACTATTTTTGATACAATCATTTGGAAGCAGATGTCCAGGTCTAATTGAATATGAACAAAGAATTTTTTTTAGATCAATTGTATTCTAGGTATTTCAAGAAGAAATATTTTTAATTTTAACCACAAATTGGTGATTCTTTTCTCTCCTTGCTTCTCCCTTCTTCCCTCTTTCCTTTCTTCTCCTCTTCCCATTTTTTTCTTTCCCTCTTCCTCTTCCAACTCTCTCTTTTTCTATCTCCCCCTAGAAGTATTTTAGCCTCTTTTAGTATTTTTTAAAACTAAAAACCAGTGATGAAAAATATATATATTCCCTAATTAAATCTAAATACATCGAAGTATTTTCAAGATTATGCAGACTAAAAATTAGTCGACTCAAATAATTTGCATTAACAAAATAATTTAAGTCTCATACATGCCAGTAAACAATGTTATACTATGTGATACAGTCTATCTGTTTTACTGGCCATTTCTTATAAATAAAAGAACTTCTGCATTCAGACCATAGATTCCAGATGAGGAAAACTTCTCAAGCTTTACATATAATTCTGTTTCTCTTTGGAGTTAGTAAATTTCTATTACCACAGCACAAGCCAATATATTGATAATATTTTGTAAAAGTTAAAAAAAATGGAAATGTCTTGAGACAAAAAATCCCATGAGGCTACAAGAAATAAATTTGGATTTAAAAATTCTTGAATACCTGAGACATTTTGAAGCTCTATGGAAACATATGCATGCATAGATAATTTGATATTTTACACACATACATCATGGAAACAATATCAACCTCAAACAAAAGAGATGTAGTAATTGAAAAATACAAATATATATATATATTTAAATTTTAACTTAGAGTAATAGTTTGAATGAATATCTCTGTATTATTTATGTTTCATCTTCTCATGGTTCAGCTATTATCATTTTCTGATTAAGTAACAGCTGATATCCCTAAATCTACTAAAATCTACATAAAATTGAGGTGGACATGTCAATTGCTTTCCATTTGACTTAATAAAGATTATGGAATAACAATAACAACAATAAAAATGGTAACTACCATTCTAAAATTCCACTGGAATAAAATGGTAGCAAGCATTTTAGAGAATATTCCTGGCACTACGCTAAGCACTTTACCTGCTGCTACTACTGCTAGTACTACTACTACTACTACCACACACACACACACACACACACACACACACACTCTTTAGCAACACAATGCATTTGATATTACTATATTTGTGCCACAGTTGACTAAGCAGAAGTTTAGAAAATTGATTAAATAGCCCAATTTAATACAACTACTTTAGCAGTTGAAGGACTTGAACTTGGCCTGATTGATTATTCTTTTAAATGAAAAGTCTCTACTCTGAATCTCTAGGATTGAGAACTAGAAGTGATCAACACCTAGATTCTGTGCTCAAGCCACAAGAGTCAAAATTGAATAAGTAGGTTGGAGAACTCATAAGTTAATAAAATCAATAGAATATACATGGATAAATGAAAGATAGAAATGTTTGAATGATAAGGTACAGAAGTAGAAGAGATAAGGTAATAAACTCAGGATTATACTAACTATGCTAAGGTAGTACACCTTAATTCTGCAAACACTATTGGAAAATTCTCACCCACAGCTCTGTTCTCTGTCACTTGACTACAGTTCCAAAACCTTAGCTTGCACATTTCTAATTTGTATGTCTGCATGCCTCTGAAAGTGCAGCAGTGTCATTGGAAAACAAGGGTCTTTGGTAGTGAAAACCTTGCTTCTCCACACCCACTCACCCTTTAATTATAAACTTAGACTTGAGTGCTGCACTTTGTACTCTGATTAGGGTAAGTATCTTCTACTCTACAGAATAGGCACTATGTTTCTGTATTAGATAACCAGCTCAAATAATGCTTTTGTGTAGGTCAAATTATAAAAATACGAGCATTAATTTATTGGAATATGGAGTGTTTCTTATAGCATCAGCACTTTATACTCATCATCTGAAAATTTTGGAGACAAATTATAAATTTTTAAGCAACTATTGTATAGACAGCAAAACTAGCAGCATTTTCCTTTTCCATATTAGTATCCTGTTTTTGTGCAAGGTAGGTGGATGTTGCAAATACAGAGGGTAGAAATTCTGAATGGCTTTCAAATATTTGGATAATCTGGGTTATCGGAATTTGGTGGAAACATATTGTCATTTGATTGTACTCAGCTCAGGGAAACAGGAGCATTACTGGGAGGAAATACTGTTAACAGTGTTGGTGAGCAGGATGAACGCTAACTAATCAGGGGAGAAAAGGGATTGAAGTTTCCAAGTAGCTCACATAGGTAGTTGTTTGTTCTATTTTGTGTTGTTTTGTGTGTAGAACAAGTTTATCACTTTTTTTTAATTTGAATGATATATTTTATTTTTTCATTTCAATAGGTTTTTGAGAAGCAGGTGGTGTTTGGTTACATGAATAAGTTTTTTGTGGTGATTTCTGAGATTTTGGTGCACCCATAACCTGAGCAGTGTGCACTGTACCCAATCTGTAGTATTTTAACCCTCACCCTTCCACTTTTCCCCCAAAGTTCCTAAAGTCCATTGTATCATTCTTATGCCTTTGCATTTTCACTTAAGAGTGAGAACATATGATGTTTGGTTTTCCATTCCTGAGTTATTTAACTTAAAATAATGGTCTCCGATTCCATCCAGGTTGCTATGAATGCCATTATTTCATTCCTTTTTATGGCTGAGTAGTATTCCATTATATATACCAAATTTCCTTTATCCACTGCTGGTTCATGGGCATTTGGGCTGGTTCCATATTTTTGCAATTGCGAATTGTGCTGCCATAAACATGTATGCACAAGTGTCTTTTTTGCATATGACTCCTTTTCCTCTGGGTAGATACTCAGCAGTCAGATTGCTGGATCAAATGGTAGGTCTACTTTGAGCTTTTTAAGGAGTCTCTGCACTGTTTTCCATAGTGGTTGTACTAGTTTACATTCCTACCAGCAGTGTAAAAATGTTCCCTTTTCACCACATCCACACCAACATCTATTTTTTTTTTATTTTTTAATTATGGTTAAAATGGATAAAATTACTCTTGCAGGAGTAGGGTGGTATCACATTGTGGTTTTGATTTGCATTTTCCTGATAATTAGTGATGTTGAGCATTTTTTCAAATGTTTATTGGCCATTTGTGTATCTTCTTTTGAGAAATGTCTATTCATGTCCTTAGCCCACTTTTGGATGGGATTATTTGTTTTCTTCTTGCAGATTTGTTTGAGTTCCTTGTAGATTCTGGATATTCCTCATTTGTCACATGCATAGTTTGTGAAGATTTTCTCCCACTCTGTGGGTTGTCTGTTCACTCTGCTGATTATTTTTCTTGCTGTGTAATAGCTTTTTAGTTTAATTAAGTCTCATCTATTTATCTTTGCTTATGTTGCATTTGCTTTGGGGTTCTTGGTCATGAAGTCTTTGCCTAAGCCAATGTCTAGAAGGGTTTTTCCAATGTTATCTTCTAGAATTTTTATGCTTTCAGGTCTTAGATTTAAGTCTTTGATCTGTCTTAAGTTGATTTTTGTATAAGGTGAGAAATGAGGATCCAGTATGATTCTTCTACATGTGGCTTGCCAGTTATCCTAGCACCATTCCTTGAATAGGGTGACCATTCCCCATTTTATGTTTTTGTTTGCTTTGTTGAAGATCAGTTGGCTGTAAGTATTTGGCTTTATTTCTGGGTTATTTGTTCTGCTCCCTTGGTCTATATGCTTACTTTTACACCAGTACCCTGCTGTTTTGTTGACTATAGCCTTGTAGTATAGTTTGAAGTCAGGTAATGTGATACCTCCAGATTTATTCTTTTTGCTTTGGCTATGTGGGCTCTTTCATGGTATCATAGGAATTGAAGGTTTTATTTCTAGTTATGTGAAGAATAATGATAGTATTTTGATGGGAATTGCATTGAACTTGTAGATCGCTTTTGCAGTATTGTCATTTTCACAAAATTGAGTTTACATATCCATGAACATGGGATGTTTTTCCATTTGTGTTGTCTATGATTTCTTTCAGCAGTGTTTTGAGGTTTTCCTTGTAGAAGTATTTCACCTCCTTGGTTAGGTATATTCCTAAGGTTTTTTTTTTTTTTTTTTGCAGCTATTGTAAAAGGGGTTGAATTCTGAATTTGACTCAGCTTGGTCGTGTTAGTGTAAAGCAGTGTTACTGATTTGTGTACCTTGATTTTGTATCCTGAAACTTTACTGAATTCATTGATCAGCTCTAGCAGCTTTTAAGATGAGTTTTTAGGGTTTTCTAAGTATACAATCATATCACTGGCAAACAGCAAAATTTTGATTTCCTCTTTGCCAACTGTAATTCACATTATTTTGTTCTCTTGTCTAATTGCTCCGGCTAAAACTTATGGTACTACGTTGAATAGAAGTGGTGAAAGTTGGCATCCTCACCTTGCTTCAGTTCTCAGGGGGAATGCCTTCAACTTTTCCCCATTTAGTATAATGTTGACTGTGCATTTGTCATAGATAGCTTTTATTACCCTAAGATATGTTCCTTCTATGCTGATTTTGTTGAGGGTTTTAATCATAAAGGGATGCTGAATTTTGTCAAATGCTTTTTCTGCATCTATTGAGATGATCATGTGATTTTTCTCTTTAATTCTGTTTATGTGGTGCATCACATTTATTGATTTGCATATGTTAAACCATTCCTGCATCCCTACTATAAAACCTGCTTGATCATAATGGATTATCTTTTTGATATGCTTTTGAATTCAGTTAGCTAGAATTGCAATGAGGATTTTTGCATCTATGTTCATCAGGGACATTGGTCTTTAGTCTTATTTTCTTGTTAGGTCCTTTCCTGGTTTTGGTATTAGGATGATGCTGGCTTCATAGAATGATTTAGGGAGGATTTCCTCTATCTTTTGGAATAGTATCAACAGGATTGGTACCAATTATTCTTTGAATTTCTAATAGAATTCAGTTGTGAATCCATCTGGTTTTGGACTTTTATTTGTTGGCAATTTTTAAATGATCACTTCAATCTCACTGCGTGTTATTGTTCTGTTCAGAGATTTGATTTCTTCCTGGTTTAATCTAGGAGCTTGTATATTTCCAGGAACTTATCCATCTCCTCTAGGTTTTCTAGTTTGTGCATGTAAAGGTGTTCATAGTACCCTTGAATAATCTTTCATATTTCTGTGGTATCAGTTTTAATATCTTCCATTTTGTTTCTAATTTAGCTTTGGATCGTCTCTCTTCAGTTAATCTGACTAATGTTCTATCAATTTTATCTTTTCAAAGAAACAGCTTTTTGTTTCATTTATCTTATGTTTTTTGTTTCAATTTCATTCAGTTCTGCTCAGATCTTTGTTATTTCTTTTCTTTTGCTAGGTTTGGGTTTGGTTTGTTCTTGTTTCTCTAGTTCCTTGAGGTGTAACCTTAGATTGTCTATTTGTGCTCCTTCAGACTTTTTGATGTAGGCATTTAAGGCTATGAACTTTCATCTTAGCACCATTTTGCTGTATCCATTTCCATCTTGATTTCATTGTTGACCCAAAGATCATTCAGGAGCACGTTATTTAATTTCCATGTATTTGCATGGTTTTGAGAGTTCCTTTTGAAGTTGATTTTCAGTTTTATTCCACTCTGGTCTGAACGAGTACTTGATATAATTTCGATTTTCTTAAATTTGTTGAAACTTGTTTAGTGACCTATCATATGATCTATCTTGAAGAATGTTCCATGTGCAGTTGAATAGAATGTATATTCTGCAGTTGTCAGTGGGATGTTCTGTAAATGTCTGTTAAGTTTGTTTGTCTAGGGTATACTTTAAGTCCATTGTTTCATTGTTGACTTTCCATCTTTATGACCTGTCTAGTTCTTTCAGTTGAGTATTGAAGTCTCCCACTATTGTTTTCTGTCTATCTCATTTCTTAGGTTTACTATAAATTGTTTCAAAAATTTGGAAGCTCCAGTGTTAGGTGCATTTATATTTAGGACTGTGATATTTTCCTGTTGCACTATACCTTTTATCTTTATATAATGTCCCTCTTTGTCTTTTTTTTAATTGTTGTTGCTTTAAAGTTTGTTTTGTCTAATATAAGAATAGCTACTCCTACTTGCTTTTGGTGTCCATTTGCATGGAATATCTTTTTCTACTCCTTTACCTTAAGTTTATATAAATCCTTATCTGTTAGGTGAGTCTCTTGAAGATTGCAGGTATTTGGTTGGTGAATTTTTATCCATTCTCCCATTCTGTATCTTTTAAGTAGAGCCTTTAGGCCATTTACACTCAGTGTTAGTATTGAGAGGTGAGGTATTATTCTATTCATCATGCTAGTTATTGCCTGAATACCTTGTTTTTGTTGTTGTTGTTGTGTTATTGTTTTATAGGTCCTGTGAGGTTGATGCTCTAAGAAAGTCCTATTTTGGTGCATTTTGAGGTTTGTGTTTCAGGATTTAGAACTTCTTTTAGTAGCTCTTGTAGTGCTGGCTTGATAGTGGCGAATTCTCTCAGCATTTATTAGTCTGGAAAAGACTATCTTTCCTTTATTTATGAACCTTAGTCACTGGATACAAAATTCTTGGCTGATAATCATTTTGTTGTAGGAGGCTAAATATAGAACCCCAATCCCTTCTATCTTGTAGGGTCTCTGCTGACAAATCTGCTGTTTATCTGCTAGGTTTTCCTTTCTAGGTTACCTGATGCTTTTGACTCACAGCTCTTAAGATTCTTTCATTCTTCTTGACTTTAGATAACCTGATGACTATGTGCCTAGGCAATGATCCTTTTGTAATGAATTTCCCAGATGTTCTTTGAGCTTCTTGTATTCGAATGTTTAGGTCTCTAGCACCTCCAGAGAAGTTTTCCTCAATTATTCCTTCAAATATGTTTTACAAACTTTTAGATTTCTCTTCTTCCTCAGGAACACCAATTATTCTTAGGTTTGGCTGCTTAACATATCCCAAACTTCTTGGAGGCTTTTTTCATTAAAAAAAAAATCTTTTTTCTTTGTCTTTATCAGATTGTGTTAATTCAAATCCTTGTCTTTGGGCTCTGAAATTCTTTCTTCTATTTGTTTGATTCTATTGTTGAGAATTTCCAGGTATTTTGCATGTCTACAAGTGTGTCCTTCATTCCCATAAGTTGTGATTGTTTCTTATGCTACCTATTTCTCTGGAGATTTTTCCATCCATATCCTATAACTTTTTTTTTTAATTTCTTTAAGTTGGTATTCACCTTTCTCTGGTGCCTCCTTGAGTAGCTTAAAAATTGACCTTCTGAATTCTTTTTCTGGCAATTCAGATACTTCATCTTGGTTTAAATCAATTGCTGGTGAGCTAGTGTGATCTTCTGGGGTTGTTAAAGAACCTTGTTTTGTCATAGCACAGGAATTGTTTTTCTGACTCCTTCTCATTTGGGTAGATTATGACAGAGAAAAGATCTCAGTTCTTTTGTCCAATATGTGTTTATTTGATGTGGTGCTCTCCCTCTTCCCCTAGGAATGGGGCTTCCTGAGAGCTGGACTGCAGTGATTGTTATTTCTGTGTCTAGCCACCCAGTGGAGCTACCAGGCTCTGGGCTGGTACTGGGAAGTGTCTGCAGAGTCCTGTGATATGATCAATCTTCAGGTCCCTCAGCCGTGGATACCAGCACCTGCTCCAGTGGAGGTAGCAGGAGGGGAGTGAGGTGGACTGCCATGCTCCCTCAACAGCACCGAGTTTATATGCAGGCAGCCAGTGAGTGGAGCTGGGAACTTGCCCCAGGCTACAAGCCTCCCTGCTGAGAAAACAAGCAGGATTTCAGGCTTCGCCCCTCCCCACAATGCTTTCTGTGCTCTCTCCCTTCACCCCAACCCCCCAGTTCTGCCCTGGAAAATTTGCACTCTGTTGAAATTATTACAAAATTACAAAAAGCCAGATGTTTTCTTCTCCCTGTGGCCTTTCCCCAATTCCACTGGCAGCCCTCCCCAAGGACACCTGTGAAATAAAGTCAGAAATGGGTTCCCTGGGCTTCCTTAGGGGCCAGAAGTGCCTACAGGGCTCTTCCTGCTGCTGCTTCTACTTTTATATTCCTTTCAGCTCTCTAAATTCATTTCAGCTCTAGGTAAGGTTAAATCCTTCTCTCTCATGAAGGATTTAACCTAGAAGGATTTAACCTTACCTAGAAAAATTTAACCTTATCTAGAGCTGAAATGAATTGGGGTGAGGATGTGTGTTCAGAGGTAGACTTTCCCCATCTCACATTTTGGGCACTCACAGCTTTTCAGCTGTCTCTCGGAGTTTGCAGCAACAAGCTGCTTCTTTCAAAGGGTCTGTGAATTCTTTTGGTTTTACTGGTATGTTCCTGTGGTAGTTCTTGGAGCAAAAGCTCATAATGTGAGTCTCCACCCACTGTTCTGTCCATCCGAGTGGGAGCTGCAAGTTAGTCCTACCTCCTATCCACCATTTTCCCGATCTGAAGGGTATAAAGTTTATCTCCTTATGAAGCAATAAAAAAAGTTGCCTTCAGAATAAAACCACTGATTATCATATAGGAGTTTGATTTCATGTAGCATGTTTTAAAACAATTTTTAAATGCAGTTTTAAAATTTCATTTAGTTTTACCTCTTATCATCATGAATTTATTGATAATAATAAAAGTTAACATGTATCAATTTTTTTCTTTTCTGATTTTAGTGCTATTATATTTTCAACCAAAAGTATGGATAGGTGGTTTAAAATAGAAAATTTTAAGCACAGCAAATCATAAGCAATGAATATGCACAAAATTATGAAGGGTATTTAGAAACACCCATGAAGTATTACAATAGTCATAGCATACTTCCAGAGGCTGACTGTGAGTAAAACAGAAAATGATATAAGCACTCATCTAATTACAATGAGTAGATGGTTGTAAAAATCAGCAGTAAATTTAGAAAATCAAAACTATACCAGGATGTATATTTAAAATATTATTCTTATTGTTTGAAATTTATGTATGTGTAAAACTTGATAAGAAAGGAAACTGAAGCAAGTCAAACATTTTGTGAAACTATTATTTTTGCAACAATACTAATATATACATTTTTTTAAAGATTAGACCTTTTAAAATATGCTGCCAATTTTTAAAAAGGTCAAGGAGAAACTATAGTGTATATGTTACAGAACCTATGGGGAGAAAAAAAGGGAGAAATACATATATTTGTATAGTAAGTAAGTACTTATGCCTTATGCCTTTCCCTTTATATATTGAAAAGAGACAGAGAGACAGAGATAAAAATAAAGATACCTATATATTCATAAATGTATGGATTATCTCTGAAACCGAAAACAAGTAGCTAGTAACGGGAGTTGCTTTGGGGAGCAAAGAACTGGGAGGCAAGAAGTCAGAGTAGGAAGAAGACTTACTTTGAGTCATATATCCTTTTATAGTATTTGAATATTTTTTC
The DNA here is from genome assembly GCF_000001405.40 of Homo sapiens. Lineage (NCBI taxonomy): Eukaryota > Metazoa > Chordata > Mammalia > Primates > Hominidae > Homo > Homo sapiens. Next base: position 55,107,251 of record NC_000006.12, on the reverse strand, counting down.
AAGCATGCTCATTTCCATTTCAAAGATAATGCTATAAGACTTTATAAATGATCAATTTTTAAAAATCATAAAATTTTAAAGAATAATTACCAGAAAATATTTTGCACCTACAAACAAGACATCTACACGGAAAGTAAGAAAATGACAAATGTAGATAAACCAGCAAGCAGTAATTTGCTTATGTGCCCTTTGCAATCACTTGCAGAATCACCTTGAAAAGAAAGACAGTCATAGCAATCACTTACAATCACCTTGGAGAGTCACACTAGAAGGTGCTTTCATGACTCCTTGAATTACAGATAGTCACCTCTGTCTGAGATTGAAAACGTTAAGTATCTTTTTCAATAAACAAGCTAAACACAGGCCCCTTTACAGCCTACATGAGTGATATGAGCAAAAGGGGCATGTAGGCATGTGCAAAAGATTTGTATAAAATAACAGCACATAGGCTGAATTTAACCCAGGGTTTTGTCAGGACTAGCTTCATATATTTACCATGATGATGTCTGAGAAAACGGAATCTGTAGAATGCTTGGTGGTTAACAAAAAGTTGAAAAATGGTGGCAAAATATTTAATAAATTGTCTTTAATAAATCAGAATATTCCTTAGGACGATTTCTAAAACATGGTTGCTATTCAATAAATATTTATTGAATTGACTTGAATAAATAGAAAAAATATAGAGTAAATGAATTAAAGTACATACCTTGAATGCTCAAATTCCACCTTCACTAAAAATAACTCACTTCAATATATTCACCTCTTGATTTGTTTCAGTGAGTCAAAAGGAATGCTGAAAACAGTAACTTTTATTATACGTAATAAGATCTTTTGTAATTACATAAGCAGTAACCTTGAGATCTTGCTGTGCTCTGATAGGTTGGCAGGGAAGTTGCTGGTAAGAGTTTTTAAACTCAAGGTTGAATTAATATCTGTCTCCGTGGGAGAAAATAGTCAGCACAAAGGGGTAAGAGCTATAGGAGGTGAGTAATTCCATGCGTTTTTAAGAGTGAAGAATGGTCCATAGTTGACAAACTCAGCAGAATTTTTTAAGACTGAATTTCCATTAACACTACAAGGCATTATAATAATATTCTTCTCTTTTCTTTTTTAAGTACACTTAACAAGACCACTCCAGTGAAGACAGAATTTTAGATTTCAATCTAGAAAGCTTCTTGCAGTGGTATAAGTAATTTGAGTATATTAATCTACACATTAAAAAAGGCATAATTAGTAATCTGATTTAGTTGAGGAAAGCACTTGAGCTGGGATTTCCTTTGACCAATAGAAAATACTAACTGGTTGCTCAAAAACCATTTTACTCTCATATATATGTGCGACTCTACTCTCGAAAGGAAGATATTTCTAATGATATTTTCAGCAGTAACCTAAAAATATTGCTTTACCCTATCCTTTGGTAAATGCTATGCTGAATACTTCTCTTCAGTGATTACTATGAGATATTCATTAATCAGTGAAAATATGATATAATTTGAATCCATACATGTATATACATCAAAACTCTTAAAATAGTATGATACCTAGATAGATAGTAGGAATTTCCAAGAAGCTGCAAATGATATGAAATGAAAATTCAGTTGCCTGAAATTCACATAAAATATTGCCTGATCCATACAGGGGGGTTTAATATTGTTCTAGGCAATAGGCTAAGTTCTGCATGTGACGTTACAGTGAAACTTCAGAGCAACACTTGCTATGTAGTAAGTGCTGCTTTCTTCCTAATTATATAAGGGAGAACAACTGTATGTAGGACATACTATTTCATTCCCAATTGTGTAAGTGGCTTGCCCAAGACTGTAAGTGGTGAAGACAAAATTGAACCCAGGATGTTTGACTCCCTGTTCTAACTACAGGAAAAACCTTGTTCTATAACTCCCTGAGATGGATAGGAAACTTTATTGTTTTTATGGTAACTCATTTAAGATAATAAAGTATTTATATTATAGAGCAGATTGTAAAATATCACATTTTGTGATAAAACTTCAAAGAAATTTTCAGAGATGTGCATTTGTCTCCGTAGTCTTGCATTTCTTGACGGAAAAGATTAAGAGGCATTGCTACTGGCATAATTATTATTGTTGCTTATGTTTCTCTTTGATCCATCCCAAATTTGAAGGAAGGGCATAAAAATAGGGAGTAATTTCTTCCACCCCATAACAACCATATGTCCCTAAAGTTGCAGCTACATTTAAAAGGTAGTGTAAATTAGTCAAGAGATTCTAATAAGACATATGGTGAAACTATCATTTTTAAATATGGACTTAACAGAAAGAGAGATACAGGATTTTCAAATCAATGATCTTAAAGTCATTGTATTTCTTCCCTCAAATGTATATCTTTCAGATTTTCCATTAATATATAAAAAGGAAGCCATTTCTTTTAACATGCAAACCAGTTCATCTTTTAATACTTTCTATGAAAGAAATGTTTGCTTAGTAAATACATTTTTTTTCCAGAGGATGTGCTATATTTGTTTCTACTTGAATATTTCTACAAAATAGTATCCCTTATATAACATGGATTTGTATTTTCAGACATTTAAAGAAAGCATACTAAATGTATACAGCAGATCATCACAAAACATACATATCAAAGCTGTTACTGAATTTGTATCAAAAATATCAAAAAATAGATGTCTGAGTAACTTAGGTTGTATAATATAGTCCATTTGAGATTGTATACAAAGGCTTAGAAAGCCACTCAAAACTGCAATATATTTCAGAACTTCAAAGGACAAGAAAAAAGCATGTAAATGGTTTTGTTTTCCTTTGTTCTTGCTTTCTTGAGTTGTGAAATAGGAATTCATTGAGTCCCATCAAGAGCGACGCCTGAAAACCACTGAATTAATAGTAATGCCATAGAACCTAACCAAAGGCCTTTGTTTCCTGGCCAGATATCATTAACCATTCCCCAAAGCTTACCTAAAGCACATGGAAATACTTTATTTGGAGCACACAGTGTTAACATTTTAAAAAATGAATTATTTACCAACAGTTAAAGTGAGAGTATCTCTGAATTTTTAGGTTCTCTTGGCAAGTCAGATGATCTGATTACTTCTATCTCCCAATGGCTGAAGCTGAATATCAACTGGCTCCTCCTTGCCTCCCATCATTCTCTTTCCTCCTTCCCTCAGCCTGCTTTATGCCTGCCTACTGCTTGACTGGTTCTTGAAAACATTTGAGTTTAACAACCCTTGCACTTACCCAAGTTTCATCATTTAATTTCCACATTTCTGTTCATAGCACACATATTTCTATAGAGTTTAAGCAAAAACAATTTTCCAAACACCTTTTTTTATCCCATTTTATTCTTTAATTCCAACTCTAATCAGTCACAGAGTCTGCGTGTCTGTAAGACATACCACCACTGCCCTCATCCAGGACCAAAGACTTCATGGCTGGATAACTGTCAGTAGCCCTCCTAGTTTAATTTCTGATTCTCCTTTCTTCCAAACTTAAGCCATTACTAACCAGAGTCATCTTCCCAATTTTTTTCACCTTCTTACTTACCTATGTGTACTTACTAATCTTGCCAAGGTATGCTGTTGTTTATTTTTAGTACTATAATATATTTCGGGTTCCTAAGTATCTTATTATGGATGGTTATCTTAACCTGAAGTTATTTTTGCTACCTTCTCCAAATGACTGCTATTGGAAGACTTGGAGCTTTCCTTTTTTGCCATTTATGATCAATGACCTCTCCTTTCTTGAAGATCTTACTAATTATCTCCTCTCAGTTTTTGTTTCATTCTTCCCTAATTCTCTATTCCCTAATATATCATTGCTGTGGTCTGAATGATTAAGATTACGGTTACCCCTCAAATCCATATGTTGAAACTGAATTACCAATGTCATAGTATTACCAGGTAGGGCCTTTAGGAGGTGGTTAGATCAAGAGGTCAGAGCCCTTGTACAAAAAAGTTCCAGAGAGCTGCCTGTCCCTCCCACCGTATGAGGACACAGTGAGAAAGCGCCATCTGTGAACCAGGAAACTAGACCTCAGCAGACATCACATCTGTCAGCACCTTGATCTTGGACTTCTCAGCCTCCAGAACTGTAAGCAATAAATGCCTGTTGTTTACAAGCCACCCAGTTTATGGCATTTTGTTAGCAGTTCAAATAAACTAAGATAATCAAGACTTTTAAATGGTAAGAGGTATGTTTTCTTCTGTGTATTCAGCAATGTGATTGACAGAACATGAATATTCAATACATTTTTGAAATGAAGTGAATTAAATTATATAAATCATAAATACTACTCCCCAGCCTAATTTTTGACCAAGTTAAAGAATTTTTAAACTAGAAAAAGGAACCAGCAATGCAGAGAATGAGGCATTGAAACACATTTAAGTTTTGAAGTAAAACAGATAGTGTCTGAATCTAATTTGGATCCGAATCACTGCTTAATAGCTAGGGAACCAGAATTAAGTTCTTTAAGATCAGAATTTAATAGTCCTCAGTTATAAACTGAAATTAATTATTCAGAATAATAATATCAGCCTCCCAAAGTATCTCAAGAATGAAATATGTTCATCTACTTAACATGAAAATACACTGGCTGTTTATAGACCGTGCTCTGCACACATGGAGTACCTCGTAATATTAGAATTATATTTCGGAAAAGCCAACCAAAGTAAGATCATTCAAATATAATTCATCACCTTCATAGCTAACGGTTCTAGGTTCTACATGCAAAGAAGTAAAAGCACCTGTTGATCCCTATATATTTATACAACAAATATTTCTTTATCTACTGCTCTGTGCCAAGCACTATGCTGGACAGTGACAATATTGTGGTGAGAAAAACTAGAACTGATTTCTAACCACATGGGATTAATAATCTGTCGAAGAAAATAGGGGCAGACATTTAGAAAATAATAGCAAGTGTTACTAAGTGTTAGAAGGAAGAAATGCACAGTACTGTGGCAACATATATCAAAAGAATCTAATACAGCAGGAAAGGAATGCCCTGAGAAGTCATCTTTATTCTAAGATCTGAAAATCAGTAAATGTGGACTGGGCAAAAAGATGGGTTCAGGGGAGAGAAGTGAGGATTAGAGTAAGCATGGGAATGAAAGAATGAGATGTGTTTAGGAGACATTTCTAAAAAAAACCCGCTAACTTCATGGTACACTGTAATGACACAGAAAGAAGGCCCACATGGCTGAGTGGAGAGCATGGGCCTAAGGGGTGGCACACAGAAAAGCTGGAGAGGCAGAGACTACCCTAAAAAAGTCTTACAAACACATTCAGAATTTTGGATATAGCTTTTTAGTGCAATAGGAATCCATTGAGATACTTCAAATACGGGGAGCATATAATCATATTGCCTCTTATTATTGGTTCAAGGTTTTGAAAATTTATTTTATTTTGAGATAATTGTCATAATTATTTTACAAAAAGGCCTTTGCTTAGGAAGTGATAAGGGAGAAAAAAAATGAATGTGAAGAAATGAGTATGACTCTAGTGATTTAGGTAGAGTGAGTCTTTTTCTTTTTTTTAATTTCATCCTTTATCTTTTTGGGGAACCATCTCACCCCTATTTCTAATCTAAGTGGTATGCTGAAGCTAATTCCACTCTTTCTATCCAGGGGTTGGATGCCCAGAGTAGCCACTTTTCTCATCATTATATTGGTCCTGGATTTAATAATATACCCAAAGAGGGAAAACCAGTTCTTTTTGAGGAGCTAATACAGATGCTGAGGGAAGAAAATCTTCCCTTGTTGGGGAAAGCTGATGCTAAAGATCATGTCAATCTGAGCTTCTGAGGGTGCATACTAACCAAGCTAAATCCAGCAGAAAGGAGAGCTAAGTGGTCATTTGGATTTCAGTCACTGGAAACTAGAAAGTGCTGACTACTAGACTAGGTGAGAGATGATGGTGGTTTTGACCAGTGTGGTGGTTGGTAGAAAGAATGCAGAAAAGAAAAAGAGAGAGCAATACACTATATAAAACTGATGTTAAAAAGAAATGTAAATAGGTCAAGTTTACAATTTAAATAGCGCTACTCAAATTAAAAATATTGAATTTATGTGAGAATGCTTCTCACATGCAAGATACGCAACACATATTTGTTGAATTTCATCTGATGAAGAATGAGAAACCAGCCGGAGAATATTTGTATTGATTTACTTTGTCACCAAAATTCTGGCAAAACACGGAATAAAAATATCTAGCCCTTGCTTTCCAAAGCAAAGATGACATTCACAATTTTATTTTCTCTTCTTCTGTCTTTCAGCACAGCTCTGAAGCAGTATGCTGCCCAGGTGGCAGAGTTAAGTGGCACTTCTGGGTTTGTTCTGTATATAGGCACTTCTGAGGCAGACTCCTTCATGCCTCTGATCTTTGCTGGGTTTGGCAATCACTCTCTTGACTCTGAAATTATGAACTCAGCGAGTTGATAAAGTAACAAGTTACTTTTTAAAGTGGTGCCAGCGTTCAAATTGTGATGCTTTTTCAAGGAGTCATGCTTAACACTGACTGATTTTAAAGCAGATTCAAAAACCAAGACATAGATTAAGGCAATTTCATCAACAACAACTCTGTGCTTGCTCTAACACAGTTTTACTACACTGATTTTATGGAAAATAGACCAAATTGTACCAAAATGTGTCTATCAAAGCTACCTAAATTTTATTTTGTTTTAGAGCTTGATCTTTCCAAGGACAACTCACTAGCAGTGTGTGGTTTCCTGGATTGACTCCCACAGCCCCATTTGTCACTTACCTAAACCCTGACAGAACTTCTCTAAAAAGTAAGTGATTCGTTATAACTATGGCCTTTTCTTCACTATTGAGCACATTCACAGTTTTACCTACTTACTTGGGAAAAATCTTTCCATCCTGCAGTTTCTGTGACCCTAAGTTTCTCTAATTCTCCTGCATCACTGACATTTGATTTTTCAATTTCTTTTCATTTTCTGAATCTGTGCCACAAGATTCTATCTGAAGCTATAGATCCCTCATTTTCTACATCCCGTTTTCTCTGACTTTATTTTAGGCCCTTATGTCTTATTATAAAAAAAAATACCTTCCCAAATAGATATTTATCTTTCCATCATGTTAAACACAACATTCCCAAAGTGAAATAATTAATTTTCTTCCTAAATGTGCCTTTGGATGTTTTTCTCTAAATAAAGTGAGGCACAACAGAAAGATCATTTATTTTGAGTATTAAAATGAGAAAGGAACATATTTGAATATTTTATTTTAATAAATGTGGTTAAATGAGCTTTCTCATACAAAGCTATAAATTATGTTTAGAAAGGTATCCTATTCTCATTCATATTATATTGTATTTTAGAAAAAGAGAAAAAGGTGCAACTGTTATTTTCCTGTCACATTGTTTTGTTGACTAATAATTTGCATTTTTATCTTTGTTTTTGCATGACAAAAATATGAATGTACCTACTATTTTCCAAAAGTTGGTTTCTAGTAGTCTATACAATTTATTTTCTTCAGCATTTAAATGAGAGGTGCTCATTCAACTGGATTCCTTTACTATGTGCTGCTTTACATTGGCTGAGGAAAGCTAATATTAATTGGTACTGTCTATATGACACTGAACTAGTCATTTAAAATGAACTACCTCTTTTAATCTTCATGGTGGCATCAGAAGGTAACAATGCTAGATGGTGCAGCCAGTATTCAAACTCAGGTCACTTTAACCCCAAGTTCACACTATTTCCACTACTTCAAGATGGCATCATAATAAATAAGACACGTTCCAGACAATGTCCTACATAGTATGTGTGTGTTCACTTTTAAGGGGGTGGTTGGATTTACAAAATCCTGAAGATATGTGTTGTTAATCTATTCTTATTTTTGATTTCTAATTTTTACATTAAAAGATATGAGATCAGAATTAAATACTTCAACCTGAGCTAAAGACACGTACTCATGAAACCATGAAGAGATGCTTAAAATTCCAAATTAACAAGCTTAAAAAAAAAAAAACGCAAGGAATTTATTATGGAAAGCCCACCCCCAGAGGCAAAAACCGTGTGCCTCCTTTGATTTAGCCTTTTCAACAGTTGGTCCCATCACTTTAAATATATATATGTGTGTGTGTTTCTATGTCTTGAGGCATCAATTTTAGACAATATCATTGTTTAAATGTCATATAAATATAACTAAATATATATGCATTGAGTAATCACTTTTAAATAACATAATTCACTCTCTACTGCAAAACTGAGGAATTTCTCACACTACACTCCTAATCTACCATTATATACGTATGTATGTGTATTGTCTATATATGTACACACACATACACATTTTAAGTCCTTTAAGTCCTTATTTTGGTTATTTTTACAACTTAAATTATACTTTTTTTTTTTTTTTGGAGATGGAGTCTCGCTCTGTCACCCAGGGTGGAGTGTTCAGTGGCACGATCTTGAGTCACTGCAACCTCCGCCTCCCAGGTTCAAGCATTTCTCCTGCCTCAGCCTCCCGAGTAGCTGGGACTACAGGCACAAGCCACCACACCCAGCTAATTTTTTGTATTTTAGTAGAGACAGGGTATCACTGTGTCACCCAGGCTGGTCTTGAACTCCTGAACTCAGGCAATCCGCTCTTCTCGGCCTCCCAAAGTGCTAGGATTACAGGCGTGAGCCACCGTGCCTGGCTTAAATTATACTCTTATAGCTCTATTTTTGTTCCATTAACTTCAATCAGTAATTTGTGGGCTCTTCTATGAAAAATGAGAATGTTCTTCCTCTACACTTCCCTCTTCTTTTTTCTCTTCTCCCATCATACCTCTTTTACTCATCTACTTTATATCACCAAGATTGCAAAAATTTGCACACTATTCTATATCCAAACATATATCACCCATTGTTAATTCATCAATTGTCTCTAATTGTGGTAAACTAATAAAAGATTATTTAAATTTTGTTCACTGTAAACTCAGACTTGATTGAAATCTGATAGTAACTATGAATATATTATATTGAAATATAATAATTAAAACAAAATTGGAAAGGATTTCAAACACTAGAAAAACCTCTTTCCAATTCACTACGCTTCCTCCTGTTATTGCTCAGTGCACTTAGCATGGTGTAGCTATACATTGTTAGTGTTAGCATAAAGGATGTTCTGCAGGCTTTGTTCTTGTTGTTTGCCTAACACACTGCATTATAAAACTTTGATTTGGAGATATCCCTATTAGAGACAATTAAGCTTTTCTTAGGAAGAAAGATATGAATAAAATAGGAGAATAGATGCCTCTCCTACTCAGTCTTCAAAATCAAGGTAATTTATGATTTGAGATATATGACATACGGTTGCCAAAGTGGCTGACTATAGCCTTTCTGAAGTAACAAAGAAACAAGGCACTTGGAAGAAAATAATGCTTAGACCAGGATGTATCTCCACAACCAGGGCGTGAGGATATTTAGTTTAACAATAGGTAGTACTGAGATTCTGACAGTTAAACGACCCAGGATTCATATAATATTCTTTTGAGAGATCCCAAGAGTCAGGGCTACAGGGAACTTAGTTTTCCTAGCCAGAAGTAGAATGATTAATAAATGCTCAAGAGATGAAAAGTTTTCGGTATACAACAGTTAATGCAATTTTGTCATGTCTCAAAAAAAATCAGAGTGGATTCCCAACCTGTGATAATACTACAAATAAGAAGCACAAGGCCTTAAAGGGTAGCTCCATTAACATCTTCTTTGATGTAGCTGAAGCAATGTTTATCTTGCATTTCCATTTTTATACATGCATATACAAACAAACTCTTCACTTGAAAGTAGGGCTTTAACTTTGCTAAGATAATTTCTCAAAATCAAGGAAAGCAATTAACTTTACTTTCTGCATGTATCTGCCAATCTATGTGAATCAGAAAAATTACCTTATCAATGTAAAATAAGTCAAATGATTTAAGATATGGTATATCTACCTTGGCTTTTCTCTCATGCTATATACACCGCAGCATGTGGTGCAAACATAATTTCACATTTATTCTGGCATAGAATAGTTGGACATTTCAAAAATCAAGGGAAATAACCCAAATAAGCAAAGAAACAAAAACAACAATGACTCTGTCCATCTATCTATCTATCTATTTATCCATTTATCTATCTAATCTATCTATCTATCTTATATATAGAGAAAAAGAGAATGGACAACCACAGACCACAAAAAGAAAAATCTTCAAGCTATATTAGTAAAAGAAGAAAGGACACAAAAATTGTGCTTATCTCTATGAATCTCAATAGGGGGTGGATTTATTTGATTGAAAGAAAACAGTTGTTGAGAAACCATAATCAATAAGGTTTTAATTCAAAAATGAAAGGACAGATTATGAACAAGCCACAGGAAACTAAATAAGTTATTTGACTGCAGAATTCGCGGCAGGTAGAAATGAAGGAGGACAGAAAGAGAGGTAAGTTTTGGTGTTATCATTCCTTTGAATAGTGGCATTGCTCATTGTGCTTTTCAATCTGAACACTTAAAAATCAGAGAAACTGGATGTCTGTGAATCGGGTGGAGAAACAAACAGAAGATAAAATTAGCTTTGCAGCTGATGATCAATGTGAGCTAAAAAGAAATGAATAAAATACAAACTAAAGACCTGTTACTTGTAAGACACAAGTGTTACTACAGACTTACCATCTGGGTGATTCATCTGCTGATGTATAAAATAAAATGTGGTAACTGGGCATGGTGTCTCACACCTATCATCTCAGTGCTTTGAGAGGCCAAGGCAAAAGGATTGCTTGTAGCCAGGAGTTTGAGATAAGCTTGGACAACATCACAAAGCCCTGTCTCTACAAAAAAAAAATTGTAAAAAAAATTAGCCAGGTATGATCATACGTGCCTGTAGTCCAAGCTACTCAGTAGGTTCAGGCAGGAGAATTCATTGAGCCCATGAATTTGAAGCTGCAGTGAGCCATATGATTGCACCACTGCACTCTTAACCTGCGCAAAAGAGCAAGACACTGTCTCTACAAAAATAAAAATAAAAATTAAAAAAAAAATGTGGAAATATGATGGAAAAAGTGAACACAAAGGCAGAGAACATGGTAAAGTTAATAAGAAAGTGTTTCAAGACTGAATGACCAAATGGACATTTAGCCCAAGTCATTCCTCTGACCATCATTATACAAGTCTGAAAAAGAGGAGGTCCAAACAAAATCTCTTTCTCATTAATTATGAACAGAAAATATCTGGAAAGAAATAAAAACGTAGATACTACTTCCCCAGCAACCCCCCACAAAGTGAACATAACAACAAAAGAGGCAGGCAAATGTCTTTTAGTAAAAGGCTTACTGAAGGAAAGATACATTTAAATACATTGAAAACAAACTCAAAAGATGAAAATAGACATAAGTAAACAGCTATAGAATTTGAAGACACAGTAAAAAAAAAAATGTTAAAGAGGTAAGAATATATAACAGGGACACTAGGATCAAAAAGCGAATATTTTTCTCATCTTAAGCAACCAGAAAACTAGACAAAATTTATCAAATAACAGTTTCCATTATGTGATCACTTTTTTTTTTTTTTTTCTGAGACGGAGTCTTTTTCTGTCGCCCAGGCTGGAGTGCAGTGACACGATCTCTGCTCACTGCAAGCTCAGACTCCCTGGTTCACGCCATTCTCCTGCCTCAGCCTCCCCAGTAGCTGGGACTACAGGCACCCGCCACCACCCCGTCTCTACTAAAAATATGATTTGATCTCTAAGAGAAAGAAAGTAAAGAAAGACCTATAATCACTCTAACTTTCTGCCCAAGGAAATACCTTACTGCAGAGCATGTTGGTTTCACTGAGTTGAGTAGACAGATATCAGATTTCAGGGAAGCTGAGGCAGCTGGAAGTTGCAGAGTTAAGTTTTAGACTGGAGGGAGTTCGATTTAAAAACAAAACAAAAGAGCTCCAGGGATTTGCATGGAGTTCCATGGGCTCCTTGCTGTCCCATAAGATAGACATATGTGGGTTCAACTCTATGAGGTCATGGAAGGGAGAACCAGTGAGACCACTGAGTTTTTGTTGTTGTTGTTGTTTGTTTTTTTGTTTGTTTTGTTTGTTTTTATTTTTATTTATTATTATTATTATACTTTAAGTTGTATGGTACATGTGCACAATGTGCAGGTTTGTTACATATGTATACATGTGCCATGTTGGTGTGCTGTACCCATTAACCTGTCATTTACATTAGGTATATCTCCTAATGCTATCCCTCCCCCCTCCCCCCACCCCACGACAGGCCCCGGTGTGTGATGTTCCCCACCCTGTGTCCAAGTGTTCTCATTGTTCAATTCCCACCTATGAGTGAGAATATGCAGTGTTTGGTTTTCTGTCTTTGTGATAGTTTGCTCAGAATGATGGTTTCCAGCTTCATCCAACTCCCTACAAAGGACATGAATTCATCCTTTTTTATGACCGCATAGTATTCCATCGTGTACATGTGCCACAATTTCTTAATCCAGTCAATCGTTGATGGACATTTGGGTTGGTTCCAAGTCTTTGCTATTGTGAATAGTGCTGCAATAAACATACATGTGCATGTGTCTTTATAGCAGCATGATTTATAGTCCTTTGGGTATGTGCCCAGTAATGGGATGGCTGGGTCAAATGGTATTTCTAGTTCTAGATCCTTGAGGAATCACCACACTGTCTTCCACAATGGTTGAACTAGTTTACAGTCCCACCAACAGTGTAAAAGTGTTCCTGTTTCTCCACATCCTCTCCAGGACCTGCTGTTTCCTGACTTTAATGATTGCCATTCTAACTGGTGTGAGATGGTATCTCATTGTGGTTTTGATTTGCATTTCTCTGATGGCCGGTGATGACAAGCATTTTTTCATGCGTCTGTTGGCTGCATAAGTATCTTCTTTTGAGAAGTGTCTGTTCATATCCTTTGCCCATTTTTTGATGGGGTTGTTTGATTTTTTTCTTGTAAATTTGTTTAAGTTCTTTGAAGATTCTGGATATTAGCCCTTTGTCAGATGGTTAGATTGTAAAAATTTTCTCCCATTCTGTAGGTTGCCTGTTCACTCTGATGGTAGTTTCTTTTGCTGTGCAGAAGCTCTTTAGTTTAATTAGATCCCATTTGTCAATTTTGGCTTTTGTTGCCATTGCTTTTGGTGTTTTAGTCATGCAGTCCTTGCCCATGCCTATGGCCTGAATGGTATTGCCTAGGTTTTTTTCTAGGGTTTTTATGGTTTTAGATCTAACATTTAAGTCTTTATCTTGAATTAATTTTTGTATAAGGTGTAAGGAAGGGATCCAGTTTCAGCTTTCTACATATGGCTAGACAGTTTTCCCAGCACCATTTATTAAATAGGGAATCCTTTCTCCATTTCATCTTTTTATCAGGTTTCTCTAAGATCAGTTGTTTGTAGATGTGTGGTATTATTTCTGAGGGCTCTATTATGATCCATTGGTCTATATCTCTGATTTGGTACCAGTACCATGCTGTTTTGGTTACTGTAGCCTTGTAGTATAGTTTGAAGTCAGGTAGTGTGATGCCTCCAGCTTTGTTCTTTAGGCTTAGGATTGTCTTGGCAATGTGGGCTCTTTTTTGGTTCCATATGAACTTTAAAGTAGTTTTTTTCCAATTCGGTGAAGAAAGTCATTGGTAGCTTGATGGGGATGGCATTGAATCTATAAATTACCTTGGGTAGTATGGCCATTTTCACTATATTGATTCTTCCTATCCATGAGCATGGAATGTTCTTCCATTTGTTTGTATCCTCTTTTATTTCACTGAGCAGTGGTTTGTAGTTCTCCTTGAAGAGGTCCTTCACATCCCTTGTAAGTTGGATTCCTAGGTATTTTATTCTCTTTGAAGCAATTGTGAATGGGAGTTCACTCACGATTTGGCTCTCTGTTTGTCTGTTATTGGTGTATCGGAATGCTTGTGATGTTTGCACATTGATTTTGTATCCTGACTCTTTGCTGAAGTTGCATATCAGCTTAAAGAGAATTTGGGCTGAGACGATGGGGTTTTCTAAATATACAATCATGTGATCTGCAAACAGGGACAATTTGACTTCCTCTTTCCCTAATTGAATACCTTTATTACTTTCTCTTGCCTGATTGCCCTGGCCAGAACTTCCAACACTATGTTGAATAGGAGTGGTGCGAGAGAGCGTCCCTGTCTTGTGCCAGTTTTCAAAGGGAATGTTTCCAGTTTTTGCCCATTCAGTATGATATTAGCTGTGGGTTTGTCATAAATAGCTCTTATTATTTTGAGATATGTCTAATCAATACCTAGTTTATTGAGAGCTTTTAGCATGAAGGGCTGTTGAATTTTGTCAAAGGCCTTTTATGCACCTGTTGAGATAATCATGTGCTTTTCATCTTTGGTTCTGTTTATATGATGGATTACATTTATTGATTGGTGTATGTTGAACCAGCCTTGCATCCCAGGGATAAAGCCAACTTGATCATGGTGGATAAGCCTTTTGATGTGCTGCTGGATTTGGTTTGCCAGTATTTTATTGAGGATTTTTGCATTGATGTTCATCAGGGATATTGGTCTAAAATACTCTTTTTTGTTGTGTCTCTACTGGGCTTTGGTATCAGGATGATGTTGTCCTCATAAAATGAATGAGGGAAGATTCCCTCTTTTTCTATTGATTGGAATAATTTCAGAAGGAATGGTACCAGCCCCTCTTTGTACCTCTGGTAGAATTCGGCTGTGAATCCATCTGGCCCTGGACATTTTTTAGTTGGTAGGCTATTAATTATTGTCTCAATTTCAGAACCAGTTATTGGTCTATTCAGGGATTCGACTTCTTCCTGGTTTAGTCTTGGGATGGTGTATGTGTCGAGGAATTTATCCATTTCTTCTAGATTTTCTAGTTTATTTGTGTAGAGGTGTTTATGGTATTCTCTGATGGTAGTTTGTATTTCTGTGGGATCAGTGGTGATATCCCCTTTATCATTTTTTATTGCTTCTATTTGATTCTTCTCTCTTTTCTTCTTTATTAGTCTTGCTAGTGGTCTATGAATTTTGTTGATCTTTTCAAAAAACCGCTCCTGGATTCATTGATTTTTTGAAGGGTTTTTTGTGTCTCTATCTCCTTCAGATCTGCTCTGATCTTAGTCATTTCTTGCCTTCTGCTAGCTTTTGAATGCATTTGCTCTTGCTTCTCTAATTCTTTTGTGTTGTTAAGGTGTCAATTTTAGATCTTTCCTGCTTTCTCTTGTGGATATTTAGTGCCATAAATTTCCCTCTACACACTGCTTTAAATGTGTCCCAGAGATTCTGGTATGTTGTGTCTTTGTTCTCATTGGTTTCAAAGAAGATCTTTATTTCTGCCTTCATTTCGTTATGTACCCAGTAGTCATTGAGGAGCAGGTTGTTCAGTTTCCATGTAGTTGAGTGGTTTTGAGTGAGTTTCTTAATCCTGAGTTCTAGTTTGATTGCACTGTGGTCTGAGAGACAGTTTGTTATAATTTCTGTTCTTTTACATTTGCTAGGGAGTGCTTTACTTCCAACTATGTGGTCAATTTTGGAATAAGTGTGGTGTGGTGCTGAGAAGAAAGTATAGTCTGTTTATTTGGGGTGGAGAGTTCTGTAGATGTCTATTGTAATGTCCGCTTGGTGCAGAGCTGAGTTCAAGTCCTGGATATGCTTGTTAACTTTCTGTCTTGTTGATATGTCTAATGTTGACAGTGGGGTGTTAAAGTCTCCCATTACTATTGTGTGGGAGTCTAAGTCTCTTTGTAGGTCTCTAAGGACTTGCTTTATGAATCTGGGTGCTCCTGTATTGGTAAATATATATTTACGATAGTTAGCTCTTCTTGCTGAATTGATCCCTTTACCATTATGTAATGGCCTTCTTTGTCTCTTCTGATCTTTTTTGGTTTAAAGTCTGTTTTATCAGAGACTAGGATTGCAACCCCTGCCTTTTTTTGTTTTCCATTTGTTTGGTAGATCTTTCTCCATCTCTTTATTTTGAGCCTATGTGTGTCTCTGCACGTGAGATGGGTCTCCTGAATACAGCACACTGATGGGTCTTAACTCTTTATCCAGTTTGCCAGTCTGTGTCTTTTAATTGGAGCATTTAGCCCATTTACATTTAAGGTTAATATTGTTATGTGTGAATTTGATCCTGTCATTATGATGTTAGCTGGTTATTTTGCTCATTAGTTGATGTAGTTTCTTCCTAGCCTCGATGGTCTTTACAATTTGGGATGATTTTGCAGTGGCTGATACGGGTTGTTCCTTTCCATGTTTAGTGCTTCCTTCAGGAGCTCTTGTAGGGCAGGCCTGCTGGTGACAAAATCTCTCAGCATTTGCTTGTCTGTAAAGGATTTTATTTCTCCTTCATTTATGAAGCTTAGTTTGGCTGGATATGAAATTCTGGGTTGAAAATTCTTTTCTTTAAGAATGTTGAATGTTGGCCCCCACTCTCTTCTGGCTTGTAGAGTTTCTGCTGAGAGATCCACTGTTACTCTGATGGGCTTCCCTTTGTGGGTAACCCGACCTTTCTCTCTGATTGCCCTTAACATTTTTTCCTTCATTTCAACTTTGGTGAATCTGACAATTATGTGTCTTGGAGTTGCTCTTCTCAAGGAGTATCTTTGTGGCGTTCTCTGTATTTCCTGAATTTGAATGTTGGCCTGTCTTGCTAGGTTGTGGATGTTCTCCTGGATAACTTGGTTCTGTTCTCCCCATCATTTTCAGGTACACCAATCAGACATAGATTTCATCTTTTTGCATAGTCCCATATTTCTTGGAGGCTTTGTTCATTTCTTTTTACTCTTTTTTCTCTAAACTTATCTTCTTGCTTCATGTAATTCATTTGATCTTCAATCACTGATACCCTTTCTTCCACTTGATCAGATCGGCTACTGAAGCTTGTGCATTCATCACATAGTTCTCATGCCATGGTTTACAGCTCCATTAGTCATTTAAGGACTTCTCTACACTGGTTATTGTAGTTAGCTATTCGTCTAATCTTTTTTCAAAGTTCTTAGCTTCTTTGCGATGGGTTCGAATATCCTCCTTTAGCTTGGAGAAGTTTGTTATTACCGATCATCTGAAGCCTTCTTCTCTCAACTCGTCAAAGTCATTCTCCATCCACCTTTGTTCTGTTGCTGGCAAGTAGCTGCGTTCCTTTGGAGGAGAAGAGGTGCTCTGATTTTTAGAATTTTCAGCTTTTCTGTCTGGTTTCTCCCCATCTTTGTGGCTTTATCTACCTTTGGTCTTTCATGATGGTGACGTGCCAATGGGGTTTTGGTGTGAAAGTCCTTTCCGTTTGTTAGTTTTCCTTCTAACAGTTAGGACCCTCAGCTGCAGGTCTGTTGGAGTTTGCTGGGGGTCCACTCCAGACCCTGTTTGCCTGGGTATCACCAGCAGAGGCTGCAGAACAGCAGATGTTGCTGCCTAATCCTTCCTCTGATGATTGTGGGACAAAATCATCCTGGATTCAGGGTGGGTCCTAAGCCCAGTGACTGGTGCCCTTATAAGAGAAAGGAGAGGTAAGTTTGTGATACAGAGAAACAGGGGAGAAGGCCATGTGAAGATGCGTGCAGATATTGGAGTTATGTAGCTTCAAGCCAAGGAATACCAAGAATTGCTAATAGACATTGAAAGAGGATGGAGGAGGAAGAAGGGAAGGAATGAAAAGAAGAGGAAGAGGAGGTGAGGGCAGCAGAGGAAGAAAGAGATGGCATGTGGAACTTCAATGATAGTAATATTCCCATCTTTCATAATGGGGAGAGCAGAAGATAATGCTTACGTAAACAAATCGAGAAAATGTGTTATGTTTTAAGTTTATTAGAGAAGTTAACAGAATACATTAATAAAAGAGACACAAAACAAAATTAGGTAAAACACCTTTGGAGTGTAACAAAAGGAGTGAAACATAAAAAGTAAGAAATAAAATATTTTTATTAATTAATAAAAGCTATATTATGCTCTATTTTTAAAAAGGAATGTAGGTATAGTAAAGCAAAAATAAATAAATAAAGCCATCTATAAGTGAGGAAATTTTGACTCCTTTATAGCAACATGCTATAGTTTGGATGTCTGTCCTCCCAAATTTCATATTGAAATTTGGTCCTCAATGTTGAAGGTGGGGCTTAATGAGAGGTGTTTGGGTCTTAGGGACACACCCTTCATGAATGGCTTGGTGACTCATCCTCATGGTAATGAATGAGTTCTCACTCTATTAGTTCCTGTAAAAGCTGGTTGTTAAAAAGAGACTGGCACCTCCTCCCACTCCTAATCTTGCTTCCCTCTCTTGCCATGTGATCTTTGTATACCCTAGCTCCTGTTCACCTGCTGCTATGAGTGGAAGCAGCCTGAGGTTTTCACCAGATGTCCAATCTTCCAGATAGCAGAACTGAGAGCCAAATAAACATTTTTCTTTATAAATTATCCCATCTCAAGTATTTTTATAGGAATGCAAAGTGGACTAACACATAGTACCTGCAATGTCCTCAGAGAAATAAAGTGAATTCTAATAACTATAAAATCAGACAAGTTGTCATCACAGGATGTAAAATTCTAGTTTTGTGTCTTTGAGTAATTTACTTAACCTTGCTTGATCTCAGTGCTCTCATCTGAACATTTGAAATAACATTATCCATTTCATATGAAATTAAACTATATATTTGTAATATCCTCAAAATAATGGCTTGCACATCTTAAGCACTGATGAAATATTAATCAGTTTGAAGCCTAAGTCAGACTGTTTCAAATGTATATAAACTAAGGGAGTCCGAAACCTAAAACCTGCCCTCATTAAAAGAGCTATTTCTTTCTTTTTTTTTTTTTTTAAGACAGAGTCTTGCTCTGTCACCCAGGCTGGAGTGCTATGGTGTGATCTCAGCTCACTGCAACCTCCACCTACCGGGTTCCAGCAATTCTCCTGCCTCAGCCTCCCAAGTAGCTGGGTTACCACACTGGCAAACGTTTGTATTTTTAGTAGAGACAGGGTTTCACCATGTTGGCTAGGCTGATCTCGAACTCCTGGCCTCAAGTGATCCGCCCACCTTGGCCTCCCAAAGTGCTAGGATTACAGGTGTGAGTCACCGTGCCCAGCCTGAAAGAGCTATTTCTTGATGAACTCTAACCACACAAAATATAAATAGAAGGATGGCCTACTTGTGGTAAAGGGACTGGCTGTAAGTAAACAATTCTGCAAAATGTGGTTACAAGAAATAATATAAATGTTATAAACTTTGATAATGCAGAAATAATCAGACTCTTGATGTCAGAGTCAGAGAGGTACATTCTGTAAATACGGATGATTTTTCAATTAGAGCAGAGACCCAAAGATATCTTCACAGCTGCTAAATCAAATATTTATGGTAAATATACTTAAGATTTTAAAGTTAATCACCAAAAGTGCTAAAACAGCCATAAACCTTACAAATTACCAGAAGGAAAACACTCAATCATTTATTTTAAAGACAAGAAAATACAGGCTGCAGAGTTAAATGTTAAAAAAAAAAAGAGCAACAGGAACTTTAAAAGCAGAAATCCTAGTATAAAATTAATAAAAGTGTTAAATCAAAGATACCTGTAAAACCACTAGTGATAAATGGTTAAAATTTTAATCCTTAATTGATTAAA
Source organism: Homo sapiens (assembly GCF_000001405.40). Taxonomy (NCBI): domain Eukaryota; kingdom Metazoa; phylum Chordata; class Mammalia; order Primates; family Hominidae; genus Homo; species Homo sapiens. Next base: position 55,087,683 of record NC_000006.12, on the reverse strand, counting down.
AATGCAAAAGTGAAGATGCTATATATGAGAAAAGCTTTTAAATTAAAGTGAATGAAAATATATAAAGCATAAAATATTGGCAAAAACATTAAGGAATGAATTTTTTTAAAGTAGGGTCATAATATAATTATCAGATAAAAATAAACTTGTGGCAGAGAGCAATAAAGCAAAAAAAACTTTAGTGATAAAATTTACACACCACAATAAACAACTAACTGACATGAATATTTATGCATAGAATAAACACAGCATCAAAATTCATGAAGTACATGAAGCAAAGTAAATAAAACCTACAAATGGATATATAAAAATTAATATGATTAACAAACTTGTTCTAACAGATGCTTACACTCAAGCTCTCTAAGTAAAAAATTGACCCAATATTAAAAGCCTCTAACTATTCTCCAAAGTTGAAATCGTTCAAATCACAGAGTTTCATCACAACATAATAAAATTAGAATTTAATAACTAAAGTAGAAGGAAAACAAGTATATGCTATGATGTCATATTCTCTGGATTGAAATCCATGTGATTAGGGATCATAGTGATGGATAATAAAGTGTTGGAACCACAGATTTCTCATATTGAAAATGAGAATCATTATAGCATATACAACATATGGTGGTTTAGAGGTTTATTAGTCAGGTTTCTAAAATCTCTATTAGTCTGTTTAGGACTGTCAAAACAAAATATCACAAGCTTAGTGGCTTAAAAAAAAAGAAATTTATTTTCTTATAGGTTTGAAGTCTGAAAGTTCAGTATCAAGATACCAGCATGAATGGTTTCTGGTGACATCTCACTTTCTGGCTTGCAGACAGACACATTCATTCTGTATCCTCATACTGTCTTTCCTCTGCATGCAAGAATCCCTGGTACCTCTTCCTCTTCTTATATGGACACCAATAGAATTGGATCTGGGTCCCAACATTATGACTCCCTTAAATATCTCCTTAAAGACCCTATCTCCAAATACAGTCACATTAGGGGTTACAGATTCTACATATGAACTGGGGGAGACACAATCAAATCTACAACAAGTGGATGACATGAAACCATTTAGTTCTTAACATGATGACTGAAAATTAGTAAGCATTCAATACCTACCTGTCATTAACCACTCATCCTAATGTGTTAATAAAATAATGGAAATTTAGAACTTTAGATACTTAAATGCCATCTAGTTTGTTTTTGTCTTTCTTAGTTATGGCTCCTCTATGATGCAAATTAAATATAAACTTCTCTGGGAAGCTTTCCTAATACCTCCTTTTCTTTGACCAAGTTTTTTTTAAACTTTTATTTTAGATTCAGGAGTACACCTACAGATTTGTTAAATAGGTAAATTGTATGTCATGGGGGGGTTGGTATATAGATCATTTCATCACCTGGGTAATAAGCATGGTCTCTAAAGGTAGCTTTAATAGGTAGTTTTTCAGTCCTCACCCTCCTCCCACCCTCCACCCTCAAGTAGGCCCCAGTGTCTGTTGTTCCCTTCTTTGCCTCGATGTGAACACGAAGTTTAGCTCCCACTTATAAGTAAGAACAGATGGTATTTGGTTTTCTGTTCCTAATTTACTTAGCATAACAGCCTCTAGCTCCATCCATCTTCCTGCAAAGGCCATGATCTCATTCTTCTTATGGCCTCATAGTATTCCATGGTGTATATGTACCACATTTTCTTTATCCAGTCTTCTGTTGATGGGCATTTAGGTTGATTCCATGTCTTTGCTATTGCAAATAGTGCTGCAGTGAACAAACATATGCTTACATGTGTCTTTATGGTAGAATAATTTATTCCTTTGGGCATATACCCAATAATGGGGTTGCCGTATTGAATAGTAACTCTTTTAAGTTCCTTGAGAAATTTCCAAACTGCTTTCTACAATAGCTGAACTAACTTACACCCTCATCATCAGTGTAGTATCAGCATATGTGTTCCCTTTTCTCCACAACCTCACCAGCATCTGTTATTTTTTGACTTTTTAATAATAGCTATTTTGACTGGGGTGATGGTATCTCATTGTGATTTTATATGCATTTCTCTAATGATCAATAATGTTGAGCATTTTTCATATGCTTGTTCACTGCAAGTATGTCTACTTTTGAAAAGTGTCTGTTCATGTCCTTTGCCCACTTTTTAATGAGGTTGTTTGTTGTTTGCTTACTAATTTGTTTAAATCCTTAAAGATTCTGAACTTTAGACCTTTTTTCAGATGCATAGTTTGAAAACATTTTCTCCCCATTCTGGAGGTCGTCTGTTTACTCTGTTAATAGTTTCTTTTCCTGTAGAGGAGTTTTTCAGTTTAATTCTATCCTATTTGTCAATTTTTGGTTTTGTTACCATCACTTTTGGCATTTTCATCATGAAATCCATGTCAGGGCCTGTGTCCAGAATGGTATTTGCTATGTATTCCTCAACGGGTTTTATAGTTTTAGGTTTTACATTAAGTCTTTAATCCATCTTGAGTTGATTTTTTTATATGGTGAAAGGAATGGGTCCAGTTTCAATCTTCTGCACATGGCTAGGCAGCTATCCCAGCACCATTTATTGAATAGGAAGCCCTTTCTCCATTTCTTTTTTGTTTGTTTGTTTGTCAATTTTGTTGCATATCAGATGGCTGTAGGTGTGTGGCTTTATTTCTGGCCTCTCCATTCTGTTCCATTGTTCTATGTGTCTGTTGTAGTATAAGTACTATGCTGTTTTGGTTTCTATAGGTTCGTTGCATGGTTTGAAGTTAGGTAACATGATGCCTCCAGCTTTGTTCTTTTTGCTTATGATTGCTTTGGCTATTCAGGCTCTTTTTTGGTTCCATATCAATTTTCAAATAGATTTTTCTAACTCTGTAAAAAAATTCCTTGGTAGTTTAATAGGAATAGTAATGAATCTATAAGTTGCTTTGAGCAGCATGGCCATTTTAACAATATTCATTCTTGTCCAAGAGCATGGAATTATTTTCCATTTGTGACGTCTTGATTTCTTTCAGCAGTGTTTTGTAATTCTCGCTTTAGAGATCTTTCATCTTCATGGTTAGCTGTATTCCTAGGTATTTTATTTTTTTGGTGGCTATTTTGAATGGGATTGCATTCTTGATTTGGCACTCAGCTTTGACTTTGTTGGTATGTAGAAATGATACTTATTTTTGTACATTGATTTTGTATCCTGAAATTTTGCTCAATAAGTGCCCACATAGCTCCCACTTACAAGTCAGAACATTTGGTATTTGGTTTTCGGTTCCTGCATTAGTTCACTTAGGATAATGGCCTGCAGCTCTATCCATGTGGCTGCAAAGAACATGGTCTTGTTATTTTTCCTGGATGCATAGTATTCCATGGTGTTTATGTACCACATTTCCTTTAACAGTCTATTGTTGATTGGCATTTAGGTTGATACCATGTCTTCGAATAACAGTACTTTTAGCCATAGATATGTAAATTCGCATATCTTTCAGAGGAAAATAGATAGCAAAGAGCAAATATTGGATATAATGACTGCTTAGTCAAAGAAACTGCTAGACTGGAGGAGCCGTTTTCTCTCTGAAGTTTAAGGGTATGATAAAGCAATCTAAAGTGCAAGAGAAAATACCTCTTAAAATCCAATTTTGTTTTGACTATAAAATATATCTGTAACTCAGGACCATATATACTGTATATGCTGAAACCAAAACAACAAAAAAGGAGGGGACAGAGAAAACATTCATGCATTATGAAATTGTAAATTGTTCTAATTCCTTAAAAACAAAATAATTTCTTAGTAATTTACTGATTGAGAAACTTCTGGATTATGCGTATGTTTGTTAACGTTTTCAATCAGTTTGGTCTTGGTCTTTTCTACTCATTGCTTCATAATTATTAAGCATACAAAAGATTACTATTTGAAAGTACCTCATAAACAAAATTATTTATTTTATCTAGGAGTAAGAAAAATATATCTTTCTTTCCAATCTTTAAAACAAATTAATATATGATGCCCCGAATCTTTAGACTTGTCTGGTTTCTTTTATAACATTTATAAAAATTAAATTGAAATAACCTTCATGTTTTCTGATTGGGAAGATATATTATTTTACCTCAAGAGTAAACCAACCTGTAATCACAGCACTTTGGGAGGCCAAGGTGGGCAGATCACAAGGTCAGGAGTTCGAGACCAGCCTGGCCAATATGGTGAAACCCCATCTCTACTAAAAATACAAAAATTAGCTGGGTGTGGTGGTGGGTGCCTGTAATCCCAGCTACTTGGGAGGCTGAAAGAGGAGAATCTCTTGAACCCGGGAGGTGGAGATTGCAGTGAGCTGAGATCGTGCCACTGCACTCCAGCCTGGGTGACATAGCAAGACTCCATCTCAAAAAAAAAAAAAAAAAAAAAAGAGTAAACCATTATTATTTGAAATCACAGGAAGTATATCTGAATAGGCACTATTTCTATCTATAATGACCAATTGTCAGTATCTCTTTAATATCATTGCATTCTGAGTTCTTGCAACCTTAGACAATTTGTGATATATGAAAATACATTATTCTCCACTGACATTAATCATTTTGTGTCCCACAGGAAAAAACAGGCTCCTCATTGTAGAACACACATTGCTACAGGAATGGAATAAGCTTAAACATGTTCAGAAAAGAGAAACTGCCTATATAAGTAAGAGGTAAAAATAACAAATAAAAACTAAAAACCAATGTCTTCCTGGCAAAAAGAATCAATAAGTTGGTAATAGAAATATATGCAAAGTAAGACAAAGTATTACACAAAAGGGAAGCATTATAATTAAATTGCATTAGTTTTAGAAACTATATAATTTACTAAATTCACATGCTGTTCATATTTTAGGAAAAAGTATTAATTACAGAAGTGTTTTGCTTTAAATTTTAAAACTATTTTGTCTCTGTCATTAAAATTTCCTCATTTTTTTCTCATGTACCATTTAAATGCAATATAGAATCTGTCTCCAGGCATAAGCATTTAAATAGGTGTCTAGCCACTACCTAATTTTTTTGTCTCAGAATATTTCAGTGCTATTTAAGCTCATCTTCTAATTTCCCTGTTGGGTTTGAAATAATGATACAAGATGATGTAAATTCTACAATGAGAAATAAAGCCAGTGGGCCATAAGAGCCATCAAAGAGCAGCACACTAAAATTGTCACTACAAATATGTTTAGGTTCCGTAGTGTTTTACTTTCTTTATTCTACTTTAGATTCCTGTGATTTTGCATCTTTATCTGACTCGACTGTTATTGGCTGTCCTCAGAGTTCCCACTGTTTATACCAGTGGACCTAGTCTTCACTCAACCTGACAAGTGTTATGAAACTGGGATTAGAGCAAATAACCCAGGTCCCAGGGTTCAAAAGCTCTAATTTGCTAAGTTTCTCTTAAATACTTATTTGCCTTTTGTCTTTTCTGGAAGAAGGTAGTAAATAACTACAGACATAAAAACCCACACTCATGGGGCTGGGTGCAGTGACTCATGCCTGTAATCACAGCACTTAGGGAGACTTAGGTGAGAAGATTGCTTGAGTCGCTTTGGGAGACTGTGGTGGGAGGATCGCTTGAATGTAGAAGTTCAAGACCAGCCTAGGCAAAATAGTGAGACACTGTCACTACAAGAAATAAAAAATAAAAAATTAGCCAGGCGTGGTGGTGTGTGCACATACTCTCAGCTACTAGGGAGGCTGAGGTGAGAGGATCACTTGAGCATGGGAGGTTGAGGCTACAGTGAGCCAAGATCATGACACTGCACACTTGAGTGACAGAGTGAGACTCTGTCTCAAAAAACAAAGAAACAAACTGATACTCATCTATTGCCTATTCAATCATTCATACATTTAATATAATTGACTGAGTGCCAAATATATGTGTGGTGCTGTAAAGCTAGTCAAATACTTTGGGAAAACAGAGAAGCAATGTTATTGTCCTCATAGAACTTATAGTTTAGTAGGCATAGATTTAAAACAACCCTCTTCATGTACAGTACTTATCTTAATTAGTTACCTAAACTTGCCAACTTGCTCTGGAGACCTACCTTAAATCTTAAACTGGACTTTCACAGCTGACCCTTTCTGGGAATTTGCCTAGTTGCGTACTATGGCCATCTGCATGCTAAGGAAACAAGGGAATGTCAAGTATGACCATAATAGAACTACGGGAGAATGACAAATCTCAGTATTTCCATAGCAGAAGGAAAATATAGCTATGACCTGTGAGCTAGGGACTGCTTGTCAAGTTCTGTGATCCACAACAATGCCCCAGTAATTACGGGAACAGAAGAATAACTGTTGGTTCTTCTCAGCTGAGACTCTTTAAGACCTTCCACAGAATCTTTTGCTATTGGTCTAATTATTTATTGGTACAGTTAGCAAGAAAATCTTTCCCCACATGACAGAGTCGAGTACATAGGAAAGTTACCCTGGGGTATTATCAAAACCAGAGTATTTTGATGGCAGATCTCATATAGCATTCAGGAAACCAAAGCTCAGCTTTCTTTGATTGTTTCCAACAAGAATTGTATGTCCCAGAAAATGTGCAAAATAATCCTCAAAGCAGAATATTAGAGTATTTTAATTCAGATTTGAAATATTTTTTAAAAATTATTAGACCTCACATTTTTAGAACAGTTTTAGGTTCACGGCAAAATTGAAAGAAAAAAAGACAGAAATTTTCCATACATTCCCTACTCCACACATTCATAGTCGTCCCCATTACCCACATAGTCCATCAGAGGGGTACATTTGTTAGAACTGATAAACCTGTCTTGACACATCATTATTGCCCAGAGTCCATAGTTTACCTTAGGGTTCACTCTTGATATTGTACATTCTGTGGACTTGGACAAAAGTATAATGACATGTATTCACCATTACAGTATTGTACAGAGTAGTTTCATTGCCCAGAACATGCTGTGGCCCCTCCTATCACTTCCTCCACACAATTCCTGGCAACCACTGATATTTTTACAGTTGTCTTAGTTTTGGCTTTTCCAGAATATTAATTAAATAGTTGGAATTATCCAGGACGTAGCCTTTTTAACTGGCTTCTTTTATTTAGAAATAAGCAGTTTAGTTTCACCCATGTATTTTCATGGCTTGATAGTTCATTGTTTTTTTTTAGCACTGAATAACATTCCATTGTCAGGATGTGCTACAATTTATCCATTTCCCTATTGAAGCGCATCTTGGTTGCTTTCAAGTTTTGGCAATTATTAATGAAGCTTCTATAAATGATTTTGTGCAATTTTTTGCGTGAACATAAGTATTCAACTTTGGGTAAATACCAAGAAGCTCAATTGCTGATTGCATAGTAAGAATATGTTATGTTTTGTAAGAAATTGTGAAATTTTCTTTCAACATGGCTGTGCCATTTTGTGCTGCCACCAGCAATGAATCAGAGCTCCTGTCGAACCATGTCCTCACTAGCATGTGGTGCTATCAGTGTCGTGGATTTTGATTATTCTAATAAGTATATGATATCTCATTATTATTTTAATTTACATTCTCTGATTTTTTATTATGTGGAACATTTTTTCAAATGCTTATTTGTGATCTGTATACCTTCCTTGGCAATGTATGTGTTCAGATCTCTTGCTCATTTTTAAATGTTTGTTACTTTTCTCATTGTTATGTTTTTAAAGGTTTTTGTATATTTTTGATAACAATTCTTTATTGGATACATCTTTTGAAAATATTTTCTCCTAATCTGTGGCCTATCATTTTATTCTTTGGCAGTATCTTTTGCAGAAAAAAAAATCACTTTAATTTTAATGAAGTCCCGCCTACCAATCCGTTTTTCATGGATCACGACTTTTGTGTTGTATCTAAAAAATCATCTCCAAAAGCAAGGTCACCTAAATTTTCTCCTATGTTATCTTCTCAGAGCTTTACAGTTTCATGTTTTACATTTAGATTTGCAATTCATTTAGAGATAACTTTCGTGAAAGTTGTAAAGTCTGCATCTAGTTTTTTTTTTTTTTTGCATGCAAGTGTCCAATTGTTCCAACATCATTTATTAAAAAGACTTTCTCCATTGTATTGCCTTTCTTCTTTTGTCCAAGATCAGTTGACTATATTTATGTAGGTCTACTTCTGACTCTTCATTCTTTCCGACTGATATACTTATCTGTTCTTTTGCCGATACAGCACTGTTTTCATTAGTATAGCTTTATGCTAAATCTTGAAGTAGGGTAGTATCAGCCCTTCAACTTTGTTCTTAGTATTATGTCAGCTATTCTTTTGCCTATACATATGAACTTTAGAATCAGTTTGTGTGTGTGTGTGTGTGTGTGTGTGTGTGTGTGTGTGTGTCTTGCCAAAATCCCTTTACTGAGATACATTCAAAAGAAAACAAATTATCATACCAAAAAGATACATGCAGTAGCTCATTGCAGCATGACTCACAACAGCAAAGACATGGAATAAACCTAGGTGCCCATCAAGTGTAGATTGAATAAAGGAAATGTGGTATGTATACACCATTTAATACAACACAACCATAAAAAAGAATAAAATGATGTCATTTGCAGCAACATGGAGGCAGCTGGAGGCCATTGTCCTAAGTAAATTAGCACAGGAACAGAAAATCAAATGCAGCATGTTCTCACTTATAAGTGAGAGCTAAAAGTTGGGTACTCGTGGACATGAAGATGATAACAGAAACTGAGGACTACTAGAGGAAAGAGAGAGGGAGGGGGCAAGGGTTGAAAAACTAACTGTTGTGTACTATGCCCAGTACCTGGGTGATGGGATTATTCATACAGCAAATATCAGCATCACACAAAATACCCCCAAATCTAAAATAAATGTTGAAATACATAGCATAAAAAATAACTTGCTGAGACTCTGATTTAGATTGCATTGAACCTATAGATTGTTTGAAACAACTGCCATCTTGACAATATTGAGTCTTTCTCTCAGTTAACATGGAATAACTCTCCATTTAGTTAGACCTTTTTCTATGTTCTCTCATTTTTCTCATTTGTTAGATTTATATCTACGCATTTCATTTTCAGGAGTGTTTTGTAAATGGTATTGTGTTTTTAATTTCAAATTCCATTTGTTCATTTCTGGTACATAGAAAGCTATTGACTTTTATATGTTAACCCCGTATCCTACAACCTTGTTATAATCATTTATTAGTTCCAGAAGTTTTTGTCAATTATTTCAGATTTTCTGCATAGGCAATCATGTCGGCTGCAAACAAAGACCGTTTTGCTTCTTTCTTTTCAATATGTATCCTCTTCCTTTATTGTCTTGTCTTATTGCATTAGCTTGTACTTCCAGTATGATGTTGACAAGCAATGGTAAGAAGGTACATCCTTGCTTTGTTCCTGATCTTAGTGGGAAAACTTGTAGTTTTTACCAAAAAGAATTATGTTAGTTGCAGGATTTTTTGTAGATATTCTTTATCAAGTTGAAGAAGTTTCCCTGTATTCCTATTTTACTCGTTTTTTTTTTAAATTTTATTTTAGGTTCAGGAGTATATATGCAGGTTTGTTATACAAGTAAATTTGTGTCACAGGAGTTTGCTTTACAGATTATTTCATCACCAAGACACTAAGCCTAGTACCCAATAGTTATTTTTTTCTAATTCTCTCCCTCCTCCCAACCTTCACCCTCAGGCTCCAGTGTCTATTGTTCTCCTTTTAGTGTCAATGTGTTCTCATCATTAACTTCCACTTACACGTGAGAACACACAATATTTGTTTCTTTGTTCCTGCATTAGTTTGCTATGGATAATGACCTCCAGCTCCATCCATGTTCCTGTAAAAGATGTGATCTCATTCTTTTTATGGCTGCATAGTATTCCATCATGTATACATACCACATTTTCTTTATCCAGTCTGCTATTGATGGGCATTTAGGTTGATTCCATGTTTTTGGAATTATTGTGAATAGTGTTGCAATGAACATATGTGTGCATGTGTCTTTATGGTAGAATGATTTATATTCGTTTGGGTATATACTCAGTAATGGGATTGCTGGGTCAAATGATAGTTCCATTTTTAGCTATTTGAGGAATCACCACACTGCTTTCCACAATGGTTGAACTAATTTACACTCCCACCATCAGTGTATAAGCATTCCCTTTTTTCGGCAAGCTCACCATCATCTGTTACATTTTGACTTTTTAATAATAGTCACTCTTACTGGTGTGAGATGGTATCTCATTGTGGTTTTGATTTGCATTTCTATAATCATCAATGATATGGAGCTTTTTTTAAATTTTAAATTATGGGGTACATGTGCAGGATCTGCAGGTTTGTTACACAGGTAAGCATGTGGATATGGAGCTTTTTAAAATACGCTTGTTTGCTGCATCTGTGTCTTCTTTTGAAAAGTCTCTGTTTATCTTTTTCACCCCCTTTTTAATGGGGTTGTTTTTCCTTGTAAATTTGTTTAAGCTCCATATAGATGCTGGATATTAGACTTTTGTCAGATGCATAGTTTTCAAATACTTTCTCTCATTCTGCAGGTTATATGTTACTGGGAGTTTTCATCATGAATGAGCGTCAGATGTTATCAAATGCTTTTTCTGCATCTATGAGTATGTGATTTGTATTAGCCTCTTGATATGATGGATTACATTAGTTCATTTTTCAATGTTGGACCAGTTTTGCATACCTGGGATAAATACCATTTGGTTGTGGTGTAGTGTTTTTCATGCATTGTTGGATTCCATAATATTTTGTTGAGAATTTCTGCACCTATGTTCCTGAAAGATTTTGATCTGCAGTATTTTCTTGTAATGTCATCGTCAAGTCTTGGTATTAGGGTAACTCTGGTCTAATAAGGTGAGTTAGAAAGTATTCTCTTTGCTTCTGTCTTCTGAAAGAGATTGTATATTCTGAAAGAGATGGTATAATTTCTTTCTTAAATGTTGTTTATAATTCACCAGTGAACCAATCTGGACCTGATGCTTTTTCCTTTGGAAAGTTGTTAATTAAGTATTCTAATACATAGAAGCCTATTCAGATCACTTATTTCTCTTTGTGTAAGTTTTGCTGATTGTGTCTTTTGAGGAATTGATTAATTTTATGTGAATTATCAAATCTAAGGGCATAGAGCTCTTCATAGTACTCCTTTACCTTCCATTTAATATCCATGGAATCCACAGTAATACTCCTCTTTCATTTCTGCTATTAGTCATTTTTTTCCCTTCTCTCTTTTTTTTTAGACTGGTTAGGGGGTTATTGATATATTGATCTTCTTAAAGATCAACAAAGTCAGCTATTGTTTTCTTCGTTTTTCTCTATTGCTTCTCAATTTTCAATTTTATTGATTTTTGTTGGATTTCTTCTCTTTGAATTAAATTTGCTCTTCTTTTCTAATTTTCTAAGGGAGAATCTTAAATTATTGATTTTAGATCTTTCTTCTTTCCTAATATGTACACTTAATGCTATAATTTTTCTCTAAGTAGTGCTTATACTATATCCCACAAATTTTTATATGTTGTGTTTTCATTTTCATTTAGTTAAAAATAATTTAAAATTTTCTCTTGAGACTTCTTTCACCCATGTATTACTTAGAAGCGTGTTGCTTAACCTCCGAGTGTTCTGGGATTTTCCAGTTATCTTTCTGTTATTGACTGCTAGTTAAATTCAATTGTAGTTTTAGAGCAGCCATTTGTTTTCTATTCTTTCAATTTGTTAAAGTGTGTTCTGTGGTTCAGAATGTGATCTCTCTTGGTGAATGTTCCACATAAGCTTAAGAAGAATGTGTATTCTGCAGTTGTTAAGTTAAATAATCTATAGATTGTCAATTATATCCATTTGTTTGATAGTGTTGTTCAGTTCAACTATGTGCTTTCTGATTTTATGCCTGCTGAATCTGTCCATTTCTAATAGAAGAGCTATAATAGTGGAATCCTCTATTTCTTTTTGTGATTTTATAACATTTTTTCTCATGTATTTTGACACTTTGTTGCAATGATGCATACTTATTAAGCACATATTCATTAAGAATTGTTGTATTTTCTTGGAGAAATGACCCCTTTATCATTAAGTAATGCCCCTCTTTATTCATGATAACTTCCTTTGCTCTGAAGTCTGCTCTGTCTGAAATGAAAATAGGTATTCTTAATTTCTTTTCATTAGTGTTGGCACAGCAAACCTTTCTTCATCGATTTTCTTTTAATCTATATGTGTCTTTATATTTAAAGTGGGTTTCTTATAGACAACTTATAGTTGGGTCTTGTTTATTGATATACTCTGACAATCTCTGTCTTTTAATAGGTGTACTTAGACCACTGAAATTCAAAGTAATATTAATATGATTGGATTAAAATCTACCATAATTGTTACTGTTTCTTCTGTGTTGCTCTTATTCATTTTTCTTACATTTGTCTTTCACTCTCTCTGCCAAAAGGCAAAATACCACAAAAGTGGTTTTGAGTATCTTATATAATTCCACGCTATCTCTTTTCTTAGTACATCAGTTATACTTCTTTTTTGCTTTTTAAATTGTATCGTTTAATCAACAAATAATGATTATTCATACTTACGGGGTACTTAGTGTTATTTTAATACATATATTTTATAGTAATCAGATCAAGGTAATTAGCATATCTAGCATCTCAAATGTTTATCATTTCTTTGTATTGGGAACATTCGACATCCTCCTTCTAACAAGTTGAAACTATATATTATTCTCTTAATTTTTTTTTAGTAGTTGCCATAGAGTTTCCAATAAGCATTTACAAGTAATCCAAATTCACTTTCAAATAACTCTATATTATACCATTTCATGGGAAGCGTAAATACTTTATAATAACAAAATAATTCTAATTCCTCTCTCCCATCCCTTGTATCGTTGATGTAATTCATTTCACGGTATATAAGCATATATATAATCTATTATACATACATTATATATGTCATATATACACATAAACATACATAATCAAATACATTGTTGTCATTATTATTTGGAACAAAATCTGTTAGAACAATTAGTAATAAGAAAAATAAAAGTTTTATTTTACCTTCAATTATTTAATCTCTAATGTAGACATGAGTTTATGACCTGTATCTTTTTCCTATTTTCTAAATAACTTTTTAAAAACATTTCTTACAAGGTAGATCTATTAGCAGCAAATTCCCTCAATTTTTGTTTATCTGAAAAGATTTTTATTTCTCCCTCACTTTTAAAGAATAGTTTTTCAGGGAATGGAATTCTAGGTTGGTGGGTTTTTACTCTTAACACTTTAAATATTTAACTTCACACTTTAAATATATTTTAAATATTTTGTTTTTGCTTTTAGTTTTTTTCCTTGCCTGGTTTCTGAAAGTCAGATGTAATTCTTATCTTTGGCCTCTAAGCGTATGTTTCCCCGCCCTCTAGCTTCTTTCATGATTTTTTCTTTATCTTTGATTTTCTGTAGTTTGAATATGACATACCTGGGTGTGTGGGCTTGGGGGCACTTACTCTGTTTGGTGTCCTCTAAACTTCCCATATCTGTGTTTTGGTGTCTGACATTAATTTGGGGAAGTTTTCAGAAATTGTTGTTTCAAACATTTGTTTCTTTCTCTCTTTTTTCTTATTCTGTTATGCACATTACCTGTATTTTACACCTTTTGTAGTTTCCCATGGCTATTGCATATTCTGGGCATTTTTAAGTCTTTTTTTCTCTTTCCTTTTCAGCTTTGGAGGTTTCCATTGAGATATCCTCATTCTCAGAGATTCTTCCTCTATGTCCACTTTACCAATTAATCCATCAAAGGCATTCTTCATTTGTGTTATAGTGTTTTTGATCTCTAACGTTTAAGGTTTTTTTAGAATTTCCATCTCTCTGCTTACATTGCCTATTTGTTCTTGTGTTCTGTCTCCTATATCTATAAGAGCCTTTAGCATATTAATTATAGTTGTTTGAAAATCCCAATCTGATCATTCCAGTATCTCTGCCGTATCTGTCTCATTCTGAGGAGACTGCTCTGTCTCCTCCAACTGTATTTTTTGCCTTTTAGTATGCCTGGTAATTTTTTCTATGTAGCCAGACATGATGTGTTGGGTAAAAGATACTGCTGTAAACAGAACTTTAGTAATGTGCTGGTAGAGTGTAGGGAGGGAAAGCATTCTACAGTCCTATGATTAGGTTTCAGTCTTTTAGTAAGCGTGTGTCTCAGGACTAAACTTCACAAGTGCTTCTCAATCTTCTCCCCTTACCCCTTAATGACTAGAGTGGGCTTGAGTTTAGTATTTCTCTTCTTACAAGTGGAAGGCTAGAGCCAGCTGGAATTAAATATTTCCCTTTTCCCAGATAAGTTAGCTCTAGTTAAATACTTTCTTCTGAGGGCAAACCTTGCTCAGGAAATAATTATCTGACATATTTCAAGATGGTTCCTTTACTCTTCCAACCGCAGGAATCATGAGGGGATTTTTCTCAGGTACTGACTATGAGAACTCAGTAGTTTTCCAGGAGATAAAACTCACAAAATTGTATGGGCTCCCCTATGACTAGGTCTACCGGAAGCTTTTGTCTATCATACTTGTCCACACTAAGTTTCCAGCAATTAGTCAATTACAGTTCCGTTTTTCCTACCCCAGCACTTGTTCCCATGTTTCAGTTCATGAATCGGTACTCCAGTAAGCCATGACTCTCTGTCTTTGCCTATTTGTCTTTCCAATCCTGGGGGCACTGGTTTGCCCTGAATCCTCACTTCTCTTGCAGATCCAAGAAGAGTTGATTTTTCAGTTCGTTCATCTCCACATTTATTAGGGTGGAGTGGTGACATCCAAGCTCCTTACATGTTAGACCAGAAACTGGGAGAATATAATTTCTTTCTTTCTTTCTTTCTTTCTTTCTTTACAAATCTTTAAAGAGAAAATAAAAGCATTAGCATAGTGAATTTACTAAACTATTTGTAATCAAAAAAGGGTGATATATTTGATTTTTTTTTTTTTTTTGAGACGGAATCTTACTCTGTCTCCAGGCTGGAGTGCAGTGGTGCAATCTCAGCTCACTGCAAGCTCCACCTCCAGGGTTCAAGCGATTCTCCTGCCTCAGCCTCCCGAGTATCTGGGACCAGAGGCGCGCACCACCACTCCCAGCTAATTTTTTTGTATTTTAGTAGAGACAGGGTTTCACCATGTTGGCCCAGATGGTCTCGATCTCCTGACCTCATGACCCGCCGGCCTTGGCCTTCTAAAGTGCTGGGATTACAGGTGTGAGCCTCCGCGCCGGCCCTTTGAAATATTATTTTAAAACCGCAATACATTCTTAAACTCAAAATTAACATAAGGAGATGGTGAGAAAAGGGTACAGGTGTTGAGGATTAAGGATGGAGTAGAGGGAAACTGTAGATGATAGAGCCCAGTTCCTGATAAATGCGAAATGTATCAAAGTCAAGCACTATGATGAAATCTATTTTGTTAGAATCATTGTGACATCGGATATCAACTCCTCTGAATAACCACACTCAAATTTATCTCTTTTGCTCTCCTCTTCTTCCTAAGGCCCACCTCTAACATACAAAGGCACTTCTACTCTAAGCTTCCCCTCCTCTTGCCAAAATACTTGATAACCACTCTCATAATTCCCTTTTTGCTTTCAGGCTGGTAACAATGGTCTACAATCATGCTAATATTATTATCTCAATGTTTGGAAACAAGAAAGCACGAAGTGTTGAAGGTAACAATTTGAGAGCAGAATGAATGAAGGTGCCTAGGAAGATATGTATGTGTGCATCACGGCAAGTGCCTTGTATTTGCTGGCACATGCTACAAAAATAAGCTTTGCTATGCCGTGATATGTTGTAGGTCACATTTCTTTTCAGTGTTGACTTCAATTATTTTTATTAAAATGCTGATTAAAAAATTACATATAACCTGCTTATCCTTATATGTCCTACATAATATAAAACCAAATAATTGAGGAATTAACATAAAATGAAAATAACTATTGAACTAAGTTCTCTGTTAATGAAGTCACTACATGATATAACTACCATGTAATATAAAAATTAAAAATACAATGTCCAAATCTTAAGTTTTTTTCTGATTATCTTTTAAATATGGGTTATTATTATAATTTTGACAAATTAGAAAGTTAATCCTTTTAAATTTTGTGTTGTGAAAGCTAGTAATAGTTCAAGAACTAATAAAAGGATATTTTTCTAAAGAAAACACAATCAAATAAAATAATTTCTGCCACTGAATGTGCTAAAAGAAATTAAGATCACTATAAAACAGTAGCTGATAGATTTTTTTCCTGAAGTAGAGATTTTTCCTTATTGTATATTTATTTGTATCAAACGTTACTGTTTTTAAAGTAAGATTGAATTAATTTAAAAATATGATTGAATCTTTGTTGAAATTTGCCTCAGAAATTCAAAGAAGTAGAATTAAAAGTCACAATTTTCTTTTTAGTTTGAGATATTAGAATACGACTTTAAATTGAATCTAGAGGTCTAGTTTAAGTACTTTTGGAGACCTCATCATGTCCACTGAATTATAATAAATACTGCCCTCATGGCTAAAACTCTGTCCCAAGTCATGAAGAAAAATAGGAAAAAAGTATCTTTCACCAATTATTACTCACAGGGAATTGGTCTTTACCCAAATCATTTTACTTCCTTAGAATTTTTCTTTTCTCACCCTATCTCTTGCCAAAATGTTATACTTCAAGACAAAGATTGTGCCCCAACCCCCGCAAATAACTTAATATTCTTTGTATTTCCTAATAAAAATAATAAAACTTGAAAAACAAAGAATGTGCCAAATTAAACAATATAAGACAATTTAGGTGTGCAAATCTCACGTGGTTAGGATATTTTTCCAAGCACAATTTTACTATATTCATTATGCTTTATTCTGATTTATAATAATTCATCTTACCTCTATTACTGAGACACTGGCATAGGTTTTAAGGAGCAAAGTAGATCCTTATACATATAACAACTTGTCTTTTTTTACAGGAGTGTAAAAATTAAAGTGTAGTTCAGAGACCTGTTTTTCAGGAAATCCACAGGTCAAAAATATTTTAATAATCAAAAAAGGTGTTATCTGTGTTTTTTGCTCTCAAACTTTCTTTATTATACAGTGTAGTTTTCCACAAGCTACATGGTGTGTGTTTTCTTAAAAGAAGAAATGGTGAAGCAGATTAGAAAAAATCAACTGTTATGTATTAAGCCAGGTGTCAAGGAGATTTACATAAATGTAAAATGATGCCACTCTTCCCACTCAAGTTTTTATTTGGGAAATATAGTTACTGCTCAAAAAGTTATGTTATTTATGTAAACATAATGGATTTATTATTGTCTTTCCTGAGTGAACAAACATATAACTATTTTTAAAGTATCTTAATTTATTAATAATTTTCATTATGGTAAATACCAATGTATTTAACCCACATAATCATAGAGTCTTTGGGGTCTTCAATAATTTTAAAGAATAAGAAGTTCCGGGAAGTCTCCAAATCAAGAAATTTGAGAACTGCTGCCGTAGAGGCATTTCAGGTAAGGCTTCCCTGGCTTGTGCATTCTACTTTACCCTCCTAGGTTTAGGTTGCATTTTCAATCTTCTTGTGATGCTTTAAGAAGCATGATTATTCTATAAAGTCGGTAAGTCTTACTCACTGGCTCTGGGTTAAACCACTTTTGTTACCAATTTGACTAGTTTAGATATATTTTTGGTTAGGCACCTAGGCTTTAAGTCTCAGAAGGTTAAGTAAATCTGTTGACATCTCTAAGACACAATATATTATCCATAAAGCAACTAGAGTAGTACTGTTAAAAAATGAAACAGGTCATATCTTTCTTTTGTCCAGAACCCTGCTTTAGAATCAAATGCAAAATGTCTACAATGACCACAAGAGCCCTACATGCACTGGTTCTAATGACCTCTCTGAAAACTTCTCTTACCACTCACAACCTTTACCACTCCTTCTCCATCTACAATGCCTTCTCCTCTGTTGTGTCTTGAACATGCCAGGCTTGCTGTCACCTCAGGGCCTTTGTTCCTGCTCTTCTTTGTCTAGAATGGTCTTTCACAAGGTAGCCACATGGCTGGCTCCTCACTTCCTCAAATGTTTATTCAAAAGTCACTTTCTTAAAGAGATCTTCCCTACATACCCCATCACAAATTTTAACCTCCAAGACATTTTATACTCCTTTCTCTTTTTTATTTTGTTCTTGTTAGCAGTTATCTCTATCTAATATCAAATGCATTTTTATTTATTTTATTGTTAAAGTTCCATGATATAAAAAAATTTTTGTTTTGTCCACAATAATTTTTAAATATATATCATCTTTTACTGTTTATTATTACCGTGGTTATTTCTTGATATTAACTAGATCCAAAACAAAGCTGTTAAAGAACAAGGCTGTTCGTAACCAGCAGATGGCAGTACAGATGGAGGGTTGAGAGGCAGCTGGAGAAAAGACAAATAGGAATAGAACAGAAGTTCTGAAAAAAGTCCAAGAGTCTGGGTCCTGCACTTAGTCTAAGAAGAGACTGTGGTGTGCTCATTGGAACGTGGAGAAGGGAAGGAATGCCAAGAAGACTCCAGGAGTCCAGTCCAGAGAAGGCACTGGGTTGCCCTTCAGGCCCTTTAAAAAGCAATGTCTTGATTTCTTTTTTAGATAGTTTATTTTTAGTGTATAGGAATGCTATTCCAAAAATAAAATAAAATAAAATAAAATAAAATAAAATATTTAGGAATAAATTTAACCATAGAGATAAAATATATGTACACAGAAAACTATAAAACATTGATGAAAATATTGAAGTCACAAGTAAGCAGAAAGATATCCCGTGTTCATGGATTGGAAGACATTTCAATATTGTTAAAATGTTCATTCTACCCAAAGTGACCAACAGATTCAATGCAGTCTCTACCAAAATTTCAATGACATTTTTCACAGTAATAGAAAAGACAATCTTAAAATTCACTACATACAGAACCACAAAAGACTCTGACTAGCCAAAGCAACCCTGAATGAAAAGAGCAAAGCTGGAGGCATCATAGTACCTAATTTCAAACTCTACTACAAAGCAATAGTAATCAAAACAGTGTGGCACTGCCATAAAAAGAGACATGTAGGTCAATGAAACAAAATAGAGAGGTCAGAAATAAACCCAGGTATGTACAGTCCATTAATTTTAAACAAGGGCAGCAAGAAGATGCTATGGAGAAAGGATAGTCTTTTCAATAAATGGCATAGGAAAAAATGGATATCCACAGCAAAAGAATAAAATTGAACCCTTATCTTTTAAAAAATCAACTGGAAATGTGTTAAAGACTTCAACATTAGATCTGAAACTGTATCTTCTGAAAGAAAAATAGCATAAGAGAAAAGCTTCTTGACATTGGTCTGGGCAATGATTTTTCAGATATGACACCAAAAGCACAGGTAAGAAAAGCAAAAATAAACAAATAGGACTACATCAAAAAAAAAAGAAAGAAAGAAAGAAAGAAAAAGCTTCTCCAGGGCAAATGAAACACTAAACAAAATGAAATGGCTTGTGTTGGGAAACAAATATTTGTGAACCATATATCTGATAAGGGGTTAACATAAGAATATGTA
Organism: Homo sapiens; assembly: GCF_000001405.40. Taxonomy (NCBI): domain Eukaryota; kingdom Metazoa; phylum Chordata; class Mammalia; order Primates; family Hominidae; genus Homo; species Homo sapiens. The sequence continues at coordinate 55,068,175 of NC_000006.12, read as the reverse complement.
AAGAACTCACACAGCTCAATAGCATATAATAGGAATAACTATAACAATAACCTCATTAAAAATGAGCAGAGGACCTGAATAGACATTTTTCCAAAGAAGACATAGAAATGAGCAACAGGTATTATATAAAAATGTGCTCAACATCACTATCATTAGAGAAACGCAAATAAAAACCACAACAAGATATCATCTCACACCTGTCAGGATGGCTTTTATCGAAAAGACAAGAAATAACAAGTGTTGGTGAGGGCATCAAGGAAAAGAAACCCTTGTACACTGTTGGTGGGGAATTCAATTTGTGCAACTATTATGGAAAAAAGTATGGAAATCCTAAAGAAATTAAACATGAAACTACCATATGACCCAGTAATTCCTCTTCTAGGTATATACTCAAAGGAGTAAAGGCACCGCCTAGTAAAGATATTTGCTTTTCCATATTAGTTACAGCAATTATTCACAATAGTCAAGATCTGAAAACAACTGAAGTATCTGTTGACAGATTAATGAATTAAAAATTTATGTATATACAATTGAATATTATTCAGCCTTAAAAAAGAGGACCTTGCCACTTGTAACAACATGGATGAACCTAGAGGATATTATGCTAAGTAAAATAAGCCAAAGACAGAAAAAAAATAATTCATGTTCTTGCTAATATGTGGAATCTTAAAAAATAATTGAAGACATAGAAACAGAGAATAGAATGGTGGTTAACGGGGGTGGGTTGGAGCAAGGGAGAAATGGGAAAATACAGGTCAAAGAATACAAACTTGCAGTTATGTAGGATGAATATATTTAGAGATCTAATGTACAATTTGAGGACTATAGTTAAAAATATTGCATTATATACTGACAATTTTCCAAAAGAGTAGGTTTTAGATACACTGGCCACAAAAAAGTAATTATATGATGATAGATATGTTAATTTGTTTGCCTGTAGTGATCACTTCATTATGTGTATGTATATCAGGATAAGTATATCAAAACATCATGTCGTGCACCTTAAATGTATGCAGTAAAAATAATTGAATAAAGGCAAAATCTTGGAGCAGAAATTTCAGAAATCTAAAGTTCCCTTGAAGAAATGTAAGCTGCTGAAATATCACAGACCAAAACAAAACAAAACAAAAAATAAATAAATAAAACAAAAAAACAGGTTTCAGAATATCAGTATATTTCACTCAGAAACCCAAGTGCTTATCATAAAGGATCGGGGCAAAATAACGAGTGCCAATGATGGAAGAAGGAAAAAGAAGTGTATGAAATCCTAAATATTCCCAAGTTACAGGGAAATTAAATAATATCCAGGCATAAAAAAGAGCCACACTGATGGCAAAAGTTACATCACTTGGTAGCTATCTGCAGCATTTGAATACTGATCCGAAATCCTGTTCCTGCCTCTTCTGGCACTGAGGGTAGCCAGTCTGGGGTTTTGGCGTGGATACTTACAGCTCTGGCGATACAGTAGTCTCATTTCTTCTTCTTACCTTTCTCCAGCCTGTACAACCCATGAGTCTACATTTCAGTAGTTTTCTACATCAAATACTACATGGGTTGGCTGTTTACTTCAGTACCTTCAATTTTTTGTCATCTTCCTTCTCTACATCCTCCTTTAGATAACTGCTGCCAGTTCTCACCCTTTCTCTTTAGCTTTCTTATGTATCTTTTCAAAGTCCTTGGGCAGTTTAATCACCTGCATGAAACCTGGAAGAAGGTCTCTAATATTGTCCTAAAATCTGAACATTTTATCCCTATATTATACATTTATGTTATCAGTACTACACAATTTGTCTGAATTTTAAAGGCAACTATACTTGTAAAATGCTAAAGATCCCACATTTATGTTTTAACATCCACACTTCTGTGATTCTGGTAGAAGTATTCACCCCAGATTCATTTTCACTGTTAGAGAATATGATACTGCTTTCGTTATCTTCCCTTTGGCATGCCATGCAATAAAGCATCTGATATTTATAGCAATGCCCTTTTTCTTTCTACATACAAAGTGTCTTTAGCTGAGAATTTTGATCCTTGTTCTATGGAACATTGTGTTCTCAGTAGCATTTCTAAATTGAGGAATCAGACTGTTAAACCTTTCTCTATTGCCCATGTTCAATGTCACCTTTCAGACTGGTTTTCAGCATGAAAGATTTTTGCCACCTGTCCTCCTGACTGCTGCCAAGTCTAGAATATTAGCTGTTGCTTTCCATTGGGCCCTTTTCCTTGCCCAGTGCTTTAGCTTGCCTATTTTTCTTGGGCTGACCTGCAGCATTCAGCCAAAAAGCCATGACTGTAACCTCTTCAAATGTGGTTTGAATCAAACATTACAAGTACCAATGTAGCTAAAAAGCCTGTGAGTAATCTTAAGTCCTTGTTAAATTAAATGACTATGCATTTGTCTTTGATGAATGATTTTGACCTTGAGTATAATCACTGCACAAACTACCTTTTGGAACAGGGCTCAATTATACCTCCTACACACACACACACACACACACACACACACACACACACACACACACACATACACCCCTATCTACAGGTGCTGAATGAGTTTGATTTTTTTTTTTACAATGAAGTCTTACAGACTCTTTCCACATTATTTGTCTCAGATCCCTTTACTTAGCTTTTAACACAACACTTAGCGTTTGACACAACTTGTGGTCTTCCACTGCAGTTATATTCTCTGTGATTTTAAAATTTACCCCCTGAAATGTTTCTACAAACACTCAGGTCTAGTCTTCCATCTCTGTTTCCCTTATGACAACACAGTTTCCATAACTCTAATTCAACAGTAGTTCATTAAGCTGATCTTCAGTGCTTGTATATAGCATGAGTTTGACCGACCCTCTTTGGATTATTCCGCTCTAGCTGTTTATACAGCCACTGTTTGGTGTCATTCTTCCTCCTCACAAGAGCAGCACACTTAATCCAAGGTCCAGGAAGCCTGCCTCAGATGGCGATAAAAAGACTGACAGCTCCATGATGTCATTATATGGTGCCCTGTCCAGTCATCTGATGCTTGCAATGGCAGGCAAAAACACTGGAAAAATACATTTGGAAGGTTAAATATAATGTCCTATATCTATTCCTATGGTAGACTGAGCAGAACCACTGTTTTGTGACTTCAATATAGAAAAATCTCAAAAAGTAATATATTTTAGATAACTTTCCTAAATTACAAATGTATTTTGCCTCAAATAACCTTTCTGCATGACCAATGAATGACAACTCCTTCTTAGCAAGGTTCTGAAAGGGTATGTGGGAGGATTTCAAGACAAATGTCATGTGAGGAAATAGCTAAGTAAGAATGTACAAAAAAAGTAATGAATTTCCTCAAGTCATTTTAGCTTTTCACAATGGGACAAGGAAGCCACATTTTTTAAAAAAGCAAATATGAAAAGCATGAATGCTACTTATCAGATTTCCTGGAAATTAGAAATATTTACAATAAAACATATTTTGAGCAGGTAGGAATTGGAAAATGATTAGCACTCAGCCTGTAGTAGTGGCTATAGGTGCAAAAGCTTTACCTGAACATGTAAAAGTCCTCAGCAATGAACCATGTGTATATTTCCATGTCTGTCAGGTTTAGGGCAATTTAAAAAGAAGAGAAAAGTTTTTAATAAAGGAGTTATTTGTTTTTCTGTTCAGAGAGATAAATAAAAGTAAGGACTCATTTCAGAGGGATATAAAACAAAGCCATGTTTTAGAAACATAGCAGCTAGGAAAGCTTTCAGCTGGTGACCTATAGGCAAAAGGAAGGAGCTAAAGTGGGAGGTATCCATCTACCGTCTAGTGCCCTCAGAGAGGCTATTCCAGAGAGATCTCTGTGAAAAAAGGGAGTCATCCCAAATTTGAGCCAAATGGATCAAACATTATTAGACCTGGGAGGAATTAGAATAATGATCTATAATAAATTTCTATTTCTTTTGGGGGAAAAATCTAAGTACCTAATACTAGATCCAACACATAATAGAGACTCAATAACTATTTGTTGAATAGAAGAAAGGAGAAAAAAATTGAGAGGTACCAAGAAAATATCTCCTTCAAGGATATACAAACATTCTGTGAAATTACTAAAATTTCAGGTAGGTCAGAAGTAATCAACCTGGACTGTAGATGTGTCATTGTTTAAAATCATTATAACACAAAGAAGAACCTGAAAAGTATAATAAACACAAAATCAGGCATTATAGAGGAAACTCCCTTAGATTTCATCTGGCCATAGCCCTACTCCCACTACTAGAGATGAATTTACCATTACCATCATTTACTTATGCATTTTTCTACATAAATTTGTAGTATAAGTTATAAAGTAATATATACTATTATTTCAAATGTTTCAAAACATCTATATAAACTATATACTCTGCATTCTTTTGCAAATTATGTTTACTTTTGAGATTATACTTATAAATTCCTCCACATTAATAAGGGTAGCATATTATTAGTTCATGCATTTTCATGACTGTATAATATTGTATTGCATAAAAATACCACAGTCCAATTATTCCTTGTCCTATTTCTAGTTGGAGGCTATTGCAAATCATGCAGCTATGAAAAGTTATAATTGATATGTCTTTACATAACTATATTTTCTTTATGGTGTTTGCCTTTAAAAATATAAATCTATTCCTACACCATTAAAGGGGGGTCTTAAATATATTTTCAAGTTACTCTTCTAAGAATTTGGAAGGTGTTCTTTTTGCATTAGTGGCTTTATCTACTTGGATTTGAGTTTTTTGCATGGTGTAAGGGGAAAAATGCAGTTTTATCATAAAATAAATGACTGTATCATGTCAGCATTAAGTATATTGTTTTATAGGTTTTGGCACATACAATTTATCAGGTTAATTTAAATATTTATATTCTTGGTGCACTGTTTTTCTATGGCTGCTATAACGAAGTACCACAAATTAAGTGGCTTAAAATAACAAAAATGTATTATCTCACAGCTCCAGCGGCTAAGAGTCTGAAATAAAGGTTTTGGCAGGCACATGCTTTCAATGAAACCTGTAGGAGAGAATATTCCCTTGCCTCTTTTAGCTGCTGATGTTTCTCAGCAATCCTTAGGATTCCTTGGCTTGTAGGTACATCATTCCAATCCCTGCCTCAATCGTCATATGACTGTTTTCTCTCTGTGTGTCTCTGTTTCTGTGTTTCTTCTCCTCTTCTTATAAGGACATCTGTTATATTGCATTAAGGACCTACCCTTCTCCAGTAGGATCTCATCTGAACTTTTATAATTACATCTGCAATAACTTTCTTTCCAAATTAGGTTCACATTCTGAGATACTGGGAGTTAGGATTTCAAAAACCTATGATTTTGGGAAGTAAATATTTAATTCATATGTTTTAGTTTACTAAAAAAAAGGAACTCTTTCGCTCTTTTTTTTTTTTTTTTTTTAAGACGGAGTCTCACTGTAACCCAGGCCAGAGTGCAGTGGCATGATCTCTGCTCACTGCAACCTCTGCCTCCCAGGTTCAAGCAGTTCTCCTGCCTCAGCCTCCCAAGCAGCTGGGATTACAGGTACACTCCACCATATCCAGATAATTTTTTTATTATTATTATTTTAGTAGAGATGGGGTTTCACCATGTTGCCCAGGCTGGTCGCGAACTCCTGAGCTCAGGCAATCCTCCCGCCTCAGCCTCCCAAAATGCTGGCATTACAGGCATGAGCTTCTGTGCCCGGCCAGATCTTTGACTCTTAGTGTGAAGCACTGGATGACTCGGATATCCTGGCTGCACTGGCCAGAGCAGGTGGGCGCACACCACAGCAACATGGTCAATCCCCATGGCAGCTCCTGGTGTCATGATTTGCATGCACCTCCTTGGCAGATTCTGGCCCTGAGCATGAAAGCAGGGCAGGGAATGAGGAAAATGCTTTACAGAGCTGAGTTACTGAGGAGAGGTCTGCCCTTGCTACCACTGGTGCCATGTCATCTGGTACATGTCATCTGGGGGCAATGGAGATCAACCTGCCTCACCTGCCACTGTGGGCTTCCACGCACACCGTTTGGAGGCCCGAGGATAGGCCTGCCCCACTTGCTACCATCAGTCTCTGCATATGTTGTCCAGGGCCCTGGGAATCTACTTACTCCATCTGCAATAACCTGTGCCTGCATGCACCATCCAGGGTCCTGATGACAAGCCCACCCTGCCCACAGCTGACATTGCCAGGCCTACAAATTTCATCCAGATCCTGAGGACAAGCTTGCCATGACCACTACTTTCTGAACACAAATATGCCATCTGGGGGCCTGGACATCAACCCACTGACACTGGTACCCATAGCACACTGAAGAGAGGCGACTCCACCTGCTGGCACCTACACAAATCTTATGGGGGCCTAGGAATTGACTCACCCCACTTGCTGCCACTGCCATTAACATACACCCTCAGGGTGTCTGAGGACAGGGTTGCCATGTCCACTGTCATCACTGCCAGCACCTGTGCTTAACATCTGGGGCCTGAGGACAAGTCTACCTCACCCACTGCTTCCTGTGCCCAACCATATTGTTTGTAGGTCTGGGAATCAATCCTACCCACCTGCCACAGCCTGTGCCTCCACACAACATCAGGGCCTGAGGCAAGCCCATACTACCGGCTGATGCTGCCACCAGCTTTCACACACAGCATCTGGGGACACAAAGATTCACCCATTCTGTCCACTACTGCTAGTGCCTATACAAACCATTCAGGAGCCTGAGAACAGGCCTACCTCACCCACTGTCACTGGCATCTGAACAGAACATTTGGGAGCCTGGTGATTGATCCACCTCACCTACCACTATAAGCATCTGCACATGCCATCTGGGGGCCTGAGGACAGGCCTTCCTGCTCACCACTGCTACCACTGGTGCCCAATTGCCAGCCTGCCTGGCATTCCCATCCCCAGCAAAGCCTAACAACGGCCTCCTCTAACAAGTGCAGTGCAAGCCACTGAGGAACTCACAGACACCACTCATGCTGATTACAGCTGAAGAAATCATATGGATACTACACTATTGCCTCCACACAGAATCAAAGCCAAAGCACCTTACCCAACCAACACTATAAATCCATCTATAGAAAAAAAAATTTTCCTAAGAAAGCCAATCCATAAACAATGAGAAAAGCAACTGTTACACTAGATGCACAAATATCTACAGAAGGACACCAAAAATATGAAAAAGCAAGGAAACATAACACTTCCAAAAGAACACAATAATTCACCAGTAACAAATTTCCTCCAAAAAGGAAAGTTATGAAATGTCTGAAAAATAAATCAAAATAATAATATTAAAGAAACTCAGTGAGATACAAGAGAACACAGATAAAAAATGCAAATAAATCAGAAAACTAATTTATGATATGAATGAGAAATTTAACAGAAGTTATTTTTTAAAAAATGAAAACCCAGAAATCCTGGAATTATATAATTCAATAAATAAAATAAAAATGCAATTGAGTGCTTCAACAATAGACTAGATCAAGCAGAAAGGCTTTCTAAACTTCATGACAGGCATTTTGAAATAACCCAGTAAGACCAAAAAGAAAAGAAAAAAAAAGGATGCAGAAAGCCTATACAACATATAGGGTGCCATAAAGCACCCAAATTTTTGAATTCGGAGATTTCCAGAAGGAGAAGAGATAATTTAAAGCATAGAAAATCTATTTAATAAAATTGGAGCTGAAAACTTCCCAAGTCTTGGAAGACATTCAGATACAGGAAACTCAAATGTCCCCAAATAGATTCAACTTGAAAACACCTTCTCCAAGGCACAGAAGTCAAACTTCCAAAAGTCAAAGACAAAGAAAGAATTTTTAAAACAGCAAGAGAAAAGATTCAAGTCACATATAAGGGAATCTCTATCATACTAACACTGGATTTCTCAGTAAAAACTTTATAGGTCTAGAGAGGACGAGATGATATATTCAAAGTGCTGAAAAAAAATTGCTAGTCAAGAATACTATACCAAGTAATGTTGTCCTTCAAAAATGAAAGAGAAATAAAGTCTTTTCCAAACAAATAATAAAAATGGAAGGAATTCATTACCATTAGACTGGCTTTACAAGAAATTCTTGAAGGAGACCTATATCTGGAAGCGAAAGAATAATATCTACCATCAGGAAAAAACAAGAAAGTATAAAACTCACTGGCAGAGAAAAGACACAAATGAAAAAGAGAAAAGAGTCAAATGTTACCACTACAGAAAATATACTCACAATAAGAGAGAAAGTAAAAAAAAGAAAGGATATACAAAATAGATAGAAAACAATTAACAAAATGTCAGGAATAAGTCCTCACTTATCAACTGTAACCTTGAAGGTAAATAGATTGAATCCCCCATCTAAAAGGTATAAACTGAATTAAAGGATAAAAACCATAATTCAACTCTGTGCTGTCTACAATAACTCACTTCATCTCTAAAGACGCATATAGACTTGAAAGTGAAGGGATGGATAAAACATTCCACACAAATGGAAACCCAAAGTGAGCAGGAGTAGCTATACTTATATCAGAAAAAACAGACAAATCACCAAGCGTAAAAAGAGACAAATAAAGTCATTATATAATGATAAATGAATCAATTCAGCAAAGGGATATAAGAATTCTAAATATATATGCACCTAACAACAGAGCACCCATATATATAAAGCTAATATTATATCTGAAGGGAGAGAGAGACTCCAATACGATAATAGTTGGGGATTTCAGCACCACATTCTTAACACAGGACAGATTATTCCGACAGAAAATTAACAAAGAAACATTGGATTTAAACTGTATTTTAGACCAAATGGACCTAACAGACACTTACAGAGCATTTCATCCAACAACTACCAAATACACATTCTTCTCATTAGCACATGGAACATTTTCCAAGATAGACCATATGCTGGCCACAAAACAAGTCTTAACAAATTTTAACACATATTTAAAAATTTAAATCATATCCAGTATCTCTCAGATCACAGTGAAAAAAGAACTAGAAATCAGTAAGAGAAGAAACTTTGGAAACTGTACAAATACGTGGAAATTAAACAACATACTCCTGAACAACTATCTTAGTCTATTTTGTGTTGCTATAAAGGAATATCTGAGATTGGATAATTTGTAAGAAAAAAAGATTTACTTGGCTCATGTTTCTGATGTTTGTAAAAGTTCAAGATTAGGTATCTATGTCTACTGAGGGCCTCAGGCTACTTTCACCCATTGCAGAAAGTGAAGAGGAGCCAGCATGTGCAGAGATCACATGACAAATCAGGAAGCAAGAGGGTGAGAGGGAGGCACCAAGATCTTTTTAACAACCAGCTATCACAGGAACTAACAGAATGAGAACTAATCCTTCACTCAACCCCCAAGGGAGGGCATTAATCTATTCATGAGGAATCCACTCAATGACCCAAATGCCTTTTATTAGGCCTGCTTCCAACATTGGGAATCATATTTCAACATGATTTTTGGTAGGGACAAACATCCAAGCTTACAGCACAATCATTAACTCAAAAAATAAATTAAGAAGAAAATTTAAAAATTTATTGAAACAAATAAAAATCGAAATACAACATACCAAAACCTATGGAATACAGCAAAAGCAGTGCTGAGAGGAAAATTTATAGCAATAAACAGCTACATAAAAAAAATTAGAAAGATGTTAAATAAACAACCTAATGATGCACCTCAAGGAACTAGAAATACAACAAACCAAACCCCAAATTACTCAGAGACAAATAATAAAGATTAAAGCATAATTAAACAAAATAGAGACTTAACAATACAAAGCATCAGTAAAACAAAAGGTTGGTTTTTTAAAAAGAAAAGCAAAATCAATAAACCACTAGTTAGACTAGAAAAGGACAAAAAAAAAGAGAGACCCAAATAAATACAATCAGAAATTAAAAAGGAGATATTACAACTGATACCACAGGATACAAAACATCATTAGAGACTACTATGAACAGCTATAATTGACAAATTAGAAAATTTGGAGAAAATGAATAAATTCCTGGACACATAAATCCTGCCAAGATTGAATCAGGAAGAAGTAGAAAACTTAAACAGACCAATAACAAGTAAGAAGATGGCATCAGTAATAAAACGTCTTCCACAAAAGAAAAGCCCAGGACCAGATGGCTTTGCTGCTGAATTCTACCAAATTTTTAAAGAACTAGCACTAATGCTTCTCAAACTATTAAAAAAAAAAAAGAAAGAGAGAAAGAAAGAAAGAAGGAAAGAGAAAGAAAGAAAGAAAGAGGGAAAGAAAGAAAAAAGAAAGAAAGAAAAAGAAAGAAAGACAGAAAGAAAGAAAGACAGGCAGAAAGAAAGGAAAGAAAGAAAGAAAGAAAGAAAGAAAGAAAGAAAGAAAGAAAGAAAGAAAGAAAGAAAGAAAGAAAGAAAAAATTGAAGAGGAGGGAATCTTCTTAACTCATTCTGCAAGGTCAGCATTATCCTGATATCCAAACTATGACAAGGACACAACCAAAAACTACATATTAATATCCCTGGTGAACATTGATGCAAAAGTACTCAATACAATACCAGCAAACTAAATTCAACAACAGATCAAGAATAGACATTTCTCAAAAGAAGATGTACAAATGACCAACAGGTATATAAAAAATGCTTCACATCACTAATCATCAGAGAAATACAAATCAAAACCACAAGATGCCATCTCACCCCAGTTAGAATGGCTATTATCAAAAAGACAAAAAATAACAGATGCTGGTAAGGATATGGGGAGAGGGAACTCTGGTACACTGTTAGAGAGAATGTAAATCAGTACACCCATAATGAAAAAGAGTATGAATATTTTCCAAATGCTAAAAACAGAACTATCATATGATCCAGCAATCCCTCTACTAGGTATTTACTGAAAAGGAAATCAGTATATCAAAAGAATACCCATGATTATTGCAGCATTGTTCACAATAGCTAAGATATAGTATCAACCTAAGTGTCCATCAATGGATGAATGGATAAAGAAAATGTGGTATCTATACTTAATGGAATGCTATTCAACCATAAACAATGAAATTCTGTCATTTGCAGCAACACGGTTGGAACTGGAGGTCAGGTTAGTGAAATAAGGCAGGCACAAAAAAACAATATCACATGTTCTCACTCATATGTGGAAGCTTAAGAAGTTGATCTCAAGGAGGTAGAGAGGAGAATGATGGTTACCAGAGGCTATGAACCATGATGGGAGGAAGGTGAAGAGAGGTTGGTTAATGGGTACAAACATACAATTAAATAGACGAAATAAGCTCTAGTGTTTGATAACACAGTAAGGTGACTATAGTTAATAATTTATTTTATATTTCAAAATAGCTAGGAAAGTTGAAATGTTCACAACAAAAAGAAATGATAAATATTTGAAGTGATGGATACTCAGATTTGATTATTACACATTTTATGCAGGTATCAAAATATCACGTCATCCCATAAATATGTACAATTATTATATATCGATTTTAAAAATATAGTTCACGGCCGGGCGCGGTGGCTCACGCCTGTAATCCCAACACTTTGGGAGGCCGAGGCGGGTGGATCACAAGGTCAGGACATCGAGACCATCCTGGCTAACTCGGTGAAACCCCGTCTCTACTAAAAATACAAAAAATTAGCTGGGCGCGGTGGCGGGAGCCTGTAGTCCCAGCTACCGGGGAGGCTGAGGCAGGAAAATGGCGTGAACCCGGGAGGCGGAGCTTGCAGTGAGCCGAGATAGCACCACTGCACTCCAGCCTGGGCGAAAGAGCGTGATTCAGTCTCAAAAAAAAAAAAAAAAAAAAAATATATATATATATATATGTATATATATATATATATATATATATTTCACAAATGAGGGCTGAATTTGGCTGAATGATTTTTTTTTTTCTGCATCCTTTGGGAGATCATGTTTTTCCACCTTTAAACTGCATTAATATAATTTGGTAGTAATCTATAATTTGTATCTATATGCATTTATATTCACATTTGGTATTGTCCACTGTTTCATTTTTATTGTAGCCCTTGGTCTCTTCTTTCATACCTCTTTCATTATTCCAGTCATTACAGGAGTCCTTTTCCATCTCATAAAGCTGCTATACAGTATTTTAGTTCTGCCTTGCTTTTTATTATCTACAAATGGTTCTTTTTTTACCGTCAATATTTATTTAGGTTTAAACTCATGTTTGTCAACATTTTACCACCTACTTCTCATACTTCAGGTCCTCCTTCTGGGATTATTTTCTTCCATTCTTAATTGTATTCTTTACAAGTGCCTATAGTAAAGTACTGTTAGTAGGAATATCTCTGGAAAGATTTTTGTTTTAATTATCGTTGTTTCTTTCATCTGAAAATGTTTTTATTTGCCCTCATTCTAAATGGATGTTTATCTGGGAACAAAGTTATAGATTAGCAATTATTTTCCCTCTGAATTCAAAGGAAGTTGTTCTACTGTCTTCTGATTTTCATGGTTGATGTTGAGGAATCCCCTGCAATTCAAATTGTCAGGGTTTTTTTGTTGTTGTTGATGATAGTTCTACTCATTCAGCTTTCAAGTTTTTTGGTGGCCTGAACTTTCACTAAAATTCCTACCAACAAATTTCACTTATCCTTTTTAAAATTCTTTAAGCTTTAGAATCTAAAGATTCATGGGTTAAAAAATACTAGCAATTTTTAATCATTATGGAAACATATATTGTGTTTCCCTCACTTGTCATATATATATGATTTATTTATTTTCGTGATATATACACATGCAAATGGTTCCCAACTTAAGATGGTTTTGACTTATGATTTTTCAACTTTACTATGAGTTTATCAATTGAACTCAGAAAAGTCGATAAAACCCCATCATAGATCAAGGAGCATCTAGGCTTATGATGGTTCAATTCACTTTTTTTTTCAATGTACAATGGGTTTATCAGAGTATTAAATGCATTTTGATTTACAATATTTTTGACTTATGATGGGTTTATTGAGATGTAACATCATCGAGCTACATTTGTATATGCAAGATAGTATAAAATATTAATAGACAAATCTAGGAAAATATTATAGAGATATTCCTTATATTATTTTTGTCTTTATAATTTTTAGAAGTTTGAAATTATCATGTAAACTAAAAAAAAAAGTCTATTTTGCTTATACTCACTTGTTCTTTGCTATTTTCATTCCTTTTAAAGTTTACCTATTTTGACTAAACTTTTTTTTATATATTCTAAATATATCCTATCTTCTCATCTGTAAAATCCTTAGGATAGCTATTTTGACATCTATTGTTTCTGCTCATACTCACTCGGTTTGTTTCCTTAGGTGTTTTGTAGCTCTTTTTATTGGAGAGTTTATTCAACTGCCTGATGTAAATTCATGGATATTTTTAAGGCCTGTGCTGAAGTTACTTTATTTCAAAGAAGAATTATATGTATTTTATTGTGAAGCGAATTGTGTCCCCTCTAAATGTATTTATTGAATCCCTAATCCCCAGTGTGACTATCTTTGAAAAGAAGGACTTCAAAGATGCAATTAAGATTAAATGAGGTCATATGGGTAGGGTCCTAATATGATACGACTGGTGCTTCTATAAGAAGAGAAAGATACGCTAAGGGTTTGTACATGTATTCTCTAGGCCATGTGAGGACACAGCAAGAAGACAGCTGTCTACAAGCCAAGAAAACATATCTCAGGAGGACGCACACATGCTAACACTTTAGTCTCGGACTTCCAGCCTTCAGAGAGTGAGAAAATGAGTTAAAGCCACACAGTTTGTGGTATTCTGTCACAGCGACCCTAGCAAACTAACACAGTCAGACCTTCACATCCACAGGTTCTACATCCATGGATGATACTAACAGTAGACTAAAAATATTCAAAGAAAATTAATAAAAATAACAATACAACAATAAAGATACAAATAAAATTATAGTATAACAACGATGTTGATAGCATTTGCATTGTATTGGGTATTATAGGTAATCTAAAGAAGATTTTGAAATATATGGGAGATATGTGCAGGTTATATACAAATGCAACATCATTTCATATGAGGGACTTCTAAGAATTTTGGTATCCACAAGAGTCCTGGAACCAATCCTTGGAACCCCAGGACTCTACCAATCCTGGACAATCTTAGGTTCATATTTCAGCTTAGGCTCTCCTACAATGTGTGTGACATATAAAGTGAACCCTAACCCATGTGAAGCCAAGATTTGGTTTTACTTTTCAAGGGTAAATGTGTATGTATGTATGTATCTATCTATTTAAGTCACAGCAGAAGCCACAACGCTGAAGTATCGATTATCGTGGGCATATTATTTTCTGCTCCTTTTTTTTCTAAATACGCCTTATGTCTGTCCTGAACTTGAAGCTTCATCTCCTTTCCTCTGTGCACTTCGTAAAACTCCAATGCTAGAGGTTACTAATATCAGCAACATTCTCAGGCATCTATATTTTTATATCTTATTTATCACTCTTTTTAAAAAAGAAAATAGATAACTAACTTAGAACAGGATGTTAATAGCAGTACACATTTGTAGAAAAATGTATACCACATATATGGAAGTTTGGGCTTGATTTTTTTACCTCTGAAATATCTATTTACCTCCTAAATATCTAAGCCTGCATCTTTGTCATTATGGTTGTGGCTACTATCACAATTAAAAGATTAAAAAAAAAAAAAAACTTTCAGAAAGTGTCCTGAACATTTGGCAACTATTTATAACTCCATATTTTTAAAATCTAAAATGTATTTTTTCACATTTTAATTTTTCTGAAATTGGAATGAGTCTTACCCATTCATAGGCATATTTAATGTCACAGTATTTTTCTGAAAAATTTGATAAATCACTTAGTACAAAATTTTATTTTTTGTTATCTATATAGTTGCAATCTCCTTTAGGGTTAGTTCCTAATTCTCTTTGGATGCCCATAGAACCAAAAATCTGGTGTTAATGATGGACATTGACCTTAATAACAAATAAGCTAACTTGAGTTGTATGACAGTGCAGACTCAGAACACTGTGGTGCTACAGGAGGACTTTGCTAAACTTAGGGCAGAAAATGCACTCCAGTAAGAGGGGAGACCCTAGAGAGAAAAATCCAATGCTCTAAACAAGCCCTAAATAATGAGTAATTGTTAGCCATTGTGAAATATGGATAAGAATGTTAGAGCAAACAGTATTCTCAAAAGCTCCCAGGCAGAAGCTAACATTTCAGATCTGCATTTAGTTCATGGAATTGGAATGAGAGAGAAATAAGATGAGACCTGGGAGTAAAGCAGGGACCAGAGTGTGTAAACCAGGGATAAATCAGATGTCAGTTAATTGTGAGCCATGAAAAGGATTTGGGCTTTGAAACAACAGGCAATGGGAACCATTCTGTAAATCGGGCTGCTTTTGTTTGAAGCAGTAGAACTTAAAATTAAATTTGAAGCACTGTAGAGATCAGTTAAAGTAAAGGCCCCTGAGTCAGGCAACCTAGGCTTGCTCCCCAGCTTCCCTAGTTTTAGGGTGAATTTGGCCAAATGTTTAACTTCTCCACGTGTCAGGCTGTGTCTGAAAAAGAAAATGACAATAGTACTCCATCTTAGAGTTTTTTAAGATAACTTACCTGGTACCAAGTAAATGCAGAATAAACTCTAACCACTATTATTTAAGTATTTTTAAAGCCATCTAATAGAAGGATAGAAAATTATTTGATAAGAATTCAACCTTGAGGTAGAGAAAATGGTTAAAAGACTATTTGAAGTAGTTCATGTTACCGAAGATACTATTATAAATTAAGGTTGACAGCATGGATGCAGAGAAAGTGGCAGACTTTAGAGAAAACTTTACATGCCACTCATTTGTTATTTTAATACATACTTTCTTTTGATATATTTCGTGTTGAAATATTGTCATTTAGTATGGCAATTCAGGCATCTTGGTGACACACATTATGTAATTTATTTAGTTGAATCTGTCCAGAGCAATCTAAGGACACTGTGGCTACTCAATAAATAAAGTCTTGTAGAAGGACAAAAAGGAGGGTAGAAGGCAGAGAGGGGAAGGAAGGAAAGAAGCAAAAAAAGGCAGGGAGGGAGGTAAGGAGGCAGAGAAGTAAGAAAGATTAGTATATATCAGGTTTTTCTAGCATTTTAGTCTTCAAGGGGATGGTATTAGGAAATGAAGACCAGGAATCTGATTAGATTGCGGTTGAATTTCCTTTAAGAATTTGTGTTATGCTTCAGATATTCGATTTGACCTAGATTGCCTGAGAATACCCTATAAAGTATAGAAAGGATTCAATCATCCAGAGATACCCCAGTGTGTGTGAGAAACCCCTAGAAGAATTCTAGGCTACATCAGTCCAAAAGTCAATCTAGGCATCTCCCTGCCTGTCCCAGTTAATAATGGTACAGGTTACTCGCTCCCTTCTCCCTAATTTAAGCCTACAAAAAATAAAACTAAGACTTATTTTGAAGATATATTTTCTTCTCTGTTCAAACATGTCCAGCAGGAAAATCTTGTAAATTGCAGTGATTATCTATTTCAATAATGACAAAATGTCCTAGTGACTTATTTAGAATTATTTCATGTTAGTGAAGAGTCACAAAATTAAATAACCAATTCTTTATACCACTTTTTTCTAAGATAGAGTGTTT
Source organism: Homo sapiens (assembly GCF_000001405.40). NCBI lineage: Eukaryota > Metazoa > Chordata > Mammalia > Primates > Hominidae > Homo > Homo sapiens. Next base: position 55,051,558 of record NC_000006.12, on the reverse strand, counting down.
TTTGGCCAGGCGTGGTGGCTCACACCTGTAATCCCAGCACTTTGGGAGGCTAAGGTGGGCAGATCACTTGAGGTCAGGAGTTTGACACCAGCCTGTCCAACATGGTAAAACCCCATCTCTACTAAAAATAAAAAAATTAGCCTGGCCTGGTGGTGCATGCCTATAATCTCAGCTACTTGGGAGGCTGAGGCAGGAGAATTGCTTGAACCCAAAAGGTAGAGGTTTCAGTGAGCCCAGATCACACTGCTACACTCCAGCCTGGATGACAGAGTGAGACTCGTCTCAAAAAAAAAAAAAAAAAAAAAAATAGTTTAACTAATTTTAAACTCTGAACAAGTAACTTAATTATCTAGGCCTTGAATTCTCACCTCTAATATTCTTTTGTTTATTACAGTGAATACACAACAACACTAAACGTAAGTTGAAGAGGAGCATACATGCTATATTTTTTGCTAATCATTTCAAAAGGATAAAATGGTTATGTACAACTGGAGCCCTGTATTCTAAGAAAGCTAATTTAAAAGATGTCATTTGCCCTGCTAGACTTACAAAGCTCACTGAAACCGAGAGGAGTTGTTACCTTGCTTCTTTTGGGAAGCGTGACTCTAACATCTAAAATCCCTTTGGCACAGTTCTACAAACGTGAAAACAAAGGTCTCATTTATTTAAAATATAGCCAAATTACCAGTGAAATATCCTAGTAACAAAATGTAGTCCTCATCAAAATGTGCTTAAGCTAACTCTGAGTGTTTTCCAGGGACTTTTCTTTCCTGAGCCTACAAATAAGACCTTTGGTGTTTTGGTCCCATTTCCACATTTTTCTGCCATGCTGGTAATTTTGTTTCTGTTGGTCAAAGCTCTCTCCTACTGGTGACCATCCATACTACTTGACTAGTGCCCAAACATCCACAGCCCCCCTTACCTGAACAAACCCTTGTTAGTAACCCAGCCTTTCTAAATAGCTAGGAGAAATTCACCACCATCCCCAGTGACATTAGGTCTCTCTACTCCTATTAATAATAACTGGACAGGCTGGGTGTGGTGGCTCACGCCTGTAATCCCAGCACTTTGGGAGGCCGAGGCAGGTGGATCACCTGAGGTCAGGAGTTCAAGACCAGGCTGGCCAACATGGCAAAACCTCGTCTCTACTAAATAAGACAAATAAAATTAGCCGAGTGTGGTGGTGGGTGCCTGTAATCCCAGCTACTTGGGAGGCTGAGGCAGGAGAATTGCTTGAACCCGGGAGGTAGAGGTTGCAGTGAGCTGAGATTGCGCCATTGCACTCCAGCCTGGATGACAGAGCAAGACTCTGTCTCAAAATAATAATAATAATAATAATAATAATAATAACTGGACAATACTCTGCTCAAAGACACTAAGTTTTTTCTCCGACTTCTTTACTTGACATTCATAGTTTAAATTCTGTCCATTTAATCCTTCCTCACAAATAACCTCTTCCCAGTAGAACTGAAAGTGAAAATGTTTGTTCTCCTAAAGGCAGCTCTGTCCTCCCATACCCACATGGATGTGATCTGATTCTTTTGTCCCAATCAGTCAGTCACAAAAATAGCTTGATATGGTACATGTTCCTAATCTTTTACATGGTCTTCTTCTTATGTTTCTTTGGCTTTTCCCACAACATACTTATGAAGAAAACATCACTTTTCCATACTCTGTCTCTCTCTTCAAATGCTATAGTTATTTAATTAGTAAGCCAATACAAAATTAACTGAAAACCCAAATAGCAGTTGTTTTAAGATTCCTTCTTTTAAAAGTGTATACAGAAGCAATAAGTACCATATTTGAATATGTAAGAAATATCTAAAGATATATATATATACACACATACATTTTATCCTATATATATAAATATATGAATATATATATATATATATATATTCAGTATAATTGACTTATTGTAGTTACTCTGGAAGGAAGTGTGTAGTCAATTGTTTTCCATTATCCTCAGTAACTTTCCAATGCTTTTCCTTCTAAGAGCAATGCTTTTCTCCCACAAAACGTATGTAACTACTGACGATACTTCAAAAAATGTTAGAAACAAAAACTTTAAAAAAAACCCTTTGTACAATACAAATTATCTTCCCGATGTTCTAGTAGAATAGTTCAGACCATCAGAGTATTTTGTATATACTATTTAATAGCAAATTATAAATGATTAAAAGGCATATGCTGTGTAATATAAAACTACTAATGTTAATGTTGACTGGTTATCCAAAAATTTCTACATATGTGTAGAATTAAGGTTTTATGGAGCACCAGAATTGATGACATGAATGCACTCTGTTGAAAAGGTGGCTAGAACTCAGAGGGTATGATGTCTAGTTCTGGTATTGTCCTTTGCTCTGTGTATAAGACATTTATTTTTACCTTCACATTGCTGTTGGGTGACTGAAATGAAATAACATTTAAAAACAATTTGTAAAGCATAATACATTTTACAAATAAAATGCATTATTATAAAAAGAATGCTTTATGAGCTATAAGCCATGCAAGAAATGTGTTTTCATTATTTTCAGCACTCCATATAATTAGATGGGCTTGATGCTTTCGATGTAATTTCAACCATGAATTTTTGTTCTTGTTGGACAGGTGATTCTCAATTATTACTGTTATTTAAATTTCTACTCTAGTAATGACACTGTCCATAACCAGCACTTAAAATCTGAGGCAAAACTGTAAAAATCTGAAGCAAAACTGTATACTTTTGTTTGCCCTCTCCTTTCTTGCTGCCTTGTGGGAGCATCACATCTTTATGGGATTTAGTGGAGGGCATGGAGGAATCCCAGTGACTGGTCTCCACAGGAACAAATCAGCTGAGCTTTGATACAACAGTGAAAAGCAAGGAGTTTTATCACATTTGTTTAAAATCTTCTCCAAGATATAAAGATGATTGCAATCTAATTTGAGTTCATGTTTTGTCTCATACTATTCAGTGAATACAACTTTTCAAAACTTAGATTCGTGAATCTGAATGTGAGAATAGCAAGATCTTTACACACACAATAAGATGTATTGAGATCTTAATATGTGAAAAGCCTTGTTCTAAGTGCTTTACATATGTTAACTGGCTTAATCCATAAGACTTTCATAACTGAGAATATATAATTTTCATTCCCAGTTTAAAGATGTAAAATAGAGGCATTAAATGATTAAATAGCTTATCTGAGATCACACTGTATGTAGTAGACTAGATGTAGTAGACAACAGAGCTGGGCTTCACACTTCACTCATACCGTTTGGCTCCACAATCTATACTCCCCAGCCGCTAAACTGTACTTTTTTTTTAAGGGAGCTGATTTTTTTAAGGGAACTAATGATCCAAGTGACAAAGGATTATTTATCTTGTCTCAAAACATCCACTGGAAGGTCCAGAGAAGCCACTGCTATATATACACATGACCCATTATATTTCTGAATATCTGCTTGCCATCCCATTATCTCAAAATGTCATTTCCACAAGTATTTTTGAAACAAAGCATCTGTACAAATGGCTGAGTCATTCATCATGAAAATGATCAATAAAACCTGGTAATTTTCATCAACTGAATGAAGCATTAGAAGTAGAACTGTGACAATTTAAAAGCATATATATATATAAATTTATATTCTTTCTGTAGATATATAGGACACTATGAACAAAGATAAGGGATGTAAAAGCTGACAGTCACAGTCACCGCTGAGAGGAAATGGGTGTCACAGAACACCACAGACTATAGTGTAATTTAATATTTTAAGTAAAAAATTAGAAGGATGAATCATTTTATCTAGTGCCAGATTTCCTAGATATATAATAGAATATGACTGAAAAGTGACTCCCTAAAGTCCACAAAGTCACAAAGCCACCATGTGAGAGAACCTATTAATGAACTTAAATGTGGACACCAAGAATAGACAGGAATGAGTCACATTCTCTGCGAAAAGAAAAAAGGAGAAGAGGAAACCCTTACTCAGAAAGAGTTTTGAGGAACCTGTGACATTTGCTGCCACCTTCCTTTTTTGGGTCTGTAAGAAATTACACAGTATTTCAGAGTTTCATTCTGCACAGTTTTTGTAGCAATATTATGTTTTCAAAGTGAGGGTGAAAACTGGGATTGTGTGGGCTATATGGGTAAAGAAAGACTTGCTTACAATGACCTAGAAGGCCAGCCCCATTGAAGTGACATGCCCCTTTGGGGACTCAAATCTTGCTTTTGTCAATGATTGTCCATCCTGTTGAACACTAGAAACCTTTCAAGAGATTTTAAAAATTGCAATGCCCAGGCTGCACCTAAGAATAATTAAAAACTCTGAGGTTGGGATTCACGAATCAGTATTTTTTTTAAGGCTGTTAAGGTCGAAAACTCTTCTTGTGTGTTTCTCAAACTTTAGCTTGCATCACAATCACCTGGAGGATTTGTTAAAACACAGACTCCTGGGCCCTAAGCCCCAGAGTTTCTGATTTAGGTCTGGGCTGGGATCCAAGAGTTTGTATTTCTAACAAGTGTTAAGCAGTTGCTGCAGCTCCTGCTGTTTGGGACAACGAAAGATAAGAATTTGACCTCTGTTACTGGGGAACAGAGCTACTATAAGAGTTAATCACATTGAATTGAGATGGGCTTGCTCCTAGGCTGGTCTCGCTCTTTACCTAAATGCTTTGGAAACCCTGTAGAGCTTGGGACTGTGTACCTAGTATGCTTCGATGATGACTAAACCATAACCTCTCTGGATATCCTAACCTGACCTATGATTGACATCTACTCATGATACTGATCTTCCAACTCATTGTCAACTAGGTGTTATTTACACAATATTGGTAGTCTTATTGGAGATCACAGCTAGTTTAGCTCAACTATGCTTTGCCTTTCCATGACCTTCTGGAGTAATGATGATGTCTACGTTTGAAACTACACTTTCAGAGAAGTTTGATGTAAAAAAAAAATCCTGTTTCCCTTTCTTCCATATTTAAGGTTAAGGCCCCTCCCTCTTAACCTCTACCCTCACTCCACCTTGCCCCCCCATTCTCCCATCTCCCCAACTGGGCAAAAGAATTAGCTGCCTTTAAAAAATGTATTAAATGAAATAATATCTAATCTGTTATTTCAAATCCTCTGCTGCTCTGGCACTTTTTTAAAAATACATTGTTCTGTTTTTTATTTAGGAAAGTTAAAATAATGGTGAACAAGAATGCCACTGTGATGTGTGTCTTTATGAAAACATTTTTTTCTGCACTCAGAAACAATTTTTTAAAATAAATTTTCTTTACTTTTCTCACAAATTATTTCTGGTATTTTGAAATGTGCACCAGACTTCCTAGAATAAACACCTATTTCTCTGCCATTTTAAAATCTCTGTGTCATCAACTGCTCTATATATAGTCTAAGTTTTGTGGAGAATGAGTTGAGAATAAATTTAAAACTATTTTCAATAAAATCAAATTTTTAAAGGAAAGACAGGGCCAGGCGCAGCGGCTCACGCCTATAATACCAGCACTTTGGGAGGCTGAGGCGGGCGGATCACGAGGTCAGGAGTTTGAGAGAAGCCTGGCCAAACCCCGTCTCTACTAAAAATACAAAAATTAGCCAGCCATGATGGTGCATGCCTGTAATCCCAGCTACTCAGGGGGCTGAGGCAGGAGAATCACTTGAACCCAAGAGGTGGAGGTTGCAGTGAGCTGAGATCTCACAATTGTACTCCAGCCTAGGTGACAGAGCAAGACTCTGTGAAAGAAAGAAAGAAAGAAGAAAGAAAGAAAGAAAGAAAGAAAGAAAGAAAGAAAGAAAGAAAGAAAGAAAGAAAGAAAGAGAGAGAGAGAGAGAAAGGAAGGAAGGAAGGAAGGAAGGAAGGAAGGAAGGAAGGAAAGAAAGAGAGAAAGAGAGAAAAAGAAAGGAAGAAAGGGAAAGAAAAGAAAGAGAAAGAAAGAAAGAAGGATAAAGAAGGAAAGGAAAGGAAAGGAAAGGAAAGGAAAAGAAAAGAAAGACAAAAGTAGATTCTCCATTGGGTTACGTTATTTTAAAAGAGTCATATAATGTTTGAATAAATTGTACTGATTTGGTTCTCAGATTTCCAGAAAGATCTTTCTCCTTGAATAAGAATTCGATTTAAAGACAAAACTAAAGTGAACGGTACCAGTTATATTCATTTTGCCTTCCTACACCATTTTCTTGAAAAGGGGTGCTTTTTTAAATTTTCTTTCAAAGAGAGAGAGAAACGAGAGAATTACTAATTTATTCTCTTCAATCTTTAATTGAAGAAAAATGTCCTTAAAAATAAGCTAAAATGCAGTTTTATTGACTAAGTAAAACTTTCTCTTTGGTTTCAACTATGCTGTCTTAGCTAGAATGAAATTCCAAAGTAATCAGTAAGAAATACTCTTTCTTTTTACAATACAACAGCATGAATATAAGCTTTAAATATATTTAAACTAGTTTGGCACATCTGAAATTCAAGAAGAGATTTTTAATAGTGATTCTACTTATAAGAAGGCCATGACTTTCATTTGGGCCACTATGATGAATGATTTACGCAATAAACTCTAAGTTGAGGTAATATATTTTTTCTTGTGAGTGAAAAAAAAATGTTTTAAGAGTTGCATTCTAAAAGGGTGTGTTTTGTTTGCATGTATATGTGTTTTATAGAGAGTTCCTATTCAGCATTCCTTTCCTTTTTGACTAATAGGATGTATCCTTATTTCTCAGTTGTATATTTAATTCTATTTTTATGCTTTAAGGAATTTTGAATGTGAGCACATAATAACTGGGAAACAAGCATCAACATCATAAATAGTGCTTTCATTTATTTAGACATATTTCTAGAAGAGCAAAGAACTGCTCTTCAGTTCATTGGAGAGGCACACAAAATACTGGATTCTTCAGTGGAAGATTATGTAATTCCTATGGAAGTGTACTGCCACATCTCCTATATCTAATTTATCAGTAAGTCCATTTAATTCTATTTCCAATATTTGCTCAGTCCACTACTTACTTCTACAACCATTTCTTCCACACAATCCCTTTCTTACTTTAGAATATTTCTGGAGCCTTCCAGCCAGTCTCCTTGACTGTACTTTTCTGATTCATTTTTCACACAGAAAGCAGAGTGACCTTTCTAAAACATTATTTTTCTTTGTTTAAAACCTTTAGAAGGTCTCCCATTGGGATTAGCATGAAATCCTACAAGGCCAAAAAAGATGATCTTTCTCCCTGTCTTTATAATTTTACTTCAAACCACTGAGCTCTCACTCTTAGTGAGTGAGAGCTCCTGTTCTTTTTCAGCTTCTAATCTCTTTTTTAACTCAAGACTTTGCTAGGAGCACTCTGTCTTCCACTCTTTGCTTAGAGGGTTTCCTCTTATCATCCATATCTCAAATTAATTATCATCTCTGATTTTTCTTGATCGTGCCATCTAAAGTATTTTCCTTTACATTCTATAGACCACTGAAGTCTTTTTATAGTTTCTCTCATAAAATGTTTCCCAAGTAGCAATTACATTTTTATTATTTGACCTTAGGAATTATACTCCTAATATTATCACTATGGTAGAGCTTATCACAAACTTTAATTATGTATTGTTTGGTTATTTGTTAGTCTTCTCGTCCATTAGATTACACGGTCTGTGAGGTAGGGACCATGCCTGTTTGCTTAGCCTATTTATTTACAATAGCCAGCATAATATAGGGCCCAAAAGAGGAACCTACAAAAACATGTTTAATGTATGAATAAATGTGAAGATACATTAATAACATCTACCATATAGCCTCTTTTTGCTCTTAAATATTAGAAACGTCTTTAGTTTGCAATCGTCTCTTAAGTATTAATTTTATAGACAAATGAAATTGTATCAAACTAAAAGGTTTCTGCACACCAAAAGAAAAAATCAACAGAATGAAAAGACAACTTAAGGACGGGAGAAAATATTTACAAACTTTTTATCCAACAAGGAATTAATATCCAGAATATACAAGAAACACAAGCAACTCAACAGCAAAACAAACAAACACACAAATAATTCAGTTAAAAATGAACAAACAATCTGAGAAGACATTTCTCAAAAGAAGACATACAAATGGACAACAAATTTATCTTTTAAATGCCTAACAACATTTCATTCAGGGAAATGCAAACAAAACCACAATGAGATATCATCTCACTCCAGTTAAAATGGCTATTACCAAAAAGACAAAACAAAACAAAACAACAACAACAACAACAAAATGGTAGTGAGAATGTGGAGAAAAAGGAACTCTTACATACTATTGGAGGGAATGTAAACTGGTACAGCCATTATGGAGAATGATATGGAATTTCCTCAAAAACCTACAACTAGAACTATCATATGGTCCAGCAATTCTACTACTGGGTGTATATCCAAAGAAAAGGAAATCAGTGTATTGAAGAGATATCTGCACTCCCATGTTTGTTACAGCACAACTCACAATAGCTAAGATATGGAATCAACCTGCGTCCATCAACAGATGAATGGATAAAGACAATATGGCATATATGCACAATAGAATACTATTTAGCCGTGGGGAAGAATGAAATACACAGCAACATGGATGAACCTGGAGATCATTATGTTAAGTAAAATAAGCTAGAAACAGAAAGTGAGAAAGCCACGTTCTCACTCATATGCAGAAGCTAAAAATGTTGCTCTCACAGAAGTAAGCAGTAGACTAATGTTTACTAGAGACTGAGAAAGTGGGACTGAGGATAGGGTAGGGATAGATCTGTTAAGGAATATAAAATTACAATTAGATAGGAGGAATAAGTTCTAGTGTTCTATAGCACTAGAGGCTGACTATAGTTAACAATAATTTATTATATATTTTCAGATAGCTAGAAGAGAGGATATTGAATGTTCCCAACGCAAAGAAATGATTACTATTTTAGGTGCCAGATATGCATATTGCCCTGATTTGGTCACTGCACATTGTATATATCAAAATATCACTTATGTACCTCCTAAATATATATGTGTACTATGTTTATTTACAAAATAAAGTGTTTTTAATAATGAGTTAATAACGTCTAAGAAAAAAGTTTAAAAATAAACCACAGAATACCCACTTGTTATCAGCTGAAAATTGCATTAACCAAAATGTCACTATTCAGATTGCTATTAAAATGTACTAAATAACCAACAGATACAACCTAATGTAGTTAAAGCTACTAGGTTACAGAAAAGTTCCATATGGCATTAGATAATGTTTTCATTCTCTTGAAAGTCTGTATCTCTAAAACAATGCCTTTATGTCTTGATATAAAAAGGCATATTAATAGGATTTACTAGTAAATCTAATTTATATAACCAATTCTTCAGTTGAAATTATTTAATGTAATTTATTTGTGCTCTGAGGAAATCCATTAAAGTATCAAATGAAAAACAGCAAATAATTACCTAAAGAAGTTATTACTTCTTTATAGTAAACAAAATTTGAAGCACATTCTGATATTACATTATTGATAGGGATGCTACTCTACAAGTAAATTTCTCTATAAAAGCATGTCATGACTAATGTTTTGAAAGGTTTCTGAGAAACTCAGCAGGGAACTTCTCAAGGTATTTTAAAAGATCACTTCCATGAAGGCTCTGTGCTTCAGCTTTGCAGATTTGGAAATCAGATAAAAACATTTATTTTTAAAAGATCTAATATATAGATTCAATGAGACTTCTGTGCTAGGCACATAATAAAACAAAAAGATAAATTAGTCTCAATTCCACATCTCTCATTCTCCACTTTAAATCTATTTTAATTAGACTTTTACTTCCTCTCCTATTTCATCAAAGTTTCCTTGATAGTGTCACCGATGATCTCCACATTTCTGAATATAATTAAAAATTCACAATCTTCAACCTGTTGCACAATCAGGGGCATTTAAAACAATTAATTAATTACTCCTTTGTATAGAAAACAATTTCTTGACTTGGTTTCCAGGATATTTCAATCTGTTAATTTCCTGACTGGTCACTCTTTCACAGTTTCTTTTGTTGAGACATTTTTGTTCTTATCTCCAGCCTCTAAAAGTGAAATTTTGCAGGGCTTGTTTCTTGGATACCTTCTATTCTTTATCTGCAGTCATTCTCCTTGTAACCTCACCCAGTTTAATATCCTTAAATACCCTCTGTATGACAATGACTCCCAAGTTTGCTAGGGCTGCCATAATAAAGCAACACAATCTGGGTGGATTAAACAATAGAAATTCATTTTTCTCACAATTCTGGAAACTAGAAATTCAAGATCAAGGTATCAGTAGGGTTGGTTTCTTCTGAGACCTCTCTTTTTGGCTTGTAGATGGCTGCCTTCTCTGTGTGTGTGTCTGTGTCCTAATATCCTCATCTATGACACCAGTCATTGGATTAGGGCCCATCCCAATCACTTCATTTTAACTAAATTATCTCTTTCAAGGCCCTATATCCACGTAAACTTACAATTTATGTGGGGAGCTAGGTGTTCACAACATGAATTTTGAGAAGACCACAATTCTTCCCATAGTAATGTCCAAAACCAATTTACTCAAATTCTCTCACAAGCCTGTAATGTGCCAGTCTTTTCCAAGAAGGAAGTGGCAATTTTATCCTTCTAGTTGCTGTGGTCATAAACTTTGGAATCATCCCTGACTCTTCTTTTTCTCTTATTCCCACATCTAGCTCATTAGTAAATCGCACTGGTCCACACTTAGAAAATATACCCAAAGTCTGATATTTTTGCACTGTCTCTACTGCTATGACATTAGCTGATCTATCACTATCTCTTGCCTTGATTATTTCAATAGCTTTTTAACTGGCCAACTTTCTTCCACCTTTGTCCTCCTATATTCTATTCCTAGCTCAACAGCTAGAGCAAGACCTTTGACATGAAGTAAATGCATATCATTTCTCTTCTCAAAATCTTTCAGTGACTCACTTTTCACTTACAATAACATCAATCCTTAAAATGGCCAATAAGGCTTTCCATGGTGTGCACCTCTTACCTTCTCACGTTATTTCCCACTATACTCCTTCTTATTCACTCAGCTTCAGCCACACCAAACTCCATGTTTTCACTTTAAAAGTCTAGGCACTTTCCTGGGCATCATGAAGTCTCCTTACAAAGACCATTAGTGAAAGCTGTTGACCATATGAAGCCGAATTTATTAAATGTGTTGAACATAGGAGAGCACTGCTTTGGCAGAGTCTCAGAAGTGTCTCAAAAGAGGAATTTGAGGTTGCAGTTAGTCATATAGAGTGGTTTTAGGGAATTTGAAGGTTGAAGTTAGTCATATAGAGTGGTTTTAGGGAAAAAGTTAGTAAAGAAGATCTAGCAGAGATTGGTGAGAATTTGTAAACTACTGAAGTTGCTCAACCAGTCAGTGGGCTTTGGAACACGTTAAGTCCTGTTATATCAGTTTCTCTTTTATTTTAACTTGGAATATATGGGTCTGAACTGTTGATGTTCAATTGGAATTTAGTTTGTGTTGTATGTCAGTTTCATCTAGTTCTTCTGTTTTACAAGTCAGTATAAGTTTAAGACTCACTTATTTTGATGACTAATGCCTCTTAAAAAATAGTTTTTGTTAAAACTTTCACCCTCAAAAGTTTCCTGGTTTATGTATTAAATAATAATATAAGCTTATACATAGATCACATCTGTTGATTTTGTCTTACAAGGACTCATTCATTCTTCATGTAAGTAATAATTCCAATTTTTGGGGAAAGCATTTCTTCCTGTTCTTAACCCCCGTAATTCAGAGAGCTTGCACCACTCCTAATCCACAATTATGGTAGACATTGAAATGAAACAGGGACCCCTCTTAGGAAGGTGCTAGGTATCCCCTCCCAAACACGAAAATTAAAAAAAAAAAAATCTCGAATTTTTTCAAAGGAAATTCCAGACACCTAGCAAGCCCCACAAAATAAATAACAAAAAGATAACAGTAGCTTAAAATAATAGCCAAAATATAACAGAGTCACAAGAATAATTCCCTATAAAAACTGAAGATAACATCTTAACATACGTCCCTGAGCTGTTTTTCAAAAAACCCAGACCCCCACCAAACATATATCTCAGATAAGGAGGTTTATGTCTTTATGTGTTGACACATAGACCTCAAATAAGAGAGAGATGAAGACTAAACTCTGACCACTTTCCTTTGTTCTAAATTTCTTCCTGTGGAGGCCCAAAAAAGTCACTCTCATGAGCCAGAGCAAACTTTATCTTCTGCTAATTCCAAATTTTTAGACAAAGTTTCACTTCCGTAACCAATCTCAAATCAAAAAATCTAAATCCACCTATAACTTGTGGACCTGTGGTTCCTCGCTTTGAGATGTCTCCCACTTTAGGTCAAAACAACGTGTAGCCCCTCTATGTTGACTTATAACTTTGCCCATAACCTCTGCCTCTCAATCTTTAAAAGCCCTTATCTTATAAGCCATATGGGAGTTTGGGTCTTAAACATTATCTGTCCAACTCTCCTTACTTGGTGCTCTCCAATAAATGTCTCAGTTTCTGTCACTTCAATACCAATGACCATGTTTGGCTTTACTGCCTTGAGCAGGCACACCTGAGTTCAGTTGGGTAACATGTTCCCAACCAGGTCACTCAGAGCAATTCATTTTCCTGGCTCCAATGTTGGTTCTAAGATGTTCATATAACCTAATCTAGGACAAAAACCACAGATGCAGGGACCTCAACTGGACCTATTGGGGACTCCCCCCCACCCCCCCACAGAGATAATAAATTGTTTTTTTGCAAGCCTGAAGATACTGGTTGATGTCCTACTTGAGAATGAAGTCAATGCCAAAGAAAGAAGATTTCTGACGAGATTATTTGAACATCAGACTTATTATTAAATGTAGAAATATAGAAAAACTTCAGATTTTCAACAAGGTAAGGCAGAAAAAATTCTTAAAAGTCCTTTGCTGGCCCGGTGCAGTGGCGCACACTTGTAATCCCAGCACTTTGGGAGGCCGAGGCAGGCGGATTACAAGGTCAGGAGATCAAGACCATCCTGGCTAACATGGTGAAACCACATCTCCACTAAAAATACCAAAAAATTAGCTGGGCTTGGTGGCAGGCGCCTGTAGTCCCAGCTACTTGGGAGGCTGAGGCGGAGAATGGCTTGAACCCGGGAGGCGGAACTTGCAGTGAGCCGAGATCGCGCCACTGCCCTCCAGCATGGGTGACAGAGCAAGACTCCATCTGAAAAAAAATAAAATAAAATTCTACAAATCCTATAGAGTTTAGCAATAGAATACTGCCAGATTTGAAGGACTTTGAACATCTTTGGTTTTCTGTTAATCACTAATAACAAAGCATAAAAATAATAAGCAATTGAAACTATATAGAAGCAAAGTTTCTACGTATCACTAGATTATGTTAATATGGTGCTGAGGTAGATATAGATAAGTTAAGATTATTATTGTAAACCCTAGAGAAACCACTAAGAAAATAATTTTAAAAATATAATTATTAAAGGAATTAAAATGCTACACTAGAGAATATTCATCTAATAGAAAAGAAAGTAGTAAAGAAGACACAGGAACAGAAAATATTCAAGACATTCACATGATGCTCAGTTATTTTGAAACTGAACAACATTTTACATGATGCTTATTTCGTTTTGATACTTTTAATCTATGCAATCAGAAAGATAAATTTTTGATATAAAATTTGGAAGAGACATATTCGTTTACAAATATATAGAGAAAAAAGAATATTAAAGATATTTTGTTAATAAAAAAGAAAATTAATAAGAGAATTTGAAAATGAAGCTGCTGCACATATATGTAGAATATTAAAGATACTCTTAATAGAAATAAAATGAAGAAAATTTGGTAATGTGGGTAATGTATATAAGACTTAGCAACAGCATGGATTAAAATGAGCATTTAAAGATATATCTCCCTTCCATAATGTTACCAATGCCATTATTAAATAATTAAGAAAAAATGTAAATGAAATGTTGATATTATATATCACATATTAAAATTGATACCAAATATTAACTCTTTATACAAAAATTAACTCAAGATGGAGTAAAGACCTAAATGTAAGACCTAAAACCATAAAAGCCCTAGAAGAAAACCTAGGCAATACCATTCAGGACACAGACATGGGCAAAGACTTCATGACTAAAACACCAAAAGCAATGGCAACAAAAGCCAAAATTGACAAATGGGGGATCTAATTTAACTAAAGAGCTTCTGCACAGCAAAAGAAACTATCATCAGAGTGAACAGTCAACCTACAGAATGGGAAAATATTTTCACAACCTACTCATCTGACAAAGGGCTACTATCCAGAATCTGCAAGGAGCTTAAACAAATTTACAAGAAAAAAGCAAACAACCCCATCAAAAAGTAGGCAAAGTATATGAACAGACACTTCTCAAAAGAAGACATTTATGCAGCCAACAGACACATGAAAAAATACTCATCATCACTGGTCATCAGAGAAATGCAAATCAAAACCACAATGAGATACCGTCTCACGCCAGTTAGAATGGCGATCATTAAAAAGTCAGGAAACAACAGATGCTGGAGAGTATGTGGAGGAACAGGAAAAATTTTACAGGGTTGGTGGAAGTGTAAATTAGTTCAGCCATTGTGGAAGACAGTGTAGCGATTCCTCAAGGATCTAGAACTAGAAATACCATTTGACCCACTGATCCCATTACTGAGTATATACCCAAAGGATTATAAATCATGCTACTGTAAAGACATATGCACACATATGTTTATTGTGGCACTATTCACAATAGCAAAGACTTGGAACCAATCCAAATGTCCATCAATGATAGACTGGATAAAGAAAATGCGGCATATATGCACCATGGAATATTATGCAGCCATAAAAAAGGATGAGTTCATGTCTTTTGCAGGGACATGGTTGAAGCTGGAAACCATCATTCTAAGCCAACTATCACAAGGAGAGAAAATCAAACACTGCATATTCTCACTCATAAGTGGGAGTTCAACAATGAGAACACATGGACACAGGGTGGGGAACATCACACACCAGGGCCTGTTAGGGGGAGGGAGGCTGGAGGAGGGATAGCATTACGAGAAATACTTAATGTAAATAATGAGTTGATGGGTACAGCAAACCAACATGGCACATGTATACTTATGTAATAAACCTGCATGTTGTGCATGTGTACACTAGAACTTAAAGTATAATAAAAAAAGAAAAAATGTAAATGAAAGGTAGATATTAAATATCATATATTAAAATTAGGAAATTATATTGAGAAATATAGAAAGATATATGAAATATTTTATACGTATGAAAAGTGAATACTAGCATATTCTATACAGAACAATTCTATAAGTATTTTAAATTCCATAAATGATATTCTTTATTCCACTAATAAAGCCATAGAAACAACAACTATTCATTCAACAATATTTTGACTGTCTACCATGTATCAGCCTTATTCTTGTCAAAGGAAAAGCAAACATGATCTAAGTCGTCTCTGTCTTATGGGGAAAGCCCTCTAGCAGGAGGAGGAGAGATAAAAAATGCAAATAAATAAATGATATAATTTTATGCTGTTATAAATACTATGATGATAGCTAAGTGGAGTAAGGGGATAGAACATGCTGAGCAGTGCTATTGGTAAAAGTGTGTGCGGGGAAGGCATCTCTGGGAAGCTTACCATTGATGAGGCCTAAATGATATAAAGGCCATTGGAAGAGTTTTCCAGGCAGGAGAAGAGCCAATGTTAAAGCTCTGAGATAAGAATGGCCTCAAGGTGTTTGAGAAACTGAAAGAAGGCAGTCTAGTGCATGGAAGGAGGGGGATGAGTAGAAAGAGGGAGAGCAGAGGAATTTTTGGGGCCAGATCATGTAGGACCCCGTAGGGCTTAGCAAGGATTCCGATCTTTATTTTAAATGAGTCGGGGAGGCCAAGTTTAGAGTGCTAGACCAGAGGAGTGATATAATTACATGTGTTTATAATGAATATGCTTCTGGCTGAGAAGGAAAGACTGAAGAGAATACACTATAGAAAAGCAAATGTAGAAAACTGGAGACCATTAAGAAATTAGAGTGATTCAAGTAGCTTGGTAAAGAGTGACTGGAACAAAGCTAGTACTAATTGCAGTAGTGACAAGTGGTCCAGTTTGAAGTTCCTTTATCATACAGCCATGAGGGCTAAATTTGGATTCGAGGTAAAATAGAGTTAGAAAAAAAGAAGGAATCTTAGAATTGAGCCATGATCAAGAATATGAGGAGGGGCCTGGTGCGGTAGCTCGCTCCAGTAATCCCAGCACTTTGGGAGGCCAAGGCTGGAGGATCAGTTGAGCCCAGGAGTTCAAGACCAGCCTGGGCAACATAGGGAGACCGTGTCTCTACTATATGTGTGTGTGTGTGTGTGTATACGTGTGTATATATGTGTGTGTGTATATATATATATCTGTGTGTATATATGTATATATATATGTGTGTGTATATATATGTATGTGTGTATATATATATATGTATGTGTATATATATAGATATATATGCACAAAAATTAGCCAGGCATAGTGGTATACACCTATGGTCCCAGCTACTCAGGAGGCTGAAGCAGGAGGATCAATTGAGCCTGGGAGAGTGAGGCGGAAGGAAACAGTGGTCACACCACTGAACACCAGCCTGGGAAACAGAGCAAATAAAGAATATGAGGAAGTCTACAGTTTGTGGGCAGAAGAAAAAAAACAAACTACAATTCTGTTCTACACCCTTTCAGCACCAAAAAGGAGAGATTTGATATTTTGATGAATGAGACCGGAGCTCAGACGATGGTTTCATGGGTGTAGGCATATACCCAAACTTATAAAATTATATACTCTAAATATGTGCATTTTTTAGTATCAATTATAATTCAATAAAGCTATTAAAAATACTTTTTCAGGAGTATATTGGCTATAAGTAAATGTCAATAAAAATGTATTTTAAAGAAAATAAAAGAAAATGTCTAATTTGAAAGCACATGCAAAACAAAGAGCCAAATGTAAAAAGTCAGTTTAGAGGGCAAGAAATGCAGTGGGAGGTGAAGACTGACATATGTGAGCCTGATAAGAAAAGAGAGGCCGGAGCAACTTCAGAGAGAAAAATGATGGCAATAGCTAGAAAGGAAATTTTAGATTAAAGCTAGACTCAGTAAAAAAAAAAAGAAAATGAGAAAGAAGCATGAAAAGGGATTGCTGTATCTGTTATTTTGGTGTAAATATTCAGTACAGACTGATAAAAGCTAGAGATTTAACAGAGCAAAAGTCCTCTACAGTTCACCCCCTGCCCCCCAAAAAATATGTTTCAGCTAAGTGATCAAAAGGCCATATTTATAAAGTGATTTGACTCCTTCACATGTGTTTGTTTTCCCAGGTAAACTGTAAGATTTTTTAATGCTGACACCATATCTTTTTAATATTTTTGCCATCAACTTCCAGCACTATACCAGGTATGTAATGGGTGCTCATTGATTGCCTATTGTTAAATTAATTTTTATTTGATTGTAGATTCCCATTATATTAATTTTCTATTTTTAAAAGAAAAAAAATCCAAATGCCTAAAATAAAACTTGAAATACAAGGAGTTTAGAAAACAGGTTTATAGTAAGGGAGATATTATTGTATTTGGAATATTTTTATATGCTTCTAGAACTTTATAGAATATAATATTTTCTAACTGTATCTTTTAGCCTTTGTTATTCGTGTCTCCATCTCATTTTTCTCAACAGATTTCAGAACAGTGGAATATGTCACCTTCTTAAGATTTATGTTTTTCTCAAACTCACAAACCTCAGAGCTTATGTCCACACTTCATTTAAAAAATTTGCACTAAGCAACCGCATTTCTTAATTGAATTAGAGTTTAACCTCACTTTATTGGCAGATGCCAATATAAAGTATATATGTATTAAAAAAAATTTTAATTTTCCATTTGGAAGTATATATTTATTTAGTATAAAATATATGTGTGTATGCATGTATACATCGGTATGAAAATAAAACCTACATATACACTTGTGTTAATATATGTGAATGTTATCTCTCTCACACACACATATAAAACTATTTTATCAATAAAACAAGTTTGAAAAATGTGTATATAAGAGTACTAATTAAGTGCTACTACATAAAAGAGAGAAATCTTAATTGCCTAGAACAGCTAGGAAGAAAGTTGTTGTTTGTTGTTTACTTTTTTTTGTCTCTTGACCCATTTACCCAACTATATGCATTAATTAGGAAACTGAAAGTAATCTCACCACTGCTTCTGTGCTTCTTCATCTTTTTTCTTCTTCCTTTTCATTCTCACACACATGCACATTTCTACAGCCATTGGGATCCCACAAAGACCAGAAAACAGGGATTGGAAAGACAGAGTATACAGAGGTTCATACAGTCATGGAGATGGAATTTCTCAAAGTAAAGCACTGTGCCATGGCTCTTCCTTTAGGATATAGAGAATCTGGTGGTGTGACTTAAAAAATGTCCCATTTACCACTACAAAAAGACAAACTAGATTAGTGGTTTTCAAACTGTCCTCCTCAGTACTCTTAGTACCATATTTCCCAAATTAGAAGAATGCAAGATCCATTTTAATGGGGGGGGGGGCAGAAAACCCTATTGTCAGATTACATTTTATTATATCATAAAATAGATTAAGCATGAGGAAATATATAAACTCTTGATGCTTATAGTGCTCACACCAATATAGAAAACAAAACACTAGAACTTCTGGGGATCATGGCGGACGGGAGACAGAACTAGATTGCAGCTCCCACTCAGATGGATAGAACAGTATGTGGAGGCTTGTATCATGAACTTTTGCTCCAGAATGTCTGCAGGAATACATTAGGAAATCCAAGAGAACCCACAGACCCTCTGAAGGAAGCAAATTGCTCCTGCAGGACCCGGGAGACACCCCAAATACTGTGAGTGCCCAAACTATGGAAGTGGGAAAGGGAGATCGTCCACCCCAAAACACACATCCCCCACTGGGGAACCTGAAGGTCTAGATTACAGGAGAAGATTCTGACCTTACCTGGAGTTGAGTCAGTTTAGAGAGCCAAGTGAAATACAGGGGTAGAGGAAGCAGCAGAAAAATCCCTGTAGGCTCGCTGGGTCCCCTACCAAGCCATTTCTGCCTTGCCTCACAGGGGTCCTTGAGGAGGGCTGCTGGATGCACTGGGAAAAGGCCAAGGGAGAAGGAAACCTCCAGCTGAACATTTTAACAATTTGAACTGATCAAGAAGTCTCCTGGCCAGAACTTGGGGGAAGGTATTAATCCAGTGTACAGACTCCACAGGTGGGAAAAGAAGGAAAGTCCTATTTATTTTCACAGCTGGGAGGCAGGTAGCCTGGGGCAAGTTCTCAGCCCTGCTCGCCCACTGCCTGGAAACAGACTTGGTGCTGTTGTTGGGGACAAGGTGGGAATGAGACAGTCTCTTTGGGTTGCATGGGAACTGGGTGAGAACTGTGACTGCTGGCTTTCCCCACTTCCCTGACAACCTGCAAGACACAGCAAAGGCAGCCATAATCCTCCCAGGAACATAAGTCCATTGACCTGGAAACCACCCCCAACCCCCACAGCAGCCACAGTAAGGCCTGCCCAAGTAGAGTTTGAGCTCAGACATACTCAGCCCTGCCCCCACTTAATGGTCCTTCCCTACCCACCCTGGTAACTGAAGAAAAAGAACATATACTCTTGGATGTTCTAGGGTCCTGCCCACCACCTGTTCCTCCCCATACTACCATAACTGATGCTCTCTTGAAAGCGCCAGCTACCAGCAGGAGCCCAATCAGCACAAAAATAGTGCACCAGTCAACGAAAGCTAAGGATCCTCATAGAGTCCATTTTACCCCCTCCCACCTCCACAGGAGCAAGTGCTGGTATCCATGGCTGAGAGGCCCATAGATGGTTCACAGCACAGGACTCTTTGCAGACAACCCCCAGTACCAGCCCAGAGCCTGGTAGTCTTGCTGGATAGCTAGATTCAGAAGAGAGATAACAATCACTGCAGCTTGGCTCTAGGAAAATGGGGAGAGTACTACATCAAGGAAATATCCTGTGGGACAAAAGGAACTGAACAATAGCCTTGAGCATTAGAACTTCCCTTTGACAGAGGCTACCCAAATGAGAAGGAACCAGAGAACAAACTCTGGTAATATGAAAAAACAAGGTTCTACTTGTTTCACAATAGCTCTCCAGAAATGGATCCAAATAAAGAAGAAATCCCTGATCCACATGAAAAAGAATTCAAAAGGGTAGTTATTAAGCTAATCAGGGAGGCACCAGAAAAAGGCAAAGCCCAATGTAAATAAGTCAAAAAGATGATATAAGAAGTGAGGGGAGAAATATTCAATGAAATAGCATAAATAAAGAACAATAGAAATTTCAGGAAACAATAGACACACTTATAGAAATGCAAAATTCTCTGGAAAGTCTCAGCAATAGAATCAAGCCAGCAGAAGAAAGAACTTCAGAGCTCAAAAACAAGGTGTTCTAATTAAACTAATCCAACAAAAACAAAGAAAAAAGAATAAAAAAATATGAACAAAGCCTCCAAGAAGTCTGGGATTACGTTAAAGACCAAACCTAAGAATTACCAGCATTCCTAAGGAAGAAGAGAAATCTAAAAGTTTGGAAAATGTATTTGGGGGAATAATCAAGGAAAACTTCCCCAGCCTTGCTAGAGAAATAGAAATCTAAATGCAAGAAGCTCAAAGAACATCTGCGAAATTCATCGCAAAAAGATCATCACCTAGGAACATTGTCATCAGGTTATCTAAAGTTAAGATGAAAGAAAGAATCTTAAGACCTATGAGGCAAAAACACCAGGTAACCTACAAAGAAAAACCTATCAGATTAACAGCAGATTTCTCAGCAGAAACCCTACAAGCTAAAAGGGATTGGGGCCTTATCTTCAGCCTCCTCAAACAAAACAATTGCCAGCCAAGAATTTTGTACCCAGTGAAACTAAGCTTCATAAGTGAAGGAAAGATATAGTCTTTTTCAAAGAAACACTACCAAGCCAACCCCAAAAGAACTGCTAAAAGGAGCTCTAAATCTTGGAACAAATCCTGGAAGCACATTAAAACAGAACTTCTTTAAAGCATAAATCTTACAAGACCTACAAAGTAAAAATACATTAAAAAAATAAAAATAAGGTATACAGGCAACAAATAGCATAATAAATGGAATGGCATCTCACATCTCAATACTAACATTGTATGTAAATGGTCTAAATGCTCCACTTAAAAGATACAGAATTGCAGAATGGATAAGAATTCACCAACCAACTATCTGCTGCCTTCAGGAGACACACCTAACACATAAGGACTCCCATAAACTTAAGGTAAAGGGATGGAAAAAGGCATTCTATGCAAATGGACACCAAAAGCAACCAGGGGTAGCTATTCTTATATCAGACAAAACAAACTTTAAAGCAGCAGCAATTAAAAAAGACAAACAGGGTCATTATATAATGATAAAAGGCCTTGTCCAGCAGGAAAATATCACAATCCTAAATATATATGCACCTAACACTGGATCTCTCAAATTTATAAAACAATTACTAATAGACCTAAGAAATGAAATAGACAGCAACACAATAATAGTGGGGGACTTCAATACTCCACTGACAGCACTGGACAGATCATCAAGACAGAAAATCAACACAAAAACAATAGATTTAAACTATACCCTGAAACAAATGGACTTAATAGATACGTACAGAACATTCTACCCAACACTGCAGAATATACATTCTATTCAACAGCACATGGAACTTTCTCCAAGATAGACAATATAATGGGCCACAAAATGAGCCTCAATAAATTAAAGAAAACTGAAATTATATCCAGCACTCCCTAAGACCACAGTGGAATAAAACTGGAAATCAATTTCAAAAAGAACCTCCAAAACCATGCAAATACATGGAAATTAAATAACCCACTCCTGAATGATCATTGGGTCAAAAATGAAATCTAGAGGGAAATTTAACAATTCTTCTAGATGAATGACAATAGTGACACAACCTATCAAAACCTCTGGGATACAGCAAAGGTGGTGTTAAGAGGAAAGTTCTTAGCCCTAAATGCCTACATCAAAAAGCCTGAAAGAACACAAACAGACAATGTAAGATCACACCTCAAGAAACCAGAGAAACAAGAACAAACCAAACCCAAACCCAGCAGAAGAAAGGAAATAACCAAGATCAGAGCAAAACTAAATGAAATCGAAACAACAACAAATTAAAAAGATAAATGAAACAAAAAGCTGGTTCTTTGAAAGGATACATAAAATTGATTGACCATTAGCAAGATTAACAAAGAAAACAAGAAAATCCAAATAACCTCACTAAGAAACAAAACAGGAGATATTACAACTGACACCACTGAAATACAAAAGATCATTCAAGGCTGCTATGAACACCTTTACACATATAAACTAGAAAACCTAGAAGAGATGGATAAATTCCTGGAAAGATACAACCTTCCTAGCTTAAATCAGGAAGAATTAGATACTCTGAACAGACAAATAACAAGCAGTGAGATTGAAATGGTAATTTAAAAATTACAAACAAAAAAAAAATCCAGGACCAGATGGATTCACAGCATAATTCTACCAGATATTCAAAGAAGAATTGGTACCAATCCTACTGACACTATTCTACAAGATAGAGAAAGAGGGAACCCTTCCTAAATCATTCTGTGAAGCCAGTATCACCCTAATACCAAAACCAGGAAAGGGCATAACCAAAAAAAGAAAACTACAGACCAATATCCCTGATGAACATAGATGCTAAAATCCTTAAAAAAATTCTAGCTAACCAAATCCAACAACATATCAAAAAGATAATCCATCATGATCAAGTGGGTTTCATACCAGGGACGCAGGGATGGTTTAACATATGCAAGTCAGTAAATGTGATACAACACATAAACAGAACCAAAAACAAAAAATCACATGATCATCTCAATATATGCAGAAAAAGCATTTGACAAAATCCAGCCTCCCTTTATGATGAAAACTCTCAGCAAAATCAGCATACAAGGGACATACCTCAATGTAATAAAAGCCAACTATGACAAACTCACAGCCAACATAACACTGAATGGAGAAAAGTTGAAAGCATTCCCTCTGAGAACTGGAACAAAACAAGGATGCCCACTCTCACCACTCCTCTTCAACATAGTACTGGAAGTCCTAGCCAGAGCAATCAGACAAGAGAAAGAAATAAAGGGCATCTAAATTGGTAAAGCAGAAGTCACACTGTCACTGTTTGCTGATGACATGATTATTTACCTAAAATACCCTAAAGACTCCTCCAGAAAGCTCCTAGAACTGATAAAAGAATTCAGCAAAGTTTCTGGATACAAAATCAATGTACACAAATCAGTAATTCTTCTATAAATCAACAGTGACCAAGTAGAGCATTAAGTCAAGAACTCAACCCCTTTTACAATAGCTGCAAAAAAATAAAATACTTAGGAATATACCCAACCAAGGAGGTGAAAGACCTCTACAAGGAAAATGACAAAACACTGCTGAAAGAAATCACAGATGACACAAACAAATGGAAACATATCCCATGCTTATGGATAGATAAAATCAATATTGTGAAAATGACCATACTGCCAAAAGCAGTACACAAATTCAATGCAATTCTCATCAAAATACCACCATCATTCTTCACAGACTTAGAAAAATCAATCCTAAAGTTCATATGGAACCAAAAAAGAGCCCTCATAGCCAAAGCAAGACAAAGCAAAAAGAACAAATCTGGAGGCATTACATTACCTGATTTCAAACTATACTATAAGGCCATGGTCACCAAAACATCATGGTACTGGCATAAAAATAGGCAAATAGACCAACAGAACAGAATAGAGAACCCAGAAATAAACCGTAATTACTTACAGCCAACTGATCTCTGACAAAGCAAACAAAAACATAAAGTGGGGAAAGGACACCCTATTCAACAAATGGTGCTGGGATAATTGGCAAGCTACATGTAGGAGAATGAAACTGGATCCTCATCTCTCACCTTATACAAAAATCAGCTTCAGATGGATCAAGGACTTAAATCTAAGACCTGAAACTATAAAACTTCTGGAAGACAATGCCGGATGTGCTAGCTCACACTTGTAATCCCAGCATTTTGGGAGGCCAAGGTGGGTGGGCCACTTGAGGTCAGGAGTTCGAGACCAGCCTGGCCAACATGGTGAAATCCCATCTACACTAAAAAAATTAGCTGGGTGTGGTGGCAGGTGCCTGTAGTCCCAGCTACTTGGGAGGCTGAGGCAGATGAATAGCTTGAGCCCAGGAGGCAGAGGTTGCACTGAGCCGAGACGGCAACAGAGTGAGACTCTATCTGAGAAAAATAAATAAAAATTGAAAAACAATTCTAGAAGACAACATTGAAAAAACCCCTCTAGACATTGACTTGGACAAGGATTTCATGACCAGGAAACCAAAAGCAAATGCTGGGGCTTAATTAAACTAAAGAGCTTTTGCATGGCAAAAGAAACAGCAGAGTAAATGGGCAGTCCACAGAGTGGGAGAAAATCTTCACAATCTATACATCTGACAAAGGACTGATATCCAGAATCTACAGTGAACTCAAACAAATTCGCAAGACAAAAACAAACAATCCCCTCAAAAAGTGGGCTAAGGTCATGAATAGACAATTCTCGAAAGAGGATATACAAATATCCAACAAACATATGAAAAAATGCTCAACACCACTAATGATCAAGGAAATGCAAATCAAAACCATAGTGCAATACCACCTTACTCCTGCAAGAATGGCCATAATCAAAAAATAATACATGCTGGCATGGGTGCGGTGAACAGAAAACACTTCTATACTGCTGGTGGGAATGTGAACCAGTACAACCACTATGGAGAACAGTGTGGAGATTCCTTAAAGAACTAAAAGTAGAACTACCATTTGATCCAGCAATCCTACTACAGGGTGTCTACCCAGAGAAAAATAACTCATTATATGAAAAAAGATACTTGCACACGCATGTTTATAGCAGCACAATTTGGAATTGCAAAAGTGTGGAGCCAACCCAAATGTCCATCAATCAATGAGTGGATTAAGAAACTATGGTATGTATATATGATGGAATACTACTCAGCCATAAAAAGGAATGAATTAATGGCATTCACAGTGACCTGGATGATATTGGAGACTATCATTCTAAGTGAAGTAACTCAGGAATGGAAAACCAGACATCATATGTTCTCACTCATATGTGGGAACTAAGCTATGAGGATGCAAAGGCATAATAAAGACACAATGGACTTTGGGGATTCAGAGGGAAAGGGTGGGAGGGGGGTGAGGGATAAAAGGCCACAAATTGGGTGCAATGTATACTGCTCAGGCGATGGATGCACCAAAATCTCACACATCACCACCAAAGAACTTACTCATATAACCAAACACCACCTGTTCCCCAATAACCTAAGGAAATAAAAAAATTAATAATAATAATAATAAAGAAAACAAAACACTATCCACTTGCCCCTTTGAGACATGGCTACACTCTCCTGAGTTCCTAGAATCTGTTTCTTTCAATGGGACTAGACCCCTATATGACAGTTCTCTTGGGCTTTGTATTCTTTGAATGCAAAAGTCTGCTTTGCCTATGAAATTCAGAAAATGAAACCAATAAGTAACTGCAGAGTCACATTCAGCCTCAACCCACAAATATTTGCAATATTTTGGAATGTAGAAAATATTTATCTTTCTATTAAAATCACCTAAAACAATGAGATAAAGAAAAAATAATTATTATTTCAAAAAAAAACTTTCCAAAGTGTCACAAATTTAATTTGTTAACAAACTGTATGAATATTTCTTGCCTAGTTCAAGACTGGGTAAAGAAATAAACCATGTTGCAGCCAAGACAATATGTTCTACCAAATACAAATAAATTATTAACAATGAAAAGATTCATAGAGCACAAAAATACACGATTGGCCAGGAACACAATAAACGGAAGAAATTAAAATGTGGCAAAATTCCTATTTCCAGGCAAAGATAATTGTACATTTTTGAAAAGGTGACAAATAGAAAATAAACATTTTCCAAACTACCAAATGAGATTAAAGCAAATGAATCCTATCATATAGTTCACATGCCAAAAAAGAAAATAAGGAAAAAATTTGAAAATGGTAATTATTGTGTAAAATACAGTCAAAACAATATTTATCACATATATTATAGCTTACACTGTAAAGTATAAAATGGTCTTACTATACAATGTGAAATACTTATAAGAATAAATTATAAATTACCATTCAGAATAATACTAAAAGCTTGAATAAACTGAAAGATATAGCCCAGTAGACTGCAAGAGTATTGTTAACCAGTGTGTTCTCCATGCCTACTACTTGGATGATACTTGACAGAATGTGTTCTGTGGGTGATAAAATAGATTAATAAAAAAATACAAAAAGTGAACTGTTACCAAGATTTAAAATATATATATCTAATTAAAATATCAGTAAGACACATCTTAAAATATGATTAAATGATAATTAAATTTTGTCTAGTGAAAAATAGGTAAGAATGTGAAAACATATCAAAAAAAGAATGGTAATGGGAATCTTGACCTATAAGGTATTAAAATATGATATTTAATGAGATTATAATAATTAACATAATATGTTGGCAATATGAAAACCGACAGGCAGATTAATGAAATGGAAGAAATGAAAACATGCAAATGCAAGCACACATATAGTGTATTAGTCCATTCTCACACTGCTATAAGGATATACCCAAGTTTGGGTAACTTATAAAGGAAAGAAGTTTACTTGACTCACAGTTCAGCATGGCGGGGAAGGCCTCAGGAAACTTACAATTATGGCGGAAGGGGAAGCAAACATGTCCTCCTTCACATGGTGACATCAAGGAGATATATGAGCAAAAGGGGAAAAAGCCTCTTATAAAACCACTAGATCTCATGAGAACGCACTCACTATCACGAGAACAGCATGAGGGTAACCACCCCCATGGTTTAATTACTTCCCATAGTGTTTCTCCCATAAATGTGGGGATTATGGGAACTACAATTCAAGATAAGATTTGAGTGGGGACACAGTCAAACCATATCATACACACACACATATGTATAATTTGACAGAATTCTTCCAAAGATACTGCTCAAATACTAAGTTAAGTATGTACCTTAAAAAGAATTTAAATATTCATCTTATAACAAACTTCTGGTTGAAGTTTACAAATAAGGCTATTTTTAAAAGATGAAAACACAAATGATCTCTAACCGGGTAAAAATCAGTTAATGCAATGAATGATGTAAGCTTAAAAGCAATGAATGATGTAGAAGATGTGCAGAGGAAAGGGTCAGTTTACACTAATTAACTGCTTCCTGATAAATGGCCATAAATGTAAAAGGCGAGTGGGAAGATGGATAAAATATGCATACTCATTCTAAGCTAAACACTTCATCTCTTTAAAAAAGACCTTCTAAAAGTGGAAAAGGGAAGCCCTAAACCCATGCCAGAAAAAAAAGCAAAACATAAACCTCAAGAAGATTCAGTTAGATCTAAGATGTAAATCAAAATAAAATACCATTCCTGACTATTAGATTGGCAAAGATACTTTTACCCTTTTTATTAGTGATGCTACCTAATTTTGAATTAGATTTAACAAAGTACCTCATGTACTAGTTTTATATGAAATACAGATTGATCTAACCCTTCTAAATAGAAAATAATTTGTTAAAATCTACCCAGAGTTTTGAAAATGCTTATGCACTTGGATTCTATATTTTTATCTCTACAAAGCCATATAAGAAATTGAAAATTTTGACATGAAACACATAGAGATATTTTGAGTTTTTTAATTACTGTTTTTAATAAAAATCTTACATATTTAAGGTGTACAACATGATTTTTTGATATACATATACACAGTAAAATGATTACCGCAGTTAAGCAAGTTAACATATCCATTGCCCCACAGTTACCATTTTTTGTGGTGAGAAGACCTGAATTCTACTTTCCTAGCTAATTTTCAGTATACAATGCAATACTATTAACTGTAGTCATCACGTTGTACATTATATCTCTTGGCTTATTCATCCTAGATAACTGCAACTTTGTACACTTTGACCAACATCTTCTCACTTCCCCCACACCCAGACCCTGGTAACCACCATTCTACTTCCTGTTTCTATGTGTTTGGCTTTTTTAGATTCCACATACAAGTGAAAGAATGCACTATTTTTCTTTCTGTATCTGGCTTATTTCACTTAGCATCATATCTTCCAGGTTCATTCACGTTGTCACAAACACCTTCTTTTTTAAGAGTGAATAATATTCATATATTATTATGATATACATATGATATATATATATCACAATTTCTTTTTCAATTCATCTGTTGATTGACACAGGTTGTTTCCATATATTGGCTATAATGAGTAATGCTGCAGTGAGTATGGGAGCACAGGCATCTCTTTCAGATACTGACTTCATGTTCTTTGGAGATATGTCCAAAAGAGGGATTCTTGCATTATAAGGTAGTTCTTTTTTTTTTTTTTTTGAGGAACCTCCATACTGTTTTCCATAATGGCTGTACCATTTTACATTATCACCCACGGTGTACAAGAGTTCTCCTTTTTCCATACCCTTGCCAAGATGTTATCTCTTCTCTTTTTCATAATTGCCTTTCTAATAGGCATGAGGTGATAGCTCAATGTGGTTTTGATTTGCATTTTCTTAGTAATTAATAATTTTGGGCACCTTTGTAGATATCTGTTGGTCATTCATATGTCCTTCTTTGAAAAATATCTGTTCAAGTCCTTTGCCCATTTTTTAATTGAATTATTTGATTTTTTTTGCTATTGACTTGTGTGAGTTCCTTGTATATTTTGGATATTAATCCCTTATCAGATGTATGGTTTGCAAATATTTTCTCCAAACCCAAAGGTTGCCTTTTCATTTTGTTGATTTTTCCATCACCATACAGAAGCTTTTTATTTTGACATAGTTCCATTTGTTTATTTTTGCTTTTGTTGCTTATGCTTTTAGTGTCATATTCAAAAAAATCATTGCTAAGGCCAATGTCAAGGAGCTTTTCCCCTATGTTTTTTTCTAGAAGCTTTATGGTTCAGGACTTATGTTTAAGTCTTTAATGCATTTTGAGTTGATTTTTGCATATAATGTAACATAATGATCCAACTTTATTCTTATTGCATGTGGATATGCAGTTTTCTCAACGCCACTTGCTGCATTGTACTTTTTTGAGAAAAAACAAATATGCAATAATAAAAAAGACTAAGTCGTTCTAGCACATTCATATGATAAAATGTTAGGAAGCCATTAAAATTTATCTTTCTTGAGAAGCAAAGTTGTGGAAAATTCCTAAGTATTAAATATATAAAATATATAAGAACAATTATAGTTTCAATTATATAAAAGTTTGTGTGTGTAGATGTGTGTATTTATATAAAATATTTGTAAAAATACACTAGATTGTTAAACACTGAATTACCATTAGGGAGATGAAACATAAAATATTTGTTATAACTTTTTACGTTTTTGTGTTTACATATGTTCCCAAAGTAGCTAATTTGATAGAACAAAATAGAGCATAAAATATGTTTTTTCAATGATCAGAAAGAAACAACATTATTTAAAAATAATGCCAACAAAATACCTCTCTGCTAACTTTTATGATTCATTTTTTAAATATAAGAATAAATGTTTGTCATGTGGGAAAATCATTGTCACCACTTGTTTAACAGAAAGTATTAAAAATAAAGTAGGAATAAATATATCTCACGAATAAAATATAACAAGAGTAGAATATTAAGAAGCAACTCAGCTGTGCGTGGCGGCTCACGCCTGTAATCCCAGCATTTTGGGAGGCTGAGGCGGGCAGATCACTTGAGGCCAGGAGTTCGAAACCAGCCTGACCAACATGGAGAAACTCCATCTCTACTACAAATACAAAATCAGCTGGGCGTGTTGGTGCATGCCTGTAATCCCAGCTACTTGGGAGGCTGAGGCAGGAGAATCACTTGAACCTGGGAGGCAGAGGTTGCAGTGAGCTGACATTGTGCCATCGCACTCCAGCCTGGGCAACAAGAGCAAAACTTCATCTCAAAAAAAAAAAAAAAAAAAAAACAAGCAACTCACTCCATTCAGCTGACCACAGATAACTGTATTTTTTCCCAGTGTCTTAACAATAGAGTTTCTTTCTCCATTGCCCTCGTAGGAAAATCGTTTTGTGCTATAAATTTTCTCAATGAATTGGGTGACTTTATTATTTAAAAAATTGTATTAGAAGCGCAAGAAGTTGTGGCACACAAATTCTACAATGAGCTTTCAGTCATAAAAATGATTTCCATCTACAATCTGGAACAAAGCAAGGTGGTCTTCTTTCACCACACCTATTTAAGTCATACTGGAAGAGCTCACTGTTGCAATAAGACAAGAAAAAGGAGTAAAATATTTACAGATTGAAAAGAAAAAAGTGTTTTTACTTACAGATAACATGATTGTCTATGTAAACAACTTCAAACAATTTACAGAAAATCTCCTGAAATTACTGAGTATAGAAAGGCCATAGGATACAAAGTTAATATTCTAGAGGCAAGTGTTTTACTATATACCAGTAATGAACAATTGAAATTTGAAAATAAAAACAAACAACAAGAATATTTATAGCAGTATCAGAAAAGGAATACTTATGTAAAAATCTAAAGAAAAAAACAAAAACAGGGAACTCTATGTGTAAAACTACAAAACTTGGATGAAATAAATCAAAGACATAAGTAAATGGACAGATATTCTACTTGATAGACTGCAAGACTGAATATTATTAACATGTCAATTATTCTTAAATTAATGTATAGAGTCAATGCAATTCCAGACAAAATCACAAGTTTGTTTGCAGGTATAAACAAACTGACTCTATTAATGAAGTTTACAAAAAAAAATATTAAAAAACTGAATACCTAACACAATATTGAAGGAGAGAAATAAGTTGGAGGACTGATACTACCTAACTTCAATAACGACTATTAAGCTACAGTAATCAAGGCAGTATAGTATTGATAACATAGTATTGGTGAAAGAATAGACACACAGATTAATAGAATAAGGAGCCCATAAATAGATACAGACGAACATAAGAAACAGATTTTTAACAAAGACGCAAAGGCAATTAGATGGAGAAAGGAGAGTCTTCTCAACAAATGGCACTGAAACAGTGGGACATGCATAAGCAACAAATTAATAATAAATAAAAAACCTAGATATAGACCTTATACCTTAATAAATAACTCAAAATGTATTTCTGACCTAAATGTAAAATATAAACCATAAAACTTACAAATAAAAACATATGAGAAAATCTATGTGAGATTGGGTTTGGGGATTAGTTTTTAGATACACTCAAAGTATGCTACCAGAAAGAAAAAGTTGAGAAGTAGGACCTTATTAAAATTAAAACATTTCCTCTGTAAAACACACTTTTAAAACACACAGAAAAACAAGTAACAGACTGAAAGAAAATATTTACAAATCACAGGTCTAGTAAAAGACTTGTACCCAAAATATACAAAAACACTGTTAAAAACTGGGAAAACAAACAAATCAATTTTAAAAAGGAGGAAATAGATCCAAATCTCACCAAAGAAGATAAACAGATGGCAAATAAGCATATGAAAAGATGAACAAAACCAACTGTGACTAGGAAAATGCAAATTAAAACAAGATACAACTACACAACTATTAGGATGGCCAAGATCCAGTACACTGACAATACCAACTGCTGGCATGGATGTAGAGAAATAAGAACTCACATTCATTGCTGGTGGGAATACAAAGTGCCAAAACCAATTTAGAAGACAATTTGGCAATTTCTTTCTACACATAGTCTCACAATATGATCCTGCAATACTGCTGCTAGGTATTTATCTAACTGATATGGAAACTCATGTCCACACAAAATCTGCATGTAAGTGTTTATAGCAGCTTTCATTATAGTTACCAAAAACTGGAGGTATAAAAAATTGTCCTTAGATATGAATAGACAAACTGTGGTACATCCATACAATGGAATGGTATTCAGTGATAAAAAATGAATGAGCCATCAAACTGTGAAAAGATGTAAATGAATGCCAATGCATATTGCTCAATGAACAAAGTGTGAAAATGATTTAATACATGATTCTCTTTATTGGACTATCTGGGAGGGCAACTAATGATAATGGTAATGGTAATCTGATCAGTGGTTGCCAGAGATTTGGAGAGGGTTAATAAGTGTCACATAGGGGATTGTTTAGGGTGGTGAAACTATAACCTATAAGACAATAATGTATGATACAAAACACTAAGCATTTGTGAAAACAATTTGTAAAATAGAAATTTACAATAAAAAGATTGTATCTTAAAGTCTACAATTTTTTTAATGTAGGAAGTCAGCTGATCCCAGCATGAAATGCAGACTATGACAAAATAATTTAGCTATATTAAAAATATACAAAAATAGCCTAACTGAAAAGGATAGGAGAAAAATGTGCTGAGTTTGGAAATAAGTGGAGTTTGTGAGACTACAGGTAAAAGAAGCTATATGCAAGCCTGTACTCTAGTTCATAAAGTTGTGTTTCATGGGAGTACAGGTTAGCAACTCTGAGACCATTATACATGTATACAAGAATTGAACAATTAGGTAAGTGGACAGTGAGAACCAAGAGTGAGAATTTATAGATAAGAATGAGGAGGGGGCTGGAATAATCTGTATGGTACTAGCTTAGCATTGAAGATATCAGTATGAACTCTGAACTCATGTTTAGTTTAATATAAACACAGATACATATAGAAATATTTGTAGAGATGTACAGGTACAAAGCTTAGTAGATATTCATATATCTTCTTGCTCGGTCAGCTGAGTGGGCCTAGAAGCAATGCCACCCTAGTAATAGCAAGCACACCCAGTACTCAGATTGTGGTTTCTAATAGAATTTTCCAATAAAAGAAACTTTCTTAGTCAATTTGGGCTGTTATAACAAAGTACCATAGACTGGGGGCTTATAAACAACAGAAATGTATTTCTTACAGTTCTAGAAGATGGAAGTCCAAGATCAGGGCACAAGGATGGTTAGGTTCTGAGCTGAGGCCCCTCTTGTGGGTTGCAGAATGTTGATTTCTCCTTGTATCCTCATATGGTGGGAAGGGAACTAGAGAGCTCTGTGGTCTTTTTTATAAGGGCACTAATCCCACTTCCAAAGACTCTTCCCTTGTTACCTAATTAGTTCTCAAAGGCCCCACCTCCTAATACTATCACATTGGGTGTTAGAATGTCAACATATGAATTTTGGAGGGAACACAAACATTCAGTCTACAACAGGAATCTTAAAGAAATGCCTAATTCTAGAACTGAAGCAAGAATAAAAATACAATCCTGGAGCAACTTGTAAGTGCCAAAACATAAGGAAGTACTAACACATACAGTCAAAGAAGCATAGGAGCCAACTAAAAAAGCTCCCAGTAAACAAAGCTGGAATAATTTGAGAAGTAAAGTATATAAATAGTATTGGATCATAATCCAAACTATAAATATCCATGAGTTCATACTCATAACCTAAATAATCGAATAAATAAATAAATGGGAGTGAAGAGACAAACTCCCTGTGCAGAAGAAAGCTAAATATCTGATGTAGATTTCCAGCCCTTATAAAAGCATAGCTACTCACTCCTTAAATGTGGCCCTCATACAGTAACTTCCTTCCAAAGAATAGCATATGGAAAGGAGCATAAAACATTAACTTTACAGCTGATAAATATGACAAACATTAACTCAGTCATGGATTAAGGTTACCATCAATTGTGCTGTCATTGACAGTGTATCTCCTTGAAATGATGTGTTGAGAATGGCTTTTTACCTCCTCCTCCACAAAACCCATAACCCTAGCCTAATGATGACAAAAACATCAGACAGATCTCAGTTGAGAGTAATTCTACAAACTATGTACACTACTACTCAAAACAGAAATAGTCATGGTCATCAAAATCAAGGAAAGTCTGAGAAACTCAACTCTCCTTAAGCCAAGAACTTAAGAAGATATAAGAAATAAATATAATGTGGTGTATTGGATGAGATCCTGAAACAGAAAAAGAGCACAAGGTTTAAACTAAGGAAATCTGTGTAAAGGATGGCCTGTAGTTAATAACACAGTATCAATATTCATAAATTAACTGTAGCAACTGTACCATAATAATGTAAGATATTAACAATAGAGGAAACTGAGTGTGGGGGATATGGAAACTCTCTGTACTTTCTTCCCAAGAGAAGAAATAGGGAGTTTCATTTGGTAGGATCTTGTGCCCATTTTAAGGACTTTGGTATTTACTCCAAGTGATATGGAAGCTATTGGAGGGTTTTGAATAGAAGTATGACATAATCAGACGGATGTTTTTAAAGAATCATTCTAACTGCTGTATTGAAAAAAACTGTGTGGGAAGGCAGTTACGACGGATGCAGCGAAAGTAGTTAGGAGGCTCTCAGAATATCCAGGTGAGTGACAATGATGCCAAGAGTCTATATGATGGACCAGGTAGGCAGGATGAGAGAAAGGGAGGGGTTATAAAGGCTCCAAAGCTCTTGGCCTGAGCCAGCTGGAAGGATGGCATTGCCATCGACCAGCATGGAGAAGTTTGAGTGTGAAGAAAGTTTTAGGGGTTCTATGAGGACATATTAATTGGGGGCTATTAAACCCTCTAGTGTCAAGTAGATAGCTGGACGTTGAGTCTACAGTTTAGGGAAGATTTCCAACCTAGAGATATTAATCTGGGAGTGATTAACAAATGGGTGGTTTGTCCAAGTGTGACAGACATTGTGTCTACCAACAGATTTAACTTTTTGTGAATAAAACTTTTTACGTACTTTTTTTGTAACTATGAGTCTACACCACATATAGAAAGTGCATGTCAGACTGAACTAAAGATTTGGATCACAGCTATTTCTCAAACAAAATTTGATCAATGACATTATGCTTGCTTTGTACTTTGATTTTTCTTTTCCCATCTTAGTCATCAGGGATTGTTCCAACCCTCATAGTACATTGACCTTTGCAGATATGAGCATTTGCCAGTTTGGGGTGTGGTATGTGCCAGAGAGTCCAGAAAGCTCTGTTCCAAAGATTGCTGAGCCCTGGGCCAAGGAACAGGGCTTTATCTCCAGCATCCAAAATTTATATACAGGGGACATAAATGGCATTGCTACCATTCTTAAGAGAAATTTTAAAATTCTATTTTTTTCTTCACGTTTTTATCAATGCAAAGGAAAGCACAATGTATTTAAGAGAAATAATGTCAACATCTGATTTCTCTTTTACAACATAAAGGCAAATTCCTAATAATTACTCAGTGACTTATAGTAAATATATATATGGTTTATCAGTTAGCCAAGATTCAATTTACTGTCAAATATTTTATTTTACACATAGCAAATTTTCTTCCTTGCCTTGGCTGCCTATGAACTTTGCTGTGGTCCAGCTGCAAGAAAAAATGTGGATCCTTTAATAAAAACATGCCATCGAAAAAGCTAGAGTAAAAACCACATTAAAAAGGACTCTAAAAATAGTATACAGCAAATATTTAATAACAACTTTTTTTTGTTTTCAGATAATGAAATGGTTCTACAAATCTGTTGCTGGTTAAAATGCAACACATATTTCAATGTATGAACAGCTGCAATTTTTAGAGTATAAAGACAAATATTACTCTTGCTATCTGTCCACATATGTCAACTTCATAGTCTCAAACAAATATCAAAGAGATGTTTAATTTACCCTACAATTTAATGCTATCATATTCATTATATAAATGTTTATCAAAACATCTATTTAAATAGATATTAATATCAATGTATTAATTAAAATAATCACTTAAATTTTAATTAAAATATTAGTATTTACCATTAACAGATTGAATCAGATGTGAACTTATTATGCTAGATTACAGTCTGGTATATGCTAAAATAGTTTTGTAACAGTATATTTCTCCTCACACAACTCTGTTCATGATGTTGGCTTTTCCAACTACAGAAAATAGAAATTTAATATAATAGAATATCTACTTAAAGAAATATTTATGTGTATGTGTAAATATGTATTTAAGCATTTATTTATTTAAATAGTAATTCTAATGTTAAGACTAAGTTTTAGATATTAAAATTTTTTTTGGCAAATCTTGACAATATAACAAATGCCAACTTTTGTAGTAACTGTCTTTAATCCACCATTTTCTGGCAATGAGTATACACACACTGATGCTATAAAATAACAACGTGTCAGATTTAATACTTATGAAATACTTAATGGTCTTTTCTATATTTGTCAATACTAACCAAAAAGAATTCTGCGAAATACTTATGCACCCAGGACACAAAATTATGTACAATAAAGCACATGGTTTTCAATTAAGTTTGTGTTTCATGAGAATGAACAGTTTCTTTGGGCAAGTTATCATATTTTGTGCATTGGTGGGGTGAGGGATCAACTATTGAGGCGGATGCCACCTAGCAAGCATTTTTCCACCTTAACTCATTATCTCACCCTGACTAAATTTCCTCTTACTCAAGTGGCAGAGGGGACAAATTTTTAAGGAGCTGTGTAATTGTTTATTCATCCCATCTGCTGTCTTGTCACCTCACTGACTCATTAGAGCAACCCTAAGCAAGATAATGAGTTTAGAGTCTACTCTGAAAGCAGGAGATGGCACACCTCATGAGGAAGTAGGGATGAGGCAGTAGTCTTTTATATGCATTCTTCTCAAACTGTCTTTTGCCACCCTCTTGTGCCTCTTATTCCTCTACTCTGCCATTGACTTGGTTATGCTGTTTATTAATAGATTGGATCAGATGCCAATTTATTGTACTGGATAACAGTCTATATATAGGCTTTCCAATTATGCTGGGATAGTTCTGAAATAGTATATTCCTCTTCACACAACTCTGTCCCTGATGCTGGCTTTTCTGACTAGAGAAACACTGAGAACTTCCAGCTGGCTTATGTTTTCATTAAATGAACAGTGAAAGGCAAATATGCATAAATTAAAGTTAAAAAATGAACATGGCATGACCTAAAATTTCTGAAATGCAATAATGTAAGCTTTGCAAAATCCAATTTGGCTGATATCAGTGAAAGACTATAATACAACCAGAAGGAAGCTATGCATTCCAAATCTTGCTGTGTCTGCCTCAGGCTAAATTAAAATATGAATAACCTCAACATTAAAATTTAAAACTTTCTTATAAAATACATGATATGGAAGAACTTTAAATCAGTAATATGTGTTTTCAGCACTGCTAATTGCTAAGCACATTTGCACCTTTAATTTACTCAGAAACTTTTAACATTATAAATGTGATGCCTGCCCTTTAATACTCCAAAGGCCCAAGTAACATTTAAATAGCTATCAACAGCTGGTATTGAATACAAATTTATTTATCTGCAACCCAGAGAGCTATTCCCTCAACTTTTTTTTATTTCGGAGGCACCATGCTTTAGTGTGATCTTCTTAAACATACTTTATCTGAGCATATAGTCTTCAAAGCGTGTGTGATTCAAGCCTCATACAAGGCAAGCTAACAGCATAAAAAACTAAATAAGTTAATAGTATTATTTGATTTATCCAATTTGAAGATGAGTAGAACATTTTCTGAATATGTAACATTTTATTTTATAGTATAAGAACTGTAATACACATTCAATTAGACTTCTCTAAAGTAACTTGTAACTGTACACACACCTAGCTAAAAGTGGATATCAAGATATTTTAAAAGTTAAATATGTAAACAAACTCACACCTAAAAAATAAACTTTCATTTTCAGGAAACCTAAATATAGCCATTGCAAAAACTATATTGAGAATGCTGTAGTAATACATTTACTATGGAAATATGTGTCAAGTTCTTTAGCTAGAAAGAAATATCATTTCAATAATGTTGGCTTCTTTGTAAATTGGCAATTCCATGAACTAATGCATATGGCATCTTGGCTCCTAAGTTACATATCAATGTATAAAAATACCATGATCCTTAAATAAATATTAAACATCTCTGTAATTTAAACAGTGCAGTATTAACAGATGAGCAGGGAAAGCAAATAGATCAGAAATAATAAAATAAATAATTATAATAAAATTAAATTAAACAAGAAGAGAAAGTAAATAGAATAGAAAATTTTTTAAAAAGACTCAGAACTCATGGAAATTTTTACATTAAAAATGTTGGTACAATTAGTGAAAGAACTATGATTTTTTTTCCACTTAAAATGCTTTAATTGTTCTCACCATAGAATTAACATATTGGGAAAATATAAACAGATTTATTTTTATGTGTATATATTAAAATATATTCTGAAATTAATATATATTCTATTCATTTAAGTTATAAAATAATTTCAAATTAAGCAATATGTAATTTTATGAGAGAAAGTAAAGGAAAACAAAGATTCACTACTATTAACAGCTACTAAGCTTTTTGTCTGTCTGTTTCTTTTGAGACAGGGTCTTGCTCTGTCGCCCAGTCTGGAGTATAATGGTATGAAACTACTTGGTTTTAAATCAGCTTTTTAAAAATTGAGTAGACTATTTTTAGAACAGTTTTAAAATTACAGAATAATTAAGTAGATAGTACAGAGAATTTCCATAGATGCCCTCACCACACATATACTTTCCATTATTATTACCGTATTACATTAGTATGGTACATTTGTTACCACGAATAAACCGATACTTTCCTATTAAATAATATCCATGGTTTATTCAGATTCCTTAGTTTTTATCTACTTGTGTGTGTGTGTGTGTGTGTATGCGCATGCTAGCATCTCATCCCATTATATCTAGTTATCATGTCTCCTGTAGGTTTCTCCTAGGCTGTGACAGTTTCTCAGACTTTTTTTATTTTTGATGACCTTGACAGTTTTGAGAAATACCTGTATAATGCAAAATGTTCCTCTATTGGAATCTGTCAGAGAAGAAAACAATAATTCCATCTGACTTAGATCATAGTGTCTTCAATGGGATATATGCTAAAAAAATTAATCATATTTCAGTTTTTTCATTGGTTTCTAGTTACAATAAAATTGTTATTTTGAAATTATTATATACATGCTGTATGACAAAATAATTATGCTAACAAAGAAGCATACATTTTAAAAAAGAGAGCATATTCTTAAATATGACTGTAAATATCAATATAAACCCATATTTTTGTCTTTAAAAAATACATATTGCTAAATTTCTATTTCTGATTATAATAGAATTTTAACAGGGACTGTATTCATTCTCCTACCTTTCAAACAACTAAAAAAAAAACTGGATAAAAATATATGAAGCCACAGTTTTCAGATACTGGACATCAGGAAGCATGGAATTGTGATCCCTGACAGCAGAAAAACAAATGAGACGAGCACAAGGCTTGTCCCAGCTTAATGCCTGGAGGCAGTTTCCAGGCCACAGTGCAGAACAGGGAAATCTAAACAGAGCATGGCAGTGTCATTGAGTTGAGAAGACAGAAAATTCTATTTCAAAAAGGTGAAGGAAGCTAAACTTTATGAAACAGAATAACAGAGAAAGAAGTCAGCTGCCCAGAGAAGGGTTTCAGAAATGATAGAGAACGTTCTTGGATTCTTTGCCTGAGTAATGATGTGTACATATTCGTGGAAAGAACTTGCCTCATACCCTTAAAAGAACCAACCTGAAATCATTAGGGTGAAACAGTGCTAGGAATAGTTTCTACAGGCAGCAGCAAGGGCAATGGCAAGGGCTGGCCGTTGAAGGGCTTCAATGTTGAAAACTAAGAAGCTTGCTCTAATAATAATGTAGAGGACAACATGGAGACAGAACTAGATTGGAGGAGGGAAAAATTAGAATATTTATGCAATATAGCCAAGAGAGGATTAGGAATGTATCTAAGGCAGCAGCAGTGAGAATAGAAAGAAGAGGTAAGATATGATAACATTCAAGAGTTGACATTGATAATACCTGTTCACAAATTGAATATTAAGTAATGAGGAAAAGTAAAGCTTCTAGAATAGCCTCTAACACTCTGATGTGGGTACTACTATGGGCTGAACTGTGTCCCCCAAAAATTCCTGTATTGAAGACCTGCCCCCTAGTATCTCAGAATGTGACTGTATTTGGAGCTTTTAAAGAAATTATTAACGTAAAATGAGGCCATTAGGGTGGACCCTAATTCAATCTGATTGGAAGCCTGTAGAAGAGGAAATCTGGGCACACAAAGATTCATGAGGGATGCACAGAGATAAACATCAAGCAAGAACACAGTGAGAAGGGGGCCACCTGTAGGCCAAGAAGAAGAGCCTTGGAAGAAACTAAACCTTCCAGTACTTTTACCTTGCTCTTGTAACCCCAAAACGTGTTATTTAAGCCACCCAGGCTGTGGTATTTTGTTATGGAAGTTTTAGCAAAGTTACATAGGTACCGAGATGGATGGTGAGGATATTCACCAAGTATTGGATTACATGAGGAGAATCCAAATTGAAGAACAACAATAACAGTTTCAGATACTTTGAATTTAGTCCCCAAAGAAGTGACACTTAGATGCCAATATCTAGTATCAATTTGCATATATAGTTCTAGACTTACGAAAAATTGTTAAACTGTAGAATTTATTATGGGTCATTGACTTACAAATGGAAGTGAAGTCTGATGATGCTTGATATAAAAGCACCACTTCACAAGCAGTTTCTCAAAACGGTCAAACAGGAGGGAGAACTTGTGTTGCACAAGCACTAGGAATTGTAGATTTTTTTGATTGATATTTAATTATTTTTTGATTGATATATAATAATGTACATATTTATGGAATACCTGTGATATTTTGTTACATGCATAGAATTGCATAATGATCAAGTCAGTGTATTTAGGCTATCCGTCACCTCAAGCGCTTATCATTTCTATGTGGTGGGAACATTTCAAAACCTCTCTTCTAGCTATTTGAAATATACAACACATTGTTATTAACTATGGTCACCCCACTCTGCTATAGAACATTATAACTTATTCTTTCTGTCTTACTGTATGGTTGTACTTATTTATCAACTTCTCTTCATCTCCCTCCAATATACATACCCTTCCCAGCCTTTGGTAAATACTCTTCTATTCTACCTCCATGAGATTAACTTTTCAGCTCCTACATATTCTTATTGAGGTAAACATTCTATTGGAGAAGGTAAGTTGAGAAATCCTGGCGTGAATGAAGCACCACAAGTGTTTATATATGTACATGCATCCATTCATACATGCATATATGTACATGTGCGTGCATATATAGTAAATGATAAAGACCAAATGACCATGTTTAATTTCTTGTACTGTGTCAACATGAAAAACAGCTAAATATAGTCTCAGTAAATTCTCATTAAAAACATTTAGGCTGGGGTGTGGTGTCTCAATGCCTGTAATCCCAGCACTTTGGGAGACCGAGGTAGGTGGATCACCAGAGATCCGGAGTTTGAGAGCAGCCTGGCCAACTTAGTGAAACCCCGTCTCTACCAATAAATGCAAAAATTAGCTGGGTGCGATGGCGTATGCCTGTATTCCCCGCTACTCGGGAGGCTGAGGCAGGAGAACCGCTTGAAACAGGGAGGCGGAGGTTGCAGTGAGCTGAGATCGTGCCACTGCACTCCAGCCTGGGCGACAGAGTGAGACCCTGTCTAAAGAAAAGAAAAAAAAAATTAACTTCGGGTGGGGCCAAGATGGCTAATTAAAAGCAGCGGTGCTTGGAGTCTACCATAGAAAAAAAAAACATAATAAGCGTGTGAAGTCTTCACCTGCAACCAAGGTATCCAAGTTCGCTCATCAAAATTGACTAGAAGGCTGGCGTGACCCACGGATAAAAGGAAGAGCAGTGTGGTGTGGCGACCCACCTGAGAGCGACAGGGGAAAGGGGTACCCTGTCCCCACAAGCCAAGGAAGGCGGTGAGTGAGCGCGCTACCCAGCCAGGGAGACTGCTTCTTCCACGGAACTGTGGAACCCTTGGATCGGAAGATCCCACTCACGAACCCACGCCACTGGGACCTAGCTTCCCAACCCGGGAATGTGAAGATTCTTCAGCCTCTCAGCTGGAATCTGCTTAAGCCTACCAAACTCCCGGGGAAAGGGGCGACCAGAACAAGCTGCAGCTGCCTGCTGTCTAAGCCATTTGAGCTCCTTGTGGGAGGGGTAGCAGCCAGCACTGGGACTTGCAACTGCCTAACACGCTGAGCTCCCTGGGCGGGGGGAAGGGCAGCACCCATTTCCATAGTTACAGGCTGCACTTTTCCCCTTCTGGAGCCAGGGAGGCTGGATGGCTAGGTCCCAAAACTTGTCCCCACAGCCCAAGTCACCGGCTGTGGCTGTCTGCAGTTAGAGTGCCTCTTCAGGTCTAGCCTTGACCCATCCTTCCTCAGTGGGTGGGGCTTTCCTGCAGGATCTCCAATAACTCCAGCCAGGGGCTCAGGGACAGAATTTGGCTCTCCCTGGTCCTGAACCCCTAGCGGGAGGGGTGGCCACAGTCTCTGTGGACCAGCAGACTTAGCCTCTACTCCTGGTAGTTCTGAGGAATCCAGGCAGCCCAGACAAGTGGGTTTCCCCCCAGCAAAACACACCCTCTCCACCAAGGGACAAAGTGCTTCATTAAACAGGTCCTGCTCCCTGTGCCTCCCAACTGGGTGAGACCCTCCAACAGGGGTTGTCAGACACCCTATAAAGGAATGATCCTACTAGCATCAGATTGGTGCCCTTTGAGGTCAGAGGTCCCGGAAGAAGGAGGAGGCACCCATCTTTGCTGCTCTCCAGCCTCCTTGAGTGACATCTCCAGGCATGGGAGCAAATCAGATGAATAAGGCCTAACGTGAAACCCCAGCAAACTGCAGCAGCCCTACAGAAGAGGGACCTGACTACTGAAAGAAAAACAGACAAGCAGAAAGCAATAGCAATAGCATTAACAGCACAACAAAGGCCCCCACAAAAACCCCATCCAAGTGTCAGCAGCTTCAAAGGCCAAAACTAGACAAACTCATGAAGACAAGAAAGAATCAAAGAAAAAAATGCTGAAAACCCAAAAGGCCAGAGTTTCTGTTCTCCTGGAAATGATTGCAATGTCTCTCCATCAAGGGTGCAGAACTGGATGAATCAGTTGGATAAATTGACAAAAGTAGGCTTCAGAAGATGGGTAATAAAAAACTATGATGAGCTAAAGGGGGCATGTTCTAACCCAATGCAAAGAAGCTAAGAACCTTGATAAAAGGTTAGAGGAATTGCTAACTAGAATAACCAGTTTATAGAGGAACACAAACGAGCTGATGGAGCTGAAAAACACAGCATGGGAAATTGGTGACGCATACACAAGTATCAAAAGCCAAATCAACCAAGCGGAAGAAAGGATAACAGAGTTTGAAGACCACCTTACTGAAATAAGACATACAGACAAGAATAGAGAAAAATGAATGAAAAGGAATGAACAAATCCTCCAAGAAATATGGGACTTCATAAAAAGACCAAACCTATGATTGATTGGAGTACCAGAAGGAGATGGGGAGAATGGAAACAAGCTGGAAAACACATTTCGGGATATTATCCAGGAGAACTTCCTCAACCTAACAGCCAACATGCAAATTCGGGAAATACAAATAACACCATTAAGATGCTCCACAAGAAGTTGAACCCCAAGACACATAATCTTCAGATTCTCCAAGGTCGAAATGAAGGAAAAACTGTTAAGGGCAATAAGAGAGA
Organism: Homo sapiens; assembly: GCF_000001405.40. NCBI lineage: Eukaryota > Metazoa > Chordata > Mammalia > Primates > Hominidae > Homo > Homo sapiens. The sequence goes on along the minus strand of NC_000006.12, from coordinate 55,007,797 downwards.
AAGGCCAGGTCACCTACAAAGGGAAGACAATCAGACTAACAGCAGACCTCTCAGCAGAAATTCTACAAGCCACAAGAGATGGGGGGCCAATATTCAACATTGTTAAAAAAAAAAGAAAACAATTTTCAACCCAGAATTTCATATCCAGTCAAACTAAGCTTCATAATTGAAGGATAAATAAAATCCTTTCCAGACAAGCAAATGCTGAGGGAGTTTGTTACCACCAGGCCTGCCCTGCAACAGTTTCTGAGAGAAGCACTAAATATGGAAAGGAAAAACTGGCATCAGCCATTGCAAAAACACACCAAAATATAAAGACCAATGACACTACGAAGAAACTGCATTGAGTAGTGTGCAAAACAACCAAATAGCATAATGATGACAGGATCATATTCACACATATGTGGGGCATGGTGGCTCATGCCTGTACTCCCAGCACTTTGGGAGGCTGAGGCAGCTGGATCACTTGTCAGGAGATCGAGACCAGCCTGACCAACATGATGAAACCCCATCTCTACTAAAAATACAAAAATTATTTGGGTGTGGTTGCACACGCCTGTAATCCCAGCTACTCAGGAGGCTGAGGCAGGACAATTGCTTGAATCCAGGAGGCGGAGGTTGCAGTGAGCCAAGGTTGCAGTGAGCTGAGGTTGCAGTGAGCCAAGAGCGTGCCATTGCACTCCAGCCTGGGCAACAAGAGTGAAACTCTGTCTCAAATGAATAAATAAATAAAATTCACACATAACAATACTAACTTTAAATGTAAATGGACTAAATGCCCCAATTAAAAGGTACAGACTGGCAAATTGGATAAGGAATCAAGACCCATCAGTGTGCTGTGTTCAGGAGACCCATCTTACATTCAAAGGCACACAAAGGATCAAAATAAAGGGATGGAGGAAAATTTACCAAGCAAATGGAAAGCAAATAAAGCAGGGATTGCAATCCTAGTCTCTGAAAAACAGACTTTAAACCAACAAAGATCAAAAAAGACAAAGAAAGGCATTACATAATGGGAAAGGGAACAATTCAACAAGAAGAGCTAACTATTCTGAATATATATGCACCCAATATAGGAGCACCCAGATTCATAAAACAAGTTCTTAGAGACCTACAGAGAGACTTAGACTCCCACACAATAATGGTGGGAGACTTTAACAACCCGCTCTCAGTATTACACAGATTAACAAGACAGAAAATTAACAAGTATATTAAGGACTTGAATTCAGCTCTGAATCAAGTGGACCTAGTAAACGTCTACAGAACTCTCTACCCCAAATCAACAGAATATACATTCTTCTCAGCGCCACATGGCACTTATTCTAAAATTGACCACATAATTGGAAGTAAAACACTCCTCAGCAAATGCAAAAGAACTAAAATCATAACAAATATTCTCTCAGACCACAGTGGAATCAAATTAGAACTCAGGATTAAGAAAATAACTCAAAACCACACAATTTCAAGGAAATTGAACAACCTACTCTTGAATGACTCCTGGGTAAATAATGAAATTAAGTCAGAAATTAAGAAGTTCTTGGAAACCAATGAGAACAAAGAGACAACATACCAGAATCTCTGGGACACAGGTACAGCAGTGTTAAGAGGGAAATTTATAGAACTAAATGCCCACATCAGAAAGCCAGAAAGATCTCAGACTGACATACAAACATCACAATTAAAAGAGCTGGAGAGGCAAGAGCAAACTGATCCAAAACTAGCAGAAGACAAGAAATAAATCAGAGGAGAATTGAAGGAGATAGAGACACGAAAAACCCTCCAAAAAAATCAACAAATCCAGGAGTTGTTTTTTTTTTTGAAAAAATTAACACAATAGACTGCTAGCTAGACTTATACAGAAGAAAAGAGAAAAGAAATAAATAGACACAATAAAAATGATAAAGCGGATATCACCATTGATCCCACAGAAATACAAACTACCATCAGAGAATAAACACCTCTACACAAATAAACCAGAAAATCTAGGAGAAATGGATAAATTCCCAGATGCAAACACTCTACCAAGACTAAACCAGGAAGAAGTTGAATCCCTGAATAGACCAATAACAAGCTCTGAAATTAAGGCAGTAATTAATAGCCTACCAACCAAAAAAAAAGTCCATGACCAGACAGATTCACAGCTGAATTCTAGCAGAAATACAAAAAGGAGCTGGTACCATTCCTTCTGAAACTATTCCAAACAACTGAATAGGAGGGACTCCTTCCTAACCCCTTTTATGAAGTCGGCATCATTCTGATGCCAAAACTTGGAAGAGACATAACAAAAAAAAATAAAACTTCAGGACAATATTCCTGATAAACATCAATGCGAAAATCCTTAATAAAATACTGGCAAACCAAATCCAGCAGCATATCAAAAAATTTATCCACCACGATGATATTGGCTTCATCCCTTGGATGCAAGGCTGGTTCAACATACGCAAATCAATAAATGTAACCCATCACATAAACAGAATCAATGACAAAAACCACATGATTAGCTCAATAGATACAGAACGGCCTTTGATAAAATTCGACATCCCTTCATCATGGTAAAACTCTCAATAAACTAGGTACTGGTGGAACATATCTCAAAATAATAGCTATTTATGACAAACCTACAGCCAATATCATATTGAATGGGCAAAAGCTGAAAGCATTCCCTCTGAAAACTGGTACAAGACAAGGATGCCCTCTCTCACTACTCTTATTCAACATAGTATTGGAAGTTCTGGCTAGGGAAACCAGGCAAGAGAAAGAAAGTAAGGGTATTCAAATACGAAGAGAGGAAGTCACGTTGTCTCTGTTTGCAGTCAACATGATTTTATATTTAGAAAACCCCATCATCTCAGCCCAAAAACTTCTGGAACTGATGAGCAACTTCAGCAAAGTTCTGTACATGTATCCCCTTTTGTTTTAAGAAGAAATAAAGGGGGGAAAAAAGAAAACAAAACAAACTACCAAGAAAAAATATTTAAAAAAATGTTTTTTAACTAGGTTTATAATAGATCCATTTTCTCAGTTTGCCATGCATTTAATTCAAGTTAATGGAACCTATAAATATTTTTATAGAAATTTATATTTCTAGTAAGCTTTCTTCATTATGGAATTCCATGGAATCATGTAACTCTCTTTTATAGCACTTATCACTGTGTAATTTTAGTTTTTTGAATTATTTATTAATTGTCTTTTCCACAATACCATAAGCTCAATGAGAGCCAAGGGTCATGTCTGCTTTTAAGCACTATTTTCTCAGCACATGGACCATTGATTGGCACAATGTCAGTGCTCAGTGAGTGTGAGTGAATGAATGAACTTTTCAAGAATGCAGTCATTCCATTATTAGTTGAGTACAAAGACCTGACTAAGAAAGTTAACTTACATAGTTTAGTTTTTAAAATTTCACTTAAGTGTTTAGCCAAATGCAATTTGTTACATCCAAAATGTCAGTATTCTGCCACCTATAAGATAATTCTACTTATTTTTCTCCATTACAAAACATTTCTAAAACTAAGCCTACCCTACCATTTTTATCAGTGATACCAACGTTTGTCAGCACCCGTGTGGTGGGTGGAGAGACAAGATAATGAGCTGGCTGGTACTACTATAGTGAAATGAGCAATTTCAATAACAGGTTTGAAACTCACATCAGATACTATGCTTTAACATATTAATATGATAATGATCACACATTTATTAATCCTTCTGGTGTCACTCATGGCTTTGAGTTATTTATATTCTTAAAATTAATCTTGTAAAAAAACTGCAATTTGGAGTTCAGGAGGTGAGATTAAGTAACTGTTCAATGTCAGACAACTGGCAAATTGATGCCTGCATACACTCTCACATCTGTTTGTTTCCAAAGCTCTTGCTTTTAACATCTTGTTCCAGGCACCGATTTAGAAAAACACTTGAGATATCAGACACCATAAGGCTTTTATTCAGAGATGAGGTGCTAAATTATTCAGATTTTTAAAAATGTAATTCATTCACCAGTACAAACTTCCATTCCCTAGGCTGAATCTGAACTAGGCAGCCTATAGACTAAAACCTACTTTTACCAATCTTGCTCAACAACGCCCCCCTCCCTACTCCAATAATGTTCCTTTTTCACATTCTAGAAATAGCTCTGGTCATCTCCAAATATCTATTTGAAATACAGGTCTATTGCATACATTTGTCTTCCCTTCCAAGGACAAAGCCCATGTTTCTTCAAGTTCAAATGTGACTCACCTCATTCAGAAAGTCCTACCTGATGAATGTTCCTCCACAATCATCTTCCCTTTCCCTCTTGTTTTTTTCTCTCAGCATTTCTCATTATCAGGAAATTCATTTCTTTCTATTTATTCGTTTATATACTCATTATACGTATATATTCATTGAGCACCTGTTTGATATGTGGTAGTGATATAAGTGCTAGAAAATACAGTGGTGGCCAGCACAGTGAGGTCCCTTTAGCTGTGAAACTTACAAGACAATCTGATGATACTAGTAAACTAGGGGTATTTACACCTAGAGCCACAAAGAGTACCCAGATGGGGCTACTTTAAATTGGGTGCTAAGAAAGCCTCAATAAGGAAGGAATGTTTAAACTGAGTAGAAAGAAGAAGCCAACCTGTGCAGATATGCAAAGTATTTCAGATGTGAAGTATGAAGACTCTAAAGTAAATAGAAATTTGGTTTGTTTGAAATACATCAAAAGGCTTTTAGGTATGGTTTATATGGAACATGGTGAGTGAGGAAAACAGTAGTAGAAGATGAGATTGGAGATAGAAGTAATGGCAAGGAATCTTTATGTTAATTGTGATAGAAGTCACTGTGGGATTTTTAAAAGGGAAGAAGCGTGATTGAATTTATCTTGTAGAAAGATCATTCTGGCTGCTAAGCAGAGAATGGCTTATACAGAAGTAAGAATGAAAGAATAATGATCCCAAAGGAGAAGTGATACAGGCTTAGGTTGTCAGAGGACAATGAGGATAGAGAGAATAGTCCATTAGCAAGGTAGGTTGAAGGCTACAGGCAACATGACTACCTGCTGAATTTAGTAAGGCTGAGGTTCTTGAACAACTGGTTACATAAATGGATTCTCTACATATTTACCAAAAAAATTGGGGATAAATAGGTTTGAGGGCCAAAGAAAAGAGGTATAATTTAACCATAATGGATTTGACATGCCTGTTAGACATCAAAATAGAAACAGAAAGTAGTAAGTAAGATATATAATTTTAGAACTCAGAAGAGTAGTCAAGGATGGAGAAATAAATTTAGGATACATTAGCAATTGGCTGGCAGTTGAAGTCATAGGATCTGATATTGAGAGGAAATATAGTGATCCCAGTAGAGGACCTATAAAATAGAATTTCTCAATTTTTCCATTATAACAATTACATTTTCTTTCTATCTTTTTTTTTAATTTTTTTTTTTTTTTTTTGAGACAGAGTCTCGCATTGTCACCCAGGCTGGAGTGCAATGGTGCGATCTCGGCTCACTGCAACCTCCGCCTCCTGGGTTCAATCGCTGAGGCGATTCTGCTGCCTCAGCCTCCGGAGTAGCTGGGATTATAGGTGCACACCACCACACCCAGCTAATTTTTTGTATTTTTAGTAGAGATGGGGTTTCACTATGTCGGCCAGACAGGTCTTGAACTCCTGACCTCGTGATTCCCACTCCTCAGCCTCCCAAAGTGCTGGGATTACAGGAGTGAGCCACAGCATCCAGCCCAAAATTACATTTTCATCTTATTCCAATTATTTCAAAGGCCTAAGCATGATATTCAGTGATGGTTAATTCTGTTTCATATAGATACCATACCTACTATTTAAGCTCTTCAGGGGAAGTGACCTTTATTTATTTAGTTACTTACTTACTTATTTATTTATTTATTCTGGTATTATTCACTCTGTCTGGGTATAATGAACATCTGAAATAAAATGAATTTAAGTGAACTAAAATAAAGAGTCAATAGAACCAGAAAAGTATTGTGAGACCTTTAATAAGAACATTTTTAAACTTTTGTTTTTAAACCTAATTGAAAATAGTGAAATTTAGATGATAAAATACCATTGCTTCAGCTCAGTTTAACAGAATTTTCCTTGTTTTGAATCACTAGCCTTACATTTACATTTAAAGTTCCATAAGAAAATTCCTTTCCTGGCCAGTCATGGTGGCTCACGGCTGTATTCCCAGCACTTTAGGAGTCTGAGGCCAGCGGATCACAAGGTCAGGAGTTCGAGACCAGCCTGGCCAGCATGGTGAAACCCCATCTCTACTAAAAATATAAAAAATTACCCAGGCATGGTGGTGGTTGCCTGCAATCCCAGCTACTTGGGAGGCTGAGGCAGGAGAATTGCTTGAACCTGGGAGGCAGGGGTTGCAGTGAGCCGAGATCGCACCACTGCACTCTAGCCTGGGCGACAGAGGAAGACTCCGTCTCGAGGAGGGGAAAAAAAAGAAAATTCCTTTCAAGACTCTGTTGTTACTTACAAAAGTACTATTTCACCATTTTCATAAATATTTGGAATGAGGCAGACTTAGTCTGAATTCTCTCAGAATTAGATCCTAAGCTAAGTTTTGAGGAGAAGCAGTTTACTTGTGTAGGGAAGTGAGACAAGAAAGAAGAAAGGAGGAGGGGACATTAAATATATGTTATCAAGAACATTACTACTGTGGGCAACTAGAACTTGATTGTTCTAGCGAACTTTAAGAACAAGTGTAGAACACATAGCTCACAGCTGAGGCAGTTGGGACCTTTATCCATGCCACTGTACCATTAAGTTCTCAACATGTTTGTCAGTGCTGGGCTCAGCCTGAATGGGCTCTTGTGCTGAGAGAGTGCCCAGGCACATAATATTCTATACTAGAAGGTGGAATTTGGGGGGTCATGGCCTAAAAGGCTAAATGTGAAAGATGTGTATGTGGCACTGACCATATTTGCTATAATGATGCATTGCAGGGAATAACAAAAATCTGTTTATAAATAATGTTTTTAAAAGACAACTGATTTCAGCATATAAGAAAGTTCCTTTTACAACTTTGTTTGCAAAGAGTTTCAGTCTGTCTTCCATCTGAGACAGTTGTCCTCTAAAAATAAATTGCGATGGGTTCTTGTAAGTCATTTTTTTAATCCTCTTTAAACAAATAATAATAAGAAATAGAGAGAATGGAGAAAGGGAGGAGAGAGAGAGAATATTTGTGGCTATAAAATTGTAATCTAAGATTTGAATTTAAAATAAAAAGAAGGGCAGAGCATTGATCTGTCCATTTCTTCCTTCCAGAATTTAGAAATATTGGAAGAGTCATGCTTAAGAAAAAAATAAAATATTAGAAAATGAAAAAATGTAGAGAATTAGTACTCTCCCTCAATTCATATGTTGAAGCCCTAACCCCCAACATGTTGGTATTGAAAGGTAGGGCCTTTGGAAGCTAAATAATTAGATTAGCAAGGGTCACACTCTCATAATGAGATTAGTGCCTATATAAGAAGAAGAGGAAGATCTCTCTCTCTCTCTCTCTCTCTCTCTCTTTCCATGAGCATGCACTGAGGAACAGTCATGTGAGTACATAGTGAGAAGGTGGCTGTCTGCAAGCTAGGAAGAGGATCATTATCAAGAGCCAAATCTGTAGACACCTTGATCTTGAACTCCTCAGCCTCCAGAACTGTGAGAAATAAATGCCTGTTTGTTAGCTACTCCACCTATGGTATTTTGTTACAGCAGCCCAAGTGGACTAAGAAAGTAAAGTAGGGTTTTTTGTTTGTTTGTTTTTAAAAAAGTCATGTTCCAAATTCAAATGATAAGTAAAAAATATATGAATAAACTTTTCTTTTTATTTATTCTACCTGCCATGGCCTTTCCTCTGTTCTTGGTTATTCATTGTAAAGTATGCTTAGATAACTTGTGTTTTCTTTTTTTTTTTTTTTTTTTTTTTTTTTTTTTTGAGACGGAGTCTCGCTCTGTCGCCCAGGCTGGAGTGCAGTGGCGGGATCTCGGCTCATTGCAAGCTCCGCCTCCCGGGTTCACGCCATTCTCCTGCCTCAGCCTCCCAAGTAGCTGGGACTACAGGCGCCCGCCACTACGCCCGGCTAATTTTTTGTATTTTTAGTAGAGACGGGGTTTCACCGTTTTTAGCCGGGATGGTCTCGATCTCCTGACCTCGTGATCCGCCCGCCTCGGCCTCCCAAAGTGCTGGGATTACAGGGGTGAGCCACCGCGCCCGGCCAACTTGTGTTTTCTTAGGAATGAAATATAAAACCAAGGAAACGACTTAGACAGAAAGGTTGTATTAAGCGCTACAATGGGCTCACTGAAATAGCAAATAATCATTTCCCTTTTCAGAGTCACATGTAGGAGTCAATTACTTCATAGTAACAAAATAGAACTAGTTTTCAGGCACCCTTGGAGTAATATGGGTTTGCCTATATGGCAACTCAGAAGATCTATACAAAAACCCCGCCTGCCTAGGCCCCAAGATACAAATCATATGGCCAGCTGCCAAATTTATCTTAGACATGTCTCATTTGCAATGCCATGACACTTTATTAACCATGGAATTAGAAACCAGAAAGAATAATGCAAAAAGAAAACACCCTATGTATCATTTAATAAAATTTTGTGTAATAATTATTTAAATGCATATATACACTGAATTACCATGAATGTGTCACAGGTAAAGTATTAATTAGTTTCTAATTCTTCCACAATAAAGGAATGGCAAGTTGTCTCTTCACAGGTGTCTAGAGACAATAATCTCAGTCCTCGTGCTGCCTTATTTTTTTTTTTCTGTATCCTGTGGTTTAATTTTTTTGGATTTCTTACAGATCCTCGCTCATTTGCTATCTTCAGCTCCCAGATCTCTTATGTGCTGTGCTCAGTCTCAGATTAGCTTTCATCACACAATGATTTCTGCTATTACTGACAAGATATAACCTTCACTGAACATTATCGGTAAACATTTTTGGGTTGTGTTATACTATGCTGACCTCTGGTTTTTACTGTTCTTTGTTTACTCTTTACACCTGATTCTCTGATCTAATGAGGTCAATGTTCACATATTGATCTCTTTGTCCTATATCTTTTATTTACATTTTTGTCATATTGACCAATTCAACTACTACGATTAGAATATTCAATGCCACATACTGAATCTGCAAATCTCATATTCGGTACTAACTTTAATCTTTCTGTTCCCACTAATTCCTGAGATATTAAATTCATTACATAAATTTTAATTTCTTCTTTTACATTTATTGATTTTGCTGTATAAATAATAAATAACATTATTTTATTATTGTAAAATTATCATCTTACAGCCACCAGCTACATTTCAGTAATAAACACCTATTGTGTTTTGCTCTGCTTATAATTGGAGATGATGTCTTTATAATCAAGAAGTTTTGATTTTGATTGCCTCTGTCATTTTTGATAGGAAGACACAAATTCCAACAAGCTGACTCTAGAAACAGTAGTATCATTTTCTCTGTCAATTTTTTCTTCTCTCTTCAAACGCATACATATAATGTGGTTCATTTGGAAGGGGAGAGATAGAGAAACTAACAAAACTTTGTATTTTTAATTCTCCACTCTGCATCTTTGCTTCAAAATAAAAGTATTTATACTGTACTTGATTATGCATTTAGTTTTACAAGTGAAAAGTCTGAAGTTTTCTTGTACTGTGTGACCATCACACTAGAAATTTGAAAAAGTATTGCCTGTTTTGTGGTGCATTCGTGCTGGGACTCTGTTTGAAGGGATTTATGTTAATCTGTCTTCCATCTTCTTAGTAGGAAGAAAGCCTTTAGCAAAAAGATTAATACATAAATTAAATTTCTTGGTATATGCCACAGAAATAATAGAGGTTGAGAATTGGATTGCAGCCAACTGGTAAATGGTATAAAAATTATATGAGTACATCTGCAGTAAAAAGTTAAATCTGCGTAGAAAAATGCCAAACTTTAGTTTGAGAAGAAAACTTTTTGTATTTCTTTTACCTGAGGCTGAAAAATATATACAGCGGCATATAAATGTGAAGATCCTTTTTTGGAAAAGTATAAAATATAGATGATTATGCAATATCCAACTATACATTACATGAAAGGTAAGCAGGTTTTTTACATTAATGAATTTTCTTGGGATAAAGGAAAGAAGTCTACACGGCAGAGCAAAAATCATCTAGGAGTCTCATGTTTAAACCAGGATTTAAGCCGTGAAAGTGGTAATTTTCATATTCATAAAACAAATACTACTCATTTACTCTGTTACTAGGTGGCTTGTTATTAGGAATTTTGAGACAACTTAGATATTTTGTCAAGGATCATTTCCCAATCATTTTTAGCTTGAAATTTGCCTCTGTAATTATGAAAGCAAACAAAGCAAGCAAAACAACAAGCAAAAAAAGAAAAGGCCACTCTACCTAGTCATTCCCTCACATCTCCCTACCTCTCATGCCATTTTGTGCTATCCTTCAATATTCCCACCATGAAAGTCCTCCTTCCATTTTCAACCCTCCTGACCTCTCAATAATAGAACAAAGAGGATGAGAATACTTAGCAATTAATGGTACCCAATAATTGTTGCCCACAGCACTGTAATTTTGGAATTAGAAATAACAAATAGTGGGTCAGGCGTGGTGGCTCACGCCTGTAATCCTAGCACTTTGGGAGGCCAAGGCTGGCAGATCATAAGGTCAGGAGATTGAGATCATCCTGGACAACACGGTGAAACCCCATCTGTACTAAAAATACAAAAAATTCGCCGGGCATGGTGGTGGTTGCCTGTAGTCCCAGCTACTTGGGAGGCTGAGGCAGGAGAATGGCGTGAACCTGGGAGGCAGAGCTTGCAGTGAGCCGAGATCACGCCACTGTGCTCCAGCCTGGGCGACAGAGTGAGACTCCATCTCAAAAAAAAAAAAAAGAAAGAAATAGCAAATAGTGACCTAGAGATAACACTTGCAATATCACTTTCACTAATCAGTCTTCAACTATTGCATAGTTTTCTTTTATAGTATTAACATTTTTAAAAATTTCCAATTTTAACCCAGTAAATCAGTATTTATATGTCCATTTTACTCCTGGATTACTTCAATAACTGAACGAATTTCCCCATTTTCAGTCCTTCCTTCTTTGAACACAATTCATAAATCAGATCAATAAATCTTTTTTAAATATCTGTTTAATCTTTCAATCCTGATGATATCTTTACTTGAGATTTTTACAAAATCAAGTGTTCCAGATTCATATAACAGTTTCTTGGCCTTTTAGCCTCAATCTGTATTGATCATTCCTTGTTGTCCTACTTAATGACATTCTTAAGTTTCACTAAATTGATTTCTCAGAATTTCTATAATATATTAGACCCAAGTTTGTCACCAAATTTTTGCCTATGCTGTTCACCTCTCTTTTTCATCTTATCAAACATAATCTTCAACATCAACTTAAATTTTCATACTATGCAAAGTTTTTTCCAGCTACCCTAGATGATCCCTAAATTCTCTAATAATTTAATTATACAGTCTTGAGTAGCTTGAAAAAGGATACAGGAAATATTCCGAGAAATCCATTGCTAGGTGATTTCATCATTGTGACAACATCATAGAGTGTACTTACACAAACCTAGATAGTACAGACTACTACACACCTGGGCTGTATTGTATAGCTATTTCTCCTAGGCTACAAACATATACAGCCTGTTACTACACTAAAAACTGTAGGCTTTTATTGTAACACAATGGTGGTTGTTTATCTAAACACAGAAAAAGTACAATAAAAAAATAGTATAAAAGATTTTTAAAATGTATTCCTGTAAAGGGCACTTAATATAAATTGAGCTAGGAGGATTAGAAGTTGCTCTAGATGAGGCAGTGAGAGAGTGACAGGCAACTGTGAAGACCTAGGACATTACTGTGCACTATTATAAACTTTATAAATATGTACAATGAGGTTACACTAAGTTTACAAAACAATTTCTTTTTTTAATAATAGACTTAGCTTACTGCAACTTTTTTACTTTAACTTTTTTAATATTTTAAATTTTTAACTCCTATGTAACACTTATCTTAAAACACAAAAACATTTTACAGCTGTGCAGAAATATTTCTTTGTATCTTTATTAAATTTTAAAAAATAATTTTAATTTTTTATTTTTAATGTTTAAAAATTTTTAATTTTATAGATTCAAAAACCAATTTTTCTTGTTTTTGTTTTTTGAGACAGAGTCTCACCCTGTCACCCAGGCTGGAGTGCAATGGCACCATCTTGGCTCACTGCAACCTCCATCTCCTGGGTTCAAATGATTCTCCTGCCTCAGCCTCCCAAGTAGCTGGGATTACAGGCACCCACCACAACACTCAGATATTTTTTGTATTTTTAGTAGAGACGAGGTTTCACCATGTTGGCCAGGCTGGTCTTGAACTCCTGACCTCGTGATCCACCTGCCTTAGCCTTTCAAAGTGCTGGGATTACAGGTGTGAGCCACCATGCCCAGCCCCAACTTTTTGTTTTATTGACCATTTGTATTATTATTTTTTCTCAATTTTATTTAGTTCTGCTCTGATGTTTGTTATCTTTTTTTTCTTCTGCTAGCTTTGGGTTTGATTTTTTATTCTTCTTCTAGTTTCTTAAGTTGTGACATTAGGCTGTTAATTTTAGATCTTTCTCTCTTTTTTATATAGGCATTTAATGCTATAAACTTTCCACTTGGCATGCTTATGCCATATCCCAGAGATTTTGGTATGCTTTGTCTCCATTTTCATTGGTTTCAAGAAATTTTTTTTCCGCTTTAATTTTGTCATTTATGAAAAGATTGCTCAGGAACAAGTTATTTACTTTCCATGTGTTTGTTTAGCTTTAAGAGTTCCTTTTGGTATTGATTTCTAATTTTATTTCACTGTGGTCCAAGAAGATAATTGATATGATTGTGATTTTTCAAAATTTATGGACACTTACTTTATGGCCAAGCATATGGTTTATTTTAGAGAATGTCCCATGTGCAGATGAGAAAAATGTATATTCCACAGTTGTTGGATTGAATGATCTGTAAATATCTGTTACTTCCATTTAGTCTAGAGTCCAGTTTAGTTCCAGAGTTTTGTTATTGTTTTCCTATGTCTGTGATCTGTCTAATGCTGTCAGTGGGGTGTAAACTCCCCACTGTTTTTGTATTGCTGTCTAGCTCTTTTCCTAGATCTAGTAGTATTTATTTTATGAACCTTGGTGCTCTGGTACGGGGAGCATATATTTAGGATAGTTGTACCTTATTGTTGAATTGAACCCTTTAGAATTATATAATGACCTTCTTTGTCTTTTTTTTAAAACTGTTGTTGATTTAAAGTCTGTTTTATATAACTATAGCCACTCCTGATTGTTTTTGTTTTTCATTTGCGTGATATATGTTTTTTCACCCCTTTACTTCGAGTATATGGGTGTCTTTACCCATTAAATGGGTCTTCTGTAGGCAGCAAATAATTGGATCTTGTTTTTAATACAGTTTTCCAATCTATATCCTTTAAGTGGAGAATTTAAGCTATTTATGTTCAAAGTTAATATATATATGTTAGGTTTTGCTCTTGGCATAATGTTATTACCTAGCTGCTTTGTAGTCTCAATTGTGTAATTACTTTATAGGATGTGTGAGCTTTGTACTCACATGTGTTTTACAATGGTGAGTATTGTCCTTTTATTTGCATGTTAGAACTCCTTCAAGCAATTCTTATAGGTACGGTCTAGTGATTAATTCCCTAGCGTTTACTTGTCTGGGAAAGACTTTGTTTCTCCTTCATTTATGAAGCTTAGTTTAGCATGATACAAAATTCTTGGCTGCCAATTGTTTTCTTTAAGAATACTGAAAATAGGACCCTAGTCCCTTCTGGCTTGTAAGTTTTTTGCTGAGAAGTCTGCTGTTAGTCTGAAGGAATTTTCTTTAAATGTGATTTGGTTCTTCTCTCTTGCTGCTTTTGGGATTCTTTCACATTGACACTGGAAAGTCTGATGATTGTATGGCTTGATGATGTTCATTTTGCAAAGTATCTTCCTGGTATGCCCTGAGCTTCTTGTATCTGGATGTGTGTATCTCAAGCAAGGCCAGGGAGATTTTCTTAAATAGGTTTGCCCAATGTTTTACTGTTTCTTCTCCCTCAAGAATGCATATAACTTGTACGTTTTGTCACTATAAATAATCCCATATTTCTTAAAGATTGTTTTCATTTTTTAAAATTTTTTCTTTATTTTTGTCTGACTGGGTTTGCTCGAAAGACCTGTCTTTAAGCTCTGAAATTCTTTCTTCTGTTCGGTCTAGACTATCCTCAAAGCATTCAGCTGTATTTTGTAACTCCTTCAGTAAATTTTTCATTTCCAGAAGCTCCATTTGTTTGGTTTGTTTGTTTTTTCCGATACCTATCTGCATTCACATCCAACACTGCTTTTCTGATTTATTTGTGCTGGTTTTCAACTTTCTCTTAGATCTCATTGAGCTTCCTTACAATCTATATTTTGAATTTTTTAATCTATCATTTCAGAAGTTTCATGTTGGTTAGGATCCATTGCTAGATAGGTAGTGTGATTCTTGAAGGGTGTTACGATACTGTATTTTTCATGGTGCCGGAGTTTTGGGTCCTTTTCACCTGGAGAAACTGTTACTTCTTATTTTTGAATTTACTTTTATTTGGATAGGATTTTTTTTCTAACTATTGAAAGTATGACTGTAGTGTCTGTTGTTTAGGGTTTTTTTGACTTTACTTTTTTAGCCTGGTACACTTCTGTCAGTAGTTTTTGTGTTGTGATGAGCAGTTCAACCTCCAGGCCAGTAGGTGGCACTTACATGTAAGAACTGGCTGCAACAGCAGTTGAGTGTGTGCTTAGTCTTTGCTTATTGAGAGGTGTTCTCTGGTATTTCAGGTGATGGGCTTCTCTGTGGAGTGCCCCTTGCCTTAAGTTCCTTGGTCAGCAGGGAGTGGAGAGGGTGGGGAGGACCAAGCTGGGTAGAGTTGGGCCACCAACTACCAAGCTCACTCATAAATACCCCAGTGACAAGCACAGGCACCAGCCCTGATAGGGGTGGGTGGTTGAGCTCCTGGTGAAATGTGCTGAGGTCTCTGGCTTGTAAGTTTCCGCTTTAATTTTGTCATTTATGAAAAGGGGCTGCACCAGCTCCCTGTCCTGGGCAGGCAGGAATGTGAACTGTTTCTCTGTCACATCCCTGTCCTAGGACTCGAGACTCTCAGTTCAGAAAGACACTGCTATCTCCAGGCCACAATGTAGCTGAGAGCCATGGAAAACACCTGTCCCAAGATCTTCATGGGAGTGACTTTGGGGTGGATATATCTTTGTGGCTCACTTGTACTCTGATGCATGAATACTGCTGCTTTGTATAGAGAGGAGGAGGGGCTCTGCCTTTCAACATGTGTGGGTGAGTGTCACCTGTGGTGGTATTGGCTGGTTGGGTGTGTGGAGGTGCCAGTGGTTGTGGACTGGGCTAGACATTCCTCCAATCCTCAGGCCCCTGGATGGTCCCCTGGATAGTGTGCACAATCCTACAGGGACTAGGGCAGGTCCAGACCAGTGGACTTGTTCTCAGTTCCTCAGGTTTCAGGTGCTGGCTGTGTTAGGGAAGGGAGGGCTAGCTCCCAGGCCACTGGTAGAACACTCAGGCAGGGGCAAGCAAAACACTCAGGCAGCTGTAGAACATTCCATGACAGCTGTGCCAGGGAAGATCACAGGACTTTAGGAATTGGGCTCTCAGGTGGGCACCAGGCCACAGCTGAAATGATTAGGCAGGGGCAGGGCAGTTGTACAGAGTGCCTGTCGACAGGGAGGATAGTCCCCATCAATGAGAGCAGTGGAGGCCAGCAGCTGTCAGGCATGACAGGCCTGCTCAGGCCTCCCTCCCACAGAAACAGTGACAGAATCCACAAAGATGCCCACTCTCCCCACTCCCTCCTTGGCTGGATGTTGGCATTGACAGTGGTGGAAGCCCCAAGGCAGATAACAGGCCTCTGGAGGCTGGGCTCCCAGAAGGACAACAGGTCAGAGATGAAATGCTTAGGCAGGGGAAGGTGGCTGTGTTAAAATTTTCTGTTAAAAACTAAGACACAAACATACACTTTAGCCTAGGCCTATTCAGGGGCAAGATTATCAATATCGCTGTCTTCCACCTCCACATCTTGTCCCATTGGAAGGTCTTCAGGGGCAGTAACATACATGGATCTGATATTTCCTGTGATAAGAATGCCTTCTTCTGGAATACTTCCTGAAGGACCTGCCCGAAGCTGTTAATTGACAGTGAACTTTTCTTTTTTATAAGTAGAAGGAATACACTCTAAAAGAATGATGAAAGTATAGTATAGTAAATATATAACCAGCAACACAGTCATTTATTATCAACTATTGTGTATTATACATAATAGTATGTGGTACATAATAGTAAATAGAGTTTCTAGCTCTAAAATCTAGAAACAAGCTACCTGTGAAAATGCTTTGTGATATGCTCTTTCATATCACAGAATGGAACCTGTGTTTTGATTCCCCAGGTTCCAAACACTCTTTTTGTGGAATCTATGAAGTGACGTTGCTGAGCCTGTATACTTTTATATACCTGTCAGGGCAGTAGGTTTGTTTACACAAATATCACCAGAAATATATGTGCAATGTGTTGTGCTATGTATTAGAACAGCTATGATGTCACAAGCCAGGCTAGGAAGTTTTCAGCTCCATTATAATTTTATAAAATCACCATTGTATATGTGGTCTGCTCTTCACAAAAATGTTGTTATGTGATAACATGGATTGTGTATTGTTGAATAGTGTTATGTATTAATCCACTTGTACATTGCCCTCTCCCACTTCCTACTGAGCCAGACAAGTACTGTACTAGTTTGTTCTTCTAACTATAGAAACAGCCTTTACAAAGTAGGTATTCAATAGATACCTTGTGAATAAATGAAATCAAATGAGAAATAACAAACTTAGCACAAATTAATTTAGTGCCATGAGAACACAACGACATTTTCTTTTCAGCTGGAAATAATTAATGATAATACAGGACTTGGTATAGAAGACCTCATTTTATAATGAGGCACTAAAAGAATTGTTGGAAATGCTGAAAGTGGAATTACTTTGCATTAAAATTCACAAGGTTTGTAGTCATACTGACCTGAGTTCCAATTCTAGCTTTCTCACTTCTTGACTTTTGGTTGAGAGCAAACGGCTTAAAAAAAAATTTCACCTAAGTCTCAGAATAATGTATATACATCATTGGGTTGTTTTGAGGTATAAATAAAATTATGCATTCAAAACATACAGCACAAGGCCAAGCACAAAGGATAAGTTGAATAAGTAACTGTTATTCTCATTGTTGGTGGTGATTGTGATAGTGTTATTACCTACATTTTAATTTGAAGAATACATTATTTGGAATATAAGCTAAGCTGCTAGGACAAACAGACCTCAACGTTTCATGACTGAAACAAAACAGAAGTTACTTTTGCTTTTAAATGTACAATGACAAACAGACCACAACGTTTCATGATTAAAACAAAACAGAATTTCCTTTTGCTTTTAAATGTACAAGTCCAAAAATAGCTAAGTGATCCAAACAGAGTAAACAATCCTGCTCTATCAGGTGACTAAGGCAATCGGGTACTTCACAACTCTGTCATCCTCAAAAGGGTTGAATTTTCCTTAGTCAAATCTGCCTCAGCTTCACATCTACATCCTGTCCTAAAAGAAAGAAAAAAGGCACCTGCATTTTAAAATCATTTGAAGCAGAAGTTGCACACATTACTTCTATTCATATCCCATTGCCTAATTACCTAGTTACATGGCCACAGTTACCTGAAAGGAATACTGGGGACTCTAATCGATAGTTGGGCTACCACGTAGAGTAGTCACCCCTTTCAGAGTTTTGTTTTCTGCAGTTTCAGCTACCTATAATCAACCATGTTTTGAAAATGTTAAGCAGGAAACTCCAGAAATAAATAGTTGATAAATTTTAAATTGTGTACTATTCTGAGTAGCATGATAAAATCTCACACCATCTACCTGTGATGCAAATAATCTGTTTGTCCAGCATTTCTACGCTGTTTACAGTACCCCCTGCGCCTGCCCCCCCATTAATCACTTAGTAGCCTTCTCAGTTATTAGGTTGGAAAAAACAGTATATCTAAGGTTCGATGCTAGCCATAATTTCAGTCATCCAATGGGAGTCATGAAAAGTATCCCCTGGAGATAAGGGGGACGTCCCGTATACAGCCTATGGATTGAAGTAAGAAGAGAAAGGAAACTGGGAGATCAATATGGTTTGTCCATGTCCCCACCCAAATCTCATCTTGAATTATAGTTCCCATAATCCCCTCGTGTCATGGGAGGAAGCTGGTGGGAGATAATTGAATCATGGGGGCAGTTAGCCCCATGCTGCTGTTATCATGATAGTGAATGAGTTCTCTCAAAATCTGATGGTTTTATATGGGACTTTTCCCCCTTTGCTCGGCACTTCTCCTTCTTGCCATCATGTGAAGAAGGACATGTTTGCCTCCCCTTCTGTCATGACTGTAAATTTCCTGAGGCCTCCCAAGCCATGCGGAACTGTGAGTCAATTAAACCTCTTTCTTTATAAATTAACCAGTCTTGGGCAGTTCTTAACAGAAGCATGACAATGAACTAATACAGAGATCACAGCAGGTGACTTAGTTGTAAGCTGCATACAGTCCTCTTTATTGTTTGATCCTTTTCACAGATTAGGGCCTTCAGCTTCCCCCTAGAAAATAAGGTTGTATATTGTAGTTCTTCTGGAAGCAGCCATTAGATTGCTTTTGATTTTGAAAGTTATTTACATTAAAATATCTTTATATATTCATTTTTTCACTTTATTCTCTAAAGACAATTCTTAAACTTTAGCTCATAAATGTTCAAAGACAATGGGGGTGGCTTATAACACACAAGGTGGGGGTGAGGATGATTGCAAATTTAACAATATAACTTGGGATAGGTTTCACCTAACTGTCAGTGAAACCCTTTATGACCATGTCTACAGTAAGGAAGATATTTACAATATGACTCACAGTATAAGTACTTGGAATTCTCTATATGCAGCATTCTAGCAAACTATTTAACTTATCTTTGCTTCACTTCTTTATCACAAAAAAGTACTAATAACACCTACCTTATGAGATTGTTGTAAAAATTAAACTACTTGAAGAATCTTATAACAATCTAGCAAGTATTAAGCAATTTTAACTCATTAAATTAATAGATAGGTGGATAGATAGATCGACAGATAGATAGAAAGAACACCAAATAGGCATGAAGCACATTTTAGGCACTTGGGTTACAACAATTAACCAAATGGAAAAGCAAAACAAAACAAAACAAAACATTCCAGAATTTGTGTGGCTTATGTTTTAATGCCATCTCATTTAAACTCTAAGAAGTAGGTCTCATTATCCTCATTTTACAGACGAAGGAACTCAGCTCTGAGCTATGATTTGATTTATCCAAGTAGCTAATCACATAAACAATGATAAGTAGAGCCAATATTACACACAAATTAGCTCTAAGAACACTGGCTACAAACTACCATGCTATATGTACAGTAAACATTTCTTGAACTTCTCCTATGCACCAGGCAAAAAGTGAGCCACACACTACCCACAGCCACTGAGAGGCAAAGCACTTTAATGCTTTGATGTGATATTTCCAGAGACCTTGATCTAACCACTCCCTTACACACCCTGTGCCATGTAAACACACCCTCACATCTCTATGCTCCCCACTCCTGAATTCATCTCTGGATAAACATATTTGTGGCAGCAATAAATCAATTAAGAGTTAAATCACTTCTATTTGAAATCATTTGAATGAATAAGAAATAATTTGGATGGCAAGTTTACAAAGAATACATGCCTCATTCACTGAAATTCAAGGACAGAATCAATATTCCTGGAGGAATAGAGTTCTTTCACTGTGGTATTGAGTCTAAATATAACTCTCTGGCTTTAATGATTTGCTTCTACACAGGAAAAGAGTACATGCCAGTGATTTAATGAGGGAATGGATTTTCTTTCTAGTTTCACTATTTTACTACCACCTAAATACCTCTGAGTGTACATTACTGTTCTCATTTGTATATGATTCTATATAGCATATGAAAAGATTTTTTGTGAGAATCTTTAATTTTAAGAAAAAATAGTAAATGTGAGTCATTTATCTAGATTATTTAGAAAATACAGTACCTATTTAATTGTTCTGAAACATTGGTAGAATGTTCATTCCTCATAGAAACCATGAGCAAAACAATGTTTTAAGATATAAGTGTAATAAAAATGATACTTACATAATCATGAGCATATGATATGGTTTGTATATTTGTCTCCTCCATCTTATGTTAAAATGTAATCCCCAATGTTGGAGGTGGAGTCTGGTAGGAGGTGTTTAGGCTATGGGGGCAGATCCCTCATAAATGGCTTGGTGCTCTCCTCGGAGTAATGACTGAGTTCTCGCTCCAAGTGCACACGAGATCTGGTTGTTTAAAAGAGTGTGGCACCTCCTCCCTTGCTTTCTCTTGCTCCATCTCTCTCCATGTAATACATCAGCTCCCACCTTGGCTTTCCACCATGATTGTAAGCTTCCTGAGGGCCTCACTAGAAGCTGAACTGCTGTTGGCGCCATGTTTTTACAACCTGCAGAATCGTAAGCCAAAATACAATTCCTTTCTTTGTAAATTACCCAACCTTGGATATTTCTTTATAGCAATGCAAAAATTGACCAACACAACTTAATTGAATCATTCTTTGATAGTTTAAAAGAAAATTTAGAATGTTTCAAGTCATCATTCTAACATATTATTTAAAAAAATAGACTTTAATTTTTTTAACTTTTATTTTAGGTTCGGGGATACATGTGAACGTTTGTTACACAGGTAAACGTGTGTCATGAGGGTTTGTTGCACATGTTATTTCATCACACAGATATTAAGCCCAGTACCCAATAGTTATCTTTTCTAATCCTCTCCCTTATCCTTCCTCCCCATCAAGTAGACCCCAGTGTCTGTTGTTTCCTTCTTTGTATTTGTAAGTTCTCATCATTTAGTTCCCATTTATAAGTGAGAACATGCAGTATTTGGTTTTCTGTTCCTGCATTAGTTTGCTAAGTATAATAGCCTCCACTCCATCCATGTTCCCACAAAAGTCATGATCTATCTCATTCTTTTTTGTGGCTGCATAGTATTCCATGGTGTACACGATCACATTTTCTTTATCCAATCTCTCATTGATGGACATTTCTCCATGTCTTTGCAATTGTGAATAGTGCTGCAATGGAGATTTGCATGAATGTGTCTTTATGGTAGAATGATTTATATTCCTCTGGGTATATACCCAGTAATGGGATTGTGGAGTTGAACAGTAGGTCTGCTTTTAGCTCTTTGAAAAATCTCCATACTGCTTTCCACAATTGTTGAACTAATTTACACTCCTGCCAACAGTGTGTAAGTGTTCCCTTTTCTCTGCAGCCTCGCCAGCATCTGTTGTTTTCTGACTTTTTGATAATAGCCATTCTGACTGGTGTGAAATGTTATCCCATTGTGGTTTTGATTTGCGTTTCTCTAATGATCAGTGATATTGAGCTTTTTTTAATATTCTTGTTGCCCGCATGTATATCTCTTTCTGAGAAGTTTCTGGTCATGTCCTTTGCCCACTTTTTAATGGGGTTGTTTTTCTGTTATAAATTTGTTTAAATTCCTTGTAGATGCTGGATATTAGACCTTTGTCAGATGCATAGTTTGCAAATATTTTATCCCATTCTGTAGGTTGTCCATTTACTCTGTTGATACTTTCTTTTGCTGTGCAGAGCTCTTAAGCTTAATTAGATAGCACTTGTCAATTTTTATTGAGATTTGTTTGCTAGTTTTTGTCATGAAATCTTTGCCTGTTCCTATGTCCAGGATGGTATTGCCTAGGTTATCTTCCAGAGTTTTTATAGCTCTGGGTTTTACATTTAAGTCTTCAACCCATCTTGACTTATTTTTGTATATGGTGAAAGGTAGGGCTCCAACTTCAATCTGCCTATGGCTAGGCAGTTATGCCAGCACCATTTATTGGATAGGGAATCTTTTCCCCATTGCTTGTTTTTGTCAGCTTTGTCAAAGATCAGATGGTCATAGCTATGCAGCCTCATTTCTGGGCTTTCTATTTTGTTTCACTGGTATGGGCCTGTTTTCGTATGAGTACCATGCTATTTTGGTTAGTGTAGCTTTGTAGTATAGTTTGAAGTCAGGTAGCATGATGCCTCCAGGTTTATTCTTTTCGCTTAGGATTGCCTTGGGTATTCGGGCTCTTTTTTTGGTTCCATGTGAATTATAAAATAGTTTTTTCTAGTTCTGTGATGAATGTCTTTGGTAGTTTGATAGGAATAGCATTGAATCTATAAATTGCTTTGGGCAGTATAGCCATTTTAATGATACTGATTCTGCCTATCTGTGATCATGGGATGTTTTTCCATTTGTTTGTGTTTTCTCTGATTTCCTTGAGCAGTGTTTTGTAATTATCATTGTGAAGAACTCTCACCTCCCTGATTAGCTATATTCCTAGGTATTTAATTTTGTATATGTGGCAATTGTGAATGGTATTGCCTGTCTGATTTGGCTATTGTTGGTATATAAGAATGTTAGTGATTTTTGTATGTTGATTTTGTATCCTACAACTTTGCTGAAGTTGTTTATCAGCTAGAGGAGTTTAGGGCCTGTGACTATGGGGTTTTCTAGATATGGAATCATGTTGTCTACAAACAGAGATAGTTTGACTTCCTGTCTTCCTACTTGGATGTCCTTTATTTCTTCCTCTTGCCTGATTGCTATGGCTACGACACCCAATACTATGTTAAATAGAAGTGTTGAGAGAGGGCATCTTGCCTTGTGCCAGTTTTGAAGGGGAATGTTTGCGGCTTTTGCCCATTCAGTATAATGTTGGCTGTGGGTTTGTCATAGATGACTATTATTATTTTGAAGTATGTTTCTTCAATACCTAGTTCATTGAAAGTTTTTAACATGAAGGAATGTTGAATTTTATCAAAAGTCTTTTCTACATCTACTGAGATAATCATGTGGTTTTGTCTTTAGTTCTGTTTAAGTGATGAATCACGTTTATTGATTTGCATATGTTGAACCAATCTTGCATCCTCAGGATGAAGCCTACTTAATCACGGTAGATTAGCTTTTTGTTGTGCTTCTGGATTTGATTTACTAGTATTTTTTGAGGATTTTTGCATTGATGTTTATCAAGGATATTGACCTCAAGTTTTCTTTTTTGAGCAGTGTATAATGACATGTATCCACTATCACAGTATTATACAGAATAGTTTCACTGCCCTAAAAATCTTCTGTGCTCCATCTGTGTATCCTTAACCTCCTCTCCCCTGAGCTTTGGGCAACCACAGATCTTTTTATTTTGACCATGGCTTCAGCTATTTCAGAACATTATATTGTTGGAAGCATACAGTCTGTAGCCTTTCCAGATTGGCTTCTTTCACTTAGCAATGTGCATTTAAGGCTCCTCCATGTTGTTCTGTGGCTTAATACCTCATATCTTTTTATCTCTAAGTAGTTTCCATTGTATGGATGTACTTCTACTTCTGTTTGGTTATCCGTTCACCTACGAAGGGCATCTTGCTTCCTTTCAAGTTTTGGCAATCATGAATAAAGCTGCTATAAAAATTTCTAATGCCATAAGCCATCATTCTAATATTTTTTTCATTCTATAGTCCTCCAGATTTAAAAATAGGAAACCTAACAGATCTCCATGAATAAATTCCAGAAGCTGGTTAAAGAACAAATTCCTGATTCTAACCCATTTACAAACATTTTATGTATCCATAGATTAAGGAAAAGTGTTTGTAAAAGCATGCTGTAACTTTAAGTTTTAGATAAATAGGTGCTTGATGTATAATTATATGTTATTTAAAGGCTAAAAATAATCAAAATTCAAATTATAATAAATGAAGTCCATTTTCTTTAATTTTGGAAATGACTGAAAACACAATTTACTCTCTAAATTACATTACAGTATATAGCATGTAGTTTTTTTCTTTTCTAAAGGACTTAAAAAATTTTTGCTATAGCATACAATATTATGTTAATTTTCTTTTGTAAAACAATTATGGTTGGCAGAATCAGCAGCATAAGGCAAATAATCAGATCACCAATAATATTTATAAGTATCTACAGTTAACACTTACTTACATGATGTTTACTGAACGATTCTCCCAGGGGCCTGAAAGCTTAAGGGAATTAATAACTCCCCCCTCCTCAGGCCCAGTCCCAAGGCACTTGCGTCAGCAAGACAGCAGAAGTAGGAAGAGAGCTGGCTGGAAGAAACGGTACCCGCTGAAGACCAAAAGAGAGGCCGTCCGGGTACAGCGGTACAGCGTAGCAGTTACGTCAGACTGAGACACTTCCTGTTTATAGGAGACTATAAAACCCCTGCCTCGTCCTAATTTGTTGCTGACGCCATTTTAGGCCTCAGCCCATCTGCACCCAGGCGCTCATTAAAAACAGTGTGTTGCTCCACACCACCTTGTGTTGTTTGTTGGCATGCTCTTGGGGTTCGAACCGATACAAGAGCCTTGCATTTACTATGTGCAGGCACTGTTTTAAGTGCTTTTATATACATTAATAAATTTTTTCCTTATAATAAATGAGTGTGTCAATACTATTAATAACTCCATTTCACAAATAAAGTGTTGTGGTCACCCTGAAGAGGCAGAATGGGCTCTCCCCACTCAAAAGTTGGTTGAGTTGTTGAGAATGATGACACTACACATGCACAGAGGGTATGAACATATTTGTTACCCACATAATGAGGTTTTCTGAGGAGAGGGGAGGCTCCCAAGCAGTCCCGAAATGGATTGAGAGTAGGGAAGGAGACGGGCTTGGCTTTTAGGGTTTTTGTATGGTTTAAACTTTTTACCAGAGCCACAGGAGGGAACACTCAGGCTCTCTTATCACATTCTCTAGAAAGGAAGCAGAGGGTCCATAAGGAGTGGCAGGGCATGAAAGCTGATAGCAATCAACAGAAATGGAGTCAGATTCTTTGTTTAAAAAACAAAAACAAAGGCTCAGTGTGGATAGTTTACCCTAATCACAGAGCTTTTAAATTGCAGATCTCAATTACAGTTCAGTCAGTTGGTTCCAGTATCCATGCTCTTAACCTAGATACAACATTTCTAATTATAAAAGCATCACTTGCTTGCTGTAGAAAATATGGAATTTATAAATAAGCTGTGAAGAATAAACAAAAATCACTCTTAATTATACAACTCAGGGGAAGGCCATTGGTTGTATTTAGTTTAGTTCTACATTGTCCTTTAACTGTTACACTGTTTTAATATTATGTAAGGTGTTTTGGATTTTTCTAAATTAAATATTATATATAAAACATTTTTTCAATAAATTAAATATTCCTCAAAGTGGTAGATAGAACTCTAAGATGCCCCTGAGAATCCAACTCTTGGTGTTACACCCTGCATTATCCTCTCCCCTGTGATTTGATTCTAATGAATAGAACCTGGCAGAGGTGATGGGGTATTAGTACCATAATTACCCTACTTTATATAACAGGTGCAAATATTTTACAGCTATAACTAAGGTCCCTTGAGTTCATCAAAAGGGATATTATCCTGGATAGGTATAATGTAATCAAGATAGTTCTTGAAAAAAAAAAAAATGCTTGGCCATCCCCAAAGAGAAACATTCTTCTGCAGGTCTTGAAAAAGTAAGCTGCCATGTGGAGAGAGGGACTAGGAGAGGCCATAAGGCCAGGAACTGCAAGTGGCCTCTAGGAGCAGAAAGCAAATCCTGGCTGACAGTCTTATAATCACATAAAATCATAGAAAAGAGGGACTTCACTCCTATAATCACACATACACACAAATGGAATTCTGCTGGCAACCACATGAGCTTGGAAGAGAACCCTGAGAATGGAATGCAGCCCAGCCAACACCTGGATTGCAGCCTCGCGATACCCTGAGAAGAGGACTCAGTAAGCCACCCTTGGACTCCTAACCCATGGAAATCATGAGATAATTAATAAATGGTTTAAGCTGCTATCTGTAGTAACTTTTTATGCAGCAACAGAAATCACGTAAATATGTGTTTTCAAATCATGGTGCAAATAACAATTAGATGACTCAGACTTAAATTATTTAAGTATTTTTAACATAAACACCAACCTAAATCCATGATTCTTTCCTTGGTATAAATTTAAGGAAATAGATATAGAGAAGAGAGTGCACATATGTTATTTTTTGCATTTTCAA
Organism: Homo sapiens; assembly: GCF_000001405.40. Lineage (NCBI taxonomy): Eukaryota > Metazoa > Chordata > Mammalia > Primates > Hominidae > Homo > Homo sapiens. The sequence continues at coordinate 54,981,507 of NC_000006.12, read as the reverse complement.
ATTCATGGCACTTTGTTTTAGTAATAGCAACTCAATTGTCTGATGCTTGCAGTCTTGATGAGACGTCAGCCTTGGTACGCAGCCTTTGCCTGACCTGAGGAGAGTCATGGACCTAACAAGACCCATCAGACTCTCTTCCTGGAATTTGAATCTCCAAAAAAAAAAAAAAAAAAAAAGGGCACTGAAAATCCATAAATCTGATTCATGCTTATTATGACATCTGAGGAAACTTTCTGTAATTCCCTTCCAACTGGATCCCCACATGCCTGTTTCATACCACTTCTTACGCTTCATTGTTCAATTTTTCTTTAATTCCATGAGTGTTGACTCATATCCTTCTAATAAATCTCTCTCCCTCTCCATGCATACACACACACACAAACACACACACACACGAGTCAATCCTCATTATTCAGTACTTATGAATTTGCATGCTAAATGTATCTGTAACTCCAAAATTAATATTCACTATGGTTTTGTGGTTATACGCTCACATGTACAGGGCATTGAAATCTTTGTGTCACCCACACATACATTCTCTGATGGGGTGGAACGAGGCAAGACTCCACCTTCTTGTTTCAGCTCTCACACTGTAAATGTGCTCCTTTCACAGTCTACGTAATGCCATTTTCACATTTTTGTGCTTTTCGGGGGGGTGACTTTGATGTATAAAATGGTCTTTATATGTGTTAGGCTGAAGTGCTGTCTAATATTTCTAAGCACAAGAAGGCTGTGATGTTCCTTAAGAAGAAATGTGTGCTAGATAATCTTTGTTCAGGCATGTGTTACAGTGCTGTTGGCCATGAGTTCAACGTTATGAGTCAACAATACCGTATGTCTAGAAAAAGAAAGAGAAAACTCACTGATGTGTACATGAGATTGCTTTGGAAAGTGCTAAAGCAATGTGTCCGGAATTGGTGGGTTCTTGGTCTCACTGACTTCAAGAATGAAGCCGGGGACCCTCGCGGTGAGTGTTACAGCTCTTAAGGTGGCGCGTCTAGAGTCTGTCCCTTCTGATGTTTAGATGTGTTTGGAGTTTCTTCCTTCTGGCTGGTTCGTGGTCTCGCTGGCTCAGGAGTGAAGCTGCAGACCTTCGTGGTGAGTGTTACAGCTCTTCAAGGCAGCGCATCTGGAGTTGTTCGTTCCTCCCAGTGGGCTCATGGTCTCGCTGGGCTCAGGAGTGAAGCTGCAGATCTTCAAGGTGAGTGTTACAGCTCATAAAGTCAGCGTGGACCCAAAGACTGAGCAGTAGCAAGATTTATTGCAAAGAGCGAAACAACAAAGCTTCCACATTGTGGAAAGGAACCCCAGCGGGTTGCCAATGTTGGCTCGGCAGCCTGCTTTTATTCTCTTATCTGGACCCACCCACATCCTGCTGATTGGTAGAGCCCAGTGGCCTGTTTTGACAGGGTGCTGATGATTGGTGCATTTACAGTCCCTGAGCTAGATACAAAGGTTCTCCACGTCCCCATCAGATTAGTTAGATACAGAGTATGGACACAAAGGTTCTCCAAGGCCCCACCAGAGCAGCTAGATACAGAGTGTCGATTGGTGCACTCACAAACCTTGAGCTAAACAGGGTGCTGATTGGTGTGTTTACAAACCTTGAGCTAGATACAGAGTGCCGATTGGTGTATTTACAATCCCTGAGCTAGACATAAAGGTTCTCCAAGGCCCCACCAGAGCAGCTAGATACAGAGTGTCGATTGGTGCACTCACAAACCTTGAGCTAAACACAGGGTGCTGATTGGTGTATTTACAATCCCTGAGCTAGACATAAAGACTCTCCACGTCCCCACCAGACTCAGGAGCCCAGCTGGCTTCACCTGGTGGATCCCGCACCAGGGCTGCAGGTGGAGCTGCCTGCCAGTCCCGCAAGGTGCGCTCGCATTCCTCAGCCCTTGGGTGGTCGATGGGACTGGGTGCCGTGGAGCAGGGGGTGGTGCTCGTCGGGGAGGCTCGGGCCGCACAGGAGCCCATGGAGTGGGTCGGAGGCTCAGGCATGGCGGGCTGCAGGTCCCAAGCCCTGCCCCGCGGGAAGGCAGCTAAGGCTCGGTGAGAAATGGAGCGCAGCACCGGTGGGCTGGCACTGCTGGGGGACCCAGTACACCCTCCGCAGCCACTGGCCAGGGTGCCATGTCCCTCATTGCCCGGGGCCAGCAGGGCTGGCTGTCTGCTCCGAGTGCGGGGCCCGCCAAGCCCACGCCCACCCGGAATTCCAGCTGGCCCGCAAGCGCCACACGTAGCCCCGGTTCCCGCTCGAGCCTCTCCCTCCACACCTCCCTGCAAGCTGAGGGAGTGGGCTCCAGCCTTGGCCAGCCCAGAAAGGGGCTCCCACAGTGCAGTGGTGGGCTGAAGGGCTCCTCAAATGCCGCCAAAGTGGGAGCCCAGGCAGAGGAGGTGCCGAGAGCAAGCGAGGGCTCTGAGGACTGCCAGCACGCTGTCACTTCTCAGTAACATAGACACAGGATGTATTGAAACTATGGAAAAGACAAAAAAAGTAGTTAAACGTGTGGATTCATGTGATGACTACGAATTGTTAAGAAGCATAGTGGTCAGCATTGTTGTGAGGTTAAAACCCAAAAATATGTATGGTCACCTTATCCATGGTCAAGAAAATGTTAAACCATTCTCAGCTAGTGCTGGCTGGTTTGCATGTTTCAAAAAGCAATGCTACATGGAAAATGTTAAACTGGCAGTCAAGGCAATTAAAAAACATTTGCCAACTGTCATACAGAAAAAGGGTTATGTACAACAGCAGGTTTTCAAAGGTAATGAGACTGGCTTGTTTTTCAAAGATTTTGGCAAACAAACCTAGGTAACACAAGTGGTGTTTGGAGTGACAAAAATTTTGTGACCACAGGCTCACAGGAACCTAATCCTGTATTTCCCCTTGGAGCAATAGTTTGATATCTGCTAAATTAATATTCATGGTGACTTTATGGAACATAGCTATCATGAATAATGAGAATTAACTATGTGTTACACACACACACACACACACACACACCCCAATGTTTCTGTTGCTGGCAACTAAAGAATCCAATCAATAATACACTATATCAAAAGACTGAACTTCAATCACTTTTAATATGGTTAACTTTTAATATATAACTCAGAAAACTATCAGCTTGCATCAGTGATATTTCCAGTTTCCTTATACCATACATCTTGTTATAGCTTTCCAATTTGGTAGACAAAATATTTCCATTTTCCCTATATCATAAAACTTGTTATATATTTTGAATTTGGTAGACAAAAAAGAAACATCTTTTTGTTTTAATCTACACTTCCATTCAAGCAAAATTTGCCTTCTCTCATTTCTTGTATGTGTAATTCTCTGTTGTTGTTGTTGGGATCTATTCAGGCACTACCAATTTTTCTTACTGCTTTCTGAAATCATTTTTTACAATCTTCAGGCTGTACTAACCTCAATTTTCTGGTCTAATTCAATAACCTTTATAGTTTCCTCATTCTTTTGTGTTTCTCGTTTTCCTCGTCTTCCTTTTGGATTAATTTTGTGATAAAAATCTATCATACACTATTTCTTCAGCTAGTAATTTTGAGAGTAAGCTTTGTGAGTCCTAGAGGTTTGAAACAGTCGTATTGTCCTCACACATATAATTCATTTGGTTCTGGAAAATTCTAAATCAGACCTTTTTTTAAATCAGATCATATATTCAGAATTCTGGCAATTATGTTCAGAATTGCCAGCTAGAATTCCAATGTCAATGTGATACTTTGTCTTTTAGAGTCTCTAATTTTGTTCATCTTGAAACTCATAGTAAGTTTCACTTGATCCTGGGTTTTCTAAAATGTTACCAGTATGTCTGGGTATGAAGTTTTGCTTTGTTTCATGTATTTACAACATGTTAAGCACCCAGTTAACAAGATTAATGCACACCTTTCTTCAATTCTGATAGTATTTATTATTTCCTCCTTTCTAATTTTGAGTATTCTATTTATAATGAAATTACTTTAGACATATATTGGAACTTTTAGATCTATCACCCTTTTTTTCTAACTTCTATTTTCATACATTTTAATTCTCTGTCCTTTATGGGTTGAACTAGGAAGGATTTTTCACTTGATCTTGTACTTCACTAATTCACTCCTCATCTGAGTCCATTCTGACATCGATTCTGTCTGCTAATTTTATTTATTTTAACAAATTTTAGTACTTGCCAAATTTATTCTTAGCTGTTTTTGTGTTTTGGGAAGTGTATTAAATTTCTTCTTCATCACTTTGAGGATAATTCTGTCTATTCTAAAGTTGTGTGTTCTATTCATGCTGTTTCATTAGGTGTTATTTATTGACATTCACATGTCTTTTTTTTCATGGAGTTTTGTTGCTTATGTGCCCAGATTTTTTTTTTTTTCTTGTGTGCTCATTTTACTGGGCAAACTAGTGAGAGGTAGGATGCTATAGAAAGAACTACATCAGAAGTTAATTTTCTGGTCACAGAATTTTACATTTTACATTTCTTCCTGGGTGTCTCTAGCTCTTCAGTACATTGCCATGTTTCTCTGACCCAAATGACCAATTTCACGGCTTGTGCCTGGCCACAAAAACCTCTACTTGTCCTTAAACTAAGACAGAGAGGGAAGGGTTGCATGTCTTTGGGGTAGTCTCGTCTTCCAAGGCTCTGTTAATTGACTCATGGTCCCTTTCTCCTTAACACATGCATCATGTCCAAGCTTGGAAAAACTTCCCCCTACATCCCCCAACCCACCATCTTTATTTTTTCTATCAGTTTTCTTGTATATAGCTTTTGAGCAGTGACTCCCTCCTTTAATCTCATTCTGTTGTCTGCCACCTTTCAATGATTTATTTCTGGTCCACTGAGGTTATGACTTTTCTATTCCTAGTTCTAATGAATGTTTTTTTTAAAAGTATACTGTTCAGCATTTGGTAAGGGAGGTTTGTCTAGAGTGTGTACTCTGTTAATCACGTTAAGGTAATCCTTAAACAACTTTCTGAGTTTAAAACCATCTGAAAACATGAGAAATAAAATCAGCTTTAGATTTGACTTATTTAAAAATTCAAAGCTGCATTACAGTAAAAAATAAATAATTGAATAGAATTAAACAAAGCAATACAAAAGGGTCATTTGGAATAAACACAACAAAAAAGAGTTCATATGAATATATAAAAAAATTAAGGTTCCAATAGATAAAAAAATTAACTGGAAATTTAAATGACAAAAATAAATGTAAATAAACAGAGAAGTACAACCCAAATAGTAAACAATATAGCCACTGAAAAACTGAGAAACTTTTATATTTGCTAAATTCACACATAAAAATAAATTGTAATGAGAATATTTAATACTACCAAGTATGTGGTAAAATAAACATTATTAGGTACTGCGGATGAGTATTGGAATTGAACTGTTTGCTAATGCATTTCAAATACCCCAAGTGTTTACCCATTTGAGCCAAATATATGACAGTTTTTAAAAATATGTTCAAATGATGATATGTTTTATAGAAAATTTATAATGGAAGAAAAAACAAAGTGTTCTTTGACAGAACAGTTAAGTGAATTAGAGTTCAGTCACATCATAGACTATTCTGTAGGCATTAAAATTGATGTTTACAAAGATTTATTTTATGAGGAAATGCTCAGAATAGGTTACGTCTTTAAAATAAAATATAATTATGTATATAGGTTTCTTTTGACTTAAAAAAATGCACATATGAGTTAACCAAAAACTAAAAGGATGTTTATAAAAATGTCAAGGAAGGTTTTCTTTAGTTGACGAATTTATTTTAAATTTTAAAATCTTCTTATGTATTTTCAAAATCATCTGCAGTGAGGAGATAATAAACTGATAAATAGTAAGATAAATTATTTTAAAAAGCAGTTGTCTGAAAAATATTTTACTTTACTTCTCAGCATCTTTCCCTTTTATTTCATGTCTGATAGCTTTTTTCTTCTTGTATTAGTTTCCTAGGACTGGTGTAGGAAATACCAGTCACTGGGTGATTGAAAATAGTATACATTGATTCTATGACAGTTCTGGAGACCAGAAGTCCAAAATCAAGGTCTTGGCACATCTATGCTCCTTCGGAAGCCTGTGGGGAAGAATCCCTCTTTGCCTCTTCCTGGCTTCTGGTGGTGTCCGTGGATCCCTGGTATTCCTTGGCTTGTGACAGCACAACTTCAGTCTCTGCCTCCATCTTCACATGTTCTCCCTGTGTCTTCACATCATCTTCCTTCTGTGCAAGTCTGTCCTGTGTTCAAGTTCTCCTTTTTATAAAAAGCGCACTGGTCCTATCAGTTTAGGGCCCACTCTAATGATTTCATTTTAACTTATTTAAAAAGACCTTATTTGTGAAGACCCCAAATAAGGTCACATTTGGTGATAGCATGGGTTAGGACACCAGGGTATCTTTTTGAGGTGACACTATTCAATTCACCATAACCCCTTGCCAAGTAATGATGCCATATCTATGTCTGTCTTCAAAGGGGCTATCTCTTGATTCTGAACATCTCTCTTAATCTTCTCAATTATCAAGATGTACTGAATTAGTATGTTATCGCTTAAAGTTGTCTTCTCAATTAGTTGGAAATTTTCTTATGGAAAAGAGCGTGATTTTAAGGTAGGCTTAAGGTACAGTAATGGCTTATGGGGTAAGAATAATTACAGAATGGAAGACATTTTGAGCACCTCTCCAATCATATCATATGGGAGACGTGATAAACTATTTCACCTAATGCAGGGAGAGCAGAACCAAACAGCTGTCACCATGCGGTCTCAATAGAGGCAACAAAGGAAGACAAGATTCAGGATCATTGAAAAGTGGCAGAAATGTCATGTTATATGATATGTGTAGTGACTCTTTAAATTGCTTCCTTAATTTAATATTGTAATTTTTGTTTAGAGAAACCTCTCTTGGAAGCAGTAGTAACCATTTCAAAGTAGAAAATAATAGCATGAAGCTAGAGCCAATTTCCTGGCTTTCTTTTCAAAATCTGCATCCAAAATACAAGAAACAACAATATATAATACAGATGGTAATGTAGGTGGTCTTGGAAATTCTCAGTAAGATGCACTGAATAAGGTATCAATTAAGTATTTGAGAGGTACTAAGCATTACTTATTCACTAAATGGGATATAGATTTAATCATCAAAATACATCTTTAATTGTGAAGGCAGAAAGTAAGAAATGTGGGAGCAATACATTATTAATATTTCTTGATCCCCCAAACCCTTATTCCTTTGATGACTCACATAGAAAGTAGTGTTCTGGTATGCATTATGAATTATAACTAGAAAGATTTTTTATTTTAAACCACTTTGGAACCAGTGTCAGTGTCTATTATTTAGATGTCTATATTAAATTACATGGCTTTTTTTCTAGTTTATTTCCACATTTAAAATATGTATGCCACATGGTATTGCATCTACAGGCACACTTGCAGGAACTAATTTCAGAGGTAACCCTGTTACAGAATCACTCCTAAGCCATTACCTCCGCATGACTTTGTGGGATCATATGGGGAAAAAAAATGCTCTGTCTTTTATGGTGAGTGATTTTTTGTGGCGTGTCCATTCAGTTCATGACAGCAGAATTAGTGGTTTTGACATGTGGAGATTATTCTAAGCCAATCCAAAATTACAGACAAGTGTTCTACCTGTGTAAACAGTGCTGCTCTTCCAAATGGAAGGCTTACATTTGAAATTTTCTAAAACAAATCTAACCACTGTTTTTATATTTAAAACCAGCTGTATTTAATATATTAGTTTTGTTGTTATTCTGAGGCAAATGATGATTTAATACCAAAATATCTTTAAAAAAATCATTAAATCTGAGAGGTAATCATTGATGTTGCATTAGTCTCCCAAGACATTGTTTTATGTTTTTTTTCCTGCTTCATAAATTCCTTAGTCTTTATGACACTGAATTCAGAGAAACACTTGCAAAATTTCAAACGAAAGTATGGGTTTGCTATAATGCCTAAATTATCTCTTAGAAGACCAATTGGACATCTACTGGCCTGTATTTTCAACTTCCTTCAAGATGATTTTTCTGGTAATTTTTATCCAGCATTAGCCACTTCCCTATCTTGAATTTCTCAATACCTTGATTATTATTGAGGTAAATAAAACTGCAGAATTTTATTTATTTTTATCCAGAATAAATGTTCTTTAAATACTCTTGGCTGTTTCTCTTTCTTGTGATAGAGATATCAAGTCCTCAGTTTTGGAAATGTCACCAGAATGCCATCCCAATAATTACCTCCCACCCCCATCCCCCCAAAAAAACAAGCACATGACCAAAGTCATGATGTATTTTATTTTGGCAAAGACCTTTGGCTTAGGCGCTGGTGTTGGATGGTGGTGTATTATGAATGCACTGCCTTACCTGCTGAACATCTCTGCATCCAGAAATTTACTTAGAGATAAAGAGAAAACCAAAAGTATTGTGAAGGTAACATCTGCTCCTTTCTTTTAAGGTTTGAATATTTAAAATAGGAAAATATTTTTGCCCTGATAAAATGAAACCAGGGTTACCCAAAATGAAACTTTGTTTTAAGATGGGGATTTGGCCCATGACCCAAAATTGTCACGGAGGCTTTGTTCACTGTGTGACTGATGCTGGAATCCCGTGGAGCCATTGTACATAGCATAGGTGGGTGCGCCTTAGGATTGGAGGCTGTAGGTATGAATAAAACTGCTGCTCTATAAGAACTGTGAGTCTAATTCTGAAGGGAGAAGTACTCCTTCTTAGAGGTCTTGCCATTTAAAAAGAAGTGTAGGAAAATAAATATAACTTTTTACCCCAGTGAATAAATGCGGCATACCAGTTACATTTATAATAATATTTTCTTGTATTTTTGTAGATTGTTCCAGCATAGTAGTTTTATTTCTTCAAGAAGGTTATCTCCCTGAGAAAAAGAACCATATTTCCTATAGTTTTTTTGGTTTATGATAATGTCGTTAATTGTATTAATTTGTGGATGGTAAACATCTGATGTGTGGTTGTTGAGAAAATGATATCTCACCTTTATATGGCTTTATGGTTCATAATGTGCTTTCACAAAATTATCTTACAACTGAACAGAGAGACAGCTGTGCCAAATAAAATTGTGTCCCTGAGACTTGAGGAAATAAGGGATTTGTTCATAGCTAAAATCTCATAGCTAATAATGGGAGAAACCAAAACTCAAAAGTATGATGACAGAATCTGAATAAATTACTATTTCAACTAGTACTAGAGGCAGCAATCTAGGAGACTTCAAGCCAGACTTTAGCCACAGGTTTTTTTCTTTTTTCTGGCTATGGGGTCTCACTCTGTTGGCCAGGCTGGAGTGCAGTGGCACATTCATGGCTCACTACAGCCTTGAACTCCTGGGCTCAAGTGATCCTCCCACCTCAGCCTCTCAAGTAACTTGGACTACAGGCATGTGACACCACACCTTGTCTTTTTTTTTTTTTTTCACCTACCACTTGATGAAATGCTCTCTCCCCAATTGATCACATTACTCAGCACTCACAGTTAAGCGATACCTAGCATTTCTCAGTGACTCATGTTACCTGCCTAGCCACTGAAGACACGATTTCCTAAACTTCACTATAAACTAATACAAGATGTAGAGCTTCTTTGCCAGCTTTGGGACTTAGCTTAAAAGAGAAATTATTAGGAGTTAGACAAAAAACAGAGTAAGCAGTGAATGGACTTGAAAAGATACAGAGCTGTGGGAAAAGACTTTTGTTATCAGAGATCCTCATGAAAATTTCAGTGAGCCCTGAGACCTCCATCATGTAATGATCATCCCTTCTTACAGAATGCAAAGGAATTACAAACTGTGAATTTTGGTTTTAAGCAAATAAATCTCTTAATACCCCTTTCAAGAAATAACCAGCTTATAAAAAAGGGATAGAATTATGTAAGTCTACAGTTTCGCCCTTATAATCTCTCAGTGTCTTTAAGGGATCCCAACATCTGCAAAGTCCAAGCATTTCTCTGCGTTTTATACCCAGTTAATGGGAGAGAACCATGAGCCTCTGCTCAGAATTGGCAAGACAAGGAACAAATCCCAAATCAAGCCAAAACTGGAAGAAATACTACCACTAGCAGATTCACATTGCTTAGCGTCATATTTAATAGGGAATTGAAGGATAGGATATCTCTTTCTGGCTGTCTATACCTCTAATTTTCCTGGCACTTTACCCTTCTTGATGCTCTTTAAAAATAAAATAAAACTCAAACTCAGAGAAGGAAATCACTCTTAATTTTCCTGAAAGAGGATTGTTGTTCTAATTTGTACTGAGGGTGTTTGAATCATTGAAATGCCTTAACTTGCATCACTTTTGTTAAAAATCTCTGTCCCTTTCCATCTTCTCTAATTCCAATTTTTCAAGATTGCATAAGAAGGGTCTACACATTTTTTAAATAGATCCCTTTGGAGAAAAGGGTCTTTCTGTGGAAAACAAGTCTTTAAAGATGTAGGGTTTTTGTTCTGTTGATCTATTGGTAGTAGTTTTCCATAGCAGTTAATTAAGAGGAGCTATAAGTCTATGTTAGGCTCAGTGAGAGCTTTTAAGTCAATTTGTGTCTTTTTCAGAGGCTTCCGAGAAAGAGTGAAGATGGAAAGACCAAGCACTTGTCATGATCAATGTAATAATCTTGTTATGATCAATATGTCTACATGATTAACTCAGGTGACTATGGCTCAGGTTTGCTGGAATCTCAGTAAGAAACAAAGGCTAAGGACTTGGCCAACTGCATCACAGAACTGACAGCTGACCCTGGCTTACCCAGTGCCTAAGAATAAAATTGCAGCATGCAGAAGGTCCAAAGGAACTGAAGCTCAAGCAGGTCCATCCTCAAAAGGCCTGATGTGGCAACTACAAATCAATTCAAATCTTAATACGGAAAATTACTTAAGGTGATGCAAATGCTGAGTACCTGGTGGATTCATCTTCTGTTTATGACTCATGGCAGTGTTTTCTAGTTTATGACTCATGGCATCTTCTGTTTATGACACAGGACTTGGACGGCATCAAGGGTCAGTCAGTCAAGGCTGAGCCTAGTAGGGAAATGGGGCTGGGAAGCAGAAATTGAGGTTAAAAGAGAATAACAGCAATTGGAAAAATCTGGCCAAGGTGGGTAGAGGAAGCTTGAAGTTAGTTGAGCTGGGCATCTCGAATACTGACAATAGTGTTGAAGATTGCAGGCCCCATGACCAGTTCAACATAGTCCTACCCTTTCTCCAGCCAGCCCTTTGCTCCCTGCATCATGTTGAGTTGCAGGGATGGGGATTCTGCCTGGGACTCCAGGTCAAACTGGGCCCACTGGGAGTAGTGTGTCATTGGCACCATTCAAAGAAGATCCTTTTCTGAGCTTCCCAGGGAATACAATCATCATGGACCTAAACTTGAAGTAACCGTGTTGACAGGATCTCCACTTTTAACTATGGTGGAAGAGAAGGGTTCAAAACATTTTATCTACAGATTTCATGCTGCTCAGTACATCTCTTACGCCAAAATGCAAACATTTTTACCGAAATCATTTTGATTCTTTCATAGGTGTGGTCTTAAAAAGAGCAGTTTATAGACAACAAATCCAACACAAGAAACTGCCTAGTGTCATGGAACGCATTCTATGCAAAAAACTGTTTTAATATATTTTAAAAATTAATTTGTATTTATTTATTAGAAGATAGTGTCTGCTTTGTAATTCTTTCCCAACACTGGGACATTGAACAATGCTAATAAGATAAATGACATAATGTGGATGTTAATTTATCCATAAAAAGTGGATATATTTTGCTGTCAAATAAAATATGAGTGAAAAGAAGAAATCATGATGGGTAACTGCTCAAATCTGGAGTTGCCATAGTTTAGTACAAAAGTTTCTCAAAATGTAGTATGTGAGAATCACCTGGAGATCTCTTTGTGCTTCATAAGAGAGTTTGAGAATTGCAGATTTATCCAATTTAGAAAATTACCTTAAGTAAGATAGTTTCCCTGGTTAAGTTTTAGAGACCCAATTATGAATGTCAAATGCAAAGTATATACAGCAAGAAATTATGAAGATTATTTTACATGGTGTACTATAATTTTAAATTATTCCATATATCAAAGGACAATTATCTCTGTCTTTAAAAATTGAATTGATTTTCATAATAATGAATGTGAAAATGCTCAATAAGTAGAATGTTCTAAATCTACTTCAGTTCTGGAATACTATTTTTTGTTTGCTTTTTGTATATGTACATTTATCTATATCATTAAAAATATAAAAGCAATGTCATTTTCTAATGTACTGGAGAAAATATGTGGCAAAAGATGTAACTATTAAAAGATATGTAACTTCTGAATAAGAAAGATATGTTAATTTGGCGTACTGAAATACATTTTTAACTATTAGGTTGGTGCAAAAGTCATTGCAGCTTTTGCCATTATTTTCAATGGCAAAAGCTGCAATGACTTTTGCACCAACCTAATACATAACTACATACTACAGAAAAAAATTCAGACAAATAATACATATCATCACTAGCAGTAAGAAATTTGTTTATTTTGTATTAATGCCAGTATGGGTATTTTATCTGACTATATGGAAAGAATTTACTTTTCTTATTATCATTAGCTGTGAATTCAGACACGTAATTTTAAACAAAACATAATTTAAAATTACTTTCTCTGTATACTGTACAGGACTGGGCTCTTTGTTCTTTTGTATTTCAATCTCAATTTTAACAGTATCAGGAAGGAAGTTAGATATAAGGTTGCCTTGGATTTATAAAATAGTTTTCTTCCCAGGAACTCAAAATTACTTGCATTTATTCTTTGGAAATGTTTGTCAGGCTGCCAGTCTTTATTGTGTTCTTTTATGCACAAGATGTGCCTGGCAGAATGTCTATTAACCCCTCCTGCCTTCTAATCAACAGAGCTGGGCAGGCTTAAGTGGAACTATATGAGTTATAGGTCTGATTTACTTATTGACACAATAAAACTTAGACATCCATGTATTTGTGGAACTTTATCAAAGTGGTCACCTTGGAAGGATAAATATTTAACAGAGTTGTTATTGTCTCACATGTATTTAGTGCCCTTTTTGATAAGGGATGGCATTGCCTTCAGAGCCAGTGGATGGACCACTTTAGTACCACACATCACTCTTTCATCTTTCATCACATTCCTCCTTCATCAAACACAACTCCCACTTATTTTATTATTGTTTCTCTTTTTGTTGCCTTCTATCAAATTATCCCCATGAGGAAGATTTTGCCATCACTGTAAACATGCAATGAATAATAGGCCAGACCTGCCTTCACAGATCTGTTTAACAAAAATGATGATCATAAGTATAATGTTAGGTAACATTTTACTGAAAGTTTCCTGTAAGCCAGAAACATTCTGAGTCCTTTGTTTGCATAATTTTAACATTCAACACAGCTCTGTGGAATGGGAACTATTATTCCCATGGAACAATTTTTAAAATGAGACATTGAGAGATCTCAGGCCTATAGTCATAACTTGTAAAATGTTCATAGGCAAGCTTGATGTTGCCCATTTTCAAGTCATCTCTGACCAAGGCAGCGAATATATGGGAAGTTGACATAGACATACCACTAGCAACACAGAGAGTGAGAAAAATGTATTATAAAAATATTAACAAGGAAAAAGTTTGCAGTAGAGTAGACATGAATCCTCATCCTCCAGTTTTCTATTTATCAAAGAACCAGTATTGGGTTGGGCATAATTGCATGCCAAGAAAGAAATCCACCCTTGGACTCAACTGAATCAAATTTGGTGGTGCCTGAAGCATTTTAATTCAGGGGCCTGCCCTTTACGGAAAAGATTATAAAAATGTGAACAATGATAGGGGAAGAAATTGTATATTTATTAGAAATGAGAAAAAGAACCTCAGTCAATTTAAAAAATAAACAGCATCCCAAGTTTCACAAAATAAAAGAACACATTATTATTATTAATTAATAACCTGTATATCTAACACTTTATTTCTTTTCTTTTTTTTTTTGGAATGATTTGAGGAAGAGGTTTTATTTATTTATTTTATTTATTTATTTATTTATTTATTTATTTATTATTATACTTTAAGTTTTAGGGTACATGTGCACATTGTGCAGGTTACATATGTATACATGTGCCATGCTGGTGTGCTGCACACACTAACTCGTCATCTAGCATTAGGTATATCTCCCAATGCTATCCCTCCCCCCTCCCCCCATCCCACAACAGTCCCCAGAGTGTGATGTTCCCCTTCCTGTGTCCATGTGATCTCATTGTTCAATTCCCACCTATGAGTGAGAATATGCGGTGTTTGGTTTTTTGTTCTTGCGATAGTTTACTGAGAATGATGATTTCCAATTTCATCCATGTCCCTACAAAGGACATGAACTCATCCTTTTTTATGGCTGCATAGTATTCCATGGTGTATATGTGCCACATTTTCTTAATCCAGTCTATCCTTGTTGGACATTTGGGTTGGTTCCAAGTCTTTGCTATTGTGAATAATGCCGCAATAAACATACGTGTGCATGTGTCTTTATAGCAGCATGATTTATAGTCCTTTGGGTATATACCCAGTAATGGGATGGCTGGGTCAAATGGTATTTCTAGTTCTAGATCCCTGAGGAATCACCACACTGACTTCCACAATGGTTGAACTAGTTTACAGTCCCACCAACAGTGTAAAAGTGTTCCTGTTTCTCCACATCCTCTCCAGCACCTGTTGTTTCCTGACTTTTTAATGATTGCCATTCTAACTGGTGTGAGATGGTATCTCATTGTGGTTTTGATTTGCATTTCTCTGATGGCCAGTGATGGTCAGCATTTTTTCATGTGTTTTTTGGCTGCATAAATATCTTCTTTTGAGAAGTGTCTGTTCATGTCCTTCGCCCACTTTTTGATGGGGTTGTTTGTTTTTTTCTTGTAAATTTGTTTGAGTTCATTGTAGATTCTGGATATTAGCCCTTTGTCAGATGAGTAGGTTGTGAAAATTTTCTCCCATTTTGTAGGTTGCCTGTTCACTCTGATGGTAGTTTCTTTTGCTGTGCAGAAGCTCTTTAGTTTAATTAGATCCCATTTGTCAATTTTGTCTTTTGTTGCCATTGCTTTTGGTGTTTTAGACATGAAGTCCTTGCCCATGCCTATGTCCTGAATGGTAATGCCTAGGTTTTCTTCTAGGGTTTTTATGGTTTTAGGTCTAACGTTTAAGTCTTTAATCCATCTTGAATTGATTTTTGTATAAGGTGTAAGGAAGGGATCCAGTTTCAGCTTTCTACATATGGCTAGCCAGTTTTCCCAGCACCATAGATTAAATAGGGAATCCTTTCCCCATTGCTTGTTTTTCTCAGGTTTGTCAAAGATCAGATAGTTGTAGATATGCGGCGTTATTTCTAAGGGCTCTGTTCTGTACCATTGATCTATATCTCTGTTTTGGTACCAGTACCATGCTGTTTTGGTTACTGTAGCCTTGTAGTATAGTTTGAAGTCAGGTAGTGTGATGCCTCCAGCTTTGTTCTTTTGGCTTAGGATTGACTTGGCAATGCGGGCTCTCTTTTGGTTCCATATGAACTTTAAAGTAGTTTTTTCCAATTCTGTGAAGAAAGTCATTGGTAGCTTGATGGGGATGGCATTGAATCTGTAAATTACCTTGGGCAGTATGGCCATTTTCACGATATTGATTCTTCCTACCCATGAGCATGGAATGTTCTTCCATTTGTTTGTATCCTCTTTTATTTCCTTGAGTAGTGGTTTGTAGTTCTCCTTGAAGAGGTCCTTCACATCCCTTGTAAGTTGGATTCCTAGGTATTTTATTCTCTTTGAAGCAATTGTGAATGGGAGTTCACTCATGATTTGGCTCTCTGTTGGTCAGTTGTTGGTGTATAGGAATGCTTGTGATTTTTGCACATTGATTTTGTATCCTGAGACTTTGCTGAAGTTGCTTATCAGCTTAAGGAGATTTTGGGCTGAGACAATGGGGTTTTCTAGATATACAATCATGTCATCTGCAAACAGAGACAATTTGACTTCCTCTTTTCCTAATTGAATACCCTTTATTTCCTTCTCCTGCCTGATTGCCCTGGCCAGAACTTCCAACACTATGTTGAAAAGGAGTGGTGAGAGAGGGCATCCCTGTCTTGTGCCAGTTTTCAACGGGAATGCTTCCAGTTTTTGCCCATTCAGTATGATATTGGCTGTGGGTTTGTCATAGATAGCTCTTATTATTTTGAAATATGTCCCATCAATACCTAATTTATTGAGAGTTTTTAGCATGAAGAGTTGTTGAATTTTGTCAAAGGCCTTTTCTGCATCTACTGAGATAATCATGTGGTTTTTCTCTTTGGCTCTGTTTATATGCTGGATTACATTTATTGATTTGCATATATTGAACCAGCCTTGCATCCCAGGGATGAAGCCCACTCGATCATGATGGATAAGCTTTTTGATGTGCTGCTGGATTCGGTTTGCCAGTATTTTATTGAGGATTTTTGCATCAATGTTCATCAAGGATATTGGTCTCAAATTCTCTTTTTTGGTTGTGTCTCTGCCTGGCTTTGGTATCAGAATGATGCTGGCCTCATAAAATGAGTTAGGGAGGATTCCCTCTTTTTCTATTGATTAGAATAGTTTCAGAAGGAATGGTACCAGTTCCTCTTTGTACCTCTGGTAGAATTCGGCTGTGAATCCATCTGGTCCTGGACTCTTTTTGGTTGGTAAGCTATTGATTATTGCCACAATTTCAGATCTTGTTATTGGTCTATTCAGAGATTCAAATTCTTCCTGGTTTAGTCTTGGGAGGGTGTATGTGTCGAGGAATATATCCATTTCTTCTAGATTTTCTAGTTTATTTGCGTAGAGGTGTTTGTAGTATTCTCTGATGGTAGTTTGTCTATCTGTGGGATCGGCGGTGATATCCCCTTTATCATTTTTTATTGCATCTATTTGATTCGTCTCTCTTTTTTTCTTTATTAGTCTTGTTAGCGGTCTATCAATTTTGTTGATCCTTTCAAAAAACCAGCTCCTGGATTCATTAATTTTTTGAAGGGTTTTTTGTGTCTCTATTTCCTTCAGTTCTGCTCTGATTTTAGTTATTTCTTGCCTTCTGCTAGCTTTTGAATGTGTTTGCTCTTGCTTTTCTAGTTCTTTTAATTGTGATGTTAGGGTGTCAATTTTGGATCTTTCCTGCTTTCTCTTGTGGGCATTAAGTGCTATAAATTTCCCTCTACACACTGCTTTGAATGTGTCCCAGAGATTCTGGTATGTTGTGTCTTTGTTCTCGTTGGTTTCAAAGAACATCTTTATTTCTGCCTTCATTTCGTTATGTACCCAGTAGTCATTCAGGAGCAGGTTGCTCAGTTTCCATGTAGTTGAGCGGTTTTGAGTGAGATTCTTAATCCTGAGTTCTAGTTTGATTGCACTGTGGTCTGAGAGACAGTTTGTTATAATTTCTCTTCCTTTACATTTGCTGAGGAGAGCCTTACTTCCAAGTATGTGGTCAATTTTGGAATAGGTGTGGTGTGGTGCTGAAAAAAATGTATATTCTGTTGATTTGGGGTGGAGGGTTCTGTAGATGTCTATTAGGTCCGCTTGGTGCAGAGCTGAGTTCAATTCCTGGGTATCCTTGTTGACTTTCTGTCTCGTTGATCTGTCTAATGTTGACAGTGGGGTGTTAAAGTCTCCCATTATTAATGTGTGGGAGTCTAAGTCTCTTTGTAGGTCACTCAGGACTTGCTTTATGAATCTGGGTGCTCCTGTATTGGGTGCATACATATTTAGGATACTTAGCTCTTCTTGTTGAATTGATCCCTTTACTATTATGTAATGGCCTTCTTTCTCTCTTTTGATCTTTGTTGGTTTAAAGTCTGTTTTATCAGAGACTAGGATTGCAACCCCTGCCTTTTTTTGTTTTCCATTGGCTTGGTAGATCTTCCTCCATCCTTTTATTTTGAGCCTATGTGTGTCTCTGCACGTGAGATGGGTTTCCTGAATACAGCACACTGATGTGTCTTGACTCTTTATCCAATTTGCCAGTCTGTGTCTTTTAATTGGAGCATTTAGTCCATTTACATTTAAAGTTAATAGTGTTATGTGTGAATTTGATCCTGTCATTATGATGTTAGCTGGTTATTTTGCTCATTAGTTGATGCAGTTTCTTCCTGGTCTCGATGGTCTTTACATTTTGGCATGATTTTGCAGTGGCTGGTACTGGTTCTTCCTTTCCATGTTTAGCGCTTCCTTCAGGAGCTCTTGTAGGGCAGGCCTGGTGATGACAAAATCTTTCAGCATTTGCTTGTCTGTAAAGGATTTTATTTCTCCTTCACTTATGAAGCTTAGTTTGGCTGGATATGAAATTCTGGGTTGAAAATTCTTTTCTTTAAGAATGTTGAATATTGGCCCCCACTCTCTTCTGGCTTGTAGGGTTTCTGCCGAGAGATCCGCTGTTAGTCTGATGGGCTTCCCTTTGAGGGTAACCCGACCTTTCTCTCCGGCTGCCCTTAACATTTTTTTCTTCATTTCAACTTTGGTGAATCCGACAATTATGTGTCTTGGAGTTGCTCTTCTTGAGGAGTATCTTTGTGGCGTTCTCTGTATTTCCTGAATCTGAACGTTGGCCTGCCTTGCTAGGTTGGGGAAATTCTCCTGGATAATATCCTGCAGAGTGTTTTCCAACTTGGTTCCATTCTCCCCATCACTTTCAGGTACACCAATCAGATGTAGATTTGGTCTTTTCACATAGTCCCATATTTCTTGGAGGCTTTGCTCGTTTCTTTTTATTCTTTTTTCTCTAAACTTTCCTTCTTGCTTCATTTCATTCATTTCATCTTCCATTGCTGATACCCTTTCTTCCAGTTGATCGCTTCGGCTCCTGAGGCTTCTGCATTCTTCACGTAGTTCTCGAGCCTTGGTTTTCAGCTCCATCAGCTCCTTTAAGCACTTCTCTGTATTGGTTATTCTAGTTATACATTCTTCTAAAGTTTTTTCAAAGTTTTCAACTTCTTTGCCTTTGGTTTGAATGTCCTCCCGTAGCTCAGAGTAATTTGATCGTCTGAAGCCTTCTTCTCTCAGCTCGTCAAAGGCATTCTCCGTCCAGCTTTGTTCCATTGCTGGTGAGGAGCTGCCTTCCTTTGGAGGAGGAGAGGCGCTCTGGTTTTTAGAGTTTCCAGTTTTTCTGTTCGGTTTTTTCCCCATCTATGTGGTTTTATCTACTTTTGGTCTTTGATGATGGTGATGTACAGATGGGTTTTTGGTGTGGATGTCCTTCCTGTTCGTTAGTTTTCCTTCTAACAGACAGGACCCTCAGCTGCAGGTCTGTTGGAGTACCCTGCAGTGTGAGGTGTCAGTGTGCCCCTGCTGGA
This sequence comes from Homo sapiens, assembly GCF_000001405.40. Lineage (NCBI taxonomy): Eukaryota > Metazoa > Chordata > Mammalia > Primates > Hominidae > Homo > Homo sapiens. The sequence continues at coordinate 54,962,161 of NC_000006.12, read as the reverse complement.
GGGTGCCTCCCAGTTAGGCTGCTCGGGGGTCAGGGGTCAGGGACCCACTTGAGGAGGCAGTCTGCCAGTTCTCAGATCTCCAGCTGCGTACTGGGAGAACCACTGTTCTGTTCAAAGCTGTCAGACAGGGACATTTAAGTCTGCAGAGGTTACTGCTGTCTTTTTGTTTGTCTGTGCCCTGCCCCCAGAGGTGGAGCTTACAGAGGCAGGCAGGCCTCCTTGAGCTGTGGTGGGCTCCACCCAGTTGGAGCTTCCCGGCTGCTTTGTTTATCTAAGCAAGCCTGGGCAATGGCGGGCGCCCCTCCCCCAGCCTCGCTGCCGCCTTGCAGTTTGATCTCAGACTGCTGTGCTAGCAATCAGCGAGATTCCGTGGGGTAGGACCCTCCGAGCCAGGTGTGTGATATAATCTCATGGTGCGCCGTTTTTTAAGCCCGTCGGAAAAGCGCAGTATTTGGGTGGGAGTGACCCGATTTTCCAGGTGCCGTCCGTCACCCCTTTCTTTGATTAGGAAAGGGAACTCCCTGACCCCTTTCGCTTCCCGAGTGAGGCAATGCCTCGCCCTGCTTCGGCTCGCGCACGGTGCGCGCACCCGCTGACCCGTGCCCACTGTCTGGTACTCCCTAGTGAGATGAGCCCGGTACCTCAGATGGAAATGCAGAAATCACCCGTCTTCTGCGTTGCTCAGGCTGGGAGCTGTAGACCAGAGCTGTTCCTATTCGGCCATCTTGGCCCTAACACTTTATTTCTTACAATTTTTGGTGTATACTCTCTGACTGTCTCTTCCCATGGCAACAATTTTGTGAAATAATTTTCTAAAAAGAAAATAAAAAGGTAATAGTCAATCTCTCTTCTGACATGCTTCATGGAAAGTTGGGTGTACTTTTAAAAGTTATTGACACAAAAGAGTCTGTATATGTCACATTTCTTTACTAATAGTGCAACATCTGCTCAGACAGTGCTCCTTGTCAGGGGACAAGTCATCAGAGAACTGAAAAGACAGCAATTGGTCCACCTTAACTGTGTCTTCCTTGAACCATGCCAGCCCTCACCAGACCATTGGTGTGCAGAGCATGAAGTAACTATGAAGCTTAGACATAGTATCTTCTGGATAGGAAGCAATGGAGCAGACTCTGAGTCAGTTCCCTCTTCTTTAGGTCAAAGACGGGGTCCAGATGAATGATGACATCTACTGGGCACAGATCTAACTATTGAAGGTGAAGATGGCAGCCTATTGGCCCACCCTCAGCCCCATGGCCACCATTGGTGAACAGATGGTGGTATCATGCCATGCTCCCAGCACTTCTCCACATACACTATGAAGAATTCTCCTATTCATTTTTTATTAGCTTCTTGATAAAGCTATCTCTAACTGCAATATTTCACATAATTACAGAGAAGCTAGGAGGTGGCAAGTAACACCCATGGACTATGCAACAATGGAAGGTTTTTAGCCAGAGAAATGGCTGGTTAGAAAATGCAAAATTCCAGGTGAGTCTGAATACCAGCACTGCCTTTACCTAGAGACCTCGCGTTCTTCCACTGAGCAAGTTTAGTTCTACTAGCCATTTTTTTTGCTAGGTTATCAGAACTTTGAGAGACAAGAGGGACATTAAGAAGAAAATTTTTCTCCCTCCTAATGCTATAAGAAAGAATGAATTTTGGATCCTGATAGACAAGGTCTGTCTCTATTACTGTCTTTATAAAATTGGAGTAATACATATGATTGAATGTTGAGTAGAGATTAAATGAAATATTTTATGTGCAAATAACTGTGTAGTGCTTGGCTCATATACGTTTTATGATAAATCTTTATCATCTCTCCTGAACCAAATAGGACCAATATTTTACACCAGTGGAATAAGTTTGACTTCTGTAAACTTGGCAGGTGGGGCATCTTGTTGAGCACTGGAAACTCAAATATGCACCAATTCACAGCCAACCTCAATCTCTGCTCTCTATGTTTGATATTGCACTTTTGAGCTTAGTATGCCAGATCCCCAGTGGATTAAATCTGTGCTGTAAATCTCTGCTCACTTGACTAATTCTGAATGTATTCATCACAAGGATACTTTGTATTGGCCACTTAGTGACTTAAACATCCTTTGATGTGAGTGACCTTTGCTGCCTTGTTCAATCAACTAAATTAGATTGCCTTCAGTGTCGTTGCTGGCCTGTCTGAAGCCTAGAATTACCCAAGTCTTGTGGCACCAAGGGCCTGGCTACAAAGCTAAGTCATTTGATTTCACCTGGAGCATTAGCGCTTCTCTTTGCTGCTGTCTCATGCTGCCAAGTACTCAGCCAGAAGGAGAGTCTAACGCAGTCTCTTAAGCCATCCGTAAAGGTGTACATGAAACTGCTCTCAATAACAACATAGTTGAAAAATACAAATTGGCTTCTAGGATGACAAGTTTGTAAAATCCACACTTACCTGAATAGAAATTGTAAGGGCCAAAATAATGCTAACAATTGTACCTGCATTCTCTCTCTTACTCTTCATCAGAACTCTGTAAGGGAGCTATATTTTTATCACCATTTTATAGATCAGCATTTAACAAACTATGGCTCGTGGGTCTGGCCTGGGCTGCTACCTGTCTTTTTGTTTTTGTTTTTGTTTTGAGACGGAGTCTTGCTGTCTCCCAGGCTGGAGTTCAGTGGCGCGATCTGGGCTCACTGCAAGCTTCGCCTCCTGGGTTCATGCCATTCTCCTGCCTCAGCCTCCTGAGTAGCTGGGACTACAGGCATCCGCCACCACGCCTGGCTAATTTTTTGTATTTTTACTAGACACGGGGTTTCACCGTGTTAGCCAGGATGGTCTCGATCTCCTGACCTCGTGATCTGCCTGCCTCGGCCTCCCAAAGTGCTGGGATTACAGGCGTGAGCCACCGCGCCGGGCCTGCTATCTGTTTTTGTATGGTCCATAAACTGGGAATGGTTTATACATTTTTTAGTGGTTGAAACAAAGTCAAAGGAAACATAGTATTTTGTGACATGTGAAAATTACATGAAATTCAAATTGTAGCATCCATAGATAAAGTTTTTTTCAAACACATCCACATCCATTTGTTTACATATTATCTATAGCTGATTTGGTTCTATAAGACAGAGTTCAGTAATTGTAACAGAGACCCTATGGCTCACAAATCCTAAAATATTTACTATCTGACCTTTTATGGAAAGCTTTGCTGACTCTATTTACCAGATGATGAAGCTCAGAGAATTCTGTAACTTAGCTAAGGCTACCTTGAAAATCAGTGGTGAAACACATGAAAACCCATGTCTGATTGCTCCAGAGATCATACTTTTAACAACTACACACTGTCACTATAGTGCTTGTTTGTTATGAAATCAGTGAATTTCACACATGAAAAGTAAATCACATTTTAGTGACTCTTTAGTTGTATTTTCTATCTAGAACATTGCAGAAAGGTTTGGCAGAAGGTGGCTGCTACCACTTCTGTAAAGTGGTGTGCTGCTGAATTTAGGAGAGTGTTTTGTTTTGCTGACATCTGCACAGCACAGTGAAGTTCCGGTCCTAGTTCAAGTGCAACGGTTGCCAGCCACAAATTATAAACACTTCCACTTCTAACCTAACTTCAAAAGCACAGCACATATACTAGGCTTTTGGAATTCGATGAAAGGTATGGGGACCATGCCCAAGAAATAATTACAAATGATTATTCAAAATTATACATTCAGTTAATTGCCAGTGAAGAGAAAAAATAATCCCTTCCTGGTTTCAGAAGCCAGAAATAGTGGCAAGATTTGGTCCATTAAACCAATGAAAAAAAATTATTATGTCAGAATTATTCTCTCACAGCAACATTTTAATATCCAATATTCATTTTAATATTCGCTTTTAAATGCATTTATGATAGTTTGCACCTTGACAAATTTTACATTTTAGATATTATGGTTTAAAACAATCATACAGCCTGGTTTTTTAACTATAAAAATGGCATAGTGCTAATATTCAAGAGTACTATTTTGTATTCTGTTAGGCCACCCAAGCAGGGTCACGAAGGATTAAGGGATATCTTTTTTAAAATATTTGCAGAGATGTGTAGACAGGGGCACAGTGGCTAACTAATAATTAGTTTGGGGATTATATATTGACTTATGAGTTAACAAATTTGTAATTTGTATCCCATGCCATCTATGTTGTCAATGGTTTTAGGATCTTTGGACTGAAACACTTGATCTGCATTTGTTTCATGGCCTATTCTGGAACATGTAGTCCTCCAATTATTGTTATGTTGGGTCTTAGGACATCTATTTTTATGACTTAGCACTTAGCAGCAAAGATACATAGCACAGCTTGGAAGAGCACTGCTTTGGTTAAACTAGTATTTACTGTAAGTGGAAAAGGGAGATAGTTATTAGAAAATTATACAGAGTAAATGTCTTGTCTAAAAATTAAACTGGATATTTCTAAACTTTCTTTTTTACTTTTGGGTATCTTTGACTCATTTTTTGGACAGTTTGCTTCGAAACTAAGTCATTTTCAAACAGTAATTAAAACATGAATTTTCATCAGGTTATGTTTTCTCCCTCCTCTGAGTCATTTTAGTATTTTGTGTACATGCCTCTTACTATACTTTTGATCTTTCATTACAGCTATTTATTTACTTCAGTCATTCTACATAGCCCTATATATTGTTAAGTCACTGAAGGCAGGTACCAAATCTTTAAATGATATTTTTTATTCTGGTTCTATGATAAAAGGGAAAGCATTAATTAAAATTGAGTAAAACATTTAATTGTGGAAATGTGTATTATAAGGAAAGCTGTGTGCTTTTGTTTGACAGACACAGGGAAATTATATGGGTGCCACATAGTTTCCTGTGTTCAACTAAAGCAAACCTGACCATTTATAATGTTTGATTTGCTTTGATCATTTGCAATGATGAAGAGAGATATATATGTAGCAGAGAGGGCAATTTATATTTTGAAGAAAAGGAAAATAAGGAGAAAGGGAACTTGAGGGAGAAGAAAGAAGACTAGACATGAAAAGAACTTGCAGTTCCTAAGGCAAGAAAAGGATACAGATATAATATTAGGAGCATTGGAGAACATGCCCAGTCTGAACAGTTTTCAGCATTATCCTCCTTTCAGATACAATCACAGTATCCAAGTATTTTCCTCTCTTTTCCCTGTCTCTAATATTTATTATTTAGTATATGCAGGACACTCTGCTAGGAACCATATCTATACCTTATAGGCTATGTGTCTCAAATTAATTTTAAAGAGGTGAATAGATAAATATGACTATTTTAATTTATGATAATAAATCTGGTCTGAACAGACTTTGTGGTTAAGACATTAATGGGCATATAATGTGTTTTGAACCATCCAATGAAAGATGAATCTGCTTTAAAATATGTTTTTTTCTCATATTTCACTTTGAAAGCTAATTTTTTCAGTTCAGATTCTAATTCTACCACTTACTAGCTCCTTGTCCTGTGAGACCATTAAAGGAGTTTTCTAGCTTCAGTTTTCTCACTGGGAGAATGGAGATGTTAGTAAAACTGAGGCAATAAAATTTCTATGATGATCAATTAAGATAATGTAATTAAAATACTTAGCATGTTGTAAGCATGCAGTAAATACTAGTTAATACTGTTATACTGGGTCTTGATTTATTGTGCAGCTGTCCCTATTATGACTTTCCTCTCCTGTGGGGCAGATATTTTTGAATGGATAATTAATACTGGTAAAGTTTAAATTTATTAATTGGTCTCAATAAGCTAACATTTGTCCATTTAGAATGCTTTATGAAAAGGGAGCTGTCTCAAGCCCAGGAGTCCTTGGTATTCTCTCATTCATAACAATGCACAGAATTTCCAATCCTGATTATCTTTCCATTTTATTTTAATTTTTGATCCTACTCTAAATAGTCAGATGCATTCAAATATATCTTAAAATTCATTCATTATTTTAATTTAATCTGAACAGAATACATAAACCAGTAGTGTGTTTTAAAAATATAATTCTAGTGCATTGTCTTAGAATAGTGTCAACACAACTACTCAGTAGCTCTTTACTGTGATTATATAACATCGATTCAAGAAGTAAAAGGCTGGACTGGTGCAATGGCTCACGCCTGTAATCCCAGCACTTTGGGAGGCCAAGGTGGTAGGGTAGTTTAAGCCCAGGAGGAGTTCAAGACCAGCTTGGGCAATATAGGTGGGACCTCATCTTTGCAAAAATTAAAATTAAAAAATTAGCTGGGCATGGTGATGTGCATCTGTAGTCCAGCTACTTGGGTGGGAGGATTGCTTGAGCCCAGGAAGTTGAGGATGCAATGAGCTGTGATTGCACCACTGCACTCCAGCCTAGGTGACAGAGTGAGAACCTTGGATTCTGCTGTTATTTATGAAAATGAGGCTCTTATATGCAGCACCTTATTGTTTCCTACTCAAATTTTTAAAAATTGTCTTTGATAGGTTTCTCAAAAATTTCAGAATTCACACTTGAAGTACAGGGTATTTGATAATGTGTTTCTTTCTGCAGAGTAGCCAGATCAAACTGATTGCAACCACAGAGCTCTGGAGGAACAGCAAATGAGCTGCCTTGTCACTAAAGATGGTAAAACTTTCAGAGAAAAGAAAAATATTCCATTCTCAACTGGCAAATTAAATGTTATTTTAATAAAGTGCAATGATACAGAGTACACAATTCCCAATCTAATTTCACATGTTATTTATTTAAAATAATATGCATTAGCACAAAGACAAATAAGATTTGTCTCAATGAGAAACTAGTACAGATATAATTCCTCTCCACTTTTGACGCACATATCATTTTACGGCTAAGTAAGCAAAACCTTCAAATTTCAATAAGGCAAATAAATTAACTTTGCACAAGTTGAAGAGGGAACATTTTATGCGGGAAATTATTTCTAAGCTTGAAGATGGAAGAAGTGTGGTTTCTCTCCAATATAATCTCGTTTAACCAAATATAGGTCCTAGGAAGTGTGTGTGTGTGTGTGTGTGTGTGTGTGTGTGTGTGTAGAACTAGCAAACAAGAGCATATAGTATCTTTCCCTATACAATTAAATAAACTGGGGCTCATCAAATATGTGTTTAATAATGTGCATGAGAGACAGGTTTTATAAGAGATGGTAAAGAAGGAAAATCATGCCTAAAAGAACAAGTTTTAATATTTTATCTTTGTGGAATTTGTTAAACATCATGATGTCAACATTCAATTCTGGTAGTGTAACCTTTCCTGAAATTAAGATTTAAGAGTATTTTTTAGCATTACTAAAAAATTAGCATTCAATGACTCAAATTATGATGCCCAGGCTAGCAGCAAGAGCATCATCCAAGGACTTAGAAATGCAAATCCTCAAGCTCCACCCCAGACCTACTAACTCAGAAACTCTGGGGGTGGACCTCAAGAAATCTGTGTTTTAATGAGCTCTTCAAGCAATTTAGATGCATGCTAAAGTTTGAGGACCCCTGGTCTAAATCAATTCCTCACAAAACAAGAGAAATTTGATGTATGTAACCAAGATGTTCAGGGGCAAACACATGAAATTATGCTTCGGTAACTTACTTAAGTTTGCCACTGATGCATTTTCCAGATGCTTTCGAGTCCTATCTATTTATTTTACTCCTTTGACTAAATTAAAATGCAATTTATACAATGCCCTATTTGTTCCACTTTTGCTATAAATTCAAGCTCAATTTTATTTTGATCTTTAAAACTGGTCTTGACCACATTCAAGGTAACTCCAGATCAATAATTTGAAGCTCAGTGTTGTGACACTCTTTGCCAATCTCACTTATCATAGTGGTTAGTTCTACCTTGTCTATTTATCAAACCAAGTTCCTACTTCTGAAGCATGTATACTTCATTCTTATTTTTCAATTTCTTATCACAGAGGATACAATGTCCACCCAAGCATGTGCCTCTGACTACTCTCTCCTATTCTGCAAGGGTGCAATAATTATTAAGCAAACTAGTCAGAAACTAAGTCATTGAATAGGCCATTCTTCATCAGGATGCAGGAATACTACTGGTGTATATGAGAGTAAACATGGTTGGGTAGAGGGACAGATTGTGGCAGAGAGGGATAGGAGTGCAGTAGGAAGCACCCAGCAGCCTGCCAAGTCTAAGTTTAATGCTACTTCTCAGCCAAGCCTTAAAGGTGGTGGGGCATCAGGTGCTTTCTTATCAGAGAATCCCAGAAGGAAGAAGAAACAGTGGATTGAAAGGTCCTTGTGGCCAGCCATAACTATCTATGTCAATTGCTCTGAGATAAACCAGCAGTTTATATGCTCCATTTGTCAATATTTGGGGAACTCATTTTACCCTTTGTTTGTATTTCCAAATGTTGGGTTCTGTTTTGGACCATCTCTTGTGGTACAAAACATCTCTATTATGCTTCCAATATTCTAAGTTCTGCCTTCCTCTCAGATGATGAAAGAGAGTAAGAAACTTCACTTACTCCATGCCCCATTAAAAGTCATTCTAGTTCTAACTCTAGCTCTTAGATCTTTCTTTATAGTTCTGCTGTAGTTACTCTGTCAAAGCCTGGTTCTATTGTGAAACAGAATAGTCACTTTACTCAGCAAATGATATCAGACTAGAAGAGATCTTTGAAAATGTTGCACTTTTGAGTTTGAGTTTTCATCATGATAGACCATCTGGATAAAGAGAAATTCAATAGAAGACACACTTAGAATAAGAGAGCCATCAAAATCTTCTTTGGAAGTTACTTTTGGCTTAAGGCAGTTTTATGGTTGTTGGCATCTTGAGAAATTTTGGTATGTATTTATACACATTCATAAACGCAGAAGCAGTATATAAGATATATAGCCAGCATCTTGGATTTTAATCAGGAGTTTCCAAGTAAAGATTTTAGGAGAAGTCCCTGACTATTTAAAAGACACAATAAATAATAAAAGAAACAGATTTTTAGCAGAGAAGACTCATTTATTCCATAGACATTAATAAAAAAAAAGGCCAAAAAAAACCCACCATTTGCTCTTCTCTTCTCTTTCTCCTGTCTCTACTTCTTTTTTCTTTCTGTCTCTCCCTGCACTATCTTACCCTGTGTATTAATCGCTTCAGTTATAGACTCCAATGCACATTACTTCCCCATCTATCATTCTTCTCTGTTGAGCTCCAGGTACACACCATTAGTGGGTACCTATAACCAGGTGTCTCATGGTCAACTGAAACATAATCCAACTGCAAATGACTCACCATCACTGTGCCCCATGCCCTTCACACAAACACACATGGAACATGCTCTTCCTTCTACATGCCTTATCTAAGCTAAGGAGACTGCAGTTTCCAAAGATAAAAATATTGGAATTATCTAAAATTCACCCCCTTTTAAATAAAAATAATAAATTTGTTATTGATTTTTCTTTCAATTCCATAATAATTCTCAATTTTTCTCCTATTCTTCCCCCAATGCCATTGTATTAGTTTGTCACTCATTACAAATTTCTTGGATTACTAAAATAGCTGCTTAGTTGGTCTCCAAGTCTCCATATTTCCCTTCAGTCCATCTTCTGTATCACTTCTTGAGATTTATTTTTACCAAAAATAAAAATAAAGGTCATTCTGTATCTAAGAGCCTCTAAGAATTCCTTGCTGTTTCCAAGGTAAAGTCTACTTGAGCTAAGCACATAAGACCCCTTACAATTTGGCTCTAAAATCTGTTTTCTAACATTTGCTGTTTCTCCTTTGCACCTCCATAAATGCTAAGTCAAACCATACAAACTTAAATGTTATAGAAAAATACCTTTTATGCTTTTTTTGGGGGAGTGGGAGGTGGTGGGATGGAGTCTTTCTCTGTTGCCCAGGCTGGAGTGCAATGGTGCTATCTTGGCTCACTGCAACCTCCACCTTGCCTCAGCCTCCTGAGTAGCTGGGATTACAGGTGCCCACCACCATGCCCAGCTAATTTTTGTATTTTTAGTAGAGACAGGCCTTCACCATCTTGGCCAGGGTGGTCTTGAACTCCTGACCTCGTGATCCACCCCCTTTGGCCTCCCAAAATGCTGGGATTATAGACATGGGCCACCACGCACAACCCCTTTTATGCTTTTGTTTCTTTTTACAGTATATGTTTTTTCTCTGCATAGAATATCTCTTTTTTTATCTTACTGGTATGCAGTATCTCCACTATGACTTCTCATGTGGCATGTTAGTTGTGTGTTTGTGACTCTTTGCTCATTGAACTGTGCTCCCGGAAAAAAGGATGATGAGTATAACATAGTTATCTAGCAAATAATGGACATTTAATTTCAGTGAATGAATAAATGAATCAATATAAGGCAACATGCTTAGTAAGTATACCTATAAATAAAAATCCTAGTGATGTTTGAATAAAGTTGATAAATGAGTGAGTAGTAAGTTGTATATATTTGGGGAAGGACTACAAATCTGGAAAGATACCAGTTTTCTTCTCATTTACTTGCAATGTAAAGGAAAAGTTATTTTCATGCTTAAAGTATACCATGTTTGCCATTTTACATCTCTGTTGAAAACTAACTCAAAAATTTTGTCCGAAATTTTCCACATCTAATATCAAATCAATCCTCAATGTATAATATTAAGGACAGGTCTTTTAAGTGAAGTATAATGTTGACTATCAGCCAAACAAAGAAAAACATTTTTGGATCTTTGATGATATTAAGAAATAACTTGTACTGGTATTACAGTTACATTAGATGAGAATCCTTAAATTTTAGAGATACATGATGAAAACACACATATGACCTGTGAGATGTGCTTCAAAATAATGCAAAATGGTGATGTAATTAAGAATGTGGACAAGGCAGGTTTATCCACAGGTTAATGGGTGTATTAGTCTGTTCTCACGCTGCTGATAAAGACATACCTGAGGCTGGGTAGCTTATAAGGAAAAAGAGGTTTAATGTACTCACAGTTCCATGTGGCTGGGAGGCCTCACAATCATGGTGGAAGGCAAAAAGCACATTTTACATGGTGGCAGACAAGAGAGAAGTGAGGACCAAGTGAAAGGGGTTTCCCCTTATAAAACCATCAGATCTCATGAGCCTTATTCTCTACCATAAGAACAGTTATGGGGAAAACCACCCCCATGATTCAATTATCTCCCACCGGGTCCCTCCCACAACACATGGGAATTATGAGAGCTACCATTCAAGATGATATTTGAGTGACAGCCAAACCATATCAATGGGTATATAGGACAGGTGATGGATAACAAACATTCATCCAAATATCTGTTCACCTTTGTGTATGTTTGAAATTCTCTACAATAAAGTTTAAAAAAGAAATACATTTTCCATCATGACCAGTGCCTACACAAATATGAACAATTAAAATGACATCAAATGCTTGCTGCTATTTGTAACACACTCTAATATTTTCTTTTCTATTCTATTTTTAATTTAAATTAAGCCTACTAAAGATGAACCACTAAATTTATTTCAGTCTTTGCTAAAGAGTTCAAACACTGTTCTATGTCATAAAATAATCCTGCATGAATTAATCTCCCTCTTATCCAATGCCCACTTTAAAAATCTTCCATAACTCATATTAAATATTAACCTTCTCATAAAGCTCCTAAGCTTTTAAGCATCTCCCTAATGTTACTCTAATTTCATCACATGGTTCTTGTCATAAAGTCTGCTGCAGAAGAGTTTTCTGGGGTTGGTCTAAACAGTTGAAGACTAAGGCAGGCTATGGACAAAGTTATGCTTTGATTTCATATATTGTCCTTCCCTGGACAATTTTTTTTCTGACTCTATAAAGAACACTGCTTTGAATAAAACAATAAGCAATATTGTCAACAATATTGTCCCAGATGATTAAATTGTATCCTTTAAACTTGACCCTAACATAAAAAGAGAGTCTTCCTGAACGTTCACCCTTCCCTATGTTCTGTTCTGTGTATAATCATCTGCAATTCTCTTTGTTTTGCTGGACTTTCTAGTGTTACATTCTGATTGTTTTTTAGCTTTGCAACTACAGAGAAACTTCCAGTTTCATATATTCTCCAGGCATCCTAAGTCACTCCTTAGATTTTATTTGTACAGCCCATTTGTTTCTGATTAAAAAAGTTAAATGCCATTCTGTTTTTATTAATAAATACACTTCCCTTTACCCACGTCATTTGTTTCCTATGGTACAAGCTAGGCCTCCTAGGATGTGCCATCAACAAATAATAAACATTTTTTATATTGGAGCAGTTAGTGATACTGTTGCATCTTATGCAGTCCCACTGAACTGCCTCTTTTGTTGTCCCCTCCAACTTAATTGGACTCTCAAATCTATTTTAACTGATCAAATAAGTATATTACCTCAAACCTATTTTCAAGCTTCAAACTTATTTTAACTGATCAAATAAATATATTACCTTAGACTTAATTTTCAGGCCTCAAATCAATTTTAACTGATTAAATAAATATATTAAAAATGAAAAACTGAGTACCACTAAGTTCTTGATATTAACAAGCCATATAGGCATCTAAATAGTGACAAATCAGTTTTTGGCTTATTTAATAGATATTATCTACACTACTACATTTAAAAATCATAAAGATAAAAATGAATACATTAACCTATACATTGTGTTATAATCTTTAACCCTTCAATAATTGTTCCTATGTATTTACATTATTTCTACAGATTGTGTTTTAAGGTGCTTGAGGCCTGTACCCCATAATTTTGAAGACAGTGTTTGATGTGTATAAGCTAATTTGATAGTATGCGTGTTGAATTAAAATACCAACTCATCGGTCAGGCATGGTGGCTCACGCCTGTAATCCCAGTACTTTGGGAGGCCGAGGCGGGCAGATTACCTGAGGTCAGGAGTTCAAGACCAGCTGGCTAACATGGAGAAACCCCGTTTCTACTAAAAATACAAAAAAAGAGCCAGGCTTGGTGGTGCACGCCTGTAATCTCAGCTATTTGGGAAGCTGAGGCAGGAGAATTGCTTGAACCTGGGAGGTGGAGGTTGCAGTGAGCCGGGATCATGCCATTGCACCCCAGCTTGGACAACAAGAGCGAAACTCCGTCTCAAGAAAAAAAACAAAAAACAACAAAAAAACAACTCATCCTAGCTCTTTAATGCATTACTCTGGTATAGGGAGAAATAAGAACAAGGTAACATCTAGATGTAAAATGAAAATAATTGGCTAAGCACTTGAAAAAAACTGACCTATAAGTAGTTTTTGATTATATATATCAGGTAATATTATGGGGGAAAAGAAGCCTTGCATGAATTTGATGAGTCAATATGGAGTCTAACATGGAGAAGTTTGTAAGTAATCTGAAATCTATAATGTAGTATGTATAATAATCACTCCTGGTTGCCACCTTTAAGCAGATTTTGCCATTAGCCAAACTGAGATGTGTTACTATTGTGGTAGAAGGTCTGTAGAATCCCATTCTTGTAATTGCCTGACATTAGATAAAGATAACTTAAAAATAACTTCCCAGGCTTTTTAGGTATTAAAACATTTTACAGTGTCTTAAATCATTGTCTGTAGGATTCCAACAGTAAGAAATGGGTTCTGTCATTCTGACTGATGGAGTCATCATTACTCTAAGCATGTCACAGGGTGGCTGCATCAGAACACGTCCAATCTTGGGGGCACTAGGAGCAGCACCTGCTACTGGCATGCTCTGCCTCTAAATCACTCTATTCCAGCCAGTCTCTTACCTCTGATTATATGTGCCTTCAAGCTCATACACAAACATTTTAAGCTAGATGACATTTTACATTGTATTTTACTCTCAAATATTTAGTTTTAATTCCAGCATCTGGAAATCTACCCTTTTGCCAAACTCTGAGTCCAGTGAAGAGAACTACTAAGAATTTAAATATTATTACTGTTTTTACCTAAGTAAAAAAACAATGCAAGAGGAATGATGATCTATGCTAATATTTACCTTGTGGCCCTTTCAAAGGGACACAACTTATAAGGTAGATGTCTTTAATATGTACATATTCCCATAAAGTAAAATATAATGTTTTATTTAATATGAAGGAAACCAAGAACAAATAAGTTTAGTGTCAAAAAGTGATTTACCAGAAGATTGAAGTAATATTAGGCCTTTCACCTGCTCCATGCTCTTTTTTCTATTTCTATCTAATTTTATTTCAAAACAATGTCTTTCGCCTTAAATTATAATGCAAAATCTCTCTTAAATTTTTCCTCTGAAAATCAAATGAGATCAGCACTTATTAAGTCCCTTCTCTGTGTCAAGCACTGTGAAAGCACATGGTGTAGCCAGTACTGTTTAATTTTGTGTCACATGAAACACATTTTGTAAATGCTTTGTAAAGCAAAATTTTTTTTCGTACTTGAATTAGCAAAATACATAACAATTTCCTTCTGTCTTTAAAAAGCAACAAAATATTCTGCTTGAAGGAGAAAAACAAGAAATCAAGTATTTTAGACTTTCCATTTATAGAAATACATTTAGTTCTTAGCTTTATGGTAGATCCCAATTAACTAGAATACTTAATTTAATAACTATCTTACTTAGCCTTAGCAGTTAACTAACATTAAATTTTGGTAATGCATAAAACAACCAACACACAAACCAAAAATACACAAACAACAACAAAAAGAAGATACTTTCTAAAATGTAGGCTATTGAGTCTAATTGAATCTGCCAATTGAATTGAGACACATACACATTATTAAAATGCTAAAAAGAAATTTAGAGGCAAAATATACTAAAATTAAAATATACACTGAATGTTGTTTTCTAAAACAAAGCCCTGATAAAAGGGTTTGTTGTTGGACTTTTTAAAAATTTACCTTTTTTTTTTTAGACAGAGTCTTGCTCTGTCACCTAGGCTGGAGTGCAGTGGCGCAATCTCGCCTCACTGCAACCTAGGCCTCCCAGGTTCAAGCGATTCTCCTGCCTCAGCCTCCCAAGTAGCTGGGACTACATGCATTCACCACCACGCCCGACTCTAAATTTACCTTTCTAATGAAAGTAAAATAGTGGTCATTCTGTCAAACTCAAATTTTGTATATTGTATCTGCAGTTGTTATAACCTTTCAACAAGAGCACAAGGGCTGCTGTTCAAAGCAATAGGTCGAGTGTTCTGAGGTCCTCAGTGAAGGTGCTCGCTGCTGTCAGTCCTGACACCAGGAGTTTTCACTATAGAGATTTTAGAGGAGCCATTCTTCAATTAAGATTCCCACACAACCTGCCCATGTTAGCTGACAATCTAAAGGACTAACACAAAATCACCACTCCCTTCCCTCATGTGCCAATTGCCTTTGAACTTAATTTGCTAAGCTCTACTCTTTTTTCCTTCAGGATGAATTCATCAGGGGTTTTCTTTCCTGCACAAAAATATACCCTAGGAAGACCAGCACTTCTGGGTCTTTAAAGATGCCCAGATTCTAGGGTTAATGTGGCTGAAGTTTAAACTAGAACCCTTGCTGCATTAACCTATCTACATCTTCTAATACAAATGCCTATTCAGGTAGTTATAAAATACCCATTTTAATGTATGGATATTAATGGACTATTATCTTCTCCAAACTGCAGCTAAGGAAATGACTGGATTCCCACATCAAGTATTTATCAGGTATCTTTTATGTGCACCCTTTTTAGGCACTAGGAGTACATTTAAGTAACAAGTTAGGACAAATAGCCCTCAAGTAACATAGACTTTTGCCGTAAGTTTGGGGTATTCTTAAAACATGTATGAAAACTTGCTGGCAGCCTCTGATTATCCAGACAACCCTTTTTTTTTTATTTTAATTTTTTCCATCAAAAGCCTACTATAACCTACACACTTGGAACAAAGTAGGTCCCCAGTATGAGTGTTAAATAAATGAGCCAGATTGTTGAAACATTAATATTATAGGAGGAATGTCCAAACTTAACTTATTACCCCTTTGTTAACTCAGAAATATTCTTCTGTGTATCTCTTGCTTTTCTCACTGCTTGAAGCTCGGGTAATTCTCGTTATGTCAAGTGTTTCCCTGGACAGGATACACACATATCCCCTACAATGCCCTTCCGTCTTTCCCAGGTCCAATTACTCAAGATGGTCTTTGACTCCTTAAACCAACTGAACCTATTTATAACTTTCCTTTCAGATGGCCACAAAAGTGAAGTCTTATCCATTTCCCTTACTATTCTAACTGAAGTAGGATTTTCTTAAACATTGGCATTTATGATTAATTTGTTCTACCATTCATTATAATTAATTAGTTAAAAAGCACATTTGCCTTTAAAAGGACACAACTTTTAATCTGCAATACACACTATTTCAACTACCTCATAAGCTGTGATAAAAAGGATATTTTTTTCTAATAAATTCTGAGTTTTAATTCACTAACTCTCAGACTGTAGGTTACTTAATGTCATTAATACAAATGCACATATAGAATATTTTACTCAAACCAAATGCTATGAAGTTATAAAGAAGTCAACCATCATTTTTTTTTCCTTTTTAAAGATTCTCCATCTTTTAAAGTAAAAATTAGGCCAGGACATTGGCTCATGCCTGTAATGCCAGCACTTTGGGAGCTCAAGTTGGGGCAGATTACTTGAGGTCAGGAGGTTGAGAACAGCCTGGCCAACATGGTGAAACCTCATCTCCACTAAAAATACACAAATTAGGTGGCAGGTGCCTGTAAACCTAGCTACTTGGGAGGCTGAGGCAGGAGAATCGCTTGAACCCAGGAGGCTGAGGTGGCAGTGAGCTGCGATCGTGTCACTGCACTCCAGCCTGGGTGACAGGGCAAGACTTCATCTTGAAAAAAAAAAAAAAAGTAAAAAATTATTTAAAGTAACCACTATGTTACAGTATAATAGAAATAAAGAGAATGTGTATATATAATATTTTGCTTAAAGGAAGAGAATCGCCACTGAATTTCAAATATGAATAAATTACTATATAAAATATAATTGGTAATCAAAACAATGTTTTACATGTGATTTCCAAGTTCATGGAAAAAACATTTAAAAATATGTACACATCTAAATTCCTGATTAGAATAACTAAGTGAAAGACTGAGCTTGAATGCAGAAATGCAGAGTATGAAGATTTAAAAAAACAATAGCTTACAATATATTGATGTTTGTACAAAATTATTTATTATTCATTTATTGATCTAAAAACAAAAGTTCATTTGGAAGAATATTTCTTTATAATATCGTACATACATAAAATGTTGAGCTACTCAGGAACCTGAGGCTGGAGGATCGTTTGAGCCCAGGACTTGGAGTCCAGACTGGGCATACTAGTGAAAACCCATCTCTTAAAAAAGAAAAGTTAACAAGTTGACTCTTTGGTTTATCATTTTATCCTTTTGTTTTAAATATTCTAGAACCCAGGATCTACCTGAATATCATGATAAAGTTATTTTAAAAAAAACAGCAACGTACATGTCACATATATAGTCAATGTAAAGCAATTCTACTTTGCATCCCTTAGCCACAGGCATAAGGCAGAACACAGATATTTCTGTGTTCTGTGAATATCTGTGGAATGATACTTGAATATGTGGATCTTGAGTAAAGCTGAATTCATCCAGAATTAAACTTTTTGCATTATTTAGGTGACACTAGACATCATCTTGATTAAACAAGATATTTGCTTCCACAAGTGTAGACTGACAACATATACCCATACCTGAACACACCATGTCAGAATTATGGCTAATCCCAAACTTGTAATAGAGGGATATCTGTGTATTCGGGATACAGGGTCACTTGCAGTATTCTCTAGCCATCTGCCAAGAACTACTTTGAAATTATACCCATTTTTCTTGTGTTTCTGCTTAAAAACTAATGTACAGTACCATGTAGACAGTAAAAGCTGCATTACCAAACTTTAATATCAATGTACATCAAAGTGATATTATCCGCCCCCCAATATTAATATGGGGAAAAAAAGACAGAAAGTATATGGCTTAAAACTATTTCATCCACAAACTGTGATGGTGTCTGTTTAAAACTTAAACAGTAGCTGTACATTTTTTGAAGTATTATATTCTTGCTCAGTCTTATCCCTGGAGAGGTTTTGGCCACAGAGACTTTGGAAAGTTGTTATGTACATATTCTCAAATATAGATATTTTTGAAGAAAAAAGATACAAGAAAAACAATTTTTAAAAAACGCAGAGAAAAATAAATCTGCTGTGCAAAGCCTAAGTCACCTGTCAGGGGATGATGAAATAAAGCATTCTGTATTCCTCAATTCCACTGAAGAGGAAGAGCTCACAAACTATTTAAAAGGATGTTTCTATAAGCTATCTACATGTCCTGAAATTAAGGAGATTTCTGTACAAAAAGGCAACAGGCTTTTGGTTGTAATTAAACATGATTAAACTTCTACTCTTTATATAATTTCAGTTTTAAAGTTACATTGCACTAAATTTCAGGGCTTTCCATTTCAGAACTGCCTAATGGCTCATTATCCTAATTCCCTATCCAATACTAACAAAGAATGGGTAATAACAAAGTCAGTCTAGTTTGGTTAACTGTGGGTTCTGGGCTTTGTTAGGTTTTCTTTTCCTGTCATATTTTCTCCTGCTATGTTTTCTTTTTCATGGTTTCTAAACACTATGGAAAATTATTTTAATGATATAGATATTTTATACCATTATTTAAATTATTTTAATGAGACAATATTAAAATTTGTCTGAATCTTGCATTTTTAAAACAACAGTATACTGCTCCACACAGCAACTTAGAATATATTAAGTAATATATTTAAAGTGATGTACAAACACTTCACACTTCTCACAGGATGCACTGCTTCTTGAACTCTGTTCTTTGTGAATGAAGCAAAGTCAAGTTAAAGTCTCTGGAACAGATATGGAGCTTATACTTCATTACTGTAAGAAAGACAAAGGGTATCTTATAATCTGAATATCATCCTCAAATCATGGAAGAACTAGCCCAGTAAAACTTCTCATTTTCCCAATGGTATTCTTACAAAAACACTATGCAGTCATATCATATTTGGCACAACTTAAAGAAGAGCAAGACCTGTAATCCCAGCACTCTGGGAGGCCGAGGCGGGAGGATCACGAGGTCAGGAGTTTGAGACTAGACTGGCCAACATGGTGAAATCCCATCTCTTCTGAAAATACAAAAATTAGCCGGGTGTGGTGGTGCGCACCTGTAATCCCAGCTACTCAGGAGGCTGAGGCAGGAGAATCGTTTGAACTTGGGAGGCAGAGGTTGCAGTGAGCCAAGATTGCGCCACTGCACTCTAGCCTGGGTGACAGAGCGAGACTCCATCTCAAAAGAAAAAAAAAAAGAGCAAGAATTTTCGCAAGCAAGACCCCTTAGCATTGTCATGCCAATCTAACAAAAATTTAGGCAGAAATTTACATTTCTAAAAGCTTTTATACAATAGAAAAAGGAGGGGGAATCATTCAGATTTTCTAAATTCCTACTGGTTTGTCCTAAATGTGAAGTAAGGAATGACTATAAAAAATCAGCAGCCTATGGGTAAGAGGGGGACAGCTCCCTGGGTCCAGTGTAGAAAGAAGCACATCCCAGACCGTTTTCAAAGGCTGAGGAAAATAAATTCCTACGAATGTCATTATACTACATGAGGCTGATACTTTGCAAACACTTCAGGCAGAAAAAAAAATAAAAAATAAAAAATGTAAAAGGTACTGCTGTTGCCCAAACAGCTGTACAATGATCCACAGAAAAAATAATATTAATAAAATATAACAAGTTATCCCGTAGAACTTCAAGTTAATCTTAAAAAAGGGCTTTGTCCCATTTGCTTATATTTTTGAAGATATGAAAACACTATAAACACATGTTATAAAGGGTTACTGAGGGTAGTATGACCTTTTTAAAAGGAAATGGTTAAAATCCATACACCATACACCATACACCATACATCGTCCACAAAAATTTCTAAGTGAGACTTAAAATCTTCAGTCTAAAGAAAATGATTTAAATACATCTATTATTTTTACCATTACCACTTACAAATAATGTGTTTACAGAGAAATTCTATCTACAGCAGACCCTAACTTTATCACACAGAAAAATAACTTTATACTAGGACACTGGTGAACATATACATCATACCCATAATTCTGTCCTTAGGAAAATCTATTGGCATGTTACAAAGACTGTCCACAATTTTCTTTGGACAAATATTGATAGCCTCATTCATTTTGCATTTTAATAGCTATTTATTTTTGTGTATAAAGTTTCCAAACTTTTGCATAAATCCTCGAAACTTGTTCTCATTGGGTTGATATGAGCGATAAACACCAGTGTTGTAATTAAGCAATGGACTAGACCTGCCATAACTGTTGCCCATAGTCGCAGATTTTATTTCTGGGCGATTTATACTGGTATTTGGCATGTTGCTTGTTGGCTGAATAGAGCTCTCAATCTTACAAAACGGCTCAAAACGACTGTAAACACGCCGATCAGTTGAATGAGATCGTAGAAGCTCACTGGACGTTGGCCTTGGAGAAGAAGTAGGTCTTCTTTCAGGGGTAACAACTGCATTAATCTCCCTTGAATCTCGGTATTGGATCTGTTCAGTGTTAAATCTTGGGGCAGAGGCATCTCCTGCCCTTTCCAAGAACTTGCTTTCAACTGGACCTGGAGAAGGTGTTCTTTTATTTTCATCTGGTGGAGCATTTATCTCTTGAGATGGGCTAACTGTTACATCTTCCTTACTCTTGTGGATGCTGCCTTGAGAATTCGATGAGGAAGAATGCTTTCTTCTAGGAGATGAATCAACTTTTGTGTCTGATTTCTTTGGTTTTTGATTTTCTTCACCCTCAGAAACTAATGTGTCAGAGCTACTACACAATCTATAAAAGGCAGGTGCTTTATTTTTGGATAGATTTTCTTTCTTATCTGGGGTAAGGCTAAGTAATGACCTTAACTTCTGAGACCCCTTTTTCAAAAAACTTGGGGAACCCTTAACTTCCTTCTTTGAAGCAAGTTCTTTGTTAGATTCCTCTTTATTCACATCAAGTAAAGCAGCAATGGAAACTGATTTGGTAGTAGTGCCACTTGGAGAGTTTCTCTTGGTAACTTCCTCCTCATCCTCCTCCAAGTTATGAGTCACATTGTGCATGCTTTTAGAACTTTTCAGCAAATCTTCTTTGGGCTTTTCTGGTTGTCTAACTCGATTCCTGGTAAGTGTACTATATACATAATGCTTACTATTTCCAGGATCTAAGTTGGCTTTTGAGTTGTCAAATAACGGGAAACTTCGCCTTTTAAGTAGATTCTCAGTCTGTTGATTCTTTAGATTTTCTGTCTGCTTATTTACACCCAAGGTTTTATATATATAGTTATTTGATTCAGTATGGCCATTTGTAGTTTGGTTTAAGGCTACTGAGTGGTTTTCAGGAACCTGCAAGGTGTGCATTTTTGGTGCCTCTGACTGCAATGGGAGCTTGGGGATTGATTCTGGCAAGGGTTTGTCTGTCAAATGCTGTACATTCGTAGGGGTGTCTGGGACCTCTTTAGGTGTCTCACTTCCCTGAGAACCAATGATAGTTGAATTTGAGGAGCCAGTTGTACAACTGTTAACTTCCTTTTGCTCAGGTAAAGTGGGTTTAAATACTAAAGAGGAACGAAGCCGAGAATGAGTATAAAGGGCATTGGCCTTCAAATTCTCAGGATTATCATAGCCCTCAAATCGGTCACCTAAAGCTGATCCATTTGAGTCCGGTGTAGCTTCTGAATGATCATTTAAGTAGGATTCAATTCTCCAGTTACGTAGGAATGACTTTGTGGTATGTTCAAGGGTTGGCATTCGTTGTTGCAAAAAGCGGATATGGTTATCTGTCCCATTAAAAGACCTCCGAACATTTGAATTCCTGTCTGCAAGATTTGTTGTTTTTCTCTGCGCAAGCCGATTGGCAAAACTCTGGGCAGGTGTGTTGTGGTGGCTTACATAGCCTTCCCGTGATGAGGACGCCACACTGAGACTATCAGATGGCTTTTTCCAATTACCAGGTGGATTATTGGTTCTATTCAGAGCCCTATTAAGCAGGAGGTATGGCACTGTTTCTGGCTGTTCCCCAGCATAACTATGCCTTTTCCAATTTTCATTTATCTGATTGGGTTGAAACTGACGTATTGCGTTTGGACCATTAAAGTTAGGAACAAAATGAGGTTTGTATCCGTGACTTCTTATGTTATATTTGTCATGTTCATTTAAAGTATATATCCCTCTGTTTTTGAAGTAACTGGAATCTAGTTTATGAATCTTGTCTTGTCTACCAAAAAGGTTTCTCTGGCTGGAAACAGATGCTAATGAAGACACCGAATGCTGGTAAGTGCCATTTTCCCAGAGGGCTTTTCCATGCTTCACCCTTGCTGATTCTTCCTGAGCAAATGAACTAGGGACACAGGATCTGGCATAGAGAGTTCTAAATTCTTCATCAAAGGACTCAACAAGTTGTCCTGTAATTATCTGAACCATGCTGAGGTGAGCTTTCTCAAATGACCACATATAACTGGGGAAAAAAATGGAAAAATTTTAATCATTTAAAAGATTGATAATAACATATAGTTCTACTAAAAAAAGTATCACTTAATGACTATGTTTTTGTACTTTTCTTTGGCTATCATTATTTAGAATATTTTCCGTCATTACATGCACTACATGTTTTCCCATCCTCATGTTCCTATTTTAAATAACAACGCAACTCAAATTTTGGCTTTGAATCCACTACTTTCCAGAAGTCCAAAGAAAAACTTGCTGTGCATTTTCAAAAGCAATCTGCAGATTCAATGCAATTCCCATCAAAATACCATCATCATTTTTCACATAATAAGAAGAAACAATCCCAAAATTTATATGGAACCAAAAAAGAGCCTGCATAGCCAAAGCAAAACCAAGCAAAAAGAACAAATCTAGAGGCATTAAATTACCTGACTTCAAATTATACTACAAGGCTACGGTTACCAAAACAGCATCCTACTGGTATAAGAATAGGCACATACACCAATGGAACAGAATAGAGAACCCAGAAATAAAGCCAAATACCTACAGCCAACTGATCTTCAACAAAGCAAACAAAAATATAAAGTGGGGAAAGGACACCCTATTCAACAAATGATACTGGAATAATTGGCAAGCCACATGTAGAAGAATGAAACTGGATCCTCACTTCTCACCTTAAGCAAAAATCGACTCAAGATGGATCAAAAACTTAAATCTAAGACCTGAAACCATAACAATTCTAGATGATAACATAATAAAAACTCTTCTAGACATTGGCTTATGCAAAGAATTCATGACCAAGAACCCCAAAACAAATGCAACAAAAACAGAGAAAAATAGATGGAACCTAGTTAAACAAAAAAGCTTCTACACAGCAAAATAATCAGCAGAGTAAACAGACAGCCCACAGAGTGGGAGAAACTATTTGCAAACTATGCATCCAACAAAGGAATAATATCCAGAATCCACAAGGAACTCAAATCAGCAAGAAAAAAACAAATAATCCCATCAAAATGGGCAAAAGACATGAATAGACAATTCTCAATAGAAAATATACAAATGACCAACAAAAATACAAAAGAAAATGCTCAACATCACTAATTATCTGGGAAATGCAAATTAAGCCCACAATGAGGTACCACTTTACTCCAGCAAGTATGGCCATAATTAAAAAATCAAAAACTAATAGACATTGGCATGCATGTGGTGAAAAGAGAACATTTTTACACTCCTGGTGGAAATGTATACTAGTAAAACCACTATGGAAAACAGTAGGAAGATTCCTTGAAGAACTAAAAGTAGAACTGCCATTCAATCCAGCAATCCCACTATTGGGTATCTACCCAGAGGAAAAGAAGTTATTATATGAAAAACACTTGCACATGCCTATTTATAGCAGCACAATTTGCAATAGCAAAAATATGAAACCAGCCTAAATGCTCATCAACCAACAAGTGGATAAAGAAATGTGGTATGTATATACCATGGAATACTACTCAACCATAAAAAGGAACAAAATAATGGCATTTGCAACAACCTGGATGGAACTGGAGACCATTATTCTAAGTGAAGTAACTCAGGAATGGAAAACAAAATATTGTATATTCTCACTTATCAGTGAGAGTTAAAGATATGAAGATGCAAAGTCTGAAGAATGATATAATGACTAGAGAAGGAGGGTAGGAGAGGGGTGAGGGGTAACAGACTACACCTTGGGTATATTGTACACTGCTTGGGTGATGGGTGCACCAAAATTTCAGAAATCATCACTAAAGAACTTATCCATGCAACCAAAAACCAACTGTTCCCCAAACACTAATGACATAAATAAAATAGAATGTTAAAAAAAATAAAGAAAAATTTGCTGTGTATTTTACATCTGTGTCAAAACTTCGTGGCATAAAAACTGATATTATATTTTATATATACCATCTTGGCAGAATGCAGTAAAGCCAGTGTTGGAGAAAAAGTCAAGAGGCCTGGTTTCTGCTGAATTGTAGACACATGAGCTTGGGCTTCACTTTCCTCGTGTCCAATGTAAGGATACGGACAGCATAATAGCTACAATGTCTCATAGCTGTAACATGATATAATGTAAGATACAGCTGTGTTAATGCATGTATTTTAAGAGTCGGTAAATTTTCAGACTGTTATCTCTGTGGTTTACTCAATAAGTGTAATTTAGGATGCCAAGAGCTGTAAACAGGATTTGTGGCCAGCTGCCTCAATCATTAAAGGGCAGAATTCACTGTACTCACTGTACATAGTATTAGTAAATGCAGGCTTCAGAAACCATGCCAGTCAAAATGCCAATCAGGATCTTTTAATATAAAATACAATTTTTAGGAAATTAATGTCTGTATGACTTTATAGTACTTTATGGAAGCTCCAATTCCTTTCCTAGAGTTTAGAGGTAACAGCTACCTTTAAAATTCATATCAAATTTTAAATCTGATTTTTGAAAATCTAGTGATTTAATATACAGTCAACTGAACTGAAAAATAAATGAATTGCTATTATGCTATGCATAAAGTAATGTATATGACACAATGGGGGTTAATACAAAAGAAAAAAGAGACACTCTCCACATTGAAGCATCTTATTATTTCTATAAAGGAGACAATAAAAATGCAGGAAAATAATTAAAAGAATGTGCAGATTAAACATTTAAAATAAACAAAATATTACATATCACAAACAGGAGCATGTAACTTAAGAATCTTGTTATTTGGATATGCTTAATTTTATCTAGTATGCCTATAGGAAGCATGATACAGAAGGAATATTTATTATGCCACTGGGCTGACTTAAAAGAAATGGTATAAAAGTAAGTAACTAAAGAAATTTTCAATCTGACTAAAGGTATGAATTCAAAATATTAGAAACATCAAGTAATGGAATGAACAGTGAACTATCAAGTATGAGGAAATCCATGAAGAAAGTGAAGTTCTGCAATATTTTGATAAAGACTAGATTCCCAGTTCAGACACAAAAGATGTGGGAAGACAATTTGTGTGGAGGGAGAAATATGGAAAAGGGAAGAATGCAATAAGGGTCATGTTCTAGTTGAACACAGAAAACATACTATATATAGCTGGAGCAAAGAAGCCATATAAAAGACTGATGAACTAGTGGGGAAAATCTTGAAAACAAAACAGAAAGTTCGATTATGTAGAATTTGTTTCCAAATTTGGATAAATTATAATAGAAAGAGATGTTTGAGGAACTATTTTTTTCTAGTAGCTATTTGTAGTACTATTGTAGTACAGACTTAAAAGTAAGAGCCCAACCAAAGTAGAAATAGGAATAATGAGTGAAAATGTTGAGCCAGTAGTAAAAAGAAAGAACCAAAAGACTTCATGTCAAAAGAACATCCATACGTTATTAAATAAAAACAACTTCCAAGTGTTGAGGTTAGAAAACTAAGAAGATACGGTGTTGGTGAATGTGTGGCAATTGGAAAAGTTTCCCTGCTATAGTAAATCAGAAAATAATATTGTAATAAAGTTTCAGGCAACAGGAAGACATTCATTGAATATATTCAGTAAGTAAATCTGAAAACCTACAGACATGCTTCAGGGCTTGGAAATGATCTCTGTATTCCTCTATTATCGTAGGTGATTTCTATGCCATTAACTATGAAGTCCGAAGTCCGTATTGCCAGTGCTGACCTCTTCCTCATCTCTGGAATCTGTGTCCAATCTCTACCCAAAATTTTAGTGGGCCTTGCAAGCCTCACATGTATGACTCATAAGTTGTCATCTAGCACTCCTCCTTCCCCGACCTATTCCTTCCCTAGTATTGCTTAAGTGAGTGACTCAGCCATCTTTCAGGTGATCAAGACAGGAAACAAGCAGTCATCTTTGAATGCCCTCTTTTTCAGAACCAAAAGGTCCTGTTGACTCTGCTTGCAAAACTTCTCACAAATCAGTCCTATCCCACTATCACCCTAGTCTTAGCATTTTCGGCTAATTTGACTCTTAGTGTTCTCATTTGCTCATTTTTCAATCAACAGAACAGCAGAAGTGATCTTTGCATAAAACAAATTGGGTCATGTCACACTTCCACACAGAACTTTCTGTTTTGTTTAAAAGAAAATTCAGGCTCCTTACCTGGCCTAAGATAATTCCTACCCTGCCTGCTTTCCAGTTTTACTATGGATAGCTCTTCCCTTGCTTAATGTGGTCCTACCACACTGGCCTTTCTGCTATCCCCCAGATATCTGCCCCAGGATCTTTTATCTATTGTTCCCTCTTCAATATATCTCTTCCCCTGCTGACATGCTCTTAGAAGACATTTATGATCACTCTATTCAAAGTATCCATCTGATCATGCTTTATCATATTCCCCTGATTTCATTTATACAATACCCCATTACCACTATCAGATGGTTTCTTGTATGTTCTCCCTTTGTCTGTCTCCAGTGCCCACTAAAATAAAATTTAGCTCAGCAATCTTGTGTACCTTATTTAGGACTGCACTTCCAGGGGCTAAGAACGGTGCTTGGCATATTGTAAACACTTAAAAACATTAGTTGTAAATAAACAAATGATAATATAAATGAACT
The DNA here is from genome assembly GCF_000001405.40 of Homo sapiens. Classification (NCBI taxonomy): domain Eukaryota; kingdom Metazoa; phylum Chordata; class Mammalia; order Primates; family Hominidae; genus Homo; species Homo sapiens. The sequence continues at coordinate 54,935,148 of NC_000006.12, read as the reverse complement.
ATTAGTTTCAAAATCAAGACTAAAAGGCAAAGATGTTTATGTTGGTGGAAAACTTAAAAGGTTTACATTAAATCTGGATTATCATGCAGGTTTATTTCTTTTTCTTTCCTACACAATACTAAAAAGATAGCAAAGGGAAAAGGGAAGTAGCAAGTGAAAGTATTTAATAAATGTTTAGAACAGAGAAATCTGATGGAGAAGTGGTGGCTGACTTATAGGAAGTTTGCATGAGGTGAGCAGCAATGAGAATAAGCCAGATGGGCCCAGCAGAATCTTTATGAATTCAACATCGGATCAAAAGGTACTACAAATGGTGGGTTAGAAAGGTCATGAAAATAGAGAAACAGGAAGATTGATTGAAAGTCTCATATAGAGCAGTTGGGCCTCCAGGTTCCCTACTCTTTCCTTTCCCATGAAGCACTCCTTCCTATCCCTTTCAGGAATCTAAGGTTTACTTCAGCAGAAACCAATCCAGAGAAAGTCTGAACTCAGAAACTTTAAACAAACCATGACTGGGATAAAGGTGAGCTAAAAATGAGACTTATCAGACCCTCAGCTCTCTTTCCCATTCTGCTTCTAGAATATCTTCAGTTAGGATCATATTCTGACTGCATTCCAAATTCCATCTCCTTTGACAATCTTTTGGAGAAAGACATTATTCTCTGGAAACATTGAAAAACCCCAGATAAGTGATATTTATATTGATAGTCGGGGATTCTCCTGTAAAGTTGCCAGGTCCCCAGTCTATCATTCAGCTGTAAACTCAAACGTTGATAAGCATTTCCCGCTCAGTTTCTAATCAGCTTTACAGTCCCTCATTCTTAAATATAAACACATAACAAAGATTAACAGATGAATAAACAAAGTTTCAAAGACAGCTTATAAAGCTTAAGAGCTTAGATGCAATCATAGATCAAAACAAGCTGGAAAATGGCACCTAGAAGAAACAGACACAAACTACAAATAAAAATACTTCCGAAAACACAAACACAAGGTCAGTAAAGTGGCAGATTAGAAAGTTACAAGCCCTACGTACCCCATAGAGACACTAGTTAACAACAATATGTGAAACAGAAGACCTCTGTGAAATGCTAGCGACCAATTGAAAAGATAGAGCACCCAGAACATTATATTCCAGCCATACAGGTTGAAAAACCTGTGATGTTTGGCCAGCTCATTCCTATTCCTCCCCCATATGGTACAGCATGAAACAAACAGAGAGAAACTTTTCCCCCAGCCCCCAGACTGGGGGTCCTCCCTCAGGATGGAAACAAAAGAGTAGACTGTGGATCATAATTCTGGCTTGTCTTCAGTGCAGCCCAAGAGACTGGCTTCTATCTTACCTGAGTGCTGGTAGGATTGGAACCAGAGTTTAGAAATCATTGAAAATAGAGGTAAGCAGCATGTTAAACCTGCAGTTCCATGGGCAGACACCAAAGGAACGAGAGGTCAGAAAAGATTTGAAAGGTCCTAGAATCTGTGGCTGGGCTGAATGGTAAAGGTCTTTCCCTGAACAAAGACAGTATACAAAGACTGGGAGAGGTGACTGATTATTTTTAAGATGTCTGAATACTAGCAAAAAATTACAAGGCATATGAGGAAGCAGGGAAACTCAGCCCAATCCTAAGAAATAAAATAAAACTCCAGAAACTAACCCTAAAGAATCACAGATCTATAAGCTGCCTGATTAAATATTTAAAATAACTGCTATAAAAATGCTCAATGAGCTAAAAACAAACAAAACTAACAAAAAAAACATCAACAACACACACACACAGACAAGTAAACAAAATCAGGAAAATGACATACCAATGGAATGAGAATATCAACAAAGATAAACTATAAAATAAAACTAAAAGGAAATTCTGGAACTGAAAAAATAATATAACTGAATAATTCATTAGAAGGATTCAACAGCAGACTTGATCAGGCAGAAGAAATAATGAATAAACTTGAAGACAGGTCATGGATATAATTGAGTCAGAAGAGCAAAATGAAAAAAAAAAGGAATGAAGAAAAGCAAAGATATACTAAAGAATTTATAGAACTACCAAGGAGATCAATATTGCATTATGAGAAGCTCAGAAAGAGGAGAGGCAAAGAAGCAGATAACTTATTTGAAGAAATAGTGGACAAAAACTTCCCAAGTCTGAGGAAAAAAAATTGACATACAAATTTTAAAGAACTCAAACTGGGATAAATCCAAAAAGAATTACACCAAGACACATTATAATCAGACCTGTTTAAAGTCAAAGACAGAAAGTCTTGAAAGCATCAAAAGAAAGGTGATTTGTCACATACAAGGGAGCTTCCATTAGACTATCAGTGACTTTCTCAGCAGAAAGTTTGCAGGCTACAATGAAGCAGGACCACATAATCAAAGAGCTACAAGAAAAACACTGAAAACACCAAAAATCCAGCAAAACTGTCCTTCAAAAGGAAGGAGAAATTAAGACTGTCCCAGATAAATGAGGGAGTTCACTACTAGGAGATCTACTCTACACAAAATGCTAAAGTGAATCTTTTTAAGTTGAAATAAAAGGATGGTAGAGAGCAACACAAAGCCTTATGAAAATATCAAGTTCTCCAGTAAAAGTAAATATGTAGACAAATGAAGTGACCTGTACTATTGCAGATGTGGTTCATAGAATTTAAATGTGAAAAATATAAAAAGTAACTTTAAATCTGTGTTCATTGCTATACAATACATAAATACGTAATTTGGAGCAACAATTATGTAAAGTGAGGAATAGAGCTATAAAGGTGTGGAGTTTTCATATGTGATTGAAGTTATCAGTTTAAAATAAAATGCTATTACTTTAAAATGTTTTATGTAAGGCCATGCATGGTGGCTTACGCCTGTAATCCCAGCACTTTGGGAGGTTGAGGTGGGCAGATCACCTGAGGTCAGGAGTTCGAGACCAGCCTGGCTAACATGGTGAAACCCAGTTTCTACTAAAAATACAAAATATTACCCAGGCGTGGTGGTGCACACCTGTAATCACAGCTACTCAGGAGGCTGAGGCAAGGGAATTGCTTGAACCTGGGAGGCGGAGGTTGCAATGAGCTGAGATTGTGTCATTGGACTCCAGCTTGGGCAACAAAAGTGAAACTCCGTCTCAAAAAAAAAAAAAAAAAAAAGTTTTATGTAATTCCAGTGATAACTGAAAAGAAAATATCTTTAGAATATACACAAAAGGAAATGAGATGATAATCAAAGCATGTATGTGCAAAAAACAAAACAAAACACAAAAGACTGCAGTAAAAGAGGGAAAAAAGAACAAAGAAGTTACAAGACATATGGAAAAAAAATGACAATAGTAAGTCCTTCTCCATCAGTAATTGGTTAAAAGGTAAATGAATTAAATTACCTCATTGAAAGACTTTAATTGACTGAATGGATTAAAAAAACAGTATCCAAATATATGCTATCTTCAAGAGACTCACTTTTGATCTAAGGACATACATAAGCTAAAAGTAAGAGGATAAAAAAAGATACACCATGCAAATGGTAACCAAAAGAGAAAGCAGGAATTGCTGTAAAAATATCAGGAAAAACAGGCTTTAAATTAAAATAAAAAACTTATAAGAGATAAAGAAGAATATTATGTGATAAAAAAGGGGTCAATTCACCAAGAAGATATAACAATTATAACAATTATAAGTATTTGTGCAGCAAACCTCAGAGCTCCTAAATATACAAAGCAAACTTTAACAGAATTGAAAGGGAAAACAGACAGCAACACAGTATTAGTAGGAGACTTCAATACTCTACTTTCAATAATGAATGCAATGAGACAGAAGATCAAAAGGAACACAGACAACTTGAACAAGAGTACAGACCAACAGCACCTAACAAACACATAGAGAACACTTGACAAAAGCAGAATATACATTCTTCTCAAGTACACATGGTACATTCTCCAAGACAGATCACGTTAGGCAAAACAAACCTCAACAAATTAAAGAAGATTTAAATCACACAAAGTATCTTACTTGCAACAGAACACAACTAGAAATCAATGGTACAAGGAAAATTGGAAAGTTCACAGATATGTGGAAATTAAACAACACAGTTTTGAGTAGCCAATGAGTCAAAGAAGAAGTCACAAAGGAAATTAGAAAATACCTTGAGACAAATGAATATAAAAACACAAGATATCAAAATTTATGAGATGTAGCAAAAGCACTCTTAAGAGGGACGTTTATAGGTGTAAATACATATATTAAAAAAGCAAAAATATCTCCTCTGACTTAATATTACCTAGTCTATGCATGTAATAAAATATGAAAAATATGACCTATACCATATGTACATGTATTTTTATCAATAAAACATTTTTTTAAAGCTAAAAGATCTCACGCAACAACCTAGCTTTATACCTCAAGAAACTAGAAAAAACAAAAACAAATAGGGAAAAAAGGGAAATTCTGAAAGGTTCAAGAAAGAAAACATGGCTGCGTGAAAAGAATGTGACTAATAATAATTGCTGAAACTTCTCAGCAGCAACTTTGATTATGGGGTAATACCTTACCAATTTGGAGGAAAAATGGTTCAACTTAGAGTTCCATCCCACATTAAGCCATAAATGACTTAGAATTATAAATTTTTTAATTTAAAAGTCCTTGAGCAATCTTGGGAGAAAAATGAAGACTTGGAAACAAAATGAGGAAATACAGGATTTAAGAAATCATGGATCAAATCACTTAGAAATATGAAAAATACCAGGCCCCCAGGTGTGCTTCCAATTTAAGGACCTGCTAGTTCAGATGGGATGTCATAGATGGTTGGTTGTAACTGAGCATTTGGGAAAATCATTCATGTGCTGCAAAATCTATGTGGTCAACTGGAGAAAGAAGTAGCAATAGATAAATAGAAAACAAACACAATTAATAAAAACAAAATGGCCATTATTAACTTTGTTTCGAAAAAAGAAACGTACATCACTCTATGGCTCATCAGTGATCCATTTTGACACAATTTCAATAATGTAGACCTGGACTTCTCATTTAACCAAAAATTGTGATAAAACTATAATGCAGACAAGAAGGAATAGTAGGTAGTAAATACAATTCTCCAAAAATAAAAAGCCAAGATAATATATGAAATTGGTAAATCAAAAAAGAATAACATAATCATGTTATTTAAGGGATGAAATAAATATCAGAAGAACCAACTAAAAGAATTGAGCAACTGCATCTGGAGATCAGGACCAGAGTTGGCTAGAGATGGAAAACAAAAGTCACTGTTTTGTACTGCACATATTTTAGTAATATTTGATTTTTTTAAAATGTGCAAATATTTTCATGGATTAAAAAAAAACTGTCTACTCCCAGCTCCACTAAACACACACTGTCAGATATTAGTCATGAAGTTGACTTAAAAATTCCGAGTTCCTGGCTGGGGGCTTAAAGTCCATCAAATGTAAATAGTAACAGTATGCTGGTTGCAGCATGGACCTCAACTGTGATGATTTTTATGTGTGGTTAAAAATGGAACCTGAGAGGTGCCAACTTCAGCCAATTTGTCTTTTGAAAGTAACTTTCATTGAGCTCATGAGATTAAAAATGAAAAAGCCTATAAAATTATCTCTCAGTTTGATTTATAGACAATGCTTTATTAAACATTCATCAATGTTAGTATCATGTTATGAAAAAACTCCTCATGTTTTCCTGATAAAATCATCAGCATGTGAGTGAGCTGTCACACAATGTGTAACTGTGGTAAATACAGATTCTGGGCCTCTCCAGGAATGGTAGGAGTTTAGAATCCAATGATATCCCATGGCAAAGAATACTGAATTAAAGAAGAAGGCATTTTCAACTTGCCTATGAGGAAAACAATAGCAATACCAGAATGTGAGGGACAAAGGCTGTTTTTAAACCAAAAGGAAATTCACTTTTAACCAAACTAGTTCAAAACTAGTCTACCACATCTCGTTCGAATATTGTTAGCAACAGGAAAGGTCCATGATAATGTCAGAAAAAATAAAAAGGACAATGATTACAACTATAAATTATTTAAAGAAATATATTTAAAATGAACTTGAGATAACACAGAGAATAGAGTGTTAGTTAAGAGTTGTGATAAATTTTTTATAATCCATGGTCCTAGGAATTCTACAGTTACTATCATAAATAGTAACTTAAATTCTGCCTCTGGCTTCTGATATAGACAGAAAGATAGAGATATATAATTTTTTTGTCACTGCTGTTTGATTTTCCCCCACATTAATCAAAAGTAGCTCAACTATAGTCATTGCAACACTAGCAACTATTAATATCTAGTGGCAGCAAAACAAAGCTGAGGTAAATTTACTGTCAAAGATAATCTTAAAACTTAAATAATAACCATAGAAACTATTAATTATGATGACCTTAAATAACAATGATTCTACAAGTCAAGTGAACTCTCAATTTTAATTAAAAGTTCAATTAAAAACTCTCCAAAACCAAGTGGGTCTGGACAAATATATTCACATATAATGAGTCTTTAAAAGGACTCACGAATTTCAAGCACTAGCTGTATTTTCTGCTGTTAATATGTTTTCATTTGGAACTCCAAACAGCATGTTTTTTTAAAAAGGTCCCGAGCTTAAAGAGAGAGTTAGCAGAAAGTAACAAATCAAGTCCTAAAATAGTAGTTAACATTAGGGGTTTGGGATGCATGAACTCATTTAATCCTCACAACAATGATATGAGGCCAGTTCTATGATTTATTTTATAGCGGAGCAAACTAAAGTGCAACCAAATAAAGTAATTTGCTCAAGGCCACCATTTCAATGTGATACCTCCTTCTCATGGACTTTCTGTTACTAAGACAGGAGACAAAGGTTTCGCCTTACACAGTCGTGTTCACATCCATAGCTCTTCTGGATTCTTCCCTCAGTCTTTAATAATGACTCTACCCTGCCTCAGTGACCTAGCAGTTCATGGGTATTTGGTGGTGCTTTTATCTGCCTGTTTATGTAGCCTCACTATGTATCTGATTCAGGACTGAAGCCAGGGGATTTATTTACAAGAGAGTATTAGGGCAGTGTTTACACTCTCGAGCCAGCCTCACCTGGACTGGGTTGCCAGTTCTGCTTTGATCAGATTCTTAAGAATACAAAATAAGAAAAATCCATTTACCAGATTACTTAAAGTGGTAAATAGCTTCTGTTTTTACAAACGATTGTAACTAAATCCATACTATGTAATGTTTCCATAAGGAGCAAAACCACTTTTAGTACCACAGAGCTGTAGGGAACCTTAGATATTGGTCAATGTCTTCATGTTCTGGATGAACAATCTGAAGCTCAAGGAAGTTATATGATTTGCATAAGATCTTAATGCTCTTTAGTGGCAGACTCATGACTCAAACCTAGGTCTCTAATCTCCATGCAAGTGTTCTCTTTTTTTTTTTTTTTTTTTTTTTTTTACTTTTAAGAAAAAGCTTAACTGATTATATTAAAATTTGAAACTAATAAATCATCAAAACGATTGATAACACTGAAGTTAAACACAATGATCTTACCTGTAAGAACCGTACATCACTTTCTGGCAGTCAACTAACAAAAATTTCTGTTCCATTTTTCCATGGAATTTTGCCCCTGTTTTTGAAAGATAATCTTGGCCTTTTACTGTTCGCACTCGAATATTCTAGAATTATATGTAAATAAAAAGCAGACATTATGGCTAGGAAAAGAATATTTTGAAAACCAAAATCCATATCATGATAGAATCTTAATATAAAAAAATTTACTTAAGGTAATTAAAAAAAAAACTCCCAAATATTAAATCCTTAATGAAAATAATCATTTAAAATATACATTTCAATATAGCTTAAATAGGAGATTTCACTTTACATTTACACAGAATAGCATCAAAGATCACTCAGCCTCTCACTATAAAAAACCCTTTTGGGTTATAATGCCTTGATGATAAATTAACTAAAATTAAAATTAACCTTCCTTTTAAAAAGTCAAAAGTAACAGAAAATACTACGTGAAATGATTCTAATAAGCAATACATGCTGAACCATAGAAGCACCAGAGTCACTGGTTTCAAAGCTGTGCATGCAAAACTGATGTATTAAATATTAATCAGGAAAAGCACAATATAAAACCCTCATGAAGGCCGGGCACGGTGGCTCACATCTGTAATCCCAGCACTTTGGGAGGCCACTTTGGGTGGATCACGAGGTCAGGAGTTCAAGACCAGCCTGGCCAAGATGGTGAAACCCCGTCTCTACTAAAAATACAAAAAAAATTAGCTGGGCATGGTGGCGGGCACCTGTAATCCCAGCTACTCGAGAGGCTGAGGCAGGAGAATTGCTTGACCTGGGAGGCGGAGGTAGCAGTGAGCTGAGAATGCACCAGTGCACTCCACTCTGGGAGGGAGAGCAAGACTCCGTCTCAAAAACAAACAAACAAACACTCCCATGAAGATGTGCTTTCAGTTGCATTCTAAAAAGTACAGGGGACCTTTCTGTGATCAATCATTCCATAACCTTAAATACGTATTTTTTTTTGTTTTTCAGTTTTATATTCATCTACCTTAAGATGCCTTACATTTGACTGAGTTGAAAATGACACATAAAATACTTGAGGAAAAAAAAAACAGAATTCTTACCCTGAGACGCTGAACTGAACAACCTTGTTTCTCAGTCATATTTAGAAAATGATTAAAATTGGACTCATCAAGCAGAATGTAAACAGATACTCCTCGAGTTGATGCCTCAACGATTTCTTTGAAAATGTCCACATCTGTAAATATATCCATCACTAAAGCAATGACCTGTTAAATATAAGAATATGAAACAATTTTAGATCCTTGATAGAGAAAGATTTAAGAAATTGCTTACTTTCAGTAAAGGTCAGATAAAATTTTAAAAATTAAATACATATATGTATGTATATACAAATATTCATTTCATTTTCTAAAACAGAAGATAAAACCATATTAAAATAAGCAAATAACTATATGCAGATTTGTACACTAAGTCATTTTCATATTAGCTTTAATTTAAAGGAAATCTGCATTTCAGTAGGATTTTGAAAAATGGGCAAATCCAAATCATGGATTTCAAGACTGCCTGTAAGGTAGACAAACAGGACAAGGTGGAAACCAGTGTTACAATTTTTCTAAGAGGCATTTCCAGGGGAAAGTAGGATTTTTTTGAACCAGTCATTAAGAATAAAAGTCTTGGGGAACTGAGACAGAGAAAAAAATATTCTAGAAATAGAAATATACCTAGGAAAGGATGAAAGATGGAGAAAGAGTATAAGATGACTTGAAGACCAAAAAATTAAATATACAGTTGTTCCTCAGTTTACTGGGGGAATGGTTCCAGGACCTCTGCATATACCAAAATCTGCACATACTCAAGTCACAGTCAGCCCTGAAGAACCCACGTATATGGAAAGCAGGACCTCCATATATGTGAGTTTCACACCCCTTAAATACTGGAGTATTTTATACATGTTTGGTTGAAAAAAATCTGCAAAAAGTGGATTGAAGCAGTTCACACCCATGTTGTTTAAGGGCCAGCTGTACTTGCCTAAAATTACTTTAGCAGATAAAATAAGCAAAAGAAAAAAGTGAATTAAAAAGGTGATATAATTTAGAAGGAAAATGCCCTAAAGAACAGGTCCCTAAGATGTAGAGTCTGTGTTGATTGTTGGAATGAAAGTAAAATAATGCTAGCAGAAGGGGAAAAATCATTTAAGTGGCTGTCCACCTTCTATGTGCCAGGCATATTTATTGACCACCTACTATGGGCCATGCAAGAAGAACAAAATCCTGCCCTTATGAAGCTTACATTCTAGTGGGGGAAGACATAATAAGTAATAAAGATAATAAATAAGTCAATTATATAACAAGCTATAGGTTTTTTGGAAAAAAAAGAGCAGAATAGGGGATCATGGGTTCCTGGAAATTCAGGAGGAGTTTGGGGGTTTCGGGGAAGGTCTCTCTGAGACAGTGTCCTTTGAATAGAATTTAAAGGAAATGACATTATCCACATTGATATCTTCAAGAAGACTGTTGCAGGCAGAGGAAACCAGCAACTTTGCTCTGGCAATCCAAAAAACAGAAACGAGATAGCAGGAATGAAATGAGAATGGGAGAGTTATCACAATGTCTTAAAGTCACTAAAAGCCTTCAGTATCTTTTTTTCTGAATAAGACTGTAAGCTATTAAAGGGCTTTGAGTTGAAGTAATGAAATGATCTGGTTATGTTTTGAAAGGATTGTTCTGGCTACTGTGTTAAGAATAGGCTTTAAAAAAGGTAGCAAGGATGGAAACATGGAGGCCAGTTAGAACTACTGGTGCAAGTGAAGTGAGAGGTGACGGTGTGTAGGACCAAGATGGTAGTGTCAGGGATGAAAAGAGATAGCCAGATACTGGATATCTTTGAGTCCAAAGGTCTTGTGGATGGACTGACTGTAAGGTATGAGAGAAAAGGGAGAAAAAGTGAAGAAGACCAAGAATCAAGCCCTGGTACACTCCAAGTTAAGAAGTCTAATACCAGAAAAATTCCCAGCAAAGGAGACTGAGGAAACACAGGGCAGGTGGAATACTGAACACCAATAAAGACAGTGCATTTGTAAGAAGGAAGGTGAACTTGAGAGGTTCAAATCCTACTGCTAGGCCAAGAATAGTTTTAGTGGAGAAGGAACAGCAAAAGCCTCAGTGGAAGGCATTTAAGAGAGAATCGGGGCAGATACTAGATATAGAAGATACAGAAAACTATTTTTGTGTAATTTGGCTACAATAGGAAGCAGAGAAATTGAACAGTAGTTGGGGGTAGAGCTGAATCAAAAGAAGTTGTACTTTTTATTTTTTAATTGGCATAAAATTGTGTGTAATCATCATGTACAACATGATGTTAAGATAGAGACTCAATCTAGGTGTCCATCAACAGATGCACAAAGAAAATGTGGTGTGTGCGTGTGTGTGTGTGTGTGTGTGTGTGTGTATAAATGAATACTGTTTGACCATAAAAAGAATCCTATTTGTTACAACATGAATGAACCCGGAGGGCATTATTTTAAGTGAAATAAGGCAGACACAGAAAGACAAATACTGAGTGATGTCACTCATATGTAGAATCTAAAAATATTTTAAGGTGAGAGAAATAACGGTATGTCTTTATGCTAATGAAATGCTACAGTAAAGAGTAAAATTAATAGTGCAAGAGAAGGTGGGAGGTGAGGTGGAGAAGGGGAGAATTTCTGGAACAATATCTTTTAGTAGGCAATAAGGTATAGAGTCTAGTGCAAAAGTTAAAAAAAAAAAAAGAAAAAAGAAAATTATAGCACAGAAAGTAAAGTAAAGACTAGTAACTGGTCATCTATTATATGAAGCCAGAGGGCTAAGTATAAAGGTGCAGATGCTGCTGGGGGAGACAGCATGGCAGTGGTGCTGTGGATGTTCTCTTCTGAGTTCTTTGATTTTCTCAGTGTAGTGGGAAGCAAGGTCTTCAACTCAGAGTGAAGATTCCAGAAGACATTTTAGAGATCTGAGGAAAAGGGTACTATGTAGTCATCTAGGAGAGTAGAAAATAAAATAGACTAAGAAAATATAATATGATTGATGGTTAGCTTTAAGACTCACCAGGTCATAAATTTAATATGGGACCAGTCAATGTGGTTGTGAGTTATTCTTCAACGCTGTTTGGTGGCAAGCCTCTAGGAATGGAGTAGGCAGAGTCTGATTTAGCCATGGCTGTGGTTCTGCCATGAGTGTGTAACAAATTGAAAGAGGGCAGGGAGATTGAAGGTGTATATAATATGGAGTGGCTGAAATGATTGATCATGGGCTTTAAGTTTGATATAGAAAGGAGAGAAGATGTCATGAATGTGAGAGGCAGTGAAATGAAGGTAGGATAAATGAATTTTAGATCCTGCTGGCATTAAAGAACATTAGATATTAAAGGATTATTGTTAAAGATTGAATATATATCTTATCTTTAAAATATACATGTTAATATAGTTACAGATGAAAACATCACGCCTTATATTTACTTCCCATTATAATGGATGAAAAAAATGGCCGTGAATGATAATTGTTGAAGCTAGTTGGTTGTACATAAGGGCTCCATATACTATTCTTCCTACTTTTGAAAGTTTTTATAACATAAAGATTAAAAAATTAAAAACACAAGAGTATTTTTTACTAGCAGATACTAGAGATGGTAAGCCAAAAATAGAAGCAGAGGTGGTAGTCAGATGAATAATGTTGAAAAGAGTGACAGAGACCAGAAAACAAAAATTGTAAAGAAATGAGGGGGAATGGAATGACCTGAGAATAGGCAAATGGCAATATACAGCATAATGTAATGGATACATTGTGAATACCTTAGAAGATGAGCAAAGTTATGGATAATATATGAAATAATTTTATTTACGCTAATTACAGTGTTTAAACAAAATACTGGACCATGCTCGAATTTTATCTGTGATAACATTCTTCAAACTACCTGTGAAACATACTCCAATCAGATTTTCTCTAGAAAGAACAATTTCAATCATTCCAGTAGCTTCCCACAACCTTTTTCTTATTTATAAATGGTATGAGGAGCCAGATGAAGGGAGAAACCAGTGATAACAGTCTCATTCATGTTTGAGAATACTTTTCATAATGTCAAATATATAAAAAGTCTTAAAATCATACCCAAAATTATTAATTTAATGCATTAGCTATGCATTAATGAGGGGTGTAATGATATATAGGCATTAAGATTTTTAAAGTCCATATTTCACATTTATTTTATAAAATAACTTATAAAAACATATGTCTGGTGCAGTCTGGCACTAATTTTTTTAATCAGAATTTTTTGAATACAGAAACAGTATTGTACAACATGGTATTCTTTAATTAGCATATTTAAAAATTTATTTTTAATTTGCCAGATAGTCTGCATGTAACACATTACTTTAGACTTTGGAAGTGAACAAAAACACATTACTAGGATACATAAAGGATTTTGTTTGCAAAAAGTAATTGAAGTCACTCAGCCAATGGATGTTTCTGTCACACTAAATGCAGAACAAATGACAGTCTTTCTTGCATGACAAAATAATACGCTGGATCAGCATCCAGAAGACTAGATTATACATCTCTGACAAGCTTATCTGATGTCAACCAAGCCAGGTTGCTTTTCAGGGCTTCTGTTTCTTTGTACTCTCACTTGATGTGTGGAAAAATTACATGAAATCTACAGTAACTTCTAGCTATGCTGCAAAAGGCAAAATATAATGTAACTTTTTTTTTTAAATGATGGGTTACATTCCTGGGAAAGAATAATAATTAGAAATGAGGTATGCCAAATCTGATCTGAAATTATTACATGCTTGGTTAGTTATCAAAATTACACTGTGTTGCACACATGGCCACATGGCTATATATAATTGAAGAAAAATTATATGCCTGATTAGTATAAGGCTTTTCAAAAGGTACATCAATCTATTATATTAATCAAGAAACCAGTTCTATTAATTGGTGTTCATTAAACTACCATGACATTATATATTTCTTAAATTATGTACTTGCTTCTTCATTAATTCTTGTCATGAATTCACAATTCTTGCATTATAATTCGAAAAGGTAAATAAATAAATGCATTCATCGGAAACATGAGACTTAGAAAACTTTCAGAACGCTACCCCAGGTCATTTTTAAGATTTGAGTAAAACTTCACATCTTTTAGTATTAACGGTCTCCGAGAACCTGACCCAAGGACATTTTTCTTCACTTATCTTTCTTACAGTACTAAATTTTCCCAAAGTGACCCAGACCCCGGAGGACACCTACAGTATATATTACATATATAGTCAATGGATATTTTGATAAGTTCATATGCATTGCAAAATGTAAGGCCATTCAGGAAAGTACATAATCAAGTGTTAAGTAATACACGGGAATGGTAATTCAGAGAAAGAAAAAACAATAATCTATATGTACATGGTTGTAAAGGGGGGAATACAGTAGAATGAAAGAGACAACAGGTCTTCATGGATAAGCAGTAAATAATGAGCAAAATTATTTTTAGCCATCCAAGGTGAAAGGCTAGTACTGCAAAGATACAGAGGCAAAAGTAAAAAAGAAGATGAGGGTAATATTCTAACAAATGTTTATTGAATTAACATAAAGTTAAATACAAAGATCATTATGCTCACAAGCAAGGAATAAATTTAGTTAGACAGGATTTATACAGATTATGAAAGATCTTGAAAATATGATTCATTATTACATTTGGTCTGGAGACCAATATAAGTGCTAGAAAAGAGAATATCTAGTCAAAACAGTGTGTTGGGAAAATGTGTCTGATAGTAATACGCATACTGAAAATATCTAAGTTCTACTGAGTCATACAATTGCATAAGATTGTGAAGCCTTCTGTATGATTTTTATTGTAATTTAATAAATGCACCAAATAACCAAAAAGTGTGGTAGAAACCAGTGATAAGAAAAGTGAAAATAAATGACAGATTTCATAGAAAATATTCATTAGTGTTGACATTGAAAACTTGCATTTCCTTACAAATATGCTTCACTATTTTCAATATTTTATGTTAAAACCTACATTGTTTTTCCCTTTGAAGTCTATTATAATACAGAGCTATTAGCAATATGCTTTTGTATGACCTAGATACTTAATGAAATATAGGTGTACCTTGGGTTAATGTTCTTTAGTCACACAACTGTCACTATCACCCTCACAACTGAATATTATTCAGACTTCTTTTGTAATTGCCTAAATAGAGATAGGAGGATTTATTTTTTTCAGCAGAAGAAAAACTCATAGGGAGTTCTAATTTTGAAAAAACAGATTAATGGAGCTCTACAATAACATTATAACAAAATTCAACACAACTGAAAAACTTTTAAGAATTAAATAACAGATAAAGGGAAATGATCACTTAAGGGACATATATTTCCAAGTCTGTAAACCCTGTCAAAAACAATCTGCTAAATGATTTCAGAAAAAAAAAATGAGGCTGATATAAAGAAGTACCTTTGGCCCAAATCCTTCTATAGCCTAAGTAAGAGTATCCATTTTGCATGAAATTTATATATAATATACTGTGTGCACTATAGTATTGCTTAGTAACTTACAGCTTTACATTATGGATGTATTAATAATTTCTCAGATATTTAAGAATCTATCTTAACTGCTATATCTATATATCTACTGGTTTGGTCTGCCATAAATTAAGTGATTCTGGGAAAGTTACTGAAATGACTTTGAGTCTCACACACCTCTAAATATAATAAACAAATGAACCAGAGAATATCTTGCATGTACCCGGTTCCAAAAGTCTATGTTTTCAATAACCATTCATTCACTCCATATTATGATGGATAAAATAATATAAATAGACATAGACTTCAAGCACTATCATAAAAGAGTATTACAGGGTTTCATTTATATATATTAAAACATGAGAACTGAGTCACACTAGACATCTTGGCAACTTATTATTCAAAGTTGATTTATATATTACTAGGGGGATACAAACAAGACCTGAAACTTATAATCCTAATTATCTAGACTTTGTAAATAATGAGATCTCACTAGTTTTTAGCAATTGGATTAAAAGGTACATTGTACATAGCCTTTTACAAGTACATACATTGTACTTGCTTGGTGAAAGTGGGGGGAAAAATCTAGATTATTTTAATAAAAGTCAATTGGAAATGTAAAAGGCATGTTTGGGTTCTGTTACAGCAAAATTAATTTATAAAATGAATACTAGTGTATGGCAACTCAGAAGGGAATCTGCATACATTATTTTCCACATTATTTGCATCATATCATAGAACTGAAAATACTTAATACCACAAAAATAAATCACATTTTTACCTTTGTCCAATTTAAGGAAATCTTTATATCAGCTCTGTGCAAGTAGGCATCTTTGATTTTTAAAGGAACTTTTGCTCTAATAAGGAAATCTACAAGGAATTGGGAGGAATAAAGAATGAGGAGTAGGCCTAAAAGAAACTGCAAAGAAAAGCCATAGTTTTTTTTACTGATTTCAACAATTCAATAATCTTTCATGTTCTAACTTCCTCAGTACTTCCTGAAAAGTTACTTTTTTTGAAACTTGGTCTGGTAAGTGTCCCACGCATGGGCCCTCAAAGCCAAGATGTTGGAGGGTCAGGACAGAGTAATTAGTGGTGGAAAAATGAGCTCAAGACCCCTCAGCCTCTCCTATGTTAGAATAATCTAGCTCTGTGATCACACAAACAATGCACCTTACAAAGCAAAAGAGGAAGCTCTGCGGGGAGTTACACCATTTGAGGGGATGCTGGAAGACAGAGAGGAGGCAATGCCAAAGCATATTTAGTTCAACCAGAAAACAATTAAAATGCCCCCAACTTTCTGCAAAATCTAACTCTCAGTATGTCAGAAGGATGTTGATATGGTTTGACTGTGTCTCCATCCAAATCTCAGCTTGAATTGTAGTTCCCATAATCCCCATGTGTTGTGGGAGGGACTTGGTGGGAGGTAATTGAATCATGGGGGTGGTTACCTCCATGCTGTTCTTGTGATAGTGAATGAGTTCTCCCAAGATCTGATGGTTTTATAAGAGGCTTTCCCCCACTTCACTCTACACTTCTCCTAGTTGCTGCCATGTGAAGAGGACATGTTTGCTTTCCCTTCTGCCATGATTGTAAGTTTCCTGAGGCATCGCCAGCCCTGCAGAACTCTGAGTCAATTAAACCTCTTTCCTTTATAAATTACCCAGTCTGGGGTATTTCTTCATAGCAGTGTGAGAATGGACTAATACAGATGTTCTTTAAAATAAAGATGTGTGCTGTATTACTACAGAGTTAGAAATCCCAGTGTTTTCTGACTTGCTGCTATTGAAGGATCAGGGCCAGTTTTAGTAAATTCTGAAAATATTTGTAAAAATGTAAGGAGAAATAGATTTGAAATTAATAATAGACTTTACTAAGAAACTATGAAGCATTCATAATTTTTCAAAGTGTATGTTATAGTATTCTAATACTTCATTACCATAGAATCACTTCATTAGGAATGAGTATCAAAATACAATATTTATATATGACTATTTTCCTTCATTCTCAATTTTATTATTGAAATTGTCAAACCTACAGAAAAGTTGAAGGAATAATATGAGTATCTATAATCCATCACCAATATTTTTACATGTTAAAATTTTGTCATATTTAACTTTGCAGGTATTTATTAAGTGACACAGGATCAAAATTCAGAGTAAAAACAGATACATCTGATATGGCTATATTTTTTAACAAGAGTTAGAGAGAGGGCTTCGGGTGGATACGTAAGGCAACTTGCTAAAACAGAAGAATTTCTTATGAGACTTTTTAAGCCATGCATTAAAAGTAATAAACCTTTTTCTACTTAATTTCTTAATCGCTTACTATTAATTTTTCAATTTTGCACTATAACCGAATGTGTAATTGGTCATTTTCACTGGTGCTATTTAAAAGAAAACTTATTATGGAGAAAATGACTATTATAATAACTGTTACTTTAGATTATTAATTTGAACCAAGAAAAGCTCCTCAAAATTCTGACCAAGAAGGTAAAAATTCTGAACAAGAAGGCAAAAGGTAGGTCATATTTTTTTAAATTTTTCTCTGGCTTTGTTATTTTCACCAATCATGAATATAGGTATGCATTAAAGTGAGAAATGATTAAATTATTAATTTAATTATGTAAAGAAGACATTGGGAAGGGAACATTTAAAAGTGGAAATTTTTAAAAAATCACTTAAGTGAAAACTTTAGTTGTAAATAAAACCTCTGGGTTAGACTAAAACATATCTGATCTTTCTAAACACGTGTTTTGTAATTATTAAGTTAGTTAGATCTTTCCATAATTAACCACACAGCCTGAGAGTATTTACTCTGTTACACCTAGTTTCTAAGGTAGTTATAACTGATATATTTCAGGTATTCAATAAATTTTTGTTGGGATGCAGTGTCTACATGGCACCTGTTCTCAAAGAGTACACAGTATTGAGAGACTCATTCATAGAACTATAAATCATTGTGACATCTGCCATAAAATGTACATAACACAGTAGAACAAACTACTGTAAGGGAATAACTGTTTATGACTAAGAATTATGTGTCATCAGTACCTAGAGCCTACAGTGAGTGAGGCATCCCTGTGGATCTCATTTAATAAGGGAAATGAGACTGTCTTCTAAGAATTAAATGTCAACAAATGAAAGCACTGGCATTCAAAGTCCCTTAGCAGAGAGCAAGGTCTGCAAGATGTAATAATAGCCAGATGAAAGATAGCAACATAACATATAAAAGTAGATATTTCAGTAGAAAAATGTAGAAGTTGGTTCGTAAGTCATGCAAATAGAGTCAAAGAGACAAATACTGCCCACATTCATCTGTGTACTATCCAGAAGAGAGGAGGGGTATCGAAAAGCATGAACTTGATCTTTGTATAATATTGGCTAGGTATATTTGGTTTGGTAATGGCATCTGAGCCAGATGCGTTTTAAACATCCTATTAGCTCCTCTTGTTCTGATTTTATAGCCTTCAAATATATTGGGATTTAGTGTGTATATTGCCACAAAGGAGACTGAGCCAGTTGGAAAACACAAATCTGCTAGGATATTGAGCACTTACAATTGGCACTATAAAATGAAATTATTTTGTCAGACATCCGTGTTCCAAGCTTAGTCAATACGAGCGTGTGAATCAGGCTTTTAATTCTTAAGTGTAAGGTTCAGAATCTAGATTTTGGCAAAGTGATTAAAGAAAAAAAAATTCTCCCTGAGACCTCTTGGTAGGTAACTTTTTCTCAGTAATGTAATTATCCATGGTCCCGAGATAGCTATTATCTTATTTTGTACTTTAGTGATATAAAAGGGTGTCTGTCATGAAAAAAGAAGTGAAGGGCACTGCAGGCAGAAAGAGAAAGAGGGAGGACGGAGTAAAAATCCCTCTGCATAAGGAAAATTGTAAAATAGTGCATGAATAGTGCATGAAGAGGAGTTTGGGGAATAGGAGCAGAAGCTTTAGGAAGGTTCAGCGGCAAAGCAGCACTACAGCAGAAACAGCTAGAGGCCCAGTTTTGTTGGGAAATGGAATTCTACTAAGAAAGAGATGGCGATAAAGCTAGAAAGATTGTAATGGTAAATTTGGTCAATTGTGGAGGGAAGTCGTTGAATGCTAGGCTAACTATGGATTCTATAAGGCACAACAGTGAACCATTCATAACTTTATAGTCAAAGAATCACATGATTAAAACAATACCTGAGAAAATTAACGTGTTTGTATACATAGGATGAGTTAGAAATGTGAGTTTCTTTTTTTTTTTTTTTTTTTTTTTTTGAGACGGAGTCTCGCTCTGTCGCCCAGGCCGGACTGCGGACTGCAGTGGCGCAATCTCGGCTCACTGCAAGCTCCGCTTCCCGGGTTCACGCCATTCTCCTGCCTCAGCCTCCCGAGTAGCTGGGACTACAGGCGCCCGCCACCGCGCCCGGCTAATTTTTTGTATTTTTAGTAGAGACGGGGTTTCACCTTGTTAGCCAGGATGGTCTCGATCTCCTGACCTCATGATCCACCCGCCTCGGCCTCCCAAAGTGCTGGGATTACAGGCGTGAGCCACCGCGCCCGGCCAGAAATGTGAGTTTCTACCAGTAGGTAGAGGAGTTAGGGGTTTTCAGTCCTAGTCTAGCATGAGATGCCAACGTGGATGGCGAAAGCAGGAATAAAAGGGTTGGAGGTAAAGTTGTAAAGGATGATGTGACAAGACTCATTGGCTAATTGCTTCTAACGGACAACAGAGAAAGGATAGACAGAAATCTCTAGGGTGTAGAGACCTAAATTACATGGAGAATTACTGTAGCATTATAAGAAAACTTAAAATTCAAAAGTAGTATTTCATTTTTGTGTATAAAGAAAGCCATCAGACTAAGTCAAAACAATATGATAAAAAGTTGTGTTACTTTTTAATCTACCTGCCATTCATCCATCTATCCATCCACACATCTACCCATCTAACTATCTATGCTTTTTTTTTTTAACTATAGAAACTCGGGAATTTTTATGCATAAAAACAGGTGGGTGAACATCAAAAGAATAAAATAGGAAAGAGGTGATTTGCTTGATGATAGAAGATATCAGTGGCATCACAATGATATGGTATAAGCACAAGAGAAAAAGTCTGCCTTAGAATTAAGTTATACAAATATGCTAAAACTGTAGGGAAGAAGAAAATGAAAAGGCATATTTTGGTGGTGAACAGGACACAAAGGAGAAATGGGAACCAGAGTAGGGGACTGTCACTTGATGCTGTTAACATACCCTTCATGACTGGGGAGGTAAAGTTTTCCTCTGGGTGCAGTCAGTGAGGGCTCAGATTGTGGGCTTGCCAGGAAGTGAAAAAGATCAGAATAGCTGCTTAGAGAAATACAATAACAGTTTATGAGAAATTTTTAAAGGGTTGGCAGAGTTCAGTGAGAGCCCAATTGAGATTCAAAAATGTAAACTTGAAGTTGACATTTTTTACAAATGTTTTAGACATTTTCCAGCAATGCCCAACAACCCTGGAGTGAAAGCAAAGGCAGCAGGAAGTGGGTTTGACTCAGGATTAGGGGTTCCTCAGGTTAATAGAGAGATGGGTTCTGACACAAATGACCAAACAGCATCCAAAGAGACTGATGGATGGATAAGAAGAATGTGAAGAGACCAGAAATCAGCATAAGAAAAAAATTCAAATTCATTGGGTTTGATGAAAAGTGACCTCTAGGGTGAGACAGAATGTAAGTGCTAGGTTCAATATAAAAATAAATAGGTTATTTTTTATTATGTCATGAAACTTGGCATTTCTAATATGTAACATAAACTTAAGGTTTTGTCCTTTCTAGCAGCAATGTTATACAACACATAATTCATGAATAAATTCTAGTTTTTCACAGTACTTTGCTGATGTTCACAGGAACACACCCATTGGTATCTTACGTTTAAAGACACCTAGAAAACAGAAAATATCCCACCACTATTTACCAAAAAAGGAGAGGGAAACTTATAGATTAAAAGATTACTAAGAGACATATCAACAAAATGCAATGTGTGGACCAGATCTTGTTTGGATTTCAACAAAACAACTGTAAAATGACATTTAGGTAACAATCAGGAAAAGATCAACACTGACTGGATATGTGATAATATTAATTATTATTTTTATTCTTTAGGTTTGATAATTACACATGGGGTATGTTTTCAAAAGCTTTTTTTTAAAAAAAAAAGACAATCACATTGAAACAATTCAGATGAAATTAAAAATATATGATGCATGAAATTTGCTTTAAGGTAATTCAGCAAGAGTGGGAGATACGAAGGAAGCAAAATTGACCACAAGTTGATAATTACTGAAACTGATTCTTCATATACATATGTTTGAAAACTTCCATAACAAGATGTTAAGTATTCAATAACCTATCTTAGCTTTTACTCTATCTTATTCCTCTTCTCATGGTTTTTTTTTCTATTTTTATCTCTCTTTAACTCGTATATAACATTCTTGCTAAATTTTCTCTTTTTATTTTTGTTCTCATTCTCCCAAAGTCACCTGTCAGTATTTCCTTTTCTTCCACAAGTGTCTGTCTCTGTATATCTATTTCAATCTGGGATCTGCCATTTTCTACTCGGGCAAACTGAGAGAAGAAAATTATCTCTGAGCCTCTATTTCCTCATCTATAAAATCAAATAAATACTTCCTGTCCCATGGGATTATTGCGAAAATTGAGATTATGAATACCAAGTTGTTAGAGCAGTAGCACATGGTAAGGAAGCATTAAATAGTGGCTATGAATAAAAATGTTGGTGACAATATAACTTGAAGAATAGAAACTGATAGTCCACATGTAAAGAGAAGATTGGTGAGGTGTTTCACATTTCTCAAGCCATTATTTTTAATTTATGTTGACCTTAACCAAATATTCTTCCAACAATTAACACAACAAATACAGCAAAACAAAACTTCCTATTCCCATTTTAAGAGGCTGCATTCTTTACTTGGGTGGTAATTGTTTCACTTTGATGTCAAGTATAAACAATTAACCTAGCATAAAAAATCAAATATACTGCAAAGGAAAAATATAGTCCTATTTATTTTTTAGTAATTTCCATTTGAGTAAAAAACTTAAATGTAAAGTAGTTATAGTCAAGTCATAAACTGGTAAAGTAGCAATTTTGTATTTAATGTAATATATTCCTACATCTGTACCCAATAGTCAATTTCTATCTACCTAATCTCCTGTTTATTTCACTCCACTATTCCTCATTCTTCTCTTGGATATTTTCACACCAATAGCTTCCGTAAATTATGCATTATTTTTCACTTTCAAGCCTGAAACTTGAAAGACAGCATACCTTTGGTGGTAGAAAACATTTGTTCTCAAAGCTAAAGATGTGAGAAATAAATTTTCAGGGGGCCATCAGGCTAAACTGAACAACTTTAGCCATGTTACTTAGAATACTAACTGAATATTCCTCTCACAAGTATTTAACAACTAACGATAAATGAAAATAGATAATCTATAAACAGATAAACAATATATAAATATAATATATAGTTCAAATTATAAAACTTAGAAAATATTTTTCAATTGGGCTGTAAGATGTAGAGTTTGTATTTTATTAACAATTTCTATTTTCAACTTTTCAAGTAATGATTAAAATCTCACCGTCAGAATCTTTTTTTGTTGTTTTTTTTTTTTGGCTGGGGAAATTATGAAGCATAATTCACTTCCTTTATGAATTCAGGTTCATAAAAAAGAACTTGTCAGTGTTCTGATTTGGAAGGTTGCTTCTGTTTATTACGTATTTTACATCTAAAAATTGACATTTTATTGAAATTGAGATTGCCTATATCAAAAGCTAAAACAACCACATTTACTTCAACCATTTTCATTACATTAAACCAAATTGTTTTATTTGTGAAATTCAAAAACTTTCACAGCCTTATGTATCACACTTGATATTCTAAATAAATGTTATTTGGGAAAATAAAATATGCTTCATATAAATATATCCTCAAGCAGACAGTTAAGTTATAAACATAGGGATCATGAAATATAATGATTAAAGAAGAAGAAGAAAATGAGACAAAGAGGGCAAAACATAGAAAAAAGGTATAAAAATTATCTTGGAGCAGTACATTAAATGTGGTTATTGTACCAAAAATATAAAATGGCATTTAAAAACTTACTTAAACTTTACATATGTCCAAAGGCTGAATAATTTCATCTTTCATACATAAGGACACAAATAATATTAAAAAGATGTATCTATTGTGATCAGCAACATTTAAATTAGAATTTCAATTTGGGCAAATGAAATATTTTGAGACAATTTAAATATGCCTATAATTTAGATTTCTTGAGACTTCATTTTCAGAAACATAAAATGGCAAGAGAAAATTATATCAGATGGCCAATAAAAATCCCAATAGTCACAGCGAAGGAAAAATTATCCAAATTATTAAAATGTGAAGCAGTTCAGTAAAAAATCTAACCTTAAGCTATTATTACTGACCTTACGAAATACAAAAAAGCCATATGCTAAGAAGGGGCCCAAAGTATTGTGTCATCTGAGAGGAGGGAAGAAAAGGGTTTTGTAAGATATTCTTCTGAATTTATAATTTGTGACAGTATGTAACTTATTCAATAAAATATTTAATTTTAAAGTAAATTACAATTTGTGAGCATCTAAAACAGGCTCCTAACCCCACTTCCTGAGGTAATCTTATCACTAATTATCCAGCTAAAAGTGAAAGATCATCTCACTATTTTTTTAGACTTAATGTCAGACTGCCTTTGCTTTTGTTTTTTTTTTTCTTTAACTCAAACTTCCTAAGTAAAGTTTAGGGGCATTTCTTTCAATTCTAACATCTGTATCAAAAAACAAAGAAGCAAACAAATAGTTGGTAACATTCTATATAAAAATGTATAAAATATTTTTCTATTACACATACACACACACACACACACACACACACGCTGTGTGTCATTCTGCATTCCTCTCATGCTCACTCTCTCTGTACCCCCCAGGAGAAAAATGATAGAAAACAGACTAAGAAAAGAAAAATAGCTATAATTTTGCAACCAGGAAAAGTGATTCTTTTCCTTTCATCTTGGTATATGTATATTTTTACAAAGCTGAGATCATCTTAGGTATGTGATATTGTATGTTGCATGTTTATCATTATAGTATATTTTCTTATTACAAACTGTTGTTACATCCCATGTTTGGGAAAAAAAACAGTTCTTCAAAGCAGTATAAAGAATGTAGTCTGCACACAGAAAGACCAGTCATAAATCTGCTGCAGAAGTCCAGAAACGAGAATCTAACTTAATTGGCAAAGGGGATTCTATCATTCAGGGTTCTGGCAGGAATCCAAATTTCCCTAAGAGATTTCAATGCTGACATTTACGAAAATGAGACATTTATGAAAAGACTATTTACTGAAGTGTGAGCATGGCTAAGGAAACCAGCATGGGAGACAGAACTCTGGCACTCAAGGAGTGAGGGAGCAAGAGAAAAAACAAGCAAGCAAACGGAAAGTGAACTCTGCCCCGCTCTAGTGTTCTACTCTCCTGCTGGCACTTCCTACTAGGCAACCTGGTGACCACCAGAAAGGCAGGCAGCAAGGAAGCCCAGCCAATGCAGTCCATGGCATTAGCCTCGGAAAACGAAAGGGCAGAGAAGCATGGAAAATAGATCCGGTAGAGGCGGGAACAGAAAATAGCACGCTAAAGGATGTAGAACAATGAATTCGGATTTCAGAGATATTTAGAAACTAGGTGGCAAATATAAAACCTGACAGTCAATTGGATGGTTGGGTACATGAGGAGAATGTATTTCCAGGTTTCTTGTTGGCTAAGTGATTGGTGTTGTCAATTACAGACATCTGTATATTGATTGTTGGATAGAATCCATCTGGCTTTGGGTCGCTGAGTTCCAGCCATCTATGAAACAGCTAGGTGGAAACTCATTGTGAGCTGGTTTTCATGGTCTGGGTCTCAGAAGAAAGCTCCTGGCTTCCAATTTCCAATCTATCTTTCTTTCAGATAAACTATTTAAAAATAATTTATGGAATCATATATAAATTCTTTACAATGATATTCAGTGTCTACCAAAAGTTAACTTTTCTTCTTAGTTTCACATCTTACTGAATCTTCCATGTGTGCTGCTCTGATGGCCATGTACTTTCCCAATATCATGCTCATGTCGTTCCTTCCATCCAAAATCCCCGTCTTTTCTTTTCTCTAAGAAAATTCAACTCATCTTTAAAGGCACAGGCTTCTGCAGTCCTCTTCATAAAGCCTTTGCCAATTCTCCGAGCCTAAATTAACTGCATCCTAATTTATGCTCCTCTACAGTTTAGGTATACTTTTAGTGGAGTGTTTATTTTATTCAGCCTTGTTGCTTACTTATTACTTTCTTGGGGGCAATAAGTTACTTGAGGGTAGGTGTGGACCTAAGTCATTGCTGTATCCCATCCAATTAACTAATATAACTCAATAAAACTTATTATTCACTGTTATTTCTCCAAAGCATCAGGTACAGTTATTTTCAAATACTAAACATGCAAATAAATATATTTAATGAATATTTCATCTTTTTTCTTTTGAATTCCTGAAAATTGTAATAATTTTCTAAATGAAGCAATGCCTCAGAAATCTCTCATGGTATTAGGTTGGTGCAGAAGTAATTGCGGTTTCACCACTGAAAGTAATGGCAAGAACCGCAATTACTTTTGCACCAAACTAATAGTTTTCATCTGGAATCTACAGCATTCCAAGAGGGAGTTGGATTGGAATATATGGACTGTTATTACTTTGCTTGCTGGTCTTCTGGTTCTAGGTAATATTTTATGCATGAACACCTGTATAAAACAGCTAGAAGACTCCTAAAGGTCACCCGCCATATATTCAAATGAAGTATAACCTGAAATACATTCTAAATGCTACAAGTAATAAATGTAAAAAACATGAATCTTAGTAAATTTGGAATAATAACACTTGCATTGTGGAAGGTATTGTAAAAATCAAATTTCTCAAAACAGCTCTATGAGTTGTGTTAGACAAGTAGTATTATTTCCACTAATACAGACACACGCCAAAGACATCAGCAATAAAAGGTTAAATATCATAGAAACTAATATTTATTTAAGATCACACAGTAAGTGATGAAGTTATGACTAGAACTAGTTTTCTTCTAGATCAGTACTCTACTATTATACTATATGACTCCAGCCCCCTACCAAAATCAAGGACAAATGGGTATACCTGAGGGGTTCCAGAACATAGAATCCAAATTGATCACAGATATATGGCTAATGCTCCATTAATAAGAAGGGTCAAGGAACAGTGTGATTCAAAGTTCCATTCTTGAAGTACACCTGTACCCCATGTTCTGGAATCCTGCCTCAAACTTCTGGCAATTTCCATGTTACTGCCATTTGGGTGAGGCTGGTATTGAATTGTACATTGTCTCTATGATGAGCTATAGCTGAAGCAAGTCTAGGACAGAATCTTAAGTCCGAGAACTTCAATTATAAAAGCACCTAAACCCATTATGGATGAGAAATTATAAAATATAATTTTTAAATTTTTAATTTAGAAATTAGAAATTAACTAATCAGAATAAACCAGATATCAGAAAATGTTCATCTATGCTAAATGCATACAATATTTATATGACAGATTTCAGAGTGTTTGAAGGAGCTCTTTTCTTTGGTAGTAGAATGATACTTTAGGAATAACTCTCAAAAATGAAAGAACCCTATCTATTAAAAGTTAGAATCTCAACAGTGAAAATACAATAGCTCATGGAAGAAATTGCTTAGTTTCTAATAAAAAAATAGAGGAAAGAAAAAACATAAGGGAATAAGGAGTTTGAGAGTGAACGAAATCACTAAATACAACTTCTATCAGTAGAATAGCTATCCTTTACGCAGCACCCACTCTGACAGTAATTGCTAGACTTTTTTTTTTTTTTTTTTCCATGAAATCCCAAGAAGGCAGAAATCTCCATTTGGTCAACAAATTAGACAGCAACAGCTGCCCTGTTATTTTGAAAGTATCAAGCCCACTTTTTTTTCATCCTCTAAATTATGGCCAAGAAGAACCTTAAATAAGTAATGGTAATTTTTTATTCCTTAAGTGGACTTTGATTCATAACAGAGTTCTACATCATATCTGTCTCATGTCATTCCTTTGATAAAAATCATATAGTAACTTATTCAAGCTAAATATGTTCTCATAATACTTATGACCTTAGGTCTCTTCCCAAGCCAATATAAAAAATGTATTAGCTTTAGAAATCAAGATTCCTTCAAATTTTAATATATCCTCAAAAATTTGGCAACATTACAGTGTTTAACCAGAACCTCGCATGGAACAGAAAAAATTCATACATTGAACAAATACATAAATTAGGTCAACTCTGACCTCTGAGGTGCCTTCAAACTCTGAAATTCTATGACACTGTTTTTTAAAAAAAAATCTTCATAAAACATTCTCTATGAAAATATCATCAAAACCTCTCTTCTACTTCCTCAGTCTCACCCTGTCAGAAGGCTCCTTATGTTGAAAGCTAATGAGATGTTAAGTATAGAAATTGAAAGTAAAGATCAAGTGAGAGCAAAGAGAATAAAGAACTGAAGAGATGCAGTGCTAGGTTTCTGAGAATGGTTACTAATGTTACTCAAAAACTTACTCACTGAATTTTTTTTAACTTTTTTTATTTTAGCCACATTTAATAAAGCTTTGTGGTTGTTTATTTTCCACGGTAATACTTCTAAATCATTGAGATATGTAAATAAAACAATCTACGAAAAATAGCATATTCTTAAATACCATTTGATTGAATAAAACAATAAGAATAATCTTTAATTAAAAACATAATAAGACTAATGTAGATAATAGCTTTTCTATCCTAAAGAAACAACAAAAGAGGCTGGAATACGTTTCTAGCATCTGTTTTATTTTACAGTTAACTGGCATTCAAGGAAAGGCACAGGCTGATAATGGATGCATAGCACGTATTAAAAAGTAGGCTTTCTCCATATAACTGTAATGAGTATAAATTTGATGCTACTGTTCACCCTTAACACATTATAATAATAGAACAAATGGAAATGGGCATTCATAAAACAGAATGGGTTTCAATATAATCAGGAAAGAATGTCTAACCAAAAGGGTTCACAAATATATATTAGACAAAAGAGACTGTATAATACCTGCTGTATCTGTGAATATATTATTTCAGTATGTTGTTATTTAGTCATATTACTTGGACTGAAATATAATTCTTAGCAACATCCTCTATCAAATCACCATTTTTAAAAATAATCTATTAACTGAGAGAATGGTAAATAACTTGTCTTGCTTTAACTATATACTATACTTCATTAGATTGAGTTTTCAGTCTAAAAATAATTGTTTTCTCGGCCAGACATGGTGGTTCACGCCTGTAATCTCAGAAATTTGGGAGGCCGAGGCAGGGAATCACCTGAGGTCAGGAATGAAAGACCAGCCTGGCCAACTTGGTGAAACCCCGTCTCTACTAAAAATACAAAAATTAGCTGGGCATAGGGGCACGCGCCTGTGATAGCAGCTACTCGGGAGGCTGAGGCAGGAGAATCGCTTGAACTCAGGAGGCAGGGGTTGCAGTGAGCCGAGCTCATGCCATCGTACTCCAGCCTGGGCAACAGAGTGAGACTCTGTCTCAAAAAAATAAATAAATAAGCATAAAAATAATAATAATTGTTTTATTGGTTTAAATTTAGATAATAAAATCTGATAAAATAGGTACCAAAACACCAACTCAATTCATTTCATGTATGTTAACTATATAGGGTAATTGTCACAGATTCTGGCACTTTTGTCTGCTCTTAATGGTATAAATGACCTAGTTTATATTTAAATTGAACTAGACACTCTATATCTTGTGGTCCTTTGAAAATGCCATTTAAATAGAATCTACAGTCTCCATAGAGATAGAACCAGCTGATCAGTTGAAACAAAGAGTCTTCATTTAGAATGTCACTGGTTATTTTAATACTTTTTTTTTTTTTTTCGAATAGTAGGTGCAGTGGAATGAAGGCAAAAGGATAGTGTCAGGGAGAATATATATAAACTATTCTGTATAGAATCTTAACCATGAAAAGAAAGAGGAAAAATCATAACTAACATAAATAGGATAAATAGTGGGATTTTGTTCTTCTAATAGAAGAGAAAAACATGTTTATAGGGGGCAAATGGGGAAAAACAGAAATGGAGAATTCATAATATAAAGGAAGCAATTTCCTTTATATTATGATTGTGATCATAAAAGATTATGATCCTATGGCCAAACCTTGATATTTTAGTTTTATTCAACTTTCTTAAATGTCTCTATTATTTATTTTGTTAACATATAAGTTTTAGCCTTTACTAAGTTACATAACCTTTCTAAACTTTTTATTTTCTCAACTGTGTAATTAAGAAAATAGTAAAGACTTTTTTACACACACAAAGTTTTAGACAGGAGGAATAAATTTTTGAGATCTACTGCGCAGCATGTTGACGATAGTTCATAATAATGTATTGTATTCCAAAACGGCCAAGAATAAAAATGTTGAGTTCTTACCACGAAAAAAATAGGAAAGAATGTGAGGTGAAAGATATGTTAATTAGCTTGATTTATTTACTGCACAATGTATACATATATTAAAACTTCACATTGTACCTGATAAACATATACAAGTATTATTTGTCAATTTTTAAGTTTCAGGTTCATAATTTAGTCCTTTCAGCACAATCGCACACGTACTGAGAGCTTCATATTAGGGAGATAACTGGCTTCCTGAGGATTCCTGCCACCCAGTCAGTAGTAAAGCTAAGACTTTACCACTATGCTATGCTATTCCCAGAACAGCAGGGGCCAACAGTTCCAAACAGCACCACCATCTTATATTTTCTTTGCAGCAAATAAATTCTCCCTGCTGACCCCAGGTTCTTTTCTCCACCTCTTGCTCTTTGAGTAGAAACAGAGAAGACTTTATTCCCACTAGGTGCCCTGCAACTACTCCTCCTATCCACCTACTCCAGGTCCTGCCTTAACCACCATTGCTACTACCTCTGCCAATCATTTTACAACTTGCCAGAATGTCTTTCCTTTCTTTACAGATCGTTGATCTCCCATCCTCTCCCTCCTCCTTTCTTTCTCTGCTCTCTTATTTCCCTCTAATTTTCTTCTTTCTTCCTCTTTCCCTGCTCCACAGAATATATTTTTTCTCTGCTTCTTTTTACTGCTTGCCTTCTCCACAAAGCTGGTAGTATTTGCCACCCACTCCTACTATGCCAAGTTTGGCTTGCATTCAGTTCCCGAAGCCATGGCCAAATCCTGGCTCTTACCACATTCTGGCTTCATAGCTCTAGTCCTAATGTCATCTACTAACCTTAGTATCTAAGTCTCTTAGTCTAATGTCTTAATCCTCAGTCAGAACATCTTTGGTACACCCATGGAATGAATAGTAATGACTGGCATGGGCAGAGGTGAAGCCATATCCATATGTTTATTTTTTATTAAAAAATGTACTGGGCTCTCATTCGCTGACAGGCACCTGTGAGAGATATTAAAACAGAGCCGTGGAGTGGGGCAAGGAATGGGAGGTGTGTTTTCCTTAAATTGTCTTAGAAAGTAGGGGGAGGCAGTGATCTAGTTTAGAACAATATTTAATCTTTGGACGACAGCACCTCTACATAGAAATGTCAGTACCTGTAGATTCACTCCACAGGTACCTTAGAACTTGTGGAAGATCATGCTACTGGCTGCTTTTGAAGAAGTTTTGTTTTTTCAGATGGACTTGATAACTGCCTACATATCAGCATATGTACTGATCATCATTCTCTAGCAACATTAAAAACCTGTGAAGACCAACTACTTTGTAAAGCATTTCAGGAGAGAAAGAGTCTTTCATTTATAAGTTTTTAAAAACATTGACTCATAACTTAACAATTGAGCAATGAACAATATGTAAACAGACTTTAAACTGTGATTAGTCTGAGGAGCCTTAAAATAAGCAGTAAATTATATTGGCCAAATGAGAGGGCACAACAACAATCTAGGATGCAGAGGACAGTTTTCAGCCAAACAAAAGAGGTTTCTCCCAGCCATAATGGATAAGGGTTGCCATGAAATCTTAGTGAGGAGGAGCTGGGAAGTGATATGAGAATCTACTCTGTACATGTGTGGTACATAAGCATATGGGGCAACGATTCCAATATTTGCCTGAAAAATGAAATGTAAGACTGTACAGAAAATGTCAGAGAAAAAAGTAATTAAAAAAACCTATTATGCTAGAATAAAATAGTATGTAACTAGCATATAAGAAGCAGACAAGTAGAAAGGTATGTAGAAAAAAATAAAGAATGAGTTAAAAAAACACTTGAGATGATTTTATGAAGACGATTTTATAGCAGTTAAGAAAGGATGAAATATTATATTAATGTAGTTAGGAAATAATAAAGATTCATACCCCAAAAGAATAATTATTAAAACCGATATAAGTGGCCAAGAAACATATAAAAAGATGCACAAGACCTCAATAACAGATGACTGCAAATTAAACTACCATGTTTTGCCTGTCATCTTTGTTAAAAATTGAAGCTATTGACAACATTCAAAGTTAGCAGGTGGTGTCAGAAATATTCACATGAAGTCTCAATGGTAGTAGAAATGCAGACAATTTTCCTAAATGGCAATCTGGCAATGTTCTTTACAGTGAGTAGGTGACCAAGCCATACTCTTTTGCCATGCCGGTCCAACTCTTTGGACTTATCCTAAAGGAAAAGCATGATTCAAATATACAGAGATATGTATACTTGCATGTTCAGCACTACACTCTCTACACTTACATTTGTAAGAAACTTAAATGTCCAATAAATAATAAGGCATTCCAATTATGGTACACGTATATAATGGAAAACAATGATAAAAATAAGTCAAGTTCAAAGAATGCTGAAATAAACCCACTTATTGAAATATAGAGAAATATATCCATAGAAACAAATCTATAAATATATGCAAATTGTATGAGGTTATTTTTATTATTTTCTACATATCTTCTTGTTATACATGAATATTACCTTAAAGATGACTTGTTCTATTTTTTCTAGTTATCAAAATGTACTTGTTTTAAATATTTGTGAAAATAAAGTGTATAAATCTCATCTTACACCTTGGGGGTTCAATTACTCTGAACAAATCATTTTGTTTTACTCCTAAAAGCTAAAGAACCCTTCAAGATTCTTGTACACAGAGAGAGAGCAAGTACAGTAATCAGCACTCCTTGAAAAATTCTGTCTTAATAAGACTTATTTCTGCCTGACTGAGTTACAGGTTATGTGGGGATCACTAATAGAGTACTGGAAATAAAATGAGGAGACAATCTGACATTTACACAAAATAAGGGGAGCTATTGCCTGGAATTCTATGGTCCTCTTAATCTTAGGACAAACATAAAAATATGGAAAAATGTAGAAAAATGTCAAAAACAAGGTAACTATGATGATCAATGAGGGCATGTGTAGCCTCCAGAAAAACAAGTTAATCAGAACTTCCACAAAGACGATGATCATAATAGAGTTGAAGACTGAAATCATGACACCTGCACAATTCCTAATAACATAACCCCAGAAAAGAAGAAATTCGATATAGTAGATATTGGACCTAAGGAATCTCTACCTGTAGAAGTTGGCAGAGTCAAGACAATAGAAATATGATCCAGAATGAGAGCTGGGCACTGTAGCCCATGGCTGAAATCCCAGCTACTCGGGAGGCTGAGGAGGGAGGATTGCTTGAGGCCAGGAGCTTGAGAAATATAATCCAGAATGAGTAAAAATAAATCCATAATTTATAAATTTGCAAACACCTCTGAAATGGAACTTGAGGGCATCTCGGGACAAAGCTTTACTTTTTGGAGTCAGATCATGGAGGACAATTGCTCTGCTATCTTTAAAAATACAGCTTGGTGTCAATGTGAGAAAGAAAACATTGAGATATAGGAAATAATGGTTGACCCAATACACCAATCCCTTCATTATGAGTTAAATGAAATAGAAAATAACTGTGTTGAAAGTGTTTCAGGCAAATAGCAGCAAATTTGCATATTATGAATACAAATAAAGTCATGATTCCTAAGTAAGAGGGACCACGGATGGGAAGACAGCTGACCTGTAAAGGCTTGAAAAGGAGGAAAAATAGGGCTTACAGGAAGGAAATATAGTCTTCAAATTAGCTGTTTGTCATAAAAATGACACACCTGTCACTAAATAACATCAACCTGTCAGAGTTAAAGTGCTTAATTACCTTAAATTGCTTCTCTATAAATCTGGTTTAAAAAATTATCTGAATGTAAAATACTAAATTTTCCTCCAGGTCATTGCAAGAAAGAGCTTAGTACCTTGACCGCATAACTTCAACCAGCAAATATTGTTTATTTTCTTTATGTTGTTTCTTTTATAATGTTATGTTTCAACATTAAAGAATCAAATAAGGGAAACAATGAAATTTTTAATAAGAACCTCTATAAGTTATTAACTTTTTATATCATAGCAATGCTGCATCTCCACATTTTAAAAGCTTCTTTCAGGGAATATGTGATGTGTTATATATTATCTCATGACAGAAAATTCTTTAACATAATGGCTTTCAGAAATAAAACTATCTTGTAACAGGCTTTTATCACATTTGCTCAAGAGGATAATAAGATACAGTGTTGTTGTTTTTTTAAATCGTGAGAAACTTTGTAAACCTGAAACAATTTTACTTACTGATATTCTATATTGATCCAGGTGTTTACCAAATTCCCCTGTCCCACTGGAGTTTACAGTCTAAGAACACATGGTAGATGTATTAAGAGGAGTACAACAGTTGTCAAGGATAACAGCCTGAAAAGAAGGATCAATATAAATTGTGTTCTGAGTTATTTGTCATCTGTAACCTTCAGGCTTTCTTGTTTTAGTCTGTTCAAGAATCCTGGCTTGGCTAGATAAATAAACAGATTCCCAGTTCTTTCCACACATGGATAATAGCTTTTGTTGTCAGTAACACAACATTTTTATAGTGTCAAAGAGCAATCATGTTCTAATAGGCAATTTTAAATTTTGACCTATGATTACTCTTTAATGTCTGAATACACAATTAGAGTTGTTTGAATGTTGAGCCCACGCGTGCCTGCTGTTATTTATTGGATACACATGTGGATACAGTGCTTGTGGTTCTATGCCCACATTTCCCAGCCTTTCTTACTAAGTAGAAGGGGGTGGTCTATCACACTCATCAGTTTTGGCATTTCTCACTTTCTTGTTAAAGGAACTTATTTGAGGCATACCATCATTTAGCTGCAAGCTATAGAGTCAATTCAGCCCTCCTAGGTCAAGCACTGGATTTCCTGTGCATATGTGTTACATATATGTGTATATTGTCACTGACACATACTTATTTCTACATCTGTTCTCCCTTATTTTACCCCTGTCAACAACACTTACTTGATTACGAGCAAAGACAGAATCTATGGCAACAAATAACTTTAAAATAAATGCTTCATTTTGAATATTTTAAAATGAGTTATTTTATTTTTTATATTTTTGAACTATGAAACAGAAATCAGATCAGCTATTAACTTCTTCCTCCAACAGTACTCTCATTTTTTCTGCTTCAATATTCTTCAAGAATAGTACACTCCTGTCAGGCAAAAGCTCACATTACACCTGGTGCTTCCTACTGGGGCCAAAGAAAATGAGCAGTTTGAAAAGTTCCCCCAGAGATCCTGATATGCCAGCATGGGGTAGGATAGGGCCTCCCTCTTTTCTCATCACTCCAACCCACTGAAAGACAATGATCTAAAAATAGATTGGTTCTTTGTTCTTGCTTTCATGTTGTGCCTTGCATTTATATGAAAATACCAAATATTGGAAAGCCCCACCATTAAGGTTATATGTGCTACAGAAATGAATGTACAACAAAAACTTCATGTACATGATATTTTGCATAACAAATGTTAATTTTGACAAAAACTTAGCTTTGAAATGTGATACTGTGTTTTGTAATCATCACTAAACTATATTATCATAGGATAAATTACTAACTTGTTTCATATATCAGGTTTCCTTTTTGTTTTAATGTGAGTTGTTTCATTTTATTATAATTGAAATACATGCTCTGGGTCATTTCATTGCTGGAGCGCAACTTACCTTCAGTCAGAAAAAAACTGAAAATGAACATGTGAACAACATTCAGTTTGGTATTTCCACTAGCTATTGAAAAAAACACCGACTGCTATGGTAACATTCATGTTTGTGTTTCCCCGAATTCTTATGTTGGGATCCTAACCTCTAAGGAGACAATATATTAGGAGGTGGAGCCTGTGGGAGGCCTCATGAATGGAATCAGTGCCCTTATAAAGCTGGTATCAGAGAGCTCCCCGCCCCTTCTCTCATCTGAAGGCATAGCAACATGCTAGTCATCTAAAACCAGGAAGTGGACCCTCACCAGACATCCAAACTGCCAGTGTCTTGATCTTGGACTTCCAAGTCTCCAGAATTGTGAGAAATAAATACCTGCTGTTTAAAAGCTGCTCTGCTTATGGCATTATGTTATAGCAGTCCTGAACAGATGAAGACACTGACAAAAACAAGTTGAAGAGAACACTGAAATCATTAGGTATAACGAAAGATAAAATGTGTATTGTGAATCCATATGGAGAGTTGCTACATTTACTACAACAAAAGAATCCTAAAATCTCAATGCAAAATTACCCATGCTTGTGATTTTTGAAATCCTTAGAAATGTTTAGAAAAACCCTTGTACCGATTCTCCCATGCACCCAAGTGTTATATGTAACACCCTTCAAAAATAATAGAGCCTTTTCAATTTCTACTTTATCTATTTATATGACTAACTCTAGATTTCATGACAAATTAAAACTCACTTTTTCTATTTCTCATTTTTATTTAAGAAATATGCTGGGCATTTACTATGAGCTCGAAAATGTTAAATGGGGAAAGTACGGTTCCTATCTCAAGGACTTCAAAGTCTAGCTGGAGCAACAGGCATAAACAAAGATTTGAGTCACTGCCTGATTAAGTGCTACAGAAAATGTGCATAGCAGCATGGAAGGCAATAATGAACTAACTTGGAAAGTTCAGGAAATGCTTAATAGAAAAGACACTTCAAACCTTACAGAAGAAGTCAAAAGGAACACTGCAAGAGACCACCAGTAAGTTAAAAAGTTCCTGAAACAGTCCAAGCAAAAGATCATGCATGCCTAAAGTAGAGCATGTGGCACTGCGAATAGAGAAAATAGAACCAATTTGATATATGCTGGTGATAGAATCAACAGGTCTTGACAAAACTTTGGATGAGGTTAGGGAAAGGTACGGGAAAGAGGAAAGAGTTAAAACATAACTTCAATGTTACTATGTTGAATGAGTTGTTAGATGGTAATTCCATTATCCTAGTCAGAAGCTATAAATGGTAATAACCAGTTTGGAAGCAGAGTAGAGATAAGGAGTTCAGTTGGGGAAGTAAGTACCTAGTTTGGGGTCTATGGAACACTCAGGTAGGGATGTCCAGAAGACGATGTTCATGAACTAGCAATGATGGGCAGCACTTCATTTTTTGTGGCCTTTGTCCCATTTCTCAACAAGTAACAAATGACCTACAAAGACCAGCCATCTTCATTTCTGAGTCCACGAACAATGTAGAGGCGACCCAACCCTGCTTCACACTTGAACAGAGCTAATGATAAGTCTCCCAGGAAATTCTGTTATTCCTGCACTGCTGGGGGGCTAACAGGGAATTTCTTTCTAAGCTAGAGACATATTGGACGGAGAAGAGCATCAGAAAATAGCAATGGGCAGGTTCCAGTATGTCAGGCACCCGTTGTTTCTCTCAAGCATTAATTCTAAGAGGAAATATAGAGAAAGCTATACTGGATTCTTAGAAAGCCTATTTAAGCCAGCAATTTTAGCTAACACCCAAAAGGGGAGGAATAATGTATCATTAGCCACCCCAAGAAAGACCTACTGAATAGAGGGAGAAAAAAATAAATATATTAGTTATATACAACCAAAAAGTATACATGACATCATAATCTTTCAATTTTCTGATAATTCTAGTTTAAACATATGTAATAATTCAGGTATGTTTCTTATTCATTCGGGTATTTTCTCTGCCCCCAAGTAATTGTTTTACTTGATTATGTTGTAATTATAACACCAAATTTCCTTAAACATTAAGGTTGCTGATTAGAAAATAAATAGTTCAGGCAATATTTCTATTTTATGCTTATCTAATCCCTATATGCTTGCCAAAAGCATTACTGATGGTGAACTTGCATGTGAGTTATTTCATTCTTTTTCTTCTAGATATCTTCATGTTGTTTAAATTTCTTTTTTACTGAATCATCTTACCAGTTCAGACAAAAAGAAAGAAAATGACTAAGAAATTCCAGAATATAACTCTACCCAATAAGAGATTA
The DNA here is from genome assembly GCF_000001405.40 of Homo sapiens. Taxonomy (NCBI): domain Eukaryota; kingdom Metazoa; phylum Chordata; class Mammalia; order Primates; family Hominidae; genus Homo; species Homo sapiens. Next base: position 54,897,604 of record NC_000006.12, on the reverse strand, counting down.
AACACTTGGACTGGACTTTGACAGCTAATTTAATAGTCAGGTTTCTACGTTGTTTTGCTTTTTTCCAGACATCTGCAGTTTTCAGATGGAAACTGTTATTAGGATTTCTGTCAAAAGTTCTAAAAAAAAATTTTAGGGCCTTATTTCCTATATTCTATTTATAGAGAATAAAATGATATATAAGTAAATGTCAGAAATTTTAACCTCATTTAAGGCTTTCCTATTTGTAACATTTAAACTACTGAGAATACATAACAATGCAATCAAGACTTTCATTATCAGCAAGGAGATTATATATATTGTTTTAGATTAATCATTGTGCCCATGACTGTTTCCCATATGTGATTTCCCCACTGTCCAGATGGTTTTTTTTTTTTAGATCACAACATGGGTTACTGCCATACCAGTGTAGCAGCAGTATTAGCTGGTAAAGCTGTCCCCAGGTTTGTTGTGAGAGTGGCCTAAAGGGTCTCAGAGAGAGGACAAGGGAAGAAATTTGGCAGTGACAATAATATTAACAGTAATGATAAAAAGGAGGACTCCAGGGAAGTCAAGACAGAAACAAACTCTAGCTAAATACTAACAGGATGGTGTCAAATGTATTTTCATAGTATTGTGCATTCTTACTGTTACAGTATGACCTCTAAGAATCTAGACTTAACTATAATATTCAATTATGTTTATTTTTCAACAAATATAATTGATTTTTGTTAAATAACTTCCTTCCAAAGATTGTGGCTAAAGTTTTCCTGACAGTTGTAGAAATGTGACTTCTTTAAGTACAAAATTATCTTTGTTGTTTTCCTTCTGTCAACTTTAAATGGAAAATACTATTAAATATAGAAGATACTTTCCTGACTTCTCAGAAATAGTGTCCAGAACATAATTTAAATTTAGTATTATTTAAAAATACTCTGAGACATTGACAATTTTAAAGGCTATTGAGAGTGGCAGTGGCCATATTCTTTTGCTTTATGCTGCTGTGTTTATGGTATTCTTTTGTACGCTTCTTAACAGTATTTCTCTTTCTTGTTTTCCTTTTAGACGTCAAGCTAACCCTTCCTTCTCTTATCAGTGTGGACTGGCCTCTTGTGTTCCAATTTCATACTTATAATCTGATGTGGGTGTGGAAAGAAGATCAGAGAACTTTGAATTATGTATAAAACAAGGGTAAATGAGCTCTGAGGTAGGACCAGGAGGCTTCTTCTACCAACAAGCTTTGCATGTCTGTTTTGGCTGCTCAGTGGATAATTTGTTCATTTCTTGTTTTTTGCATCATTCGAGATGGATGCTACAAGGTAGCCAAATCCAGAAAGGTAGAATGTTAAGATTATGCTTTTGGTATAATCAGTTGATGAGATATTTTATCAATGGTTGTATTTTTTTCCTTTGTTTGTTTTAAACCTATGCCATGTTGCCAGGCACGGTGGCTCACACCTGTAATCCCAGCACTTTGGGAGGCCAAGCAGGGGGGATCACGAGGTCAGGAGTTTGAGACCAGCCAGGCCAACATGGTGAAACCCTGTCTCTACTAAAAATACAAAAATTAGCTGGGCATGGTGGCATGGCCCAGTAATCCCAGCTACCAGGGATGCTGAGGCAGGAGAACAGCTTGAACCCAGGAGGCAGAGGTGGAGGTTACAGTGAGCTGAGATAATGCCACTGCACTCCAGCTTGGGTGATAGAGCAAGACTCCATCTAAAAAACAAAACAAAACAAAAAGGTAATCACAGCTACTCAGGAGGCTGAGGCAGGAGAATCACTTGAACCTGGGAGGCGGAGGTTGCAGTGAGCCAAGATCACCCCACTGCACTCCAGCCTGGGTAACAGAGCGAGACGCCATCTCAAAACAAAACAAAACAAACCTATGCCATGTTACTGGTTACTAGTTTCAGAACCCATTTTTCCCTAATTCAGTAGAAGTCCCTCTCAACAAAAACAATCATTACATACAACATACATACTACATAAAATATAAAAACTATGAATGTCAACTTCACATATTCAGTTCCAGAATATATGATGCTTGATATGTAAATGTGTATTAAAACTGTGGTGCAATAACTGAGTTTGAATAGATATTGCTTGTAAAAGTAATATTGCTTAAAAGATACTGCTTAAAAAGTTTAAAAAGTAGTAAAAATCAGAAGCACAAATTGGCACATCTACCTGAGGATATGAAAAAGACACTACATATCTTATGAAAATAAATGTACAAGTCCCACGGAGGTATAATAGAATTTTATGCAAGGCTAAAATAATAAAGACTGAGGAGACCTTGAAATGCTATTGAATCTGTCCCAAGACCTTTCCAAGACTATGGCTTTTCTAGGTAAACCAAATTTGTTCTCTTCATACTCAATAGTAATCATTTCTTCAATATCTCTTTGTAATGTTTTTCTCACTGATACAGTTTTGGATGTTGTTTCCCCACATCCTTTCTGAGTTACAGAATCTACACAATACAGTACTTTTAACACCACTGGTAATGCATGAGTTAAGACCTAGGCTTTGCAGTCAGAGACTTAGGTGTCAGTCTTGGATTCAGCTGCTGACCTTGGTCAAATTACTTAACCTCTTGAAATCTCAGTCTCTATGTGAACAATGGGAACATAATACCTTACCCACAATGTTTTCAAAGATCAAATGAAAGACTCTTTGAGGCATGTGTAGCATCATACATAAGACACTGTAAAAGCTAAGTGGTAGAGCTGAGATTCAAAGCCAGGCAGTCTGGATCCCGAGTTCATGCTCTCAACCACTGCCCTAAGCTGTCTCACAGTGTCTTTTCAAAAACCACAATATCAGATTTGTCCCTGCTTCTAAGTTTTCTGACCAAAGAAGCCATTTTGTATTTGAATTCTAAATTCTAAGGGCCTGTTACCCTTTCCAATATGTCATCAACTACACAAAAAAACTTAAGTAGCAGGCTTTGTATTCTATTCCAGTAAAAATCAAAATTTGTTAAACACCAGATGGTTGAGGCCAAACCCCTGTGGAGTTCTACTTCTTAGGTTCCCTAAGATGGCATAGATTCTTAATTAAAATCTCTTCAACTGTGTTCTCTCAAGTATAAGATACCTGCATAAACTAGACTTATTTGTACATTTTGTATGGCATGAGTGTGCATTTTCTTAGCAGACATCACACAAATATGTTAAGTTACAGAATGCGTATCATATTTCCCCAATTTACCTATGAGACTATCATCCTAAACAAAATCAAGAGATTCATCAGAATCCACATAGACCAATGTACCATCTTACCAAATTCTGTCAGGGAAAAAAAAAAAGTTCCTAGGACTTAAGTTTGTAAATTCTTGCCAGATTCACTGCTTCCTGAATTCAGATACAGAGCACTTGCAAGAACCACTTAAATCAATGGACACTACAATCCCTGAAGGCCAATGGTTACCCATATACAGCATTTATGTGATGAAAGCACAAAAGACATACTTAAATATAAGCTTTGAAAGAACCCTTCTCCCTCATCCTTAAGTTAAGCCTCTACAGAAAAATATAAAGGACCTAGTGGAAAGGAACACAGTTTACTTCATGGAATAATGAAGAGTGTTGATCTTTGACCATAATAAAACATACTGACTCGGGTTAAAATAAGGTGAGAAGAAACCAGTGATCTTTTATCACCTATAACACTTCAAGTGATTAGAATGTCAAATCATTTCCAAAATGGACAGAAGTAGAATGGCTACAGTAATAAATATTGAGACCTCACACATACATACATGTGCACTATAAATTACTCATTGGAGGCCCCTTTTATATTTCTCTGCATATAAATATTATCAAAGGAAACTCCTTGGCACTAAACTTAAGAAGGTTCTTGTAAAAAAAGAATCATTTCCCCTCTCTATCTATATATATCTATGCTTAACTATACACATATAGATATATATTCATGTATCTGAATTTAGATTTAGATACTGGCTGTATATACAACTTAATGTAGTAGAATCGTAATTCTTTAATTGGTTCATGTATGTTGGACATACAGCATAATCAGAAATGTGAAGCTTAAGATGAGGATGCCATTTAAGAACCACCTGGTGATGATAAACATTTATACCTAGAAATTTCCCAAAATATGAAGTATTAAGATACTAAACAGATAACCAGAACTTTGGTTCATATTTTGAGCTTTTATGTATTTACATGTTTCATTAAATAGTATAGACTTGGAAAAATTTGCCCTAATACACAAAATTATAAAATGTATTAACAAATAACCACAATATGAATAGACTGTGACAAGGAACAGGTTGATGGTATAAATAAAAAATTCTCAGGAGAAATATTATCTTACTAATAGAGACTAGATCTCCTCGAAAATATACTGTATTAGTTATCTATTGCTGCATAACAAATTGTTCCCAACATTTAGTGGCTTACAACCACACTTATAATCTCACAGTTTATGTGGGTGAGGAACCTGAGAGGAACTTGACTGGGCAGTGCTGATTCAGAGTCACTTGTGAATCAAAGCTGCAGTCATCTAAAGTTGACTGGGAAAGAGTATCTGTTTCCAAGATGGTTTACTCACACAGTTGTTGGTGGGAGGACTCAGCTCCTCACCCCAACAGCCTCTATATAACCTGCTGAGTCATCTCATGACACAGCAGCTGGGTTCCCATAGAGTGGATAATCCAGAAGAAAGCAAGGGGGAATCATGATGCCTTTATAACCCATGATTCATGCCATCACTTCTGCTATGTTCTACTCATTAGAAGGGAGGTACTAAGCCCCATCCGCACTTAAGAGGGAGACAATTGGCTCCACCTTTTGGAGGGAGGATTGTTGAAGTGTTGTAAATGTATTTTAAAATTATCACATGTAACATTTAAATTTGGTGTTTAAAATATAAATATATATACAATATATACAATATATATATTTATGTATATAATATTAATAGGAGGAGATGGAGAAGAGTATTTTTGGAAGAAAAAAGGGAAAGGAAAGATTCAGAGGCAGCCATAATAAGAATAAGACCATGTCCTTTGCAGGAACAGGGATGGAGGAGGCCATTATCCTCAGCAAACTAACACAGAAACAGAAAACTAAATACCACATGTTCTCACTTATAAGTGGGAGCTAAATGATGAGAACACATGGACATATAGAGAGGAACAACAGACACTGGGGCCTATTGGAGAGTAGAGGGTGGGAGGAGGGAGAGGATCAGGAAAAATAACTGAGTACTAGGCTTAATACCTGGGTGATGAAATGATCTGTACAACAAGCCCCCGTGACATGATTTTATTTATATAACAAACCTGCACATGTATCCCTGAACTTAAAATGAAAGTTAAAAAAAAAAAAGATTCAGAGGCAGAAAAAAAGGAGCATGTTAAATCTAGAAAGGCAGGTTGTTGGATGAAGTGAGGGCTTCTTTGGCACTTGCAGAATGCAAAGACACAGAGATTTATATTTAGAAAAGAATGACATTATCAGTGATCATTCAGGCAAGTGGCTACAGGAATACGGGAGAAAGCAGAAATGTTCATTAGCAAGATAAGTTAAGGGGACTGTTGCAAGTAATTACCAAATGTAGAGGGCAGAACATGGATGGTAGCAATGGAGAGCATTAGAAGGAGGTAGACATGGCAATTTCCAAGACCCAGTGCCTGTGGCCAGGTGTGCTGGCTCATACCTATAATCCTGGTACTTTGGGAGGCTGAGGTAGTAGGATCACTTGAGTTCAGGAGTTCTAGACCAGCCTGGACAACATAACGAGAACCCATCTCTATTTTAAGAAAAAGAAAAAAAAGAAACAAAACCCAGTGCCTGATGACAAAAGTGAAGGTATACAATGAGAGAGGAATGAATCATTATGTGATTCCAAGATACTGTAGTCTTGGCATCTAGGAATGTGATGATGCCTTTAACAGAGAGAGAGGATGAGAAAAAGTGTAGTGAGTTTTCCATTCTTCTAGCTACTATTTTGGACATGCTGCATTTGATAGGCCAGTGGGCCACAGGTAAATATGCTGGACCACCAGCTAGAATCACATAGGCTAATGTTCAGAAGACAGGCCACATCAGGTTGTAAATAGCAATAGTGCCAAAGTATGAAGGTAGAAAGCAGCAGTAAGAAATAAAATGTGGAGAGAGAACAGACCCAAAGCTAAAAGTCTTTAAAACATTCACTTTCAACAGATGGAAAGAGCAAAGAAAATCAAGAAACAACAGTTGAAGAGACAGGGAAAGAACAAAAAGAGAAATAACACAGAAACCAATGGTAAGAGAATTAAAGGCAAACTACTTACAGAGGAGTGGAAGAGACTAAAGGATATTACAAGGTTGCAGGCATGTCTTGGTCATGTGGACGACAGTAGCCTATGAGACACAGGTTAGGAGAGGAAGGAAAGCAAAATTCAGACTGCAGGGCTGGGAGGAAAAAGTAAGGAAGTAGAGCCCTTTATGGAAACTACTTCTTTCAAATGTTTAATGGTTAAAAGGCAAGAAAAAGGAATAATAACCTGAGACACTAGCAGCAGGGAAGCAAGCAACTCACTCTAGAGGACTGTCATGATGGAACACAGAGGAGAAGTAACCATAAATACAAATTAAAGGTATAAAAATTAAATGGAATCGCAGGAGGCTCAAGATCACAACTTTATTTTTTTTTTTCTCTCTGAAGAAAGCAAATTAGAAGTAATGGTAGCTGAGATTAGGCTTTTGAGACTGGGAAGACAGGAAGTTTAAAATTCACTCTGAATGTCCCCTATTAAACACAGGGATTTGTTGAGGGAAAGAGAACAAAAAGGTTCAGTTGAGTTTAAAACATTAATGCACATGATAAATGTGTAAATTTTTAAACTGATCTTATCACTGTTTCTTCTCACTGATTACATAAATTGAATGCAGTGATACACAGGTTACAGTAATCTATAGAATTCTTATGGTGGCAGGTGGTGGGGGAAGATGAGGGGAGGGCAGGGAATGGACTTTTTCTGCTTTTGAAGTTGAGATATTTCACATGTGTAACTGATGAGTGCATTCTTTGGTCACATTTCCTGTACTATTATGTTAAAATAATTGTTTGGACTCTTAATTTCTTTGATCTCACCCTTAAAAATAAAATAATATGGACATACAAGTTAACATGAAACTAAGCTTTGGGAAATCTATAACTTTGAGCTCCAGGAATTTTACTATTGTGAAACTACGTAAATAAATCCTAAAAACTGTGTTGATTGAATGAGAATTGGTCCAGTTTTACAAAAATAGAAAAAGGCAGATGACAAGGCAATCTTTTATTTTGGGAATTAGCTGCACAATTTTTCAACTTGGGTTGTTAAGAATTGAAATAAATTATGAAAATGTAACTTAGCAAAAGGTTGGTGTACTTGGTTCAATAAAACATTTCTTATTTCAATGTGTCAAATAATTTTGAAAATCAGATTAAATGAACATATACTCAAAAAAGTTTTGACATTACATTTTCCAAACCTATGTGTTCTACAATACAATTATTTTCTAGAATAGCTGTAAAGAATATGATGCAATAAAATTCTTGTATTTGGTTTTATTTATGGCTGTTCTTTTCATGTTTTGAATAGATCATGACTATATATATTTTTTAAACAAGTTTAACATAAATGGTTAAAATGTAAAACTTATAAGTATCAAAAACTTCACTACTAAATTATGTATGTTTGTAGGATATTTATAATCCCATTTTAGAAATACACACCCATAACTAATTTTTTAAGGCTTTAAAGCCATGAGTACTTAAACTCTATTATGTTTCCAATAGAGTCAACCATTTGTAAGTGTGTATCAACAACTTGGAGTTCATTCTCTAAGTTTATGAAGAAAATGAAAAGTCTACACATATATCCTCATATGTATATAGTCAGCACTCTGTCCATGATTCTGTTTCCAGAAAATATTTGATTTAAAAAACAGCAATTAAAAAAATACAAATTTTGGATACACAGTATAGCAATATTTACACAGCACTTGCTTTGTACTAGGTAGTATAAACAATCTAGAGATGATTTAAAGTATTCAGGAAGATGTATGTAGGTTATATGCAAATACCATGTCATTTTATATAAAGGCCTATTCATGGATTTTGGTATCCCGCATTGGTACAGGAAGGGGTGTGGGCGTCCTGGAACCAATACTCTGCGGTAGTGTTATTTTAAACACAGGGATTTATCGTATGTAGCTTAAATAGACAACACTTCATTGGGATAATGGTTAAAATCATGTTTCTTTATGTGCACTGCATAAATAAATGTTGGGAAAGTAAGACATGGGAAGAAAAAACAAAATGCAGGATGGTTTCCATCCATTAAAATATTGGAAATGCTTAAAATAAGAAAATAAAAACAGACAAAAGAAACAGGCTTACAGGTAATGCAGACATTGGTGTTATCAAAAACAGACTGTGACACAACTGTTATTGAAGCATTCAAGACAACAGATGCCAAGAAAGAAAATTTCAACAGAGAACTGAATACATAGACTAATGAGAATTATAGGACTGACAAATATCAATACCAAAATTAAAACTCAACAGATGGGTTTAATAGTTAATTAGACTCAACTGCAGAGAGGATTAGTGATTGAAAGATATCTATGTAGAAAATACACAAAATGAAGTACAGAGAGAGAAAATTATAAAAAACACAAAAATGAATGAGAGATAGCTGGAACATGGTTAAACAAACAAACAAACAAAACAATGTATGCCAGACCTGTAATCAGAATTCCTAGAAGAAGAGAAACAGAAGGTAGAAGCAATATTTGAGGAGATGCTAGCTGATATATTTCCAAAACAGCAGGAAAACTTTAAGGCACAGATTCAAGAAGCTCTATTATGTCAAGGAGAAAAAAAAAATTTAAAAACTGTTCCCCTAGTTACATCATGTTAAAGCTATTAAAAATGAATGACAAAAAGAAATCCTTAAAAGTAGACAGAGAAAAAATATATACCTTTAAATCAGCAACAATAAAAGTCAGAAGAGTTTACAACTGAAACTATGAAGGCCTAAAGATAAAATAACTCAAAGTCACTGAAGTGCTAAATAACAATAATAATAATAACAACTTTTATTCCATACCAGGTATAAATTATCTGGAAAAAGGAAGGAGAAATAAACACATTTTTTTAAAGTTCCAAGAGGATTCATTGCCAACAGACTGGTAACAAAAGCAATCCTAAAGGGAATTCTTTAGGAAGAAGGAAAATTATCCCACATGACAGAATCTTAACAAATATGGAATGAACAGCACTGGCTGTTCTGGCTAAAGTGAATATGTATATATAACTAATGAATATTGATAACTTAAAACAATAATAAAAATATTTTGGAAATAAAACATATATTGAATTCATGACAATGACCAAGATGCAAGAGAGGCATTAGTAGAATTAAAGTGTTCAAAGGTCCTTGTACTGTCTAGATTGTACTAAGAATACTAAATTCTAATACAGTTTAAAATGTCAAGAATGTAAATTTATTATTATATAAATAACACACAACAAACAAGCTCATAAATGAGGAAACTGAATAATAAAACCTATGTGAATGATCCTACAGAAAAAAAAAAAAACAAAAAAAGGAATAAAGAACAGATGGGGTGAGTAAAAGAAATCAGTAATTACATGTTATATACTAATCATACCAATTAAAGGACAAAAGTTGGTTAAAGTTAATTTTTAAAAATATAACTATGCACTGTTTATAGGGAACATACCATAATCATACAGAGAAAAGTTGAACATATAGGGATGAAAATATATAGCATACAATGTATAGTGTGTGTGTGTGTTTACAAAGACACATCAAATACATATATACACATTTTATATATACACACATATAAAATACTAATTTTATAAAGTTAAATAGTTATGTAATTTCAAATTGAGTAAATTATAAAGAAGTTTTTTAGGAGATAAAGGGAACTGTTTCAAAACAAAAGAAATTTCTATGTACCTAAAAAGAGTCTCAAAATATTCCCTTTAAAAATAAAATAATTACAATTAGTAATAACAAGGTCCATAACCATTGATAAAACAAGCAATAAAACAAATAAACAAAAAAACCAAAGTGAAAATAAGGAGGACTATACAAGAATTAAAACTTAACCTAAGGAACAGAAGACTTCACCTAACAGCTATTGAATATATAATAGAGTCATCCCTCGGAATACACAGTTCCAGTTCCAGGACCTCTGTATGTTCCAAACTGTGCTTTCTCAAGTCCTGCAGTCAATCCTGCAGAAACAGCATTAGGAAAAGTCAGCCCTCCACAGATGTGAGTTTTGCATCCCAAGAATACTGTATTTTTAATCTGTGTTTGGTTGTTGATGCAGAACCCTTGGAAAAGGAGACCTACTGTATTTGTTGAATAAAATCCACATACAAATGGACTCATGAAGTTCTAAAGTCATGTTGTTCAAGGGTTAATTATGTTTTTCAAATTCTCATTAAACATTTACCAAATGCAACACAGGCTGAATCATAAAACATACTTTAAATATTGTCAAAGTACATAAGTCATACAGAGTAAATTATCTGATCACAGTATAATTCAAATAAAATTCAACGACAAAAAGATAAAAATTCGAAACGATTTGGAAATTTAACAAACACTTCTGAATAATCCAGCAACCAAAGGATCAATTAAAATTGAAACTAAATGATAGTTTAAATAATAATAAGGTATATATAAATATTGAATCTCATAAGATAAACCTAAAGCTATATTTAAAGAAAAAATTATTTTCCAATTCACATATTATAAACTAAAACACTGAAAATTAATAGTTCAAGTATTCAAGAATCCTGGAAAAATAATACAACGTAAAATAGAAAAAAGAAAAAGGGAATAATGAGATCAGAAATCAGTAATATAAAAAAATCAACACGCTAAATTTGAAAAAGAAAATCAAGAAACTAGTCACGAAAAAGAACAAACCTCCAATATGAAGGATGAAAAGATAACATCATCACAAATCCAACAGTCATTAATACAATGAGGAGATATTATAAACAATTTTATGCCAATCCATAAGAAAAACTCAGGTGTTCCTGTAAAAAATATAACTTAAAAGCAGTAAAAACAAAACAAATACAAGAAAAAAATAGAAAATCTGAATGGCCTTAGACCTATTGAAGAAATTAAACCCAGAATTAAAATTAGGCTCATAAAAAAGACTTTAAGCACAAATAACTTAATTGGCAAATCTTTCCTAATATTCAAGGTTGAAATCTTATACAAACTCTTCCAGAGAACTGGGAAAACAAAAAAACAAAAAAAAATCATTATGTGGGCAGCATAACCTTGATACTAAAAACTGACGACTACAATTATAAAAAATGAAAACTACAAGCCAGTATTTCTTCTGAACATAAACACAAAATTCATAAATAAAATACCAGCAAATATAATCTAGCTTTATATAAATAAAATATCACAACTAATTCAAATGAATTCCAGGATTGCATTGGTGATATCTTTCTAGAAAAATCAATTTATGTAGCTTAAGATATTACCAGAATAAAGGAGAAAAATCATATGACATGATAAAATGATAAAAACTCTTTAAGAATAGAACTTCCTATATATGACAGTTACTTATTATTATTATTATTATTATTATACTTTAAGTTTTAGGGTACATGTGCACAACGTGCGGGTTTGTTACATATGTATACATGTGCCATGCTGGTGTGCTGCACCCATTAACTCGTCATTTAGCATTAGATATATCTCCTAATGCTATCCCTCCCCCCTCCCCCTGTCCCACAACAGTCCCCGGTGTGTGATGTTCCCCTTCCTGTGTCCATGTGTTCTCATTCTTCAGTTCCCACCTATGAGTGAGAACGTGCGGTGTTTGGTTTTTAGTCCTTGCGATAGTTTGCTGAGAATGATGGTTTTGTATAGCAAGTATTGTTTACATTTAACATTATGTTAAACATTGCAATGGAACACGTACCCAAGGTATTACGGCAGTCAAAAGATTTGAAAGTTATATGGGTTGGAAAAGAGAAAAATAAAACTACCATTATTTACAGATAATATATCTAGAAAATCCAAAATAATCTATATAAAAACTATTGGAATTAATAAGGGTATCAATCCAGTCACTGGACCCAATCAATGTCAATATACAAAAAATATATTTCCATATTAGTAAAAAAGAAAAAATTAAGACAAAAAATTAAAATATTTCCAACAGGATCAAAAATAACAAATAATTAGGAATAAATCAAACAAATGATATGTGAGGCCTATACACAGAAAACAACAAAATTGTACAGAACAAAATTAAACATAACTTAATAGAGGAATATACCTTGTTCCTGGATTAGAAGACTCAATATTGTAAGGTTCAACTCTACTCACACTGTTCTATAAATGCAGTGAAATCCCAATCAAAATCCCAACATTATTTTTTTTTTGGAAAGTTGACAAGATGATTCTAAAATTCCTACAGAAAAGCAAAAGATTTAGAGTAGCCAAGGCAATACTGAAAAAAGTATTGTTACTGGGCCGGGCGCAGTGGCTCACGCCTGTAATCCCAGCACTTTGGGAGGCCGAGGCGGGCAGATCACGAGGTCAGGAGATCAAGACCATCCTGGCTAACACAGTGAAACCCCGTCTCTACTAAAAATACAAAAAATTAGCCGGGCGTGGTGGCGGGCGCCTGTAGTCCCAGCTACTCGAGAGGCTGAGGCAGGAGAATGGCGTGAACCCGGGAGGCGGAGCTTGCAGTGAGCCCAGATCTCACCACTGCACTCCAGCATGGGCGACAGAGCTAGACTCCGTTTCAAAAAAAAAAAAAAATACTGGAGGACTCACTAGCAAATGGAGAGGCTTACAGTAATAACCAAGACACTGTGGTTTTGGCACAGCAATGATAAGTAAATCAATGGAATTAGAATAGAGTCCAGAAATATACCCATATGTAAGTGGTCACTTGAGTTATGACACAGCAGTAACTGCATATTCATATGGAAATCAAAATGGACCCTGGCCTCACATCATATGAAAGACAAAATAAAACATCTAGAGGTCAATTAAGGATAACATCTTCTTGATATTGGGGAAGGCAAATATTTCTTTTTTTTTTTTTTTTTTGAGACAGAGTCTCACTCTGTTGCACAGGCTGGAGTGCAATGGCGCAGTCTCGGCTCACTACAACCTCCGCCCCCCAGGTTCAAGCAATTCTCATGACTCAGCCTCCCAAGTAGCTGGGATCATAGGCATGCGCCACACACCCAGCTCATTTTCTATTTTTCTCTTTTTTTTTTTTTTTTTTTAGACGGGGTCTTGCTCTGTCACCAGGCTGGAGTGCAGTGGCGCGATCTCAGCTCACTGCAACCTCCGCCTCCTAGATTCAAGCGAGTCTCCTGCCTCAGCCTCCAGCATAGCTGGGACTGCAGGCGCACACCACCATGCCCAACTAATTTTTGTATTTTTTGTACAGACGGAGTTTCACCATGTTGGCCAGGATGTTCTCGATCTCTTGACCTCGTGATCCGCCCACCTTGGCCTCCCACAGTGCTGGGATTAAAGGCGTGAGTCACCATGCCTGGTCTTCTTTGCATTTTTAGTAGAGACAGGGTTTCCCTATATTGGCCAGGCTGGTCATGAACTCCTGGCCTCAAGTGATCTGCCCGCCTCGGCCTCCCAAAGTCCTGGGATTACAGGCATGAGCCACTGCACTCAGCTGCAAGTATTTCTTTGATAGAACACAAAAATAGCTAACCTTAAAATAAAAGATTAAAAAATTGGGCTACACTGAGATTAAGAATTTCTATAAATTAAGAACTCCTGTTAATCCAAAAAAAAAAACCATTATCAGAGTGAACAACTAAGCTATAGAAAATATTTGCAACATGTGTCTGACAAATAATTCATACACAGCATAAAAAATTATTTCAAATAAATTTAAAAAGAAAAATAACCTAGTTTTAAACAATCGGCCAGGTGCGGTGGCTCACGCCTGTAATCCCAGCACTTTGGGAGGCCAAGGAGGGCAGATCACCTGAGGTTGAGAGTTCGAGACCAGCCTGACCAACATGGAGAACCCCCGTCTCTACTAAAAATACAAAAAATTAGCCAGGCATGGTGGTACATGCCTGTAATCCCAGCTACTCGGGAGGTTGAGGCAGGAGAATCACTTGAACCTGGGAGGCGGAGGTTGCGTTGAGCCAAGATTGCCCCATTGCACTCCAGCCTGGGCAACAAGAGTGAAACTCCATCTCAAAAAAAAAAAAAAAAAAACTTAAAAAAAAATCACTAAAAAATCATGGGTCCTATGAGAAAATGAAGAATATATCTCATCTTAAAGAACAGGTATAAAATGACAATAATGGCTAGGCATGGTGGCTCACGCCTGTAATCCCAGCACTTTGGGAGGCCAAGGTGGGCGGATCACAAGGTCAGGAGATAGAGACCATCCTGGCTAACACGGTGAAACCAGTCTCTACTAAAAATACAAAAACAAAAAAATTAGCCGGGCGTGGTGGTGGGTGCCTGTAGTCCCAGCTACTCAGGAGGCTGAGGCAGGAGAAGCTCCCGGGAGGCGGAGCTTGCAGTGAGCTGAGATCGCGCCACTGCACTCCGGCCTGGGTGACAGAGCGAGACTCCATCTCAAAATAAATAAATAAATAATAAAAAAATAAAGTGACAATAATATAGAGGATGACTAACTGAAGTCTGGTAAGGGAATCAAACAAAGCTTTCCCAAACAAGTATAATTTAACATGGATTTTAAAAGATGAATTGGAGGCAAAAAGTTGGGAAAGAATGCTCCAAGTAGGTAAATAATCATGAACAAAAGCAGGAAGGAATACTTCTGCAGTGGAAGGCCCAGAACAGGTCCAGTAGCCCTGGAGTGGAAGTAATTGAGGGAGGCAGGAGATAAAGCACAAAGCCTCATCATATACTCCATGCTTATGAGTTGGAGTCCATGTGGCAGATAACCAGGAATCAAATGCAATAATACTGGAACAAAAGCATGGTTGTGAATGTTCAGCTGGTTTGCATGGAGCCTGCCTGGAGTGGTCTATCAGAGGTAATACACCATAATGGTAAGCCCAAGCAGGGTCTGTCTGAGCCCATGACCCAGGCTCAAATACCAGACCTGTCATTTTCTACTTCTGAAGCCTAGAAAAAATTATTTTTTTATTCCTCACCTCTAAAAAAAGGGCAATAAAGGTATCTACGTTAGAGAACTGTTGTGAAGATAAATGTGTTAATACATCAGTATATATAAAATGCTTCAAACACTGCCTGGCACATAGCATTAAACATTAGCTGTTACTGGTGTCATTAACAAATGTATTTCTCCTACCCACTAGAGAAGCAACATGATACAATAATCATAGAATAGAAGTCCAGATGCACTATGCACAATAGCAAAGACTTGGAACCAACCCAAATGTCCAACAGTGATAGACTGGATTAAGAAAATGTGGCACATATACACCATGGAATACTATGCAGCCATAAAAAAGGATGAGTTCATGTCCTTTGCAGGGACATGGATGAAGCTGGAAACCATCATTCTCAGCAAACTATCACAAGGACAGAAAACCAGACACCGCATGTTCTCACTCATAGGTGGGAATTGAACAATGAGAACACAGGGACACAGGGTGGGGAACATCACACACTGGGGCCTGCCGTGCGGCAGGGGGAAGGGGGAGGGATAGCATTAGGAGATATGCCTAATGTAAATGACCAGTTAACGGGTGCAGCACACCAACATGGCACATGTATACATATGTAACAAACCTGCACGTTGTGCACAAGTCCCTAGAACTTAAAGTAAAATAATAAAAATAAATAAATAAAAAAGAATAGAAGCCCAGATGCCTGAGTGCTGTCAGTCCTTATGGTCACCAAATGGGTGACTTTGGACTTTCTCAATTTCTCATTGCCCAATTGTAAAAAGACTACATGATCACAAACCTCAGATTTTATTTTTTTTTCAGTAACTGCTCCAGAATTCAGCAGGTTGAAATATGACTACTATGACTCAGTTTTTTTTATGATTATAGATTTTTTTCAGCAGCGTATATTGGATTGATATTTAGCCAAATGACAATGTTTTCCCTTTCATGTTTATTTATTGCCTGTGTTTGAGTTCAAGGAAGAAAAAAATTCAAAATGTGATTATTAATATGAAATTAATACAGCCCAAAGGAAAGTTCTCATTTTCAAAAGAAAATGTACAGTTACCAATTTTTCTTACTGATGATTACACAGAAACAGTTATGAGGCTTTCTTCATTTCTGAAGGAATATTACCATGAGACTCTCACCATATCAGCACTGGTATGCTAAGAGGTAGAGGGATGAGTAAGAAATGGGTGGAGGTGGCAGTAATGAAGGAGTATATTATCACTAATATTATTTACAATTGTCAGCACATGCTCTCAAAAGCAGACTGCCATCTAGTCAATCTTAGTGTTTTTAAATTCTGTGGGAGACACAGCAGCTCCCACTGTCCCCTATTTTGTTATGCCATTGCATTTCAGTACAAGAAACCAATTATTTTATTGTAAGAAAAATCCTAAGTGAAAAAAGACAGGAGGCAACTTTAAAAATATTATACAACATATGATCTCAAATATAACACATCTGAATCTTCTATTTCAGGGATTTATATAAGATATCAAAACACATACACATTCACTTGTGTATACATGTATGTCTCTATTTATTTAATAGGTAAGAAAATTTCTAACATCAATAGCAGTGATTATCTCTACTGGGAGATTATGATTGCCTTTTCTTAACCCTTTCTTGAATTTTTCCATATTGACTATAAGGAATGTATGTACCCTAATAATAAAAAATAAACCTTCGACTGGGCGCAGTGGCTCACACCTTTAATCCCAGCACCTGGGGAGGCCGAGGCGGACAGATCACGAGGTCAGGAGTTTGAGATCAGCCTGACCAACATGGTGAAACCCTGTCTCTATTAAAAATACAAAAATTAGCAAGGCATGGTGGCGCACACCTGTAATCCCAGCTACTCAGGAGGCTGAGGCAGGAGAATCACTTGAACCTGAGAGGCAGAGGTGGCAGTGAGCCGAGATCATGCCACTGCACTCCAGGCTGGGCAACAAAGCGAGACTCCGTCTCAAAAAAAAAAAAAAAAAAAAAGAAACCTTCTATATATACATTTGTCGCACTAGTAAAACATATTTGCTAATAAATATTTTGGAGGTATTTTATCTGTATCATATTTTTGCTACTTTAAAATTTCAATAATTGTCTCTATAATCCTGATACTTAAAGAGTAAACAGGTGGAAAAAAATCCAGATCCCATATAACACAGAGATCATTCGGGTGATGCCCATAAGCACACATGATTTTACCTATATATTTCCTATGAATCTTTTACCATATCCCTCAAATATTAGACTTTAAATCACTTGAAGTGGGCTTTTCCCCCCATCTGTATGAATTAGCAGAGTGCCTTGCACATAGCTGGGACTCAATAAGCATAGGTAGACTTAAACTATATGTAGATTGTTAAAACTTTTTTTGTACAGAAATAAATTTTATTAGCTTAAAATCAGATGATTAAGACATCTTAAAAATAGCTTTAAAACAAAAAAGGACTTTCCTTAAGATTCAGAATTAAGTAGTTACATTTACATTCTATTCTAGTAGGAAATTGAAGATATATTTTCCCCTTGAAAAGACATTTTGTTTGCTATTGGACGTCAGCTTCAGCCTATTGTCAGCTTGTTGCTGACCATTATCCCAACGCCTGTTACAACCTGTCTTACATTCTTCTGTATGTGTTAACTAACCAAAACACAATATTATTATGTCCAAAATCAGATTTCACAACATCACTGTCACTAAAAAACATCTCATGACTTCCCACTATTCTCTTCCACAAGGTTTGATCAAAGGACCTTCACAATTTGGCCGTAATCAACCTCTCTCAACAACTCTGCTTTCCTTTTTTTCCACCCTACTCTACTTCTCTCACGCTCCCCCGCTGTCTGAAAATGCCCAGCTCTCCACCATACATCTCCTACTTATCAAAACTATCCATCTAAATGGCCTGTTAAAAAAAGGGACCTCCTACGTGACCCCTTCCCAGTTTCTCCTTCTTCCACTCACCTGACCCAGCATAAAGGAATTGCGAAATAATTGCCTGTAAAAGTTTGTTTGAAAAGACTAAGTGTTGGGAGGTTCTGCTTCTCAGCAGGGTAGATAATCTCCTGTTTTATTAGGTCCTGGGACAGCATCTAATCCGTCATGTTCTTATCTCATATTCTGTATTTACCCACTCCTTTGCATCTGAATCTTATCCAAGTTACTTACAACTAGGTCCTCAGGGTCAGGACTGTTCTCCAAGTCAGTCTATTTGGGTTCCAATGTGAACCCTCATCTAGAGATACTTAGACATGTGTGTTGCCAGATGTCAGTGACTGGGGTTACGGATCAACCATCCAAAGGCTATGGTGAAGTCGTAACTTAAAAGTCCCCTTAACTCAGTCTCTATGCCTGCTTCCTGATCCCAACTTTGGGGCCTCTGACACCAACCTCAAATGACAATACCATCACTCCAACTGCTCAGGCAAAAAATGTTGAAGTCGTCTTATGTTGTTCAACCTATTTCACATCCCATGTTTCACTACCTTCAAAATATACCTAAAAACTAGCCATTGCTGCCACCACCTGACCATCTAAGATACCATCACCCCACACCTGAATTATTTTAGTAATATCTGATATGCTCATTCTTAGTCCCCTACAGTCAATTTTCAATATTACAGCCAGAAGTATACTGTTAAAATATAGCAGGTTTAAAATTGATGTCTCTCTTTTGCTCAAAATTCTCCTGTAGATTCCTGATTTACAGGAATCATAGCCAAGTTCCTTAAAATGGCCAGTGGGGATCCCCAAGATCTAGCCTCCATGTTTCCTCTCTGATGCATCTTCTACTCATCTCCTCTTTGCTGTCGGGTCCAACAACTGGTCTCTGCTCTTCTTCTAAAAAACAAGAAAGCTTCCCCTATGTCTCCTGTGTTCTGCCCACAAATACATGCATGGCTTATTCCTTCTTTTCTCAAATCTTGGCTGAAATGTCACTTTGTTAAGGCCTACTCCGAGCACCCTATTTAAAATTGCAAACTACCTTCCACCACCACTCTCAGCTCCCTTTACTCAACCATATTTGTGTTTTGCTTCTTCCTGCTAGCACTCCTTATTTATTAGTTGATTAACCCCATTTGTAGGTAAACTTCATTCAAGGGTACGCAGGGTTTCTTTGGTACTTTAATCACCTATGTATTCTCAGAACTTAGAATAGTATCTGATACATCATTGGCACTAAAAAAATAACTGCTAAATGAATAAATGGCCTGCAATACCTTTAACCTATAAGGTTGGCCAAAGACTTACTGATTTCCCTCATAGCTGAACCCAGCAGAGGCCAAAGGACAACTTCATTACCTGATTCTCCTTTTCTTCCTGCTTCAAATTTACCTTACCTTTGAACTCAGAAACGCATTTCCTTTCAGTGCCTCCTGGCCTGGTCTACATTCTGGGTACTAGCACCTCATCTACTTATCATTAACTTTTGTCAGTTCCAGGTGAGTGACTTCTGACTTCTAATAACAACCACATGATACTTTTTACCTGACTCATTTAGAAATCAATGCTTCCACATCTACACCCACTGATCTCAATCTTAGACCCTCTCAACCAGGTCTTCAAACACCTCCGATTAGGAATATGTAATCTTTACCACTTTCTAGTTATGAGCATTTTGGTTTCATTCTGCTTCATTACCGCTGACCAACCTACCACGTGAACGCAGTATTTTTCATCAGTAAAATGTGGATAAAAGGACACACTTCACAAGGTTACTATGAAGGTCAACTTAAGATAATGCATGTAAAGTGCTTAGCACAGTGCCTAACATGTAAGTGCTCAATACATGTTACCTGATATTGTTACTAAATTGCATAATATAAATTCATTACTCAAAATCAGATGTGAGTTCCAGTCCTTAGGATAAAAGTCGCCCAACTTTTTACAAGATAATTTGAAGAGTGACTAGTTAAATAAATCAATAATTGATATAAAAATATATGCCACATGATGGATCTGTAGCAACTATAAGACAGCAGGCAGAATCCTTAAAATGCAAAATGTCAGTGTGTCAAAATGTCAGCACTCATCATCTCAAAAAGGCTCCCATGGCAAACCTTCATGACTTTTTACATCTCATTGAGAGGACAGACAAGTAAAGTAATATCCCCTTATTTTCATGAAAGTTAACTTTTGATAAGATGCCTCAATGTGTACCTAAGGTCCTAAGCTTATCACCTCTATAACAAATGCCTAAAGAATGCCTTAAGTCTGGTCAAGTTATCTCTTCTTCCATGTTCCTTTCATTCCCTATTGGACTACCATCTGCCCTTTCTCCTTTGCAGAGTTTTTGCAGTTATTTTTGTGGCTTAGCCCTGAAGGCATCTGAGTGTGTAAAACTGCTAATTTCTACCCCTCTGGAATTTAGGTGTTTAGGCATTAGGAATTCTCAGTATTTTATGACAAGGTTTTATGATGACAATTAGCTTTGCCATTCCAACAAACTACTAAAGGTGTATCATCAGAAAATATTACACATTTCAATAAGTAACTGTTTGGTTTTTATTTTAAACCAGAGACAGGAAAGAATGAGTAAACATAAACAATCACAAAAAATAAACATTCTACTTCAGAGATCCCCAAATATATAGAACTACATTTTGTACCATAGTCAGTAACACTACCTCAAAGCTCAGAGGACTATACACACCATGTGCAGTACCTACAAAAATTGTTTCTCACTGCTTATTTTATATATATATATTTAAAGAGAGAGAGAGAGAATTTAAAAATACTAAAGAGTAATAGCTGACTAAAGGAAATAGTCTCAAAAACATTTCTCCCAATCAAATAAATTATATGCACTCCAGCAGGGTGCGGTGGCTCATGTCTGTAATTCGAGCAATTTGAGAGGCTGAGGCGGGTGGATCACCTGAGGTCAGGAGACCAGCCTGGCCAACATGACGAAACCCTGTCTCTACTGAAAATACAAAAATGAGCCGGGCGTGGTGATGGGTGCCTATAATCCCAGATACTAGGGAGGCTGAGGCAGGAGAATCGCTTGAACCTGGGGGGACAGAGGTTGCAGTGAGCCGAGATTGTGACATTTCACTCCAGCCTGGGCAAAAGAACAAAACTCTGTCTCAAAAAAAAAAAAAACAAAAACATATATATATATATATATATATATATATATATATATATATATGCACTCCTAAATAACTTGCATTTTAAATTATTTCTTTCCAACTATTAATAGAGGTATTGGTTAGTATTAGCAATGCAAAGACTCTGATAAACTTACTGACACCCATAAGTAACTGTATTTTTTCTTTTTAAAGCTAAATTCTTTTCTCAGTTGTCAATTTTTAAATAAAGTCTCTTAAAAATACAAGTCACTGAGGATCCTTAGACTTTACCTGATAATACACTGCAGAGTAAAACATCTGAAATTTCTAAGTTACTGACGACTTTGGTGTGCAACCAAGTTGGAAGTCTCATATAACAATTTCATTTTCATTTTTTCATACTTTTTTAATTTTTTGCTTCAACAAACATAAAATAGATATAGAATGTGTTGTCTCTCTGTATAGCACCACGAGTTTGTTAAAGACAGAGTACTGCCATACAGACACAGCAATTGTTGGCAGGATGAAGTCAGTGCAATTTTAACCAGATCTTTTTCTTTCTCTCTCCTTCCCTCCTCTCCTGTCTCTTTCCCACCTTCTTTTCTCTCCCTTTCTTCCACCTTCCCTCTTCCCCTCCACCTCTTCTTCCCCACCTTCTTTTCTCTCCCTTTCTTCCACCTTCCCTCTTCCCCTCCGTCTCTTCTTCCCTCTCTCTTTCCGTCCTTCTCCTCTCATGCCCTGTCTCTCAAACATACACACTCAAACATAAATATATATTAACATGTAATGCATTTTATTCACAGAAGAAATGTTCAACTTAATGTCCCAGGATAGTAATGTCATTAAATTTGACTAAGCAAAATATTATTTCCAAGAAGAAATCAATTTTGACTCAAATTCAAAGAATGACAAAATTCACGGTGAGAGTTGGGACAGGGATAGGGTAGAGAGGAAATTCTTAATAAAAATTAGGAACATCAGGACAGAGACCATTCTAGTCTAATGAAGGCACAGATAAACATATAAATAACACTTAGCTGGGCAGGACATGGTTGCAAAGGGATGCGGATGAAAGTAACATATCACGACACAATAAAAATCATTTCTATCACGAACTAATTCAACAAGGAATATAACATATCAAAATAATCTTAAGTTGGTAAGCAGTATTAGAGATTTGGATAGGAACACCAGATTTAAAAAATGTGAAAACATTTTTGCTTCATATCTTTTCCTAAATAAATGAAGAAACTTGAGGAGGTACAATGACTTGTTTAATGCCACGCTAGTTAGAGTCCTGGTGACAAAGTCTCTATTCTAGTTCTACTTTTATAATATCAGCTCACTCCCAAGAAGATTCCCCATCACCTGTTCATCTTCCTCTTTGCATCTGTGGGGCCAACTGATGGTTAATATTTCTCTATATTACTAATACCTCCCAAGGCCATAACAGACACACCCAGGAACTCAGTAAGTGACTCAGTAAAGAACCAAGCCCTGAACTCAGGTAATGTGGTATAGAGCGCATCAGGAATTACTCTGTCCTAATTCTCACTAGACTTTTGCTTATGTGTCTTGATCCCATATTTCACAAGAGTAAGATTCACATCTCACAAAAAAAGCTAGCCTAGAATTAGGAAACAGAGATGCAAATAACATTGTGGTTAAACATTCAGATATTCAAGACTCTCAGAAGTTATAACTTTGTAAATACGTACCACTGAGTGGCTAGGAAAAAAAAACTTTAATGAAAGAAGACTTTTTTAAGTAATTAGAGGGGATGTTTTCATAAGAGGAGTTCACAGTAATTAGGAATATGTGCATATATCATCTTGGGAACACTTCTTGACAGACAAATAATTACCTGGGAAAAGTCTGGCTAGACACTATCAGACTTTGCAAAGTAAAGTCTGACCTAAATGTAATTATGTCAATCACAAAGTGAAAAATAGAAAGGGTTTCAAAAAAAGAATCAGTAAATTAAAATATGTCCCTTTAGGGCACAAGTAAGATATTATCTACAATTGAATTTTCCCAAAGGAAAGTTCTCAAACAAAATAAGCAAACATACAAAAGAAAGAAATAAAACAAAACAAATAAACAAAAAATATCTAATCAATTTCTAAGTGATAATTAGCAAAAATAAAATTAATAAGTAAAAAAGTATAGATTTTTGAAATACTATAAAGATCACATTCTGCTTATAAAAGCAAAATGATCAAGAGCTCATTTAACTATATAACTTAAGCTAGAAATGAGAGCATATAAATTACTGAAATTCAAAAACAAACACAAAATGTTTCACCTCTTTCCAGTAAAGACAGTTGAGATTGAGAATCATTTTTAATTCCTTTCATAAGAGACTGGAAGGTTAACTTGGTGCTTATAATCAGACTTCAAATGTTTGGGCCTTTAAGCAGATAACTTTTATATTATTTTCATTAGTTTAAGATTTTTCCATAAAATGGCATTATTTTCACAAGTACCTTATCTCAACTGCAAACACAAAAGTGAAAATGGATTTAAATTCTTATCTGAGATCTTTTCCTGGGTTCTGTTTTGACGGTGTCTAGTCCTACTGGTTTGGCTTCATATCTCTGTAGAGTTTTACAGTGTTTATTACCAAAAGATTCTCCCTGAGATATTTAGAAGCAAAAAAAAAAAAAAACTTTATCCATTAAAATATACATTATCCAAATACTTTATGAAAAAAAAAGATCATCCCTTTACAATGCCATGACAATTCACTGAGTTACCAATAAAGATAAATTACCCTCTGAAAAAAATTCAAAAACAGAAAGCTTATCCTGATGACTATTAGGCTCCCATTGATTCTGAAAGATAATAAGAGCATGACATCTGTTGAGTAAATGATAGTCATGAAAACCACATTTAATCTTTAAAAAGCAATGTGTTCTGGTAAGCTTTTATTTCATATTTGTTCTTTTAAAAATTCTTCACAGGACCATGTCCAGTTATAAGCTAAATAATCTTAATTTTTTAAAAATGGGGTCAATAACTTTTTTCCCCAGATTACTTAATTCTTCAAAAATCTTTAAGTAGATATGGCGACATATAAAGAATCTTCCAAAATAATTGAGAAATACATATTCCATGCAAAGATAACCAATTTGACTTCAATATTTATTGCATCTGGGTAGAAACTAGCACAGTCCCTAACACCTTAAAAAATAACAGCTGGGTGTGGTGATTCATGCCTATAATCCCAGCACTTTGGGAGCCTGAGGCAGGAGGATCACTTGAATCCAGGAGTTTGAGACCAGCCTAGATAACATAGGGAAACCTTGTCTCTGTGTTAAAAACAAAAAATAAAAAAAATAAAATAAATAAAATTAAAAACAAAAACCATGTGCACCAAATCGAAGTCGTCTGTTATAATTTATATTTGGCAGTATACTCAGTTTACAAGATCAAATAATTCTCTTCTTTCAAATTCAACTTAGCTATAGCTATACAAGTAGAAAAAAGATGCAATTGTCTTTCTTATTTGTATGCCACATTGATTTTATGAAAGAGAAGCACACATCACATTACTGTTTTACAGTATGGACTTCAATTTCTTCAGCTCGCTAATTCAAGTGGGAGTCCTCAACGGACAGTGACCGGGTAGAAGATATTACTTTTAGAGGCTCATTAAATACAAAGCTGCCACATTAGAAAGAAAAATACATCAAAAGATCATGACTAATGTTCGGTTCCCAGTGGGTGCTAGCCCAAAAACTTATGATATCTCCTGAATTAACATTTTGTATCACAATAATGCAATGTCCCAAAGGAAACTAGCTATCACGCAGGGTGATAAATGCATTACTAAGTTACTACAATAAGAATCTTCATCTTCACTGATGTATTTTCAAAAATGGATTTCAATTTCCTGTTAACATTGTGCTTCAAAAGCATATCATGTCACCAAACAAAATCAGCAAACATTAATACTTGATATTTATTATTTTGCCATTACAAAGACTCACATATAGCCTCAAATTTTGTACTGTTGCCTTACAAAATGCAATTGTATAATTTGTTCACAAGGCCTAAGATAGCGCTGTTTAAAAAAATATTCATGGTTCAATTCAGAAAGCTGAATGACAGTTCAATTCATTCAATAAAAGTTTGGTCACTTACAGTGAGCCTGATTCTATAGCTAATTTTTAACAACTGGAATGGATTAGTACTTTATTTAATATAATACTGTTAAAGGAATTAATACAGCTGAAAAGACAGGTTATTTAAACTCAAAAGGTTTAGGGAAAAAAATTACCTCATTTTTACAAAGCTTGCATTTGACATTAGCTTCAGAACACTGTGTCTCTCTACATTATTGTTAGCCTTTTAGTTGCCTGTCTTGCAAACTGCCATGTCACTGAGGAATTCAAGGGTCTTATATTGACGTACTTCATAAAAGCATACTCTTGCAAGCATTTCTGTGTCTTATTGGCATAGAAGAAAGCAATGTCATGCGTGTGTGCTTCCTAAGGTTCCTTTTAGATCTAAATTTTTGTATCACATAGTCATAACTAAAAAATGCACACTTTATAATTAAAAATTGTAACTTTTTGCCTATACTTTTTTTTTTTTTTTTTTTTTTTTTTGGTGAGACAGGGTCTCGCTCTGTCACCCAGGCTAGAGGGCAGTGGCGCAATCTCAGTTCACTGCAACCTCCACCTCCCAGGTTCAAGCAATTCTCGTGTCTTAGCCTCCTGACTAGCTGGGACTATAAGCACTCGCCACCACATCCGGCTTATTATTATTATTATTATTATTATTATTATTATTATTATTGTAGAGACGAGGTTTTGCTATGTTGGCCAGGGTAGTCTCAAACTCCTGACCTCAAGTGATTCGCCTGCTTCAGCCTCCCAGAGTGCTGGGATTACAGGTGTGAGCCACCACGCCCAGCCTTGCCCATACATTTTAAAACTCTAGATTGAGCTTGGCAAATTTTTTTGTAGTCTCCAAAGTGCCCACCATGGTGCTGAGTAGATACAAAACTCTTAATAACTTTTGTTGCTTGATTAAAGAGTCCTACAGTTTTACCCAAGTTCTAAAATAAGATCTGTGAGATGTATAAGTCAATATAAATATTTGATAAAGAACACCAAAGCCTTAAAATGCTAAATATCTCAGAATCTTGCTTTAGAATTTTACATTATTATGTTGATTTTATACTGTTTCCACACAACTCAGGAAAATAGATAAGTAAACATATGGTTTATTTAATAGCATAAAGCACATTCAGAGCAAGAATTGGTATTCAGTCCTGTTAAAAACAAAGAAAACTTCACCATATCCACCAACTACTTCCTTTCAGAGAAGAAGAAAAATTTAGGTGCTTTAAAATTATGAGTGTTGAGTAATCTTATTCCTAGTCAACATACCTCAGTCTTCTGGGAGAAGAGATCTCCTGAGTACATTATTAAGAAAAGGAAATCTCTTTTCTTTAGCAGAGACCTAATGCCACTCTCTTGGATATATGCAAGATATAGGAAATACAACCTTCCTGTGTATCCATAGGTACTTTCCTAAAAACAATAGGCATGGCCTATACATATAGAGATTCTTTTATTAACATACATATTTGTGTTATTACTCTCTCTACTTTTCTACATGTTTCAAATTTTTCATTTCAAAATAGAAATGTTATTACCTTTCTTGCTTCTTTTATCATCTTCCGAATAGTTTCTTTTATCGTAAGTAGATGTGCTCTTGGTGGATGAAAAAGGAGATCTATATGGGTGCCCCCTAAGAGTCCGGGCATCACATATGGCCAGCCTAAGTCAAGATTTGGAGCTTCCACATCAGACTCAACAGGCCAGTAGGTCCCTGAAGATAAGGTATCATCACAGGAATCATCAGTACCATGTGCTGTGCTTTGTGCAACTTTCTGGACATTTTTCAAAATATAATTAATTTCTTCCTCAGCAAGAAAGTCTGAAACTCGTTCCTGGACAAGAAATTCTTGGTATGCTTCTAACCCGTGTTCAATCAGAATATCAATGGCTACTCGATACCATTCCTTGTAGTGAGGCTCAATGTAGTTGTCAGATTTACACTCATCATTCAATGAGGAAAGCATTGATGAGGTCTCCATGCTTGCAAGTGTTTGGCTATGGCACTTTCAAATGTCCATTCATGCAGTGGTGAGAAGTATCTGGTATTTGAAAAGAAGAAAATCAAGATCAAGTTAAAATTCGGTAACAGAATGTTTTATGATACATATCAACTATTATTTTTTCATTTACACATTTCCATTACCAGAAGCTCAAAATGACACATATTTCATATCCAAAATGACATTAATAGCACCACAATTCACACATCTATCACAAATAAGCTACACAGATTTCCCTTACAGATTGCTGTTGGATTTTCCTTTTCCAAGGTATCTCAATTTAAATTAAAAGAGAATTAGAAAACAATCAATGCCTACCCAGCCATTAATGTCTCTACTGAGTACCTGTCAGGCATACAGAATATGCTAGATGTAATGTTAAGAGCACAAAACACTGGTCTTTCAGGAATTTATTAATTAGTTGAGGAGGCAAATTGTACGCAAAAAACATTACTTACCACTTTGAAGAAAGCCATACATTGCTAAAGGCCAAAATGAGTAATGCCTATATTCAGTGCTTTAAGAATAAAAGCAAGTAGAGATCAATATGGAGCAAATGAGTTATGAACAGCCCTGAGCAAGAGGTGGGCTTCGGCTGGACCCGGAGCAATGAGTAAGAATCTGATCAGGTGGCAAGAAGAAATATTTCCATCCCATACAAGGATAAAAACATGAGCAAAATCACGGAAGAGATATGAGAGTTTGGTACATTCACTAATTATGAAGGAAGAAAAAAATTAAAGAAAAAAAAACCTGGCATGCTGGAAAACAGGTTCCTTTTAACAGGAGTAAGAGATAAAATTGAATAGACAAGATAAAGCCAAGAATGGACGGACACAAAGTTTTGTGATTCAACAAAACTTCTGTTTGAAACAATTCTGGCAGTAGCAGGGGACTGAAGAAGAGACAGGTAGCTAGGAGAGTGTTTCAGTGTTCAAAAACGCAGTGAGGAAGTGGACAGAGTATTCCAGAGATGGTTTAAGGAAGGAGCCTTGAGATTCAGTGACTGGACAGAGTATACGAGATGAAATTTAAGACATGAAAGATAATTCAGAAATTTCTCTTAGGAGTCAAAATCTGCCTATGCAGGCTCACATTCCATCTCTCACAATGCCCACAGAATGCTCTCCATTCAATCATTCAGTCACTACTCCACACTGTGTGAGATACTGGAATGGGCTCTCTCAATCAGATGATGGACTTTCCAGTCTTTTGAAGTCATGATCTCCATTGTGTGGATTCAAGGTACAGATTTATGATGTGCTATAAGCATTAAAAAGATAACTTGGAGCATGGAACACAAAGGGTGCCTCCATTTACCATCTTAGTGGAGACAATCCTGTTCCTATCTCTGGGCTCAGAAGTTTTACAAAGAAAGTCTAACAGTACAGAAAGCCCAAAGATTAAATATGATACAGGAATAAAAATAGAACATGTTCTTTTCTGTCTTTTGGAAAGCCCTCAGCTTGAGTCATAATTTGATCCAAGCCCAGACAACTAGAACTATACCTGGATCCTAGGCTCCACAGTGCAGCATCTGAACTTTGGGGATGGCAGCATCTGAATTCTGGTGATGGCAGTCTTCCTGCCCTATAGTATAATGGTGAAGTTTTGCAAAAATATTCTCTTCTCCAAGAGAAAAAGGAAGAACACCCATCTTGTCTGCTAGTATAAAAGCTATCGCATGGGGAAATAAAATTTCTTTTGTTACTTAATTAAAATTAATCTATTGACATGTATTGGGATACATCCTAAAACTTTCATAAATTTCTCAATCATTCTAGGATATGTCATCTTTTTCCCAATCACATTTCATTCAAGTTCAGTGGTTCTCAAAAGGGAAGATTTGTCCCTCATCTGACAACATCTGGAGACATTTTTAAATAGAATCACTTGTGCGGAGGAGGGCTACTAGCATCTAATGATTAGAGACCCAGGATGCTGCTAAACATACTACAATGCATGAGACAGCCATCCATATTTAGAAATAATCCCACCCAAAATGTCAACAGTGCCAAGGTTGACAAATCTTCATAAAGTTGCTCACTTCATATTCATGATATCATGCCACTAATTAATAACTTTCAACACTCATTGAAGTTCTCTTTTGCACATAATGCTCATTGTTAGCAAAAAAAATTAAAAAATAAGATTTGCATTCACTTAAAAGACTCAATCCTTATGCTTACAGTTTCCTAAGGTTTATTGAAGTACAGTTTTCACTTGAAAATTCCAGCCAATGAAGGAACAAGTATCTGGTGATTACATGATAAATTACATCTGTAATTTGTAATTGTTAAGTCATAGGTAACTACTAGTTGTTCATAATCCAAGTTTCCTGCAAACCTATTCATTTAATTTTTAAAATGTAACTTTTGAATTCCTATATATGTGATGTTAAACACCTGTTACCTATTTGGAAGTTAAAATGCATAAAGTACTTTTAAAATACTACCTATTTCTGAGCTACACCTATGCAAATAAATATTTTGGAACTGTAAAAAATTCATTCTGGAACTATGTAAACTCTGAAATCACAGACCTCGAAAGGACCATGAAAACCAAACCATGAAAACATAGATAAATTAATCTGAAGAAAAAAATTGGAAATAAGAAGTGAAACTTATTTATAATTAATTACCATTACAGGACTAATCGATAGCCAGATACCACACAGAAAAATATATTATACAAAACATACAACAGAATGAACAATGAGGTTACAATATTATGTACAAGACTTAAGATTACTACTAAATATACTTTATATTGTTCTGGTGGAGAGGCTATGTTCCAGCCACGGTTTAGAGATATTTATCATAAGAGCTATTTGCATGGAATACTTGTGAAGGAACCATCTATAAATGAATTTTATCAGAGAACTACAGGGTAATGGCACTTGCATAGTGAGTATTGCAATTAAATATCACCTGTATTTAATTATAGACTTAATAAAGCACTCTCAGCAGTTCAATCCCTGAACATTTGGAGGGCTTTATTTGAGGACAAAATTAATTAGGTGTGCCTTTAAATATATATATAAAAAATAAGGAATTATTTTATTAATAACTATTAAAAACTCCCAGGAAGCATATTCTTTTATCATACACAGTAGAGTTAATGAGTAGAGAAAAAAAAAAAGATATCACTATGCCATGTAAGCTGAGCAGACCATTAGGCTTATCTAACAGTTAAATGACTCATTCCAGAAAAAAAGTGGCCTTACAAATCCATGCCTCAAAAAAAATTAAAAATTGCATTTGATATTGAGCTTTAGGGTCATTTGTATCAAGTAGAAATTCCACTGAAATTCTATAAATACAAAGGATATAAAATAAGTCATAAAAATTGCTTTCAATTCATGGGCTGCTCTGGAAAAACAGTTTGGCAGTTTCATTTATAAAATGACACATGCAACTAACATACAACACAGCAACTGCACTTTGGTGATTTATCCAAGAAAAGTTGAAACTTATCCTGTACACAAATATTTATAGCAGCTCTATTCATAATAGCCTGACAATGGAAACAACCCAAACGTCTTTCAACAGGTGAATATTAAACTATGGTACACCCATACTGTGGAATACTACTTGGCAGTAAAATAAATGGCCTACTAATACATGCAACAACCTGGATGACTCTCCAGAGAATTATGCTGAATGAAAAAACACCAATCTCCAAAGTTTACATGCTGAATAATTCCATTTGGTTAGATGCTGCACTCTTAAAATGACAGTCGGAGAGGTAGATGTGGCTATAAAAAGGCAATCAGAGGAATTTTTGTAGTTATAGAAATATTCTATATCTTGACAGTATCAATATCAGCATATTGGTTACGATACAGTATTATAGTTTTGCAAGACAGCAGCACTGGGGAAAACTGGGTAAAGGATACAAAGAATCTCTCTGGATTTTTGCCCTTAACTATATGTGAAACCACAATTATCTCAAAATAAAAAGTTTAATGAAAAAAATCTTACTGATGAGCAATGTCATGAGACTTAGATAGAAAAAAAAAAAACCTATAGCACACAAGATAAGAGTTCATCTGTAGGGTCAAATTGCCAGGTTAAAACTCTGCTTCATCAATTACTATGAAGCTCTTGGACAAGTTACACACGTCCACAAGCCTCAGTTTGGGCAGATGTAGAGAGGAGAATAACAACAGTCTTTATCTTCTTGGGTTATTTTAAGGAATAAATAAGGTAATGCATTTCAACCTTATTATTATTATTATTATTATTATTATTATTATGACTATTTTACATGTTCACAATCTGCTATAGTATAATTACTATAAATATGTAATAAATTTGATAAGAGATTTTAAGATTTGAAAAGAGATGTTTTTTCATACCATTAGCAATATCATACAATTTGTAACTATTTAATCATCTGCAGTATAAAACAACCAAACCTAGTATCAGTTTGTTCCTAGTTTCTGACCTGAGAGAATTCATTGAATAGGCTTCTGATGTAATAGGTCAGTGGGAAAATGTTCCAAAGAGAAATTACAGCTTTTTTAAATCAAAAGTCCGAGGCTATAATTACCTAATGTGCAAGCCAATAAACCAAAGTCAGAATTTTGACTGAAACAAATATAAAAAATATCACAGGTGCTAACATCACTGCAGTCCATTTTCCAGTCTCTCTCTTAAGCTGTTTCTCTCCAAGTATTGAATGCTTTATGAGTTGCACTACATCCTCCAACAGGATATGTCGAAGTCCTAACCTGCATTACCGGTGAATGTGACCTTACATGGAAATAGGGTCTTTGCAGATGTAATCAAGTTAAGATGAGGTCATATTAGACCATGGCTGATCCTAATCCAATATGACTATATGACTTGTGTCTATAAGGAGAGAGGGGACACAGAGACAGACACAAAGGCAGAACTGCACGTGACTACAGAGGCAGAGACTGGAATGCCAAGAATTGCCTACAAGAACAGAGATAAGAGAAATGCATGGAACAGATTCTCCCCTAGAGCACTTCAAAGAGAGCATGGCCCTGCTGACACTCTGATTCCAAACATCTAGACTTCAGAAGCATAACAGAATATATTCAGCTGTTTTAAGCCAATATTTTTGGTACTTCGTTACAGCTGCACTAGGCAGCTGATACAAATGCGTACAAAAATGCTTTTATTTTGAAACCTTCAAAATTTTTAAATAAACTTAAATTACCAAGTAAATTTACCATTTAGAAATGATTGGTTTTTGCAGCTTAAATGATATAGTTAAACTAGTTATCTGATATAACTTCAATGTTAAGCAATTTTATTAAGAAATACTTTGCAAACTCTCATATATTGAGGGAAAAAATTCTTGAATTTGTTATTTCTTTTGGTAATTGACTTTATGATATGTATCAAAATGTCTGTCTACATAATGTAAGAAAATGTTTCATAAAGGATTGTTTCAGAACATCTCTTTCATATAAAATCATTACCCATGGTCCACAACAGTTGAAAATCATATATCTTTTCTTTCTTCAGCTGTCAAGATTGTTTGTCTTCTCATTTGATTACCAGAAATTTAAGATAACAATTAAAACATGAAAGAAGTTTCTATTAAATTAAAAATTGACTATAATATTCAAGCTGTCAAGTGCAATTTGATATCTCATGTTGACATCCAAACTCATTAAAAAATTCTAAGCTGGCTTCATAATAATACTTATAACAACATGGCCCAATAGCACAGATTACAGTCATCTGCACGGCATGATATTCAGCAGGTCACAGAAAGTATAAATACATGACGCACTCAGTCACAGGGTGTTGGGTGCAAACATCTCCACAGATGGATTACCAGTAGAATCACCCATCTTATCAAACTCATAAAAACAATAAACATACTTCCAATTCATTTTCTAAATCTCAAATGGGAATCCCATTTGCTCAATACCTACTCATTCTTTAATTTCCTCAATTTACTTTAACTGGAGGGAGGGGATAGCAATATCACTTTCATACCAATATGATTCCAGGGTTTGTTTGTACTGGCTGCTATTTGCCTTCTTAGATATAAACTACAGGAATTTTAGATATTGGGGGAAAAAAATACCCAATACATGTTAATGACATTAAAACACAATTATTCAATGTCATTTGGAAGCATTTATTGAATAATTCCTGTAAATAAATTCATTAAGAAAAAATAAACCATTTACAGAGAGAGCTTATACTGAATGCTCAAATTCCAAAGGATTATACATGGCTTAAAAATGCAAATAAAATTAAATTATTATTTTACCAACATCTAAACTACAAGGCTATCCTGATAAAGTTGTGTCTTGTGCCATACCAAAGTGACGTATTCTTGTTCTGGCCCTGATCAGTAATCATTTGGATGAATAAATAGAGACACATTAATATAATCTGCAGAAATCAACAAAAAACATACATGTTAGATGCCAAAACAGATATGTAAAATAGTGACAAAGTGGCAAAATAATAAATCAACATGAACATTATTAAGTTCAAGTGCAATAAATTTGGAGGTTTTAATTTATATCAAAAATTAACTACATTCACACAGGATTAGGCAGGGTTTGGAGCCCATTATGTCATGAAGAATAGTTGAAAAATTGGAACTTTTAGTCCAAAGAGAACACTAGGAGATGCACTAAAGGGTAGTCTTCAATTATATGAAGTGGAGAAGTCACAGGTTGGCTCAGCGGCATAGTTGGTAAGATGGCACAGGTTTCGACCTCTACTCTGAAACTTATTGGTTGTAAAACTTCAGTCATGTTATTTAAGGGCCTTAAGCCTCATGGTGCTCACCAGGAAAAAGGGTAAAATAACTGTACTGACCCGAAGGGTTTCTATGTGGACTAAATGAGACAAAGGCCCTCAAGTGTACATGTGCCATAAAAACTGCTAAAAACTGTTAGGTAATAATCTAAGATGGAGTTTTATTTAATAATAAAGCTGCATAAAGACAGAATTGGTACCTCTATTTTGGGTTTTTGTTGTTGTTGTGTTGTTTTTAACTGAAACCCCTCTTTATGTGCATAATTAAGCAGAGGACACATTTTTGGAGAGGGTCCTATAGGATAACAACTTGGATTTCTGAGACTTTCTTCATGTCAGAATTCCAAAATAGTATTTGTTTTGCCCGCTCAAAAGATCTGTGAGGTTCATAAGCTTGCTCAGCAGTGAGGTGTGTTGTGGTTTCCTACACCAGAGTGACAAGAACTCGCCTCCTACTCTTCTTCCCAGTTTCTCCAGAATCACCCTTCAAAGTGCAGCTTCATTTATTTATTTTTTTGCACCAATAAAAAGTATTTAATTAATGAAAACAAGATGACAGGTGGATTTTTTTTTTCGTGGTTTTTTTGGGGGGGGGTTTTTGCACCCAGCCTGGAGTGCAATGGCGCGATCTCGGCTCACTGCAACCTCCACCTCCCAGGTTCAAGTGATTCTCCTACCTCAGCCTCCCAAGTAGCTGGGACTACAGGCACACACTGCCATGCCCGGCTAATTTTTCTTTTCTTGTATTTTAGTAGAGATGGGGTTTCACCATGTTGCCCAGGCTAGTCTTGAACTTTTGAGCTCAGGCAACCTGCCCACTTCAGCCTCCCAAAGTCCTAGGATTACAGGCATGAGGCACCGTGCCCGGCCAATGACAGGTTTTTAAAAAAGAAGAAGAAACACTTGCTGATCCATCTAGCCTCTCATTTTACGGAGGAAGAAGCGAATGTCCACCACGGGCCACACACTGAAAGTCACATCCTGGGTAAGAACTCAAGTCTGTTAACTGCCATCTAGTGTCCTTCCCACAGTCCTAGCTTCCTCAGCAAGGGTTACTTCCCTCACTGTTTTTAGGGTGTGCCTTGGATCACTCCAACTATACCCTGATGCTGCTCAAAGGCTGGACTACACCTTCTCCTTTTGTTCCCCTCCTCCTGTGACCCACTGTGCTCAGCCCAGACTGGTCATATAATCTGAATAGATCTATAGCCTCTCAAAACCCGTGGCCTTCTGTGGCAGGCCAGGTTCCCATTAGCCACTAGAAGAGTCAGTTTCTACTAATCCTCTATTATAACTCTGATGTATGTAGAAGTTAAACATTAAAGAACTGGGGAAACTGGTGCCTGAGTACAACGGCTGGAATACGAAAACAAACCCATTATGACCCCACCTGGGTTTTCTTAGACCCTAATGTCTGATTGAATAATAAAGGCATTCTTACACGTATACCTTGTACCAGGGCCCACTTAAGAAACTTTCCAAGACTCTAGAGAAAACCTTCCAGACTCCAGACTCTAGTTAAAGATTAGATATAGATTGAATGAAACACTCCGGCTTGTAGGTGCACTCCCACAGGTAGGCATGGGGCTTAAAACGTACATAAGCACTAGAAAAAAACTTGTAACTTGGAGTTGGTCCGGTGAGTTACTCAGGCCTTTTCCCTGTAACCGGTTGCAGAAATAAACTCCCTTCTTTCCCCGTCTGTCTGCATCTCATTATCGGACAGTGAGAACAAGCAGCTGGACCTTTCTGTCTGGAAACACTCCAACTAGATTTGGGGCCATTTTACCTGGGATTCATTGCTTCTTCCATCATTTTATAAACTGAAATGACATTTAGGGCCAGAAAGAACCCAAGAGACCACATCATGGACCATTCCTCTCATTTTATGAGACCACTTCTTTTTTGTTTGTTTGTTTTGGAGGTGGGGTCTTCCTCTGTCAGCAGTGTCACAATCTTGGCTCAGTGCAACCTCCACCTCCTGGGCTCAAGTGATCCTCCCACCTCAACTTCCTGAGTAGCTGGGACCACAGACACGCCCCACCATCCCTGGCTAATTTTTTTGTATTTTTGGTAGAGCCAGGGTTTTGCCATGTTGGCCAGGCTGGTCTCAAACTCCTGGGCTCAAGTAATCCATTCATCTTGGCTTCCCAAAGTGCTGGGATTACAGATATGTGCAACTGTGCCCGGCCTAGGCCACTTCTCTACTGGGACATTTTGATGCAGTTTAAAGAATGAAATATTCAACTCTCATCTTAGGAAAGATTTGCTCAAATTCATCTCAAATTAATAATGAAATACTGCCTTAATAACGGAAGGTAACAGAGTGAGAGTTGACTAAAGTATAAACTAGAGACTACTAAAAAATAAATTTTAAGAAAACATAAACCCATGGCCGGGCATGGTGGCTCACACCTATAATCCCAGCACTTTGGTAGGCCAAGGCAAGCAGATCACCTGAGGTCATGAGTTCAAGACCATAACATGAACAACCACAATATCCTCAAGTCCTGGAGAGGGTCAGGGATAAGCAGAGCAATGAGTCAGCGCTCAGGGAGGTCTGTGGTTAACATGCTGTGAACATGTACACAAGAGAGTTTTACATTTTGATGAAACACTTTCCTTACGCAGCTTTATAGTTTTAGATTTTAAGTATTAGGTCTTTGATTCATCTCAAATTAATTTTCGTATATGGGGTGTGATACGATTATGTACATATATTTATACACACACTTACACATAATACAGTTGTTACAGGGCTATTTACTGAAAAGACAATTCTATTTCCCATTGAATTGATTCACGCCTTGGTTGAATGTGACACAACTATATAAGGAGGGTCTATTTCTGGGTTCTTTCTTCTGTTCCATAGATCTCTTTATTGATACATATGTCAGTATCACACAATCCTGGTTACTATAGCTTAATAGTCTTAGAGTTACTTAATGTAAGTTCTCCACTTTGTACTTCTCTTACAAGATTTTTTTAGGATATTCTAGTCCCTTTGCATTTTAGAAACAGCTTGTCAATTTTTTTAATGGCATACAATAAAGGATACAACTCAGGAAGAGCCAAATGCATAGGGCAAGGTATAGGAGTATAGAGGAAGTGAGGAGCTTTCATGCTCTCTCTAAGCACATCCCTGTCTCAGCAAGTCAATGTGTTTACCAACCCAGACTCTCCAGCTTCATTTTTTTTCTAAGTTAACTAAGCAACATTATCAACACCACTATTCAAATGCAAAAACAAAACAAGATTGTTAAAAGCTGCCTCTAGTGGTTTTAATAACATGCAGAAAAGCTTGTTATTATGCTATGTAGCTAACAAGCAGGCTACAAAACTATATAAGAGCAAAATTATAATTGGAGAAAATTCACCCAAAAACAAAAGGAAAACACACACACACACACACACACACACAATGAGGGTGGTTTTCTTTGAGTAGTGGTTCTACAGGTGGTTTTTTGAAGCTTCTTTTCACTTTTCTGTATTTAACAAATGTTTATCAATGAATATGTATTATTTTGCAATGGGGAAAGATTTTTTAAAAGAAGTACCTCAACAGTTATTTTTGAGTTTACAATAACCACTTCTTTTCTCATTCACAGACTGTTGGCTGTAATTGGTGATT
Organism: Homo sapiens; assembly: GCF_000001405.40. Classification (NCBI taxonomy): domain Eukaryota; kingdom Metazoa; phylum Chordata; class Mammalia; order Primates; family Hominidae; genus Homo; species Homo sapiens. The sequence continues at coordinate 54,859,833 of NC_000006.12, read as the reverse complement.
CAAAACCCTGCATATCAAAGTTTGATAATTCTTATAGAGCAACACATGAACAAGTACAGAATATCCAAACTAAAGCCATATGGGTACAGACCCATAAAGGAAAAAAATTAAAATAACTAGATGTACTTAATTAGGGCTTAGTAAGTAGCTCACTGACACACAGTGTCATGCCTAACACTCGGGGGCTAGTACAACAGTCACTGAAAGGAGCTCCCACAGTAATCCCTAACACATGCTATCCCTTCTCATGCATTATTTAAATGCATCATACTCTACCCTCTCCACTAGACTGTGAGCTCTATGATGGCAGAGATTATGTCTGTTTAGTACAATTCTAAATGCTCAGTAAGTACATAATTGTTAAATAAGCTAATGATATACTGCCTTAATAACTGAAGGTAACAGAGTGAGAGTTGACTAAAGTCTAAACTAGAGACTGCTAAAAAATAAATTAAAAAAAATCATAATACCCGTGGCCGGGTGCAGTGGCTCATGCTGGTAATCCCAGCACTTTGGGAGGCCAAGGTGTGCAGATCATGAGGTCAGGAATTGGACTCCAGCCTGGCCAACATGGCGAAACCCAGTCTCTACTAAAAATACAAAAGTTAGCTGGGCATGGTGGTGGGTACCTGTAATCCCAGCTACTCAGGAGGCTGCGGCAGGGAGAATCGCTTGAACCCGGGAGGCGGAGGTTGCAGTGAGCTGAGATCACGCTATTGCACTCCAGCCTGGGTGACAGAGTGAGACTCCGTCTCAGTGCTGGGGGCTGGGGGGTGGGCACGGTGTCGGGGGAGGAATTATAATGCCCATACAGAAACTGTCAATATCTGAACATATATTTGCTTATGTTAAATCGAGGTTAGGTTTTTGGTAATATAAAATATTACCCATTTATAAAGGGCTTCAGAAAGAATAACCAGAAATGCGCTGAGTACTGTAAAAGTGATTAGGTAAATGGATAGATCTATATCAAAAACATAAATATTAATTTCAAATGAGAACTTTGTCAGAAGAAGAAAGGTGGTATCAAGTGTCTCTGGGGATTCTCCATAAAATTTGCATTTTTCATTATTTTATTATGTTAAAGTCATTCTGCAAACAGATTCTTGGCATTTTCATTAATCATAAAAAAATAAATTACTAAGTCTTGTGTTTTCAACACAAATAGTGATACAAATTAGCTATAAAGCATGACTCATTTTTTCTTGTGTTTCTGGTATCAGTTTTGTTATTATATAAACTTATTTCAATAGCAAGAAAAGATTAATTGGCTGTTTAAATAAATTATGGTTATGTATATTTCATATATCAATAAGGTGAAATTGAAGTAACTATATATTTCAGAGCAGTCCCTGGGAAGCTGAAGTCTATATTTTACAACTTGATATAACAGAACAGTGTAAGGCTTAAGTTCATCCAATAAGTCATCCAAATATGAATCTAGATTCTTTTTTCAAGAAGAATGCATCCCTCACTCTACTCTAAAGGTAGGCAAAACTTACAACAAGATGAGGATCTCCTTTTCTTGAAAATGTCGGATAGGTGGGGGAAATGACTTTTAAATAGTGACTATTGTTAGTGCCAATGGTATCTGAAAATCATTGCTGAGATATGCAGAAGACTAAGAATTTTCCTCAAGTGTCATCAAAGCTATTGATTTTCCTGTTATCAGGGTTTGGACTTGGGAGTTGCCATCTCTCTTCGCTCTTCTCTCTTTACTCTCCCAGAATAATCCCGTCCAGTCTTACATCCATGAATGACTTGCAAACATCCAGACTTCACTGCTCCCTTCTCCTCTAGACTCACATATCCAGTTGGTTTGTGGACCTCTTCCCTGGATATCCAACAGGTTTTCTTTCTTTACACCTAACATCCTGAGTTAATTTCCAACTTAGGATCTTTGCACTAGCTGTTCCATCCACCTGGAATGCTCCTTTTTTTTCATTTCTATCTTATCCATATGCCACCTTCTCTGAGAGGTCTTCCCGACTACCCATTGTAGAGAGTGCCCACTCTCTCTGCCATACTTAATCGTTGTACCCTGCTCTAACTTATAACACTTATTATGTGAAGTAAGTAAAATATTTATTTATGTGCTATTTCCTGTACCCCCTTCAGTAAAATAACAGCTGCTTAAAGGCCACTGAGTCTGTATATTCTAATTTACCACTGGCCCCATCATGTTGGTTATTCCATATTTTAGGTATCATCACTGTCTTGGATAAGACCTATTCTCTTACATTACAAGTAAATTCAGTTCTGCCCTCACGGTATAATTATAAAGGAGAAATAACTAGAGATCTGTCGACCTACCCCTTACTTATTCACCTTGACTCTCCTCCTCCTCACTTCACAACACTCATACATAATTCCCTGAACACCACGGGAAGCAGGGTTCAGTCTCGTTCAACCTCAGTTTCAGAAATGTAGTATAATTTACAACAAAGACATATTTAGACAAAAACACCACAGGCAACAAGAGCCCCATGGAGTGAAATGCTGAATGTGTCATGTGCCCTCCTGTCCCACCTCTGAGTCTATTTAAGGCCAATAAAGTCACTCTTGGTGCATGCTGACATTTGCAGAGTAAATGCTGTAGGAAAAATGATAAATGTGTGTTCCAATACCAACTTTTAAAACAGCTTCCCAAATACATTTAACAAGGGTAGTGTGCCTCAACTATAAAATAGTGCGAAAGTCTATAAATAAAATGTCTTAAGAAAATGTATTTTGTTTAGTTATGTTAGGAACAGCTTTTCATAAAAAGTAAAATTGTTACATACATTTAGTGGCAGAAAAGCAGTCTCAGACGCTTATAAAGTAGAGGGTTAAAAACAGAAATAATTTTGTGCCAATTGTGTAAGTGGACACAAATTTATTTAGTTCGAATGCCAAATAATATTAAATATTAATAATATATCTAGCCTGGAAAGCTTTTAGTTTTCACTTGGTTAAAGAGCCATATAAATAATCAGAATATCTAAAAATAATCCCAATACCTACCAATTCTTTATCAGTCATTTCCCTTAGGATTCACTTGTAATCAAGCCTGCCTAGACAGCTGTATCACAACTGAAAAAAGTGCTTTTCTCTTTATGTTACCCCAGAAACTGCCAACAAATCTGATCAGAAAACTAGCCCACTCTAGTTCGACTTTTTGTTCTTTTCAAAATAACCTTTTTTGTTGGCTTCTTTACTTGTTTATAGAGCACTTGCACACAGGGAAGTTAATAAATAAGAGATAAATAAAGAAATATATATTTTAAATGTGTAAAATGCTGCTGGATTTATATAGACAGATTTCTAGGACTTGTGGGTTACATATGAACAGTCACTTGGTTTCTCAGCTTTCTCTCTCTACAATTGTGCTCAATTCTTCTGACAGCAGGGCTAACTTGCAAGACTGCAATTCTGAGACAAAGCTGATGTTTATAGAACTCTGCTAGTCACAGTTGCTTAAACCACACCTGAACCAGAAAATGCACCTGGCAGCTTATTTCACTTTCATTTGTCCTTAAGGCCTATGTCAGCATAACAGTGGGGGAGAGGGAGACGACTTGGCCACATGGTATTGCAGCTATCACTGGTTGACTTATCGCTCTGCACAATTTACATATGGGTGTGTATATGTGAGTCCATGAGTAAATCTTGCTTTTTCCACTCCTTCGCAGCTCAAAGTTCTAACTGATTTCAAAGACAGGGCTCCTCACTTAGTCTCTCAATTAAGCTTTCCCCAAAGAGTTGTGGCCATTATTTAGCAATTGCTACAACACTACATATCTTAAGTGAAAAGACCTTGGCACCCTTTCCATGGAATCATCATTGATTATGTTATCTATACCTTTCTTCTCTTTCAGTTTTAACCATCCTCTGTACAAATCAAAAATATTTATCATATGTATACAAAATAAACTGAATTATTTGGGAGACAATGGAATTTCTACATTGTTACATTAAAATCAAAGATGATTCATTTCTTTAACTCAAGTAATTAATGGTTTTATCAAATTATTTACTCTGTGTGTGATACATCCACACACATACTTAGGATTTCAAGGGCTCCTGCCCCCACTTTTTGGTGAATCGTATTTTGGATCCACCCCAAATTTCTGTGGAATCACATTTTGGATCTAATGACCTTGGAGAGATTTAACACTCTTCTTTTCCTGTAAATGTCTTATTCTAATTCTTCCACATACAAGATTTAACATGCTAAATGGGAGTAAAGCCACTCCATAAACAAAATATAGAATTTCAAATAGTTTGAAGACCTTATGTTAATAACAGAGCTATGAGTATGGCTTTGAGTATGAACCAAAGGTGACAGATTTCTCAGATAATATATTGAGATATCAACGGACATGAATTGGCCTAGTATCACACAAATAAGTGCTTCTGCAATAAACCACTTTCTATATTTTTTTCAACGTATATGGACTGATGTTTTTGTCTGACATTAACAGACATAGAAATTGTAGCCATATGCTGTAATTTTCAATTATATGTATAAGTGATCTCCTACTTAGCTCTTTTGACATTTGAAAATCCTGAACTTTTCTGCATGAGAGATTGACACTCAAAACAACTTTAATAATTCTAGTCTTTAATCCATCAATTACTAAGTATTTCATTTTACTGTACATGGGGCTGCCAGCATGTCAATATGCAGTTTCAATAATATCACTGTATTTCTTTTTACTGCGTATTTGCACACTTATTTGAATATTTTATTGCAATTTGAACTTATAATCAATTTTGAAAACTGGAAAAATGAAAATTCTGAAGTTAGTGACAGGATGTTTATAATTTGGATACAATTAAAGCAAAGATGAACTTCACTGTACATGCCAAGAGAAGCGGCCCTTTGGTCTTGATCAGATGACCATTGCACACGTGTTCCATTGTGAAGAAAAGGAACAATTTTTTAAAAGTATAAAATACTAGAAACATATTGTTGAATATTGTGTTTACAATGTTTACAGAGTAATCAATCGTCAATTGTATTTATATTTTAGCTACTAGAAAATAAAATTTGACTTGTATTAGAATATAAAATTTGACTTTCACACCTAGGCATACGCTGAAGATAATACAGGTTGGGTTCCAGACACCACAATAAAGTGAGTATTGCAATAAAATGAGTTACACAAATTTTTTTTGGTTTCCCAGTGCATATATAAGTTATGTTTACATTATACTGTGGCTTATTAAGTGTGCAATAGCATTATGTCTGAAACATCAATGAACAACCTTAGTCAAAAGATAAGTTATCCCTAAAGAAATGCTAACTATCATCTGAGCCTTCAGCAAGTTGTAATCTTTTTGCCATTGGAGGGGCTTGTCTTGATGTTGATGGCTGCTGACTGATCAGGGTGGTGGTTGCTGAAGGGTGGGGTGGCTATAGCAATTTCTTAAAATAAGACAATAACGAATTTTGCCAGAAAGATTGACTCTTCCTTTCACAAACGATTTCTCTGTAGCATGCAATGTTGTTTAACAGCAGTTTACATATGGTAAAACTTCTTTCAAAATTAGAGTCAATCTTCTTAAATCCTGCTGCTGTTTTACCAACTAAGTTTTTATAATATTCTAAATTCTTTGTTGTCACTTTAACAATGTTCATAGCACCTTCACCAAGAGAGTAGATTTCATCTCAAGAATCCACTTTCTTTGTTCATCTATGAGAAACAACACCACATCCATTAAAGTGTTATCATGACACTGAAAAAACTAAGCCACATCTTCAGGCTCCTCTTCTAATTCTATTAATAGGTCCCTTGCTATTTCCACCATATCTGCAATTACATCCTCCACAAAAGTCTTGAACCTTTCTAAGACATCTACAAGAGTTAGAATCAACTTCTTTCAAACTGCTGTTAATGTTGATATTTTGACCGCCTCCCATGGATCACAAATGTTCTTAATGGCATGTAGAATGGTGATTTCTTTCCAGATTTTCTATTTATTTTGCTCAGATTCATTAGAGGAATCACTTACCTGTGGCAGCTATAGCTTTATGAAATGCCTTTTTAAATAATAAAACTTAAAAGTCAAAGTCACTTCTTGATCCATGTGCTATGGAACAAATGTTGTGTCAGAAGGCATGAAAACAACATTAATCTCCATCAGATCTCTTAGGTGACCAGGTGCACAGTCTATAAGCAATAACATTTTGAAAGGAATCTTTTTTTTCTGAGAAGTAGGTCTCAACAGTAGGCTTAAAAAGTCAGTAGACCTTGCTGTAAACAGATGTGCTCTCATCTGAGCTTTGTTGTTCCATTTACAGAGCACAGGCAGACTAGATTTAGAATAATTTTTGAAGACCTTAGGCATTCTGGGATGGTAAATGAGCAGTGGCTTCAACTTAAAAGTCACCAGCTGTATTAACCCCTAAAAAGTCAGTCAGCCTATCCTTTGAAGCTTTGAAACCAGGCATTGACTTCCCCTCTCTAGCTCTGAAATACTAGATGGCATCTTCTTCCACTAGAAGGCTGTGTCACCTACATTAAAAATGTGTTGTTTAGTGTCACTTTGTTCATCAATTATCTTAGCTAGATTTTCTGGATAACTTGCTTCAGCTTCTTCATGAGCACTTGCTGCTTCACTTTGCACATTTACATTTTGGAGACAGCTTCTTTTCTTAAACCTCAGGAACCAACCTCTGCTAGTTTCATACCTTTCTCCTCCAGCTTTCTCATCTCTCTCAGCCTTCACAGAATTGAAGAGAGTTAAGGTCTTGCTCTGGATTAGGCTTTGGCAGAGAATGTTGTGGCTGGCTTGATCTATCCAGGGGTGTCTAATCTTTTGGCTTCCCTGGGCCAAAAAGGATTGTCTTGGGCTACGCATAAAATACACTAACAACAATAGCCAATGAGCTTAAAAAAAGAAAAAAAAATTGCAACAAAAATCGAATAATCTTTTAGGAAAGTTCACAAATTTGTATTGGGCAGCATTCAAAACTGTCCTGGGCTATATATGGCCTGCAGGCCACAGATTGAACAGCCTTGAATTCTAGACCAATAAGATTTTCTCCCTATCAGCAATGCCATTTTACTCTCTCATGATGTGTGTGTTTACTGGAGTAGCACTTTTAATTTCCTTCAACAACTTTTCCTTTGCTTTCACAATTTGGATAATTGTCTAGTACAAGAGATTTAGCTTTTAGCCTATCTCAGCTTTCAACATGACTTCCTCACTGAGCTTAATCATTTCTAGCTTTTGATTTAAAATGAGGGCATGCAACTCTTCCATTCCCTTGAACATTTAAAGGCCCTGGTAGAGTTATTAAGTGGCCTAATTTCAATACTGTGCCCAAGGAGTGGGAAAGGCACAGGGGAATGGCCAGTTGGTGGAGCAGTCAGAACACACACAACATTTATAGATTAAGTTCACTGTCATATGTGCACATGATTTGTAGCACCCCCAAAAAATTACAAGAGTAACATCAGAGATCAATGATCACCAAAAAAAGATATTATAATAATGAAGTTTGAAATATTGTGAGAATTATCAAAATGTGACACAGAGACACAAAGTGAGCATGTGCTGTTGGAAAAATGGCACTGACAGACTTGCTTAAGGCAGTGTTGCCAGAAACCATCAATTAGTAAAAACACAATTGCTGCAAAGTACCATAAAGCAAAGCACAATAAAACGAGATATGCTTCTAATTTTACTTGTACAGATTTTTAGAATACCAAAGTAGAGAACTGTGCTGATAAAGATGACAGACAGAAATAAAGAACTGTAAATAGGCCAGGCGCAGTGGCTCACACCTGTAATCCCAGCACTTTGGGAGGCCGAGGTGGGTGGATCACAAGGTCAGGAGTTTGAGACCAGCCAGGCCAACATAGTGAAACTCCGTCCCTACTAAAAACACAAAAATTAGGCCGGGCGCGGTGGCTCACGCCTGTAATCCCAGCACTTTGGGAGGCCGAGGCGGGAGGATCACGAGGTCAAGAGATCGAGACCATCCCGGCTAAAACGGTGAAACCCCGTCTCTACTAAAAATACAAAAAATTAGCCGGGCGTAGTGGCGGGCGCCTGTAGTCCCAGCTACTTGGGAGGCTGAGGCAGGAGAATGGCATGAACCCGGGAGGCGGAGCTTGCAGTGAGCCCAGATCTCGCCACTGCACTCCAGCCTGGGCGACAGAGCGAGACTCCGTCTCAAAAAAAAAAAAAAAAAACACAAAAATTAGCCGGGCATGGTAGCGCCTGCCTGTAGTCCCAGCTACTCGGGAGGCTGAGGCAGGAGAATCACTTGAACCCGGGAGGCAGAGGTTGTGGTGGGCCAAGATCACGCCATGGCACTCCAGCCTGGGCAACAGAGTGAGACTGTGTCACAAAAAAACAAACCAAACCAAAACAAAACAAAACAAAATGTAAATAAATAGGTAGTTCAACAGATGGTGAAATGGACAAATAAATAGAAGTATGAAATGGGAGATGAGAAAGAAGAAAGATGAACGGGAAAAAAAGTAAATCAGAAGGACTCAGAAGGGATAGATAAAAAGAGAAGGTAAGTGAAGAGAAAAACATAATGGGAGGGAAGAGAAGAGAAGCATAAAAGAAAAAAGAAGGAAGAGAAGGGACAAAAGGAGGATACAAAGGATGAGATGTGACAAAAAAAGATGAAAAGGCCAATAAAGATGAAAATGGAAAGGAAGGGTTGAAACTAAAAAAAAGAATCACAGGGGAACACTGTAAACAGTTACTTACTCTAAAAACAACTTAGCTATATTGCACTCATCTTTAAACAAATAAGTCAGAAGTTACATTTGAGAAAAATACAGCACTTTTTTTTTTTTTTTTTTTTTTGAGATGAGTCTCACTCTGTCACCCAGGCTGGAGTGCAGTGGCGCGACCTGGGCTCACTGCAAGCTCTGCCTCCCAGGTTCAAAAAATTCTCTGCCTCAGCCTCCCAAGTAGCTGGGATTACAGGCACCCGCCACCACGCCTGGCCAATTTTTGTATTTTTAGTAGAGACGGCGTTTCACCACCTTGGCCAGGCTGGTCTTAAACTCCTGACCTTGTGATCCACCCGCCTCAGCCTCCCAAAGTGCTGGGATTACACGTGTGAGCCACTATTTCCAGCCGTTAAAATATAGTACTTTTAAAACATCTGTTGAATGAGTCTTATGAGACTAGGTATTTGGAGTAACATGCTGTTAAGAATTAAAGCCATCATTGCCAGTGTGTATATATAAATGACAGCCCAAACATCTTATGTTGAGTTATTCTATTACCACCATTGAGATGGAAGATGACACTCTTTAGTGCTTTGAAAACTGCCTTTTCTTCTCCAAGTAGTAATGTTTATGTAATCAAAGAAGGAATCTGATGTTAAAGAACGAAAACCTTTTGAAATGAAAATTTGGCCAAAGAAGTGGAAATAATAAGCTTCACAGTGATACTGTGGGGAAACCTTAGTTAACATTATTTTATGATACTCTCAATAAGAAGTGATCACAGAGAATTTCAGAGCAGTGTGGGTGGGACACAGGAGTGACCACATAGTCTAAACCTTTCACAATACCAGTGAAAAACCTGCAAGCCTAAAGAATGTTAATACTTTGTCAAAAAACATGACTATCCCAGGGCTGCTAATGTTCAATTTCACAAATGATTAATGAACACAAACAACGTCTGCTGTGACCTTCAGAGAATAGGAAGGAACTACAAAAATCAGTGGACTTGATCCATTTATTTATTTGTGTACTTATAATTATCATTAGGTTCCTAAACTGGAAGCTTCCTAAGATCCAGGAATATATTTTTACTTTCCTACCCCTGGAGAGGAACATATTGCTTGGCAGATAATGGTCAATAAATATGTTTAATCAAAGGGATAGTGTAAAAGAGCACAAAGTTAGAGCCATTAGATAATCATCATCACTGCATAACTTCTCTATAAACTCTTCAACATAGGCCCCTGCCAGTAACCGGGAGACTACACCTGACTCTATGTCAGTATGCAAGAGAGGCTGACCATGACTAATTTAAGTTTCCCATGGACCAGTAATCTACAAATTATTTAAGACACAGCTGAAAAGATAAATGTCATGTGCCCTTAGGGGACTTCTCACCCCACTCTTAAGGACAATGTAAAAATAAAACAAAAGACAAACTGGGTAGTAATTAGATGTCCCCAGAGGAAAAGTTTCCTACCGTTCATGATCATGTGATTCCAGGACTTCCCAACATAGACAGCATGCCCAATGAATATCTCTCATATTTGGATCATCTCTCCACCAAGGCTCACCTTCCTTACAGCATCACAGCCCCTGAAAACATCCTTTGCCCCCTCCATCACCCACCCCTACCTTCTGTACATGTTAGCCCCCTGCCTCCTTAGTGCACCCTCCTCCCCAGCATACAGCCCACTTGCCCCCCACTCCACCTCACCTCCACGTATATCCTTTCCACTGGAGCCTACCATTTCCCCCAGCTCTTGTCTCAGGAGCCCACAGCACTCAGCCTCCCAATCCCCTTGGGAAGCCTGCTCTACCCTTAGGGGCCAGGATACTTCTAGACAGTGCCCATGCCCATTGGCACACCTCAGTGGGAAGGAAGCTCCCACTGAAGGCTCTAACACATTTTCTCAGAGAAATGTTGTTGGCTTTGATTCTTGATGGAGTTTAAGTGCTATTTGTACAACTTTTTATCTACGGCATCCTTAAAGCTGGGCTGTGAATAACCATCATTTAGAACTCTGTTTCCATGGGGGAGCGGATGTATTCTGATGTTCAGATGATAAATTCAACAACAAAATTCTAAAATACATTCCATCTCCAGATCAGAAATTAAAGGAACAAAAGCACATTTCAAAATGAACAAAACATTGTGTTTAAAAAGGTGAATTGTGAAACATCCATGGGACATTCACATTTTGCAACTTATAAAGGGACAGACGTGCAAACTTACCTAACTAGATAAACAAGGACAACTTGAAATTTTACCAATAATTCATTAAATTAAGCTAAGTGGCCTCTTTTCAAAAGGTCTCCTCCAACCAGATTTATGTATTAGAAGAGTCCCGCTTTGATGGGATAACAGTTTCACCCCAAGATTCTGGACACTTAAAAGTATAATAACATTACATTTTGGCAACTCAGTATTGTATAATGTAATTAAATGGGAAACAAGTAGGTTAGTTGCTGCAAGGTGAGTCATGGTCAAGAAAATACTCAGTGAATGAACCTCCACCTTAACCTATAAAGAACGGTGGACGGTAGAGGAAATAAAATAGAAAGATTAATAAAATTAATTACTTCATCCCAAAAAAGTTTAGCCAGTTAGCGTCATAAACTCAAGGGCATAAACGTAAAAGACATCACTGAGTCAGCACCAGAGGTGTGGTTTGTCTCCATCTATACAATCTCTTTCAGCAACTGTTCAACTGGTAATGCTTCCCACAATAAATTCTCAGCATCTGCGGTCTAAAGCCTGCCAGCTTTAAAGGCAGGATCCACCCAGCCCCTTAGGCAGGCTCTAGAGGGTGTAGCCAGCACCCTAAATAGGTGTATACCCCACGTGTGCCTGAGCCCCAAAGGCAAGGGGGTGGAATTTGCAATTGGAAGGTGTGGGGACTTCTACTTTTCTGGGAACTATAGGAAGACAGAGAGAAACAAACGCAACAAAGACCTGCACTCCCAACCTTCCATCATTCTGTTTCACATTATTCTCATTCTCCAATCATTTTGAGCCTCCCACCGCCACCCCCACCCCCACTCCAATAAAAAACAAAAAACCCCAGTTTTCTCTTCTAAGTCTCTTTCATCACTCTCTCCCTTCCTGTTGCTTGTCAGCAATGATTCAGCCTCAGTCATGGATTTCCTCGGGGCTCTTGCACTTGTTAGGATGAGAAAGGGAAAGAAGGGAGGTGCCTGCCAGTAACCTAGCAAGATGTTTGTAACTGGGAATTTGGACATAAGCTGTTGAGCATTAAATTCTAGCCTCAATTGCTTGCCACCCGCACACCTTCTTCTTAAGTGTTCTGGCCGCCTGAGCTCTCATTTCCACTTCTAGGTCAGAGAGACCCTATAACTTCACCGCTCCGAGCATAGACAACATGCTAACCTGTGTTTCCATAACCTCCCAGCCTCCTCCTATAAAGAAAGCGCTGTTGTCTCTTTACATACCTATGACTCCTGCAATGAACACAGGCATTCTCTGCCTGTCCATTAACCTTACACAGGTAAGTCTCCCCACATATCACACAGAATAGGCCAAAAGTCTCCAAGTCCCGTTCCAGGAGCAATCTGCTCTAGGCCTACTCTCCTCTTCTAGATCACTCACCAGGATCTAGAGCAGTGGTTCTCAAACTTTGGTAGGTACAGGCTCTCCTGGAGAGCTGCTAGGGCACACAGACCCAGACTCAGGCCGACCCAAGTATGAAAAACACAGGTCGCTACCAGTCTGCACTCAGAAACGGGATCCTGTACAATTAAGAGGTTGTGTGAAAAAACTGTCTTTTCAAGTTCTGCTCCCCACTCAGGATCTAAAGAACACCCACGCCCCTCAGCGACCTAAGCTCTCCCACCTTTTCCCGGAACCCCCCACCCCCATGCCCTCTGCTTCCACCCTGGACTTCCTCCCACGAGACTTTTCCCAGCGGTCTCTCCTCCCGCTTCCCCTCCCGGGGTCCTCGGCGCACTCCTACACTGGAAAAGAGGAAACAAATGCAGCCTCCACGAGGGGCGGCGCCAGTCCTCTGGGGACCCAAACCGACTCCGCCCGAGACAACTTTTCAAACTTCTCAACTCACTCGAACCCCCACGACAATGAAAGAAACGTAGAAAAGACTGAAGCAACTGAGCTTTACACCCTGTGGAATTTCCAATCCCGCCTGCGCTCCCAAGGGAGAGTCCCCTATCCCTCCCGTCCGCCGCGCCGGCCAGGGGCGGGTGAAGCCCCGGGCCCCCCCAGTACCCCAAGCACCTCAACCCTGCACCCGCTGGGGTCCCGTCCGCCGAGGTCCGGGGCAAGGGAGCCCAAACCCCACTTACTTGCCCCAAGCCGCGCGCAACCGCGCCCGCCGCACAGCGCCGGCCGCCGAAGGTTTGCCTCCCAGGAAGCAGCAAGCGCCTGGGCGCGGGCAGGGAGGGGAGGGGAGTTACCTGCCCAGCGTCAGGTCCGCGGAGGGAGGCTGATTCCGGCTCGAACCGCGCCTCCCCGAGACAAGGTGCAGCGCTGGAGGGGGCGGGAGTGGAGACGGGTTACAACAAGTCCCAAGTGGTGGCACGCCAAACCCCGAACAGCCAGAAAGCGCTCGGAACCTGTCTGAACTCAAACACCCTGCTCTCTCCCAGCGGAGTATGAAAAAGCCTTTCTTTCCTGCCCGCCCTCGGGGCTACGGGGCAATTACAAGTCCCGACACCCTGCTCCTGGTCTGGGGCGAGGAGCGATCCCGGAGGACAGCGACGCTCACCTGGGAAGAAGGCGGATCTAGGCCGAGCGGGGCCGTGGTCCCGTCCTCGCTTTTCCCTGGGCTCAAGAATGCCTGGAGGAGAGGCCTGGGGGCCGCGGGTGAGAGCAAGGGTTGTAGCACCTTCGAGAGTGTGGGGCGGATTCAGCCCACAGTAGGTAATTCCAGTGGGCATCCCGCAGTGCAGACTCCTTCTCAGTGCCTAAGAGTCTTTAGGCTTGGAGAGGACGTGGGGAGTGGAAAAGTAGAAGAAAAAGTGCTTGTGCCTTTACTTTTTTATGTAAAAGAATTTCAAATATCATCAAAGATTTTGGTACTGACTCTCAACTGTCCTAGTTACAGATTTGGGATGAAAGGATATTGTTTAAAATAGGGAGATGTGCGTGAAAGCAGGTCCCTCTAGGTGGGATACTGCGGAGCAATGTTACGGAAGTGGAGACACTATAATTTAAACATAAAATACAGTAATTAATAAAATTTATTTTTTAATTTCCTTGCCTACACCTCAGTAAATCTGTCATGAGTATTTATAATAATTTGTGTAATCACGTAGACTTCAAGATAAAGTCATTTGCAGCAAATGTCTAAAATGCAGCCTAGTACTGTAAGAATGGAATTTAGGGTAGTAATAGGCATATTTTAAGCGTCTGGCATAATATATAAATTATCATAAAATTGAATTGACCCTTAAAAATGACTTTCGTGGCGATTTTGCTCCAAATAAAACAGTTGAGGAAAATGCTAAGCCATTAAGGTTTGGATGAATCCCTGACTGACGTGCTGATTTAAACTGAAGAATGAAATTCGCATTAGTCTAGATACTGAAACATCAGAGCAAAGGCCAAAGACAGGAAAGTAAAAGCAAATTCCAGGATTAGTACAAAGCTAATCTTCCAGATCTTGGTGTCTGGTTTGTAGTTTCATTTCTTCAAAAGAATGTAGAGAATTGTCTTGTTTTATGTATTTATTTTTTCCTTCTGTTCCTAATTTTCACATCTCACTTTTTAATATTTTTTCAGTTCTCTTCCTCATTTTTGGCATGCAATCCATTGACTAAATTAATATTCTCTATGTGGTACTTAATATACTGGCGTGTTTCTACAGCCTTTGAGAATAATTCTGAATGTCTCTTAAAGGTGCAATACTTATGAACGTTTTGAGATGCACTTATCCTATTGTTAAAAATATCAAGAATATTTGGAGTTAAATGAGGCCCATAGGAAGTCTAATTTTATTAAGATATGCACTCATGCTAAGTCAAGTGAAATCACAAAGAAAGAAGGATATATCTACTCGAGTGTTCATTATTAAAAGCAAACAAAAGATCAGAAAATAGACGTGGAGAGGGAGAATCTATTAAAGGTATTATGCTATGTAAGACCTTTCCATCCTTAATGGGATGGAAAAATAGATAAAATTGATCTCACCCCTTAAGGAGCCTAGAAGGTGGGTGAGGAATGTGGACAGAATTTCACAGAACTATTAGAATTTGAGTTGGGTCCCGACTGATGAGCAAACTTGTCAGGAGAATGAAATTGACATGTGATTAGATGCTGAAAGAGCAGAGTAAAGGCTAAAAGCAAGTTCCAGAACCACGCAAATCAATTACCTGATTTGGCCATGGGCATCACATGGTTGTGAGTGGTGGAAGATACATTTAGACATAAAGTTTGGAGTAATTTTCTCACAGAATGAGATCAAAATTATTTATAATCTAAGATTGTTGTGAGAATTATAAATTAGATATGGTATGTGGAAAACATCCCAGCTCTTGATCTGTGGTAAGCCCGTAAGTGCATTACTATTAATTATACTGGGAATCAGATTGGGAAGAACTCTGATTGCAAGCTGAAAAATATGGACTTGTGTCTCTTGCTGGTGATATGTTGACTAATCTAACAGTTGGTGACTTTGGTATAAATTCTAGGGAGTCAGGAAGAGTAGTTATGCCTAGCTGTCATGTGAATAGTATGACAAGGGAAGGAATAGTGAAAATGAAAAGGAGGAAACCGATTTGAGAGCCAATGAAATAGAAAATCAATATGATTTGCATCAGATAGAATGGATGTAGAATTGAAAGTGAAAGAAATAACTAGGTTTTCTTTTCTTTCTTTCCTTTTTTTGAAACAGGATCTTGCTCTGCCCCCTAGGCTGGAGTGTAGTGTCTCAACTCACTGCAACATCCAACTTTTCAGCTCAAGCAACTCTCCCACCTCAGCCTCCCTAGTAGCTGGGATTACAGGTGCATACCACCAAACCCAGCTAATTTTTGTATTTTTTTTAATAGAGACAGGGTTTCACCATGTTGCCCAAGTTATAACCTAAGTGTTTTCAAGCTGCCAAAAGTCATCAGTAGAGGGAAAGAAAGAAATAAAATGGCCATGTATGTGAAAAGTAGGAAGAGGCAGGAGCAGGATCATGTGAAAGGTTGTTTTCAAGTTGTTGGGAATCTTTCTGTAAATGTGTTGGAAAGGAAATAGCAGAGAATAGAAAGAATAATGGGTAATGAACAAGGTCCAGATGATATGGGAAGGGAGATATAAAACCTCAGTCTCTCCATATGATAAGTATGCCTAATAAATTCTCAACTGTATTATTTTTTAAATGGATAGGTTATATTTAAGACAGAAACTAAAACTAGACTTTTACAGTTAATACTTTAAAAGTAGCTAACAGGATGGATGGGAAGATTACACTAATGGCTCACACCTGTAATCCCAGCACTTTGGGAGGCCGTGGCAGGATCACGAGGTCAGGTGATTGAGACCATCCTGGCTAATATAGTGAAACCTCATCTGTACTAAAAATACAAAAATTAGCTGGGTGTGGTGGTGCACACCTGTAATCCCAGCTACTTGGGGGGCTGAGGCAAGAGAATCACTTGAACCCGGGAGGTGGAGATTGCAGTGAGCTCAGACCGTGCCACTGCACTCCAGCCTGGAGACAGAGCGAGATTCCGTCTTTAAGAAAAAAAAAAAAAAAAAAGGCTTTTAAAAACTACAAGTCAACTCAATCTTCATTTGCATCTTTACCCTCATTCTATAATATTTAATCTAAAGTCTAAACAAATCAGTGGAAATACGAAGTTACACTTAACAGGCATGTATTTGCCTCCCATATTGAGTTCAAATATACAAGGGGGTTCAAAAGCAATCAGGTATTTTTTCCTGCCCTCAAAGTACTTATAATTCTTTTTTTTTTTTTTTTTTTTTTGTTGAGGGGGAGTCTCACTGTTGCCCAGGTTGGAGTGCAGTGGCACGGTCTCAGCTCACTGCAACCTCCGCCTCCCGGGTTCAAGTGATTCTTCTGCCTCAGCCTCCTGAGTAGCTGGGACTACAGGCATGCACCACCACGCCTGGCTAATTTTTATATTTTTAGTAGCGACAGGATTTCACCATATTGGCTCGGATGGTCTCAAACTCCTGACCTTGTGATCCACCCGCCTCAGCCTCCCAAAGTGCTTGGATTACAGGTATGAGCCACCATGCCCGGCCAGTACTTACAATTTAATTGATAAGATAAAATATATGTGAAGTACAATAATCCAGAAAATAATATATATACACATAAATATAGATAACAATGAAACAGACAGGAGTTATAGAAGAGAAGAAGCAACTAATTTTATTGGGAAAGAAGGAAATCATACTCTGAATGACATGTTTCTTTTCAATTGTTGATTTGTTTTTAACAAAGATGTTCTTCAAAAATCCTTAGAAGTATGATAAGTATGAGAAGTATGTGAAGCTATTTCAGTTAGTTACCAGGTCTCAGTCATTATTTGTACACAAAAAGAGCACTAAGATTCTAGTTCCTTCAAGAGCTTTAGGATGTATGTTCAGTTCAAGACAATGGTTTTCAGGCAGATAAAGCCTTTACTACAGAAAGAATGTCATATCTAACAATAAGAAAATGGATGTGTCTCTCAAAAACATTTTCACAGCCGAGTGTGGTGGCTCACGCCTGTAATCCCAACACTTTGGGAGGCCAAGTGTTGGAGTTCGAGACCAGCCTGGCAGACATGGTGAAACCCTATCTCTACTAAAAATTAGCCAGAAGTGGTAGAACGTGCCTGTAATCCCAGCTGCTGAGGAGGCTGAGGCAGGAGAATCGCTTGAGCCCGGGAAGCAAAGGTTACAGTGAGCTGAGATCGCACCATTGCACTCCAGCCTGGGAGCCTGGGCGCCTGGGCAATAGAGTGAGACTTCGTCTCAAGAAAAAAATAAAAAGCAACAACAACAAAAAATATTTTCCCCAAGTACTTTGGGGAAGTTACCAAGCAAAATTTCTGTCAGTGTTGGCTAAACCTATGGCCAGATGAATCATCACATTAGTTTAATTGTCTTATGACATTTCATGTAAGACTACTGTGAAAATTATTGAAATGAACTTCATAATCATTTTATATATCTCTCACATTTAAATTGTTACATAAAGTATTATGTAAGTGTCATAAATACATTTATTGAGGGCTTTCTAAAGAAAAGGCATTGTGCCAAGCATTGGTTGGGGCAGAGGATAGAAAGACTAATAAAGCATAGCAGGTAATATAACTAGGAATCCTGTGTTAATTTGATTCCTTGACTTGTGTTTGTGTGTTCATTGGTGTATAGAGAACTAATTAAAGACCAGTTAAAGTTCAAAAAGATGGTACAAACATTTGTGAAAAGAGGTGTGGAAACAAATGTAATAAAATTCAATAGATTTGTAGATTAAGAATTTTTTCCTGTTTTGGTCATCACCAAGTTCCTTTAGAAGGATGAAAAACACATTATCATACTGTGTGCTTCATCCATTCTTCAAAATTATGGTGTAGTACTGGGTAATTATTTCTTTTAATTTGCAAATATTTGTAAAAGGTTAGATAATTGTAACAAATTATTTTAGAGAATGAGTTAAAGAGATATAAAATGACTTAATTAAAATAGCAGAAAATCATGGTTCTTAATTTTTAAATTGCTAAACTCATTAGATCCTATTCTCTGATGAATGCATTTCCTCTTTCTCTTGGGCAGATCAAACACATGAAAATATTAGGTTGCTTACATTTTTCATAATACACATAAATAACGTTAAAAACCATGCTGGTATTTACTGGTAAATTGCATAATCATGCCATTAGGTGTAAAAACAGAACATAGCGTGAGCTAATAGAATCTATTTGATACAAAGTACTGATTATTTTAATTATTCAATTTTTAAAATATTCATTCATCTTTTGTTATTAGTATTTGTTAAGACATGAGAATTGTCCATATTTAACATCTTTGAAAATATTAAATGTAACTTCTGAAGTCATTCGTTACTTATCATTGTTATGGATGAATATGAATAGCCATCTTCAAAAGTATTTTATCATAGCAATATGGAAAGGTCTTTATCACCAACATTGCTAACATAATCATAGACATCCATTGCTACTATATGTTGTAGGAATTATTAAAAACACACATCAGTAGTAATCATTTTTGGTGTCCTTAGAGTCACTATCTGGACTGGATTTCACAAACTTCAACTGAGGTCTGGGATATAACTTGTATTTTTTATAATTAAGACAGAGAAAAAGAGAAAACAACAACAAAAATGAAGCAAGAGTAAACTGCCAACTCCAACTGCCTTTCTGGAAGGCCTAATTTGAAGATGTCTGAAATTCTGTATCACTGGCTCCCAGACATATCATGTTTATTTGTACATCACACCTTTGCCCACCTCTGCTCAGTGGACCTCCAGCCTAAAATGCCTCCCTTGTTCCTCTGTCTCACTTCAGGTTAGTCATTGTTCAAAATCTATTTCCACATTGTCTTATTCCAGCTTTGACTGGTGTGGGCTACTTAAAATGCCTAAGACTTAATCCCTTTAGTATTTTTTCTGCCATCTACATGTGACTTTATAACATCCCTTTTATTGTTTTTTTTTCAGCTGTTATTGAAGTCTCCTGGTACAATGTGACATTTCCAGCGTCTTGTTTTCCAATCAGATCAGTGGCTCTCAGTGGACCAACTGATAAGGAACATTTGGAAAATGTTACGATGATTGAGGGCTGTACTGGTATTTGGTGGGCAGGGAATGACAATGTCCTGTGATGTATCCATCATAATGGAAAATTATCTGATGTCTTGGGCAAATAACAGCAGTCCTGCCAGACAAAATGAAGGTGAAAAATTCATTTATAATTGCCTAAGTTCAGAGCTTCTCTCTGTTTTACATACAAGTACAAGAAATGTTTGGCACAGTTTTAATGTATACTGAATTATAGGAATCCAATTACAATATATTTTGCTTAACATAGACATCTGCTAAGAATTATTCATCATTTTGTAGATCACAGCACTACGTAACTGCTTCAGAGATATAATAAAACTCATCAGTCTTCCTTAGCATCTGTAGGTCAGTCATCTCACATCTCACAGCTTCTTCTGCCTTCTGGTATATTTGTGTATGAATGTTTATATACTACAACAAATAGCATTTTTATAAATTCCTTTTATTTACTTTATAATCAGGACATAACATTACTTTTAAAAGTTATATGTAGGTTAAATTACATTATTAATAAATTTCATTGTTTTAGTGTAGCAAGACAATGTTACAAAATATTTCTTTAAAACCAAGAAGGGGCATTGAGCCTGGGAGTTGAGAACTATAGAACCATATTGTATGCATTCATGGGAGAAAACGACTGGAAAGGGGACAAGGTGAAGTGGAAAACTAGAATGTATTAAGAATTTCCTTTAATCCATCTTGAATTGATTTTTGTATAAGGTGTAAGGAAGGGATCCAGTTTCAGCTTTCTACATATGGCTAGCCAGTTTTCCCAGCACCATTTATTAAATAGGGAATCCTTTCCCCATTGCTTGTTTTTCTCAGGTTTGTCAAAGATCAGATAGTTGTAGATATGCGGCATTATTTCTGAGGGCTCTGTTCTGTTCCATTGATCTATATCTCTGTTTTGGTACCAGTACCATGCTGTTTTGGTTACTGTAGCCTTGTAGTATAGTTTGAAGTCAGGTAGTGTGATGCCTCCAGCTTTGTTCTTTTGGCTTAGGATTGACTTGGCAATGCGGGCTCTTTTTTGGTTCCATATGAACTTTAAACGTTAGACCTAAAACCATAAAAACCCTAGAAGAAAACCTAGGCATTACCATTCAGGACATAGGCGTGGGCAAGGACTTCATGTCCAAAACACCAAAAGCAATGGCAACAAAAGCCAAAATTGACAAATGGGATCTAATTAAACTAAAGAGCTTCTGCACAGCAAAAGAAACTACCATCAGAGTGAACAGGCAACCTACAACATGGGAGAAAATTTTCGCAACCTACTCATCTGACAAAGGGCTAATATCCAGAATCTACAATGAACTCAAACAAATTTACAAGAAAAAAACAAACAAACCCATCAAAAAGTGGGCGAAGGACATGAACAGACACTTCTCAAAAGAAGACATTTATGCAGCCAAAAAACACATGAAGAAATGCTCATCATCACTGGCCATCAGAGAAATGCAAATCAAAACCACTATGAGATATCATCTCACACCAGTTAGAATGGCAATCATTAAAAAGTCAGGAAACAACAGGTGCTGGAGAGGATGTGGAGAAATAGGAACACTTTTACACTGTTGGTGGCACTGTAAACTAGTTCAACCATTGTGGAAGTCAGTGTGGTGATTCCTCAGGGATCTAGAACTAGAAATACCATTTGACCCAGCCATCCCATTACTGGGTATATACCCAAAGGACTATAAATCATGCTGCTATAAAGACACATGCACACGTATGTTTATTGCGGCACTATTCACAATAGCAAAGACTTGGAACCAACCCAAATGTCCAACAATGATAGACTGGATTAAGAAAATGTGGCACATATACACCATGGAATACTATGCAGCCATAAAAAATGATGAGTTCATATCCTTTGTAGGGACATGGATGAAATTGGAAACCATCATTTTCAGTAAACTATCGCAAGAACAAAAAACCAAACACCGCATATTCTCACTCATAGGTGGGAATTGAACAATGAGATCACATGGACACAGGAAGGGGAATATCACACTCTGGGGACTGTGGTGGGGTCGGGGGAGGGGGGAGGGATAGCATTGGGATATATACCTAATGCTAGATGACACATTAGTGGGTGCAGCGCACCAGCATGGCACATGTATACGTATGTAACTAACCTGCACAATGTGCACATGTACCCTAAAACTTAGAGTATAATAAAAAAAAAAAAAAAAAAGAATTTCCTTTGTGCCAGGTATAGTGTCATTGATTCTAAAATATAGTGAATACTCTGCAGAGCTCTCCCAGCAATCACTAAGTGTTAAATGACGTGCAATCACTAAGTGTTAGAAAAGGCAATAGTTCAAGGTATAAAACATTTACTGAAGGATAACAACAAAGTTCTTGATATGGCTTTCTCAAATATATGCTCTGACCTATCTACTTCTCTATTTCACCTGGTATCCCTCCCACCTCTCCTTGTCCTATAGCCCCTGACCTCATTTTCTGAGCTCCAGCCTCTTTACTCTCCTTTCAATTACTGTATTTCACCAGGCCATCTTCTTCCTTGGGGCATTTGCACATGCTGTTCCTTATGCCTAGGAAGCTCATCTTTACACTACTTCCTCTCTCTTTTTCTTGAGGAATGCTCTCTCTGGAACTATTCCTGTGCTTTTTAAAATGCATGCTTCTTTTCTCACTTCTCATTACTTCATGGAAATCCCTCCATGTCAAAAGACAGAGTTCTAATTGTTTATTTGAATGGGTGCATAATACCCCTTGGTGAGGATATATTATATATGTAGCACACTGTCTAATTGATTAGAATTTTATATCCAGATTATTTTTTCTACTATTCACAATATTGCCATCAACATCCTTGTATATTAAAAAAAAATCTACTATGAACTCTTCCTTCACAGTTTAGCTTAACTATCTCACAGGAAAGCCTCCTGGTTTCTTAGACTCTCAATTCTAGGTTTACAAGCTTCTACGTACTTTTTCTTCCTAAAGTGTTAGGCCATTCTTTGTGTTGCTATAAAAATTACTGAGGGCCGGGTGCAGTGGCTCACACCTGTAATCCCAGCACTTTGGGAGGCCAAGGCGGGCGGATCACGAAGTCAGGAGATCGAGACCATCCTGGCTAACATGGTGAAACCCCGTCTCTACTAAAAATACAAAAAAAATTAGCCAAGCGTGGTGGTGGGCACCTGTAGTCCCAGTTACTTGGGAGGCTGAGGCAGGAGAATGGCGTGAACCCGGGAGGCAGAGGTTGCAGTGAGCCGAGATCACGCCACTGCACTCCAGCCTGGGTGACAGAGCGAGACTCCGTCTCAGAAAAAAAAAAAAAAAGAATCTATTATGAAAATTGGCTGGGCCATTAGAGCATTTGGAATGAGAAATGGTAAGAAGAAAATTAAAATCCAGATGGAATAGAACTTGAACTCCAATACCATTACTAAATTTGAGCCCAAGTTTTAGAGCCAGTTGATTTTAATTTAAATTCTGAGTTTTTTGAGATTTGTTATGACCATTTAGCATAGCAACTTCAATTTCTATGTCTCCATATCCATATCCCTAAATCTAGCATAATTATAATAATACTGACTAACCTCAAAAAGATGTTGGGTAGCTTGTAAAACCTGCAATTATCATACAAAAGTCCAGTATTACTATGGTTATCATTACTGCAGACATTCCACACCTATTTCAAACATTGAAGCCAAGATCAGCTCTAAGATGAATTAGACAGAAACATAGTCTTTTTTCTCTAAGTGGCAAAAATTCCTTTATAATGGTTTATCTTGAATGACCATGTTCTAAAGAGACCAGCTGATATTTCAAAATAATTCCCCCCAAATTAAGTTTTCACTTAGCACAACCTGTGGACAAGGTGAAGGTATTTATGTTCAATTAAGCCAATCAGATTTTCCCTTGGAATTTGGAGACAACTTCAGCATGTGTCTGAAGCTATAAAATCAAACTGTGCAGTAACTATATGTAGTCATGCAGATAGAAAAGCAAAGAACACTGATCTGAAAAGAGGACAAGGACACAAAGGCACAGGGCAAAGAAAAGACAAAAAATGAAACCGAGTCCTAATTGCTTTTCATTTTGTAGCTCCAGGTTCTGCATGAGGCTTGGATGTGATCCTGTCCGTAGGCTCTGGGAGATGAGATATGCATACATCCTCATAACACATTTTTCCATTCCTATATTTGTAAACACAAATGGGTGTCTGTTACTTGTGTTCGAAAGAATTCTAGCTAATAACCTATTTTAGTATCATGTGAAGTGCTGAGAATAATAGACCCTCAGAAAATATGGAACTGGCTAAATTAGGCAAGGTTCAGGTGCAGAAAGGTTTTCCCACTCCAGGGGAGAAATTGGTAGTCTACTATACAGTGATGTTTTTGAATAAGCTTTTATCTGTTCGTTCTTAATACTTAGGCTGAATGCTTACCAATGATGAAACTTTTGTAGAAATAGTAGCAAATATCTGCAAATGTGAGAGTGTGTTGTTTGCGCCCTGATATATTTCATTTTAGCCTAGAATGTGCTCCAATCCTGTGCTCAATTGTAATTTAAAAAAATAAATAAATAAAAATAAAAAATAAAAATAGCTGTGTCACTGATTTAAAATATTTGAGGTCCAGGCAAAAATAATAATAATAATAATAATAATAATAATAATAATCATGAATCAAATGAATTGCAGCAGGTAGATTCAACTGGAACTATGGATAAGATTGATGCTGACTGAAAAACTACAGAATCTTAATATTGGATGTATACATATCAAACTTGACCATCCTTCCTACCTCCAACCTGAATGTCTTTAGAACAATCCTCTAACATTTGCTCCCAGTAATAATAATTTCTTCATTACCTTGTGAAACTCATCCCATCACTACATTGTCAGGAGAAAGAGCCAGGACAAGGTCATGGTAAGCAAGGCTCCTTCCTCATCCCATTGTTACCCACCTATGGTCATTGTTACCTATCTGTGGTCTGTGGCTGAGCTTAATCAACAGAAAAATATGAGGATGGTTGAGTACTCTCCATAGCTCATCATCACAAGCAGGGAGTTTTCATGGTAGAATAAGGGTTGGGGAGTGTCTTTACAGACAGTGTCTTACGGAAATGTTTTGTTTGTTGGTTTGTTTGTTTGTTTTTAGCAAACCAAGTCCCCCAAAATGAAATCAAAACACAGCAAACACAAGAGCTTTAAGATGGTGTGAAATTCTAAAGAATAGTGACCCATGGTAATAAATAGTAAGGGAAGTGTTAGCCACTTGGGTTACCCTCAGATCCAAATTTAAACACTACTAAGAAGTAAGTGGTGTTTTCATACCTATGTGTGTGTGCAAACACACACCCCCACTCACAGAAACCTTCCTCATGCTCCTCTTGGGAGGAGCTTTGAACAGCACCACCCAAGGAAAAGACTGAGATGTATGTCATTTAAAAAAAAAGCAGGCCGGGCGCAGTGGCTCACGCCTGTAATCCCAGCACTTTGGGAGGCCGAGGCGGGCGGATCACAAGGTCAGGAGATCGAGACCATCCTGGCTAACAAGGTGAAACCCTGTCTCTACTAAAAACACAAAAAAAAGTTAGCCGGGCATGGTGGCGGGCCCCTGTAGTCCCAGATACTCGGGAGGCTGAGGCAGGAGAATGGCGTGAACCCAGAAGGCTGAGCTTGCAGTGAGCCGAAATTGTGCCACTGCACTCCAGCCTGGGCGACAGAGTGAGACTCTGTCTCCAAAAAAATAAAAAGCATTTTTTTTTCACCACCATTGTTTATCAGGTGCGTTGGCCATGGTTACATTTAAAATTTTAGGGCACAGTTTACAATGTGGTAAGAGTCTATACCTGGACAGATTGAGAATAAACTGGAGAAAGGAACGAGCTTCGCTTAGGGAAAATTAACCCAGACTAAAATGGCCCTCAGTTGGTTTTTTGTAGCCAACATCCCTGTCTTTAAAAAGTAATATTTTCCTATTCCTTTTGTATGTAATGGAGCTGGAAACCACAATATGTCCTTAACCGTCCCACAGCCACAGTGATCAGCGCATGACCTAGCCATTCACGTTTTACTGGGAAGAAATAAAGGATTAGGATGCTTGAATCATCCAGACAGGGCCAATCTGAGATTGTCTCTGGAATCCAAATCCCAACATTAATAACAATTGGGTTTTTTTCTTTTTTAAACTTATAAAATATTTTGGCCATACTTAAATGTACAAAAAATCATGTAACAAGAATCCATATAACCACCAACTAGTTTAAGAAATAAAATATTACCAACACAGCTAAGCTTCCTATGTACCCCACTGCAGCTCACTCACCTATGGTCCTGCAGAAGTAATCACTCTGCTCAATTTAATGTTTATTATTCCCATGTCAGTTATGAAACTTTTTTTAACATATGAAGACATTCATAAAGAATATATAGTATTGGCTGGGTGTGGTGGCTCACACCTGTAATCCCAGCACTTTGGAAGGCTGAGGTGGGCAGATCATGAGGTCAAGAGTTCGAGACCAGCCTGGCCAATATGGTGAAACCCCGTCTCTACTAAAAACACAAAAATTAGCCAGGCGTGGTGGTGCACACCTGTAGTCCCAGCTACTTGGGAGGCTAAGGCAGAAGAATCGCTTGAACCCAGAAGGCGGAAGTTGCAGTGAGCTGAGATCGCACCACTGCTCTCCAGCCTGGGTGACAGAGCAAGACTCCGTCTCAAAAAACAAACAAACAAAAAAGAATATATAGTATTATTTTGTGGAGTTTAAAATGATATCAATGTTTTACTGTTAACTGTAGTCACCCTACTGTGCAATAGAACACCATATTTATTCCTTCTATCTAATTACAACTTTGCACACATTGGCCAACCTCTCTTCATCCTTCCCTCCTCCTCCTTTTCCCCCTCCTCTCTCCAGTGACTGGTTACTCTCTGCTTCTATGATATCAGTTGTTCTACTCTCTGCTTCTATGATATCAGTTGTTATTTTTTAGATTCCACATATAACTAAGATCATGCAATGTTTGCACTGAAACATCAAATTGTATGCCATACATGTGTACAATTACAAAAAATTGTTAATTTTACAAATGGATAATTTTTAAAAACTGTATCAATATATCATACTGTAATTCAAGAAGTTAGAGGCTGTCTTTCTGCTAAGATTGTTAAACTGGGGTTAGTAGCCTGGAGTCTTGGCTTCCATCTTTCTTAACTGCATGTAGGAAAAATGTGTAAAGAAAAAGAAAATGAAGCCAGCTTATTAAAAAAAATAGGCCATGGGGCGAGGGGAAGGTGGGGGCGGAAAGAAGGGAGAGAGAGAACAAAAAATTTACTACATTGATTGAGTCTTGAATAGAGCCAAGTCTAAAACTATCAACCCAGTTCCCATTTTAAATTTAATCTGGCCAGGTGCAGTGGCTCATGCCTGTAATCCCAGCTACCGGGCAGGCTGAGGCACGAGAATCACTTGAAACTGGGAGGTGGAGGTTACAGTGAGCAAGACGGCACCACTGCACTCCAGCCTGGGTGACAGAGTGAGACTCTGTCTCAAAAAAAAAAAAAAAAAAAAAAAAAAAAAATATATATATATATATATATATATATATAAATGGAATCTGATATGAGTTGGGTTTTGTCCCTGTAAACCAAAGAGTTCAATGTATAAATTGGTATATTGAAAAGTAAAACTGCAGATACAAATCTTGAAATGAGAAATTATCTGAGTCCCGATTTCTTTGTAGGCAGCAATGATCCCTGTATCTCTGCACTGGAGATTGGAAATGCTTGTTATGTTTCTGATATGCCTTCTTCAGGTGGAACTTTGGAGAACCTAAAAGAAATAGATGAGAATGTTGGCAAATACTGTTCACTTTCAGCAGCTTCCAGTAAGATCCTGCAAGAAGTGGTCATGCTGAGGTTCTTAAGCCAGTTATCTGCCATTAGAAAGACAGCAATATAGAGCTTTGTTAATAAAGCACAACACAGGAATCTGAGATGGCTGAGAGTCAGAAAAGCAGTGCTTTGTGAATTTTGAAAGAAAATAACTCATTTGCTTCTAAGCAAAAGTTAGAACAGACAAAATCAGGGAGGTAAGAAAATAAGATTGCTGGCCAGGCACGGTGGCTCATGCCTGTAATCCCAGCACTTTGGGAGGCTGAGGCGGGCGGATCACAAGGTCAGGAGATTGAGATCATCCTGACTAACATGGTGAAACCCCGTCTCTACTAAAAATACAAAAAATTAGCTGGGCATGGTGGCATTTGCCTGTAGTCCCAGTTACTTTGGAGGCTGAGGCAGGAGAATCGGTTGAACCCGGGAGGTGGAGGTTGCACTGAGCAGAGATCATGCCATTGCACTCCAGCCTGGGTAATAGAGTAAGACTCCATCTAAAAAAAGAAAGAAAGAAAGAAAGAAAGAAAGAAAGAAAGAAAGAAAGAAAGAAAGAAAGAAAGAAAGAAGAAAGAAAGAAAGAAAAGAAAAGAAAAGAAAAGAAAAAAAGAAAAAGAAAATAAGATTGCTATCCAGGAGTAGCTTAAGTCATATATTTTATCTTCCAAACACATCTTAATATTTGTTCCCAGACTGACAGAGGTAATAGTCTCTCTCTTCAGGTAGTAGATAGTGTAAAGCACTCTCTACTGGGATGCACCGGGACAGGGTACAGACCGGTTCACCTTCACCACCTTCAGCTGAGGGCACAGTGGAAGCCGGTGAGCAGAGGCCTCAGGAGACTAGCAGAGCACTAACGGCAATTACTGAGACATACACCTGTGGGGTTAAGATTCAGTGCTCTAGATCCAAGATTTCTAATGCTGATTATTATCCTTTGGGGATTTCAGAAGTAAATTAACAAGCAAAAGAGTGGGTACTTCAGAAAATGTAATTGTCAGAGAACGCTCAAGCCTGAAAAAGATCTATTTTTGCTCAACCATTAATTCAACACTCAGTTTATTATAATCATATCCACAGAAAATAGGTGGACTAAGAGACTATAGTTCTACAGATGAAATCTTATCATATGCTGCTTTGGATTATGACCACGGAGGAAAATGAACCCTGGCAATCCTCCTGGCAGTCATAGGAAAAGGAGGCAGATATGTAACCTGGAAATTACTCCATGGCCAAAGGTAGGGATCCTTACTACCCCTTCCTATAGAATATGATTTATGCTAGGATTCAGGGATGGCTATTTGTTATTTTTCCTTCTCTGCTTCACAAATAAGACAGCTATTGCAGTTACCTTTTTTTTTTTTTTGATTTTCTGCCTTCCTTCATGGTGGGTTTTAAGTGTTAGGGTGGTTAAATGCATCATAGAGGATTGCATCTGGACCTGATCAGTAGATATGTTATCTGGAGATGATACTGATTTATTTCCCTTAAGAACTGAGTATATATTTGGTGGTATTTGGAATTATTATAGCTTATTAGGTGGAGACATATAATAATTTCTCATAATGTGAATGCTGGGCAGCTAGGGTTGGAATATAGCAGTGGCTTCGAAAATATCTTATAAACACTCTACCTTTGTGGAGCCATCCCTTCCCCATTCATGTGATTCCAGTGGGGCTGTCAATCATACAGTATGTCTTTACCCCTATCTATTTGTCCCAGCCTGACACATCTCTGGACACAGATAAATCTCCATTTATCTTAAGTAGAGCAATTGGACCTATGTGGGCCTATGATCAAAACAAGATCAGTTTCCTCCAGTTATGAAGTCGTTGAGTAGTTTGTTGTTATGCGTAAGTTAGTTGGATCATGGATAGGATACCTTTGGGTAGAAAGAAAGACTTACATATGTGTTGAGAAATTAAGAGTATGTTGTAGATCTTTTTTTGCCATACTAATAATAATCTTTCTTCTGCCCAAGCATCATGAGGATGAGGTGGCCACCATTCTTAACTTGTATCAATTTCTCCTCAATCCTAACAAGGTCAGAAGATGATTACTAAGCAAAATTGGACTGACTACACTTTCCCCACTATGTAGAAATGGAATTCAGAGTCAGCTAGTTAGTCCTGCATGTGTCTGGACCTTCAACAAGTAAATTCGGGGGCTATGGCAATGCCATTCCACCTTAGGGATGAAAAGCAGAGATTTCTGCTTTCAGCCATTATGTAGAGACCAAAAAAAAAAAAAAAGATGCAGGTGTGCAGAAATAAAAAAAGAGATGCTTAAATGGAGTTTTAATGGTTCTCCTCATTCTAATCCCATTGTCTTCTGAGTCCTAATACCATTCCAGCCCTTATGTCACTCCACTGTCTCTGTAAATTCAATTAAGCTTCATTGCATGCTTGCACTACTCTTAGTTGGGTTCCATTTACTTGCAACTAGACGTTTCAAAACAAAACAGCTATGTAGTCAAAATAATAATTATGATGGCAATAATAACAATAATGTTAGTTTATATTAAGCATTTTTCACAGCTATACATGAATTACGTAATGTTCACTATAAACTAGTGAGATAGGTGCTATTATTATCCCCAACTCAATATATTAACATATATTGTTACATGTTTAGGTGAAAAAAATCATTCAAGCAAGTTATTACTACGAATTAAAGAATCAGTAGATACTGAGTTCCTTTAAGTAAACTGCGATATTATAATAAACTTCCAACCAAAAAGATGAGAGATAAATATTCTCAGAAAGTCTGCAAGTTCTCTTCTTGAAATTGGTTATTCACTAGCATGTCATGATCGTTACAGGGAGGTAAATACCAGCCATCCAGAGACATTATTAGATGCCCTGACAGATAATACTATTTGATCAAAAAAAAAAGTCACCCAAAACAAAAACAAAACAACATCCCACTGACACTGACCCTGTTTTAAGTTCTCAGAGAAAATCTGAATATTAGATAATATCCTCTGTCTTCAGCATCCAGTATCCAGTTTTGTTTTCCCTTGATATTTTTCTTAGCTGAAGCTCTGACTTTAAACAAATGCTTACATGACTCAGATAATTTGATGTAACATGAAAGAATAACTTTGCCCCTAGGTGATCCGAGCTCATGCACTGCCTGAATAAATTGTCTGGAAAAAAAAATTAACGACAGAGAATTTAACGTATGACAACACCTACCGTAATATAATTCAATGTAAAGACAGAGTTAGAATTTAATATATAATTCTATCTTCCACCACACTTTGTACAGTCTTATGTAGTACTCACTAGATATTTTTGAGAAAATCAGTGTAAAATGGAACTGCATCCAGGGATGACTTGTATATGATCAAGGAGGCTTTCATTTCAGCAATTCATAACCAACATAATTTTTTGTTGTTATTGTTTCTCAGATTGTTGAAATGCATTTTCACTGAATTGCCATTTGTTTGCAAGTTTGTTGCCTCTATTGAGTCATTTCCTTAATATCAGAGGCTGTGCCATCCTTATACATATTTCTTTCTTCAGTGCCTAGTATTTTGTTAGCATTTAATAAAAACAGGGAAAGTCAACTAATATTATATCAAACATAAAATCGTCTCAAGTTTCCAGTGTATTCACATACCTAAGACAGTTCAATTTTTAAGGAATTAATGAGAAGTTTGACATCTATGACTTCTACATCACTCTGTAACTACTTGCATATTGATATGATTTGGATCTGTTCCCCCACCCAAATCTCATGTTCAATTGTAATTCCAATGTTGGAGATGGGCCTGGTGGGAGGAATTGGATCATGGGGGCGGTTCCTAATGGTTTAGAAACCATCCTTCTAGTGCTGCTGTTGTGATAGAGTTCTCATGAGATCTAGTTGTTTAAAAGTGTGTAGCACCTCTCTGCTCTCTCTCCGCCCCCCTGCTCCCGCCATGTGAAGTACTGGCTTCTCCTTTGCCTTCTGCCATGATTGAAGCTGAGCACATGCTGCCATGCTTCCTATACAGCCTACAGGACTGTGAACCAATTAAACCTCTTTTCTTTTTTTTTTTTCTTCTTTTTGTTTATTTTGAGATGGAGTTTTGCTCTTGTTGCCCAGGCTGGAGTGCAATGGCATGATCTTGGCTCACTGCAACCTCCGCCTCCCAGGCTGAAGTTATTCTCCTGCCTCAACCTCCCGAGCAGCTGGGAGTACAGGCATGCACCACCATGCCCGACAAATTTTGTGCTTTCAGTAGAGATGGGGTTTCACCATGTTGGGCAGGCTGGTCTTGAACTTCCGACCTCAGGTGATTCACCCACCTCGGCCTCCCAAAGTGCTGGGATTACAGGTGTGAGCCACTGTGCCCAGCCCTAAACCTCTTTTTTAATAAATTACCAGTCTCAGGTATTTCTTTATAGCAGTGTGAGAATGGACCAATACAAATATTCTAGGCACCTGGTTTGCTCTCTAATTGCAGTCACCAAGAAGTGACTGCAATATCCACATAGATCATTTTTCCAATACTGTGGCCACTAGGTTTTTTTCCTCTTCTCCAATAATCTTAGCTTCAACCTGCCTCAGGTAACCACTCTCTGGTGGTACTCTGGACTTTGCCATTACCAATAGCAATACCCTCTCTATAATATTAATTTTTAACATCACACACTCTGACCACCACTTTTACTCTTCTCAATTTGTTCCCACTAGATCTCTGACATCTAAAAACCGCAACCCCACCGAACCTCCAATTCATTCACTCTAATGCCTTTTTACTCCTTTTTGCCTCTTTCATTCCTTACTTCTCTTCTACCTGACTTAGATTCCATGGCTCATCATTACAACCATTTCCTTATATATACTAGTAACTCCCTCTTTCTTCTTTCCTCCATTGTATCCTCATGGCCAAGTTTCCCAGCCTGGGTAAATATAACCCTCCACCTTTTCTGCACCTACACCCAAGGAGAGAATATAGCTGGAGAAAAACCCCACCACAGTGCTGACTGGTCCCAGCTTACATTTACGATTACTAACTTTCAACCCTCCTACTAATTTTATCTTGTTCAATTCACTCTTCACACTGTTTTCTCTATTTACGTTCTTCTTGTGTATCCCCAAGCCTCTAACATCTCCTCCATCCTCCCACTCTCAACTGATGACTTTGTCTATTATTTTACTGAAAAACTGAAGAAATTAGGAGAAAATGTCCCAACACTCCAACAACAAGATATGAATTCTGAAGCAAAAACGTTTGCTCTAACCTTTGGTTGAACTATTTTTACTCATGCAAAAGGCCAGCCTCTCCATCTATGTACTGGATTCTGTCCCTTGTCACCTACTCAAAGATAGGACATGGATTTTTCTCCCTCTTGTTTTTTTGCTTTCTACTGGTCTTTTCTACTGAATCTGTCCCACGAACACATAAATATGTTATAGTATTTCCTATCTAAAATAAAGTGATAAAAAGCTAACTCTTCATTTCTGTGCTTCTCTTTACAACAAAGGCTCTAAAAAGAGTTGTCTGTACCAGGAATCTCTAATGTCTATCTCCTCACTCTTTCTTGAATCCACTCCAGTAAGGTCCTTTTCATCACTATTCTATTTAAACAGCACTTGACAAGACTATCCTTGTCATTCACATTGCCAAATCCAATCCTGAATTTTTTAATTTAATTTAACTGGACCTAAAAGCAGGATTTATCACAAATGATCACTCCATTCTTCTTGAAACAAGTCTTTTGCTGCTAAAACACCTCACTGGCTGCTGCTTCTCAGTTTTCTTTGCTGATTCCTTATCTTCTGAATTTGCAAACTTCAGAGTGCCCATCAGCTCAGTCTTTTTATTTCTTCTTTATCTATACATATTTCCTACCTGACATCTGATGAGTCCATAATTATATATCTCCAGCCCAGTTCTGTCCCTCGAAATGCAGAATCATTTATCAAATGCCCCCACCATATTTCAATATGAAAATATAACAGCATCTAAAATTAACATACTCGAAATAGTCTTGATTAGGTCCGACCTTCAAAAATTAAAAAAAGCAGACAAAAAACACTGCTTCACCAAATGCAATTTTTCCCAACTTAGTAAATAGTAACTTCATTCTAGCTAAAAATAGAGATGTATGCTTCATTCCTATCTCAATAATTAGTATGCATTCAATCCACCAGCCAGTTCTGTTGTATTGTTCTTTAAAGTATACTCTGAATCTCACCATCTATTGTTATTCCACTACCTCTTAATCCTGGTTGCTGCTTCTTACTTGAACTATTGTATAGGCCTCCTAACTGTCAATCTGCTTTCACCTTTGCTCCTATATTCTTTTAGCTTTTGTTCCACCATATTTAAAAAGAATACACAGTAGTGGCATGAAGAACATAGAAATTTCCAGGAAATTCTATAATCAGCAGGGACCTAGGCTCCTCCTATATCACTGGTTCATCATACTAAGAGAATTGCTTCACAATCTAAGATATCTGCTCTAGCCCAGGCACCCATCTACATTCTGTCGAGCGAGAGAGGAGAATGCAAGAACAAGGCTGCTCCCACCCTTTAAGGAGTCTTCCTGAAAGTCTACATTCGACTAATGAGTAGCCACTACTGTAGACAATATCTATAATTCTTACATTTTTTTCAAAGAAATATCTAATTCTCCATATTTCTTGTTTCTAGCATTAGCTTAAGATAATTTAAGAACCAATTTCATTTTCATTTTTTGCTACTTTCCCCTTGTCAATCATTGACATTATAAATGTATCAGATCCACAACTACATTATTGGGCACACACATTCTAACCACTTATTTAAGTAATCTACCATTAATGGACAATTGTGTTATATTTGTTTGTCCCTGAGAGAAACAATGCTTCAGTGAATAACCTTGAACATTAGAAATTCCATTTATGTGTGAGTCCTGAACACAAAACAAAAAACAGTGAATAATAAGTATTAGAGAGGATGTGTAGAAACTGGAAACAGTGGGCATTGCCAGTGGAAATGTAAGATGTACAGCCACTGTGGAAAACAGGATGGCAGTTCCTCAAAAAATTAAACATACAACCAACCATATTATGATCCAACAATTCAATTTTTAAGTATATACACAAAGGAATTAAAAGCAAGGACTCAAACACATATTTATTTGTTGATGTTCATAACAGCATTATTCACAGTGGCCGGAAGGTGAAACAATTGAAATGTCTATTACAGATGAATGGATAAACGAAAGGTGGTGTTTGCAAATAGTAGAATATCATCATCTAGTACTTTTACCATTTCATTTTATAAATTTTAATATTGGATCCATTGGTCAATTGCAGAAACCAGGTAAATTTTAAATAAAAAAATTTTATATAAAGACATTTATCGGGGATCTGTCAAGATGGCCGAATAGGAACAGCTCCTGTCTGTAGCTCCCAGTGAGACCACCACAGAAGGTGAGTGATTTCTGCATTACCAACTAAGTGGTACCTGGAACTCCAGCAAGAGAGAACCGTTCACTCCCCTGGAAAGGGGGTTGAAGCCAGGGAGCCAAGTGGTCTCACTCAGTGTGTCCCACTCAGTGTGTCCCACTCCCATGAAGCCCATCAAGCTAAGAACCACTGGCTTGAAATTCTCACTGCCAGCACAGCAGTCTGAAGTCAACCTGAGATGACCCATCTTGGTCGGGGGGAA
The DNA here is from genome assembly GCF_000001405.40 of Homo sapiens. Taxonomy (NCBI): domain Eukaryota; kingdom Metazoa; phylum Chordata; class Mammalia; order Primates; family Hominidae; genus Homo; species Homo sapiens. Next base: position 54,824,837 of record NC_000006.12, on the reverse strand, counting down.
GGGGCGTCAGCCATTACTGAGGCTTGAGTAGGCGGTTTTCCCCTGACAATGCTAAGGAGGCCGGGAAGTTCAGACTGGGTGGAGCTCAACACAGTGCAGCAAAGTGGCTGCGGCCAGACTGCCTCTCTAGATTCCTCCTCTCTAGGCAGGGCATGTCTGAAAGAAACACAGCAGCCCCAGTCAGGGGCTTAGAGATAAAACTCCCATCTCTCTGGGACAGAGCACCTGGGGGAAGGGGAGGCTGTGGACTCAGCTTCAGTGGAATTAAACCTTCCTGCCTGCCAGCTCTGAAGACAGCAGCAGGTCCTGACAAGGAGGATTCTTCCAGCACAGCGCTCGAGCTCTGCTAAGGGACAGACTGCCTCTTCAGGTGGGTTCCTGACCCCCGTGGCTCCTGACGGGGAGAGACCTCCCAGCAGGGGTTGACAGCTACCTCATACAGAAGAACTCTGGCTAGCATCAGGCCGGTGCCCCTCTGGGACAAAGCTTCCAGAGGAAGGACCATGCAGCAGTCTTTCCTGTTCTGCAGCCTCCGCTGGTGATACCCAGGCAAACAGGGTCTGGAGTGGACCTCCAACAAACTCCAGCAGACCTGCAGCAGAGGGACCTGACTGTTAGAAGAAAAACTAACAAACAGAAAGCAATAACATCAACATCAACAAAAAGGACCCCCACACAAAAACCCCATCGAAAGGTCATCAGCCTCAAAGATCAAAGGTAGATAAAACCACGAAGATGAGGGAAAACCAGTGCAAAAGTGCTGAAAATTCCAAAAACCAGAATGCCTTTTCTTCTCCAAATGATCGCAACTCCTCTCCAGCAAGGGCTCAAAACTGGATGGAGAATGAGTTTGATGAATTGATAGAAGTAGGCTTCAGAAGGGGGGTAATAACAAACTCCTCTGAGCTAAAGGAGCATGTTCTAAACCAATGCAAGAAAGCTAAGAACCTTCATAAAAGGTTACAGGAACTGCTAACTAGAAAAACCAGTTTAGAGAAGAATATTAATGACCTGATGGAGCTGAAAAACACAGCACAAGAACTTCATGAAATATACACAAGTATCAATGGCCAAATTGATCAAGTGGAAGAAAGGATATCAGAGATTGAAGATCAACTTACTGAAATAAGGCGTGAAGACAAGACTAGAGAAAAAAGAATAAAAGGCCAGGTGCAGTGGCTCACGCCTGTAATCCCAGCACTTTGGGAGGCTGAGGCTAGCAGATCATGAAGTCAGGAGATGGAGACCACAGTGAAACCTCGTCTTTACTAAAAATACAAAAAATTAGCCAGGTGTGGTGGTGGGTGCCTGTAGTCCCAGCTACTTGGGAGGCTGGGGCAGGAGAATGGTGTGAACCTGGAAGGCGAAGCTTGCAGTGAGCTGAGATCATGCCACTGCACTCCAGCCTGGGCAACAGAGCAAGACTCTGTCTCAAAAAAAAAAAAAAAAAAAAAAAAAAGAATAAAAAGGAGCAAGTAAAGCTTCCAAGAAATATGGGACTATGCGAAAAGACCAAACCTATGATTGATTGGTGTACCTGAAAATGACAGGGAGAATGGAACCAAGTTGGAAAACACACTTCAGGATATTATCCAGGAGAACTTCCCCAACCTAGCAAGACAGGCCAACATTCAAATTCAGGAAATACAGACTAATATACTCCTTGAGAAGAGCAACCCCAAGATACATAATCATCAGATTCTCCAAGGTTGAAATGAAGGAAAAAATGTTAAGGGCAGCCAGAAAGAAAGGTCAGATTACCTACAAAGAGAAGCCCATCAGACTAACAGTGGCTCTCTCTGCAGAAACCCTCCAAGTCAGAAGAGAGTGGGAGCCAATATTCAACATTCTTAAAGAAAAGAATTTGCAACCCACAATTTCATATCCAGCCAAACTAAGCTTCATAAGTGAAGGAGAAATAAAATCCTTTCCAGACAAGCAAATGCTGAGCGATTTTGTCACCACCAGGCATGCCTTACAAGAGCTCCTGAAGGAAGCACTAGATATGGAAAAAAACAAAACAACAACAACAACAAAAAATGGTACCAGCCACTACAAAAACACACCAAAATATAAAGACCAATGACACTGTGAAGAAATAGCATCAACTAATGTGCAAAATAACCAGCTAGAATCATGATGACAGGATCAAATTCACACATAACAATATTAACCTTAAATGGGCTAAATGTCCCAATTAAAAGACACATACTGGCAAATTGCAAAAAGACTCAAGACCTATTGGTGTGCTATATTCAAGACACCTATCTCATGTGCAAAGATGCACATAGGCTCAAAATAAAGGGATGGAGGACTATTTATCAAGCAAATGAAAAGCAAGAAAATACAGGGGTTGCAATTTTAGTCTCTGATAAAAAAGATGTTAAACCAACAAATATCAAAAAAGACATAGAAGGGCGTTACATAATGGTAAAGGGATCGATGCAATAAGAAGAGCTAATTATCCTAAATATATATGCACCCAATAGAGGAGCACCCAGATTCATAAAAAAAGTTCTTAGAGACTTACAAAGAGACTTAAACTCCCACACAATAGAAGTGGGAGACTTTGACAACCCACTGTCAATATTAGACAGATCAACGAGACAGAAAATTAACAAGGATATCCAGCTCTTGAACTCAGCTCTGGACTAAGTGGACCTAATAGACATCTACAGGACTTTCCACCCCAAATCAACAGAATATACATTCTTCTCACTGCCACATGGCACTTATTCTAAAATCAACCACACAATTGGAAGTAAAACATTCCTCAGCAAATGCAAAAGAATGGCTATCATAACAAACAGTCTCTCAGAACACAGTGCAATCAAATTAGAATTCAGGATTAAGAAATTCACTCAAAACTACACAACTACATGGAAATTGAACAACCTGGTCCTGAATGACTACTGGGTAAATAATGAAATTAAGGCAGAAATAAATAAGTTCTTTGAAACCAATGAGAAAAAAAAGGCAAAGTACTAGAATCTCTGGGACTTAGCTAAAGCAGTGTTAAGAGGGAAATTTATAGCACTGAATGCCCACATCAGAAAGCAGGAAAGATCTAAAATCAACACCCTAATATCACAATTCAAATAACTAAAAAAGCAAGAGCAAACAAATTCAAAAGCTAGCAGAAGACAAGAAATAACTAAGATCAGAACAGAACTGAAAGAGATAGAGACACAAAAAACCCTTCAAAAACTCAGTGAATCCAGGAGCTGATTATCTGAAAAGATTAACAAAATAGATAGACCACTAGTCAAACTAATAAAGAAGAAAAGAGAGAAGAATCAAATAGACACAATAAAAAATGATAAAGGGGATAGCACCACTGATCCCACAGAAATACAAACTACAATCAGAGAATACTATAAACACCTCTATGCAAATAAACTAGAAAATCTAGAAGAAATAGATGAATTCCTGGGCACATACACCTTCCCAAGAATAACCAGGAAGAAGTCGAATCCCTGAAAAAACCAATAACAAGTTCTGAAATTGAGACAGCAATTAATAGCCTACCAACCAAAAAAAGTTCAGGACCAGATGGATTCACAGCCGAATTCTACCAGAGGTACAAAGAGGAGCTGGCACCATTCCTTCTGAAATTATTCCAAAAAATAAAAAAAGAGGGATTCCTGCCTAACTCATGTTATGAGGCTAACATCATCCTGATACCAAAACCTGGCAGAGACACAACAACAACAAAAAATTCAGGCCAATATCCTTGATGAACATTGATGCAAAAATCCTCAATAAAATACTGGCAAACGGAATCCAGCAGCACATCGAAAAAGCTTATCTACCATGATCAAGTTGGCATCATCCCTGGGATGCAAGGCTGGTTCAACATATGCAAATCAATAAATGTAATCCATAACATAAATTGACCAATGACAAAAACCACATGATTATCTCTATAGATGCAGAAAAGGCTTTTGATAAAATTCAACACCCTTTCATGCTAAAAACTCTCAATAAACTAGGTATTGATGGAACGTATCTCAAAATAATAAGAGCTATTTATGACGAACCCATAGCCAATATCATAATGAATGGCAAAAGCTGGAAGCATTCCCTTTGAAAACCGGCAAAGACAAGGATGTCCTCTCTCACCACTCCTATTCAACATAGTATTCGAAGTTCTGGCCAGGGCAATCAAGCAAGAGAAAGAAATAAAGGGTATTCGAACAGGAAGAGAGGATGTCAAATTGTCCCTGTTTGTAGATGGCATGATTGTATATTTAGAAAATCCCATCGTCTCAGCCCCAAAACTCCTTAAGCTCATAAGCAACTTCAGCAAAGTCTCAGGATACAAAATAAATGTGCAAAAATCACAAGCATTCCTATACACCAGCAATACACAAGCAGAGAGCCAAAACATGACTGAAATTTCATTCACAATTGTTACAAAGAGAATAAAATACCTAGGAATCCAACTTGCAAGGGATGTGAAGGACCTCTTCAAGAACTACAAACCACTGCTCAAAGAAATAAGGGAGGACACAAACAAATGGAAAAAAATTCCATGCTTACGGATAGGAAGAATCAGTATAGTGAAAAAGGAAATCCCATATGCAGAAAACTGAAATTGAACCCCTTCCTTACACCTTATACAAAAATTAACTCAAGATGGATTAAAAACTTACACATAAAACCTAAAAGCATGAAAAAGTTAGAAGAAAACCTGGGCAATACCATTCAGGACATAGGCATGGGCAAAGACTTCATGACTAAAACACCAAAAGCAATTTCAACAAAAGCCAAAATTAACAAATGGGTTCTAACTAAATTAAAGAGCTTCTGCACAGCAAAAGAAACTATCAATAGAGCGAACAGGCAACCTACAGAATGGGAGAAAAATTTTGCAATCTATCTATCTGACAAAGGGCTAATATCCAGAATCTACTAGGAACTTAAACAAATTTACAAGAAAAACAAACAAACCAACCCATCAAAAAGTGGGCAAAGGATATGAACATACACTTCTCAAAAGAAGACATTTATACGGCCAACAAACATATGAAAAAAAGCTCATCATCACTGGTCATTAGAGAAATGCAAATCAAAACCACAATGAGATACAATTTCATGCCAGTTAGAATGGCAATCATTAAAAAGTCAGGAAACAACACATGATGCAAGGATGTGGAGAAACAGGAACACTTTTACACTGTTGGTGGGAGTGTAAATTACTTCAACCATTGTGGAAGACAGAATGGTTATTCCTCAAGGATCTGGAACCAGAAATGCCATTTGACCCAGCAATCTCATTACTGGGTATATACCCAAAGGATTATAAATCATTCTACTATAAAGACACATGCACACATATGTTTATTGCAGCACTGTTTACAGTAGCAAAGACTTAGACCTAACCAAAATGACCATCAATGATAGACTGGATAAAGAAAATGTGGCACATATACACATCATGGAATACTATGCAGCCATAAAAAAATTAGTTCATGTCCTTTTCAGGGACATGGTTGAAGCTGGAAGCCATCATTCTCAGCAAACTAACACAGGAACAGAAAACCAAACACCACATCTTCTCACTCATAAACAGGAGTTGGACCATGAAAACACATGGACACAGGGAGGGTAACATCACACACCAGGGCCTTTCAGGGGAAGTGGGGGGAAGTGAAGGGAGCTCATTAGGACAAATACCTAATGCATGTTGGGCTTAAAACCTAATGCATGTTGGCTGGATGATAGGTGGATAGGTGCAGCAAAACACTGTGACACATGTATACCTATGTAACAAACCTGTATGTTCTGCACATATATCTCAGAACTTAAAGTTAAAAAAAAAATTGTCTCCTCAGTTTTATAATATTTTGTTCAGCATTAAAATGGAATATTTTTAAAGGGCTAAAAAAATCCTTTATAAAGACTTTGATGAAGTTTATATTTAAACAGAAGATAAAGTAAAATCCACTTTTATTAGTTTTGACAATGATTTTACTTCAAGAAAGGAGAAGAATAGACTGCATCTCAAGCTCAATTTTTGCTATGTACTACCAAAATTCAAACTGGATAATGTTACTAAAAGACATTCAAGGTTAGTATTTTATATTCATAAGCTGTTTCTATTTAGAAAATATCAATTTATTAATGTCTTTGGTGTTATGTTTTTATCAATGGTATGTTATGTATAGGTTAAATAAATTTTTTCAAAATCCTTAAGAGAATTTAAGGGTGACATTTAATCACTGTATTTTTCAAGTATAAGCAGGTATAAAAAAACTGTATTTCTCCAGAGACTACAATTTCAATTATAATGACTATTGTTTTTATCCGCAGGAATTTCAGCCAATATTTTTGTAGAAAACTCAGTTTTCTTTCTTTTCTTTTTTCTTTTTTTTGTGGGGGGTGGAGAAGGACTCACTCTGTCGCCAAGGCAAGAGTGCAGTGGCACGATCACAGTTCACTGCAGCCTCACTCTTCCAGGCTCCAGCGATCCTCTCACCTCAGTCCACCCCCACGCCACTAGCTGGGACCATAGGCAGACACCATCACAGTTGGCTAATTTTTAAAATTTTTGTAGTGATAGCGTCTCACTATTTTCCCTAGGCTGGTCTCGAACTACTGAGCTCAAGCCATCCTCCTACCTTGGCCTCCCAAAACAACGGGGTTACAGGCATAAGCCACTGCACCCAGGCAGAGTTTCTATCTAATTCTATCTTTATGCTCCAGGAAGTGATACATGGAAACTATTTATATTTTTAGAAATTACTTCTAAATATACATCTACAAAGAATAACATGTACCAATGTGGCTAGTACAAGGTGAACAAGAGGGGGAAAGGACAGCAATAAAGTCAGAGAGATTGCTGGGGCCAAATTATGTAGTGCCTTGTAATCTCTGGTAAAGCCTTTGGACTTTTATCCTGCATCATATGGAGAGATACCAGAGGGATTTTAGCAAAGGAGTAATTTATATTAAAACGATACTTTGGCTGCAGTGTTTGGAAGATTCTGTAGACTGGTAAGGAGGAAACAGCTGAACCAATTAGGCAGCTACGTTAGTGGTCCAAAAAATGGTTGATAATCACATGATCTAGGTGGTAGCAGCAAAGGTTTTGAGAAATAATTGGATTCAGGATATGTTTTGAAGTTAGAGTCAGTGAGATTTGCTGATAGATTGGCTATGAGGTGTTAGAGAACTCAAGGATGACTGCAAGGTTTGGGAATAGAAGATTTGTGTTTGGCAGAAGTGAAAGATAAATACAATGGAGCTAAATAAAAGTATATTCAGTATCAACTAGAGTAGTTTGGACTTGCTTCTGCAAGCATTACAAAGTCACTTTAGTTCTTGGGTAAGAAGATAACATGATGTAAGGGGTGCTATTGAACAAATTACCTGGCAGCTTTGTCTAGCTAGACTGGAAGAAGGATGACAAGGCAGGACTAGGGAAACAGGACTCTGCTAGTTTCTATCTGAAGGTGGTAGGACTTGTTCCTCCTCTTTCTTACTTTGGTAATAGAGGCCCTCACATTCGGTGGTTCCTTTTCTCTACCAAATACGTCCTTCATTTCCCTGTGGAATTTATCAGAGCAAGAATTTATTAGAATTAGTATAGTGGGTCACCCAAACCCCAGAAGACACAAACGTAGTTAATTTGGTTCTCATAAAACCGTTCAGGTAGCATAGGGAGCAGTTTGGTGTAAACTCTCCATCCTGGCTTCACTAGTTTTATTTGTCAGCCCTTGGGCAAATTATTTAACTTCTCCATTCTCATTTTCTCATCTGTGAAACTAGGTTAATAATACCTAACACAGAGTGTCAAGGTAAGAATTAATTAAATTTTACATTTTAAAGTGTTTGCAATGCTGCTTAGGACATAGTAAGTTGTTCAATAAATGTGAGTTGATATTTCTCCATTAACTTTTAAATAAACAAATCAATGTAGACTAATCCTTAAAATATATTCTCATAGTAATATTCATATGAATTAATCAGGATTTTTAGTAGGCAACAGTTAGAATATTCTTTCAAAAGAATAATAGAATTTGATATCTAGATGAATAAAAGTATATAAATTATAATGCTGAGTGACTAGAAGAATAGTGGTGTTCTTAATAATAAGGAAGTTGAAAAATAATCCATATATTTAAAAGAAACATTTGGCAAATTCTTTTGAAAATATACTTATTTCAGTGACTTTCATGCCGAGGTTTATTATTTTGAAAAAGAAAAAACTCTCAAGGGGCTGGGCACAGTGGCTCATGCCTATAATCTCAGCACTTTGGGAGGTCCAGGCAGGCGGATCACCTGAGGTCAGGAGTTCAAGACCGGCCTGGCCAACAGGGTGAAAACCCATCTCTACTAAAAATACAGAAATAATTAGTTGGGCATGGTGGTGGGCACCTGTAATCCCAGCTACTTGGGAGACTGAGGAAGGAGAATTGTTTGAGCCTGGGAGATAGAGGTTGCAGTGAGCCGAGATCATGCCACCACACTCCAGCCTGGGCAACAGAGAAAGACCCTGTCTAAAAAAAAAAAAAATTCCATGTGTTTGGGCTGATTGAATAATATTGTTACTGGTCATGTGTAATTACATAATTTAATGTATGTTTTCAAATAGTTATCAGCCAAGAATATTTTGATCTTCATTAATTATGAGAAAAAAATTTAAAGCTGGGCACAGTCGTTCACACTTGTAATCCCAGCACTTTGGGAGGCTGAGGAGAGTGGATTGCTTGACCTCAGGAGTTTGAGAACAGCCTGGGCAACAGAGTGAGACCCCATCTCTACAAAAAGATATTTTAAAAAATTAACCTGGCATGGTGGCATGTGCCTCTGGTCCCACCTACTCAGAAGGCTGAGGTAGGAGGATAGCTTGAGCCTGGGAGGCAGAGGCTGCTGTGAGCGAAGATCATTCCACTGTATTCCAGCCTCGGGGACAGAGCCAGACCCTGTTTCCAAAATAAATAAGTAAATAAATAAATAAAAATAATTTTTTTAAAAAAGAAAAATATTAAGATTTAAAAGCTTTGCGTTTTGAAAAAAATGTCTAATTAAAGAATTAAAATAGTATTTAAACCTAGTAAAGTAGGTTACAACTTTTGAGATTAACAACGTTATGTTGGCAACATATTTTCATGAGACTGCTTTTAATTTCAGAGGCTTTACTTCTTTGCATCTGTAGTCAGTGGAATAATGGCCGTCCTAGGGTGTCCACGTCTAAATCCCCAGAACCTGAGAATATGTTACCTTACATGGCAAAGAAGTAATAAAGCAGCAGATGGAATTAAGATTGCTAATCATCTGACTTCTTGATGGGGAGTTTACCCTGGATTATTGGGGGTGGGGTGCAATAAAATCAGAAGGACTAATCTAACAGAGAAGCCAAAGAAGGAGAAGCAGAGCTATGACAGTGTGAGAAAGACTAGATGGGCCATTGCTGGATTTGAAGACATAAGGGGACCATGAGCCAAAGGAATGTGGGCAGACTCTAGAAGCTGAAAAAAGCAAGGAAACTAATTCTTCCTTAGAGCTTTCAAAAGAAACACAGCTCTGCTGGCACCTTGATGTTAGTTTAGCCCATGGAACACGTTTTTGACTCCTGAGCTCCAGCACTGTAAGATAATAAGTTCGTGTTGTTTTAAGTCACTAAATTTGTGGTAATTCGTTATAGCAGCAATAGAAAATGGACATAATAGTTACAAGAGATATCACAAAATATGTACAGAGTAAAGTTTAAGAAGTAGTTTTGGATCCTCAGAAAGTTCAGGAGATTAAAATGATGGAGAACAAATGTTTTGACTAAGGATTTATCAGATTCATAATATTCCTCACCAAAGGAATTTACATTATACTAATTGCTCCAATTAGCTCTTGTAGCATTTTCATTTTAACTTCATTCTAAGATCATTAGCTCATGCTATCTCTAGAATTTTCACAGATTGGCATGACTATAATGTCCATGAGTATAAAATATAAAGAACTTCAGGAGAAAAAATGTTTTAAAAGATGATTCTTTATTACATTATAGTAGCTTTCTTATTGAAACTTACCAAGCCAGTCAGGAAAATCTTACCTAAAATAAATAGCCAGTGAGTTTCTTTGACATTATTCAGATCTATACCAATAAGTTTTATAAACATTAGGCTATATTTCTAGCACTGTCCCTAATTTACAATATTACTTTGAGCACATCACTTAATCTCATTATTTCTTAGATTCTATATTCACTTAAAAATAATTAGAGATAATTTAGTTCAAGAAGTGCAGTTATTTAGATGATGTCTGTAAGCCAGATTATGTCTGGTTAATTAGATTATATCTGTAAAATGTTCTATAAATCTAATAACATATTTCATCTGAGCATCCCAAACCACAGTCTATAAACATGAGTGAGCATTATTATCTCAATTTTACAAGGGGGCAAGAAAGACAGAAGGAATTTACTAGATTAGAAAAAGCCAAAAACCAACCATGGTCATAGCAGGCTCTCAGGGCTCTGTTTGTTGTACTTTTGTCTATCTGCTTAGCAGCATTTTAACTCCATTTTTATACCACGAGGTATTACTAACAGAATCAATAATATTCCTAAGCCTTAAAACTCATAGGAAATGTTCAAGAGGGTCTAGCCTGTGTTCAGCATGATGTAGAGAGCCTTACTTATCTCTGGAACATTTCCAGGCTTCTTGTTCTCAGACCTAAGCATATTACAAAGAAAGAAGAGCTTTTAATATTTATGTCATTAGTCACGTTAGCTTCACTAAATCATGGAAAGCTCTCACAATAGACAATGCATGGATTATGTACAGCAATTAAACCTCCATCTAAATACTTCTCGTAATTAATGTAAGAGACTTTTAGCTATTGCATAAAGCTGCTCCTAGGCCAAATTGCCGATTAAGTCAATAGGGTCTTATCTCAGACAGACATGTGGTACAAATACTTAACAGCACAGAGAGACCAATGTTTAATTTCTCTCTTTCTCTCTCTCTCTCTGTCTCTCTCTCTCTATGTATATATGTATATATACATATATATATTCAATTAAGAAGCATCTCAGTATCTCTGATGGGAGTGTAGGGGGAAATATAACTGTTATAACTATTATACAATATCAGGAATAATAAATGGAATAATATAATAAAAATTTCAGACTAATAAAACATGAAAAATCATAATCTAAAAACTTATGCAGTCAGGCACATACATTTTCTACCTGTACACCTGTCCTATTGCCAATCACTTGAGAATATTTTCATATAAGAGAATTAGAAGTTAATTTATTATTATAAGAATATCTTTCATACAACCTGACCTTGATTAATATACTTCTAACCTGTAAAACTAAAATATCAGGGATGTTATTCCAATGCGTTTAAGAAAACCAATAGTGTAATATTTATTTTCAAACTGAATAGCTAAAAATTCTGTACCACAATTTAATTATCTGTTTTATATATCAAACTCACTGGGCACTATATTTTAAATAAAGCTTCATCCATTATTGGGCAAGAAAATTAAATAGAAATATTCTAAATTATTAATGATATGGCAATATTGTTAGTGTAGTAGTTGTCATTTGCTCCACCATAGCATACTCAGAATACAAAAGCAATTTCAATTTTATTTCTTTTTCTTGTCTAGTTGTTCTGGCTAAGACCTCCAGTATTAATGTTAAATAGAAGTGGCAAGAGTGGGCACCCTTGCCTTGTTCTTCATCATAGAGGATAAAGCTCTGTTTTTCATATTGACAATGATGAAATTTATTATATATGGCCTTTTATGTGGACTTTTAATATATGGCCTTTTTATTTGGACATTTTTATATGGCCTTTATTATGTTAAGTTTATTTTCTTCTATTTTTCTAATTTGTTGAGTCTTGTCATGAAATGGTGTTGAGTTTTGTCAAATGCCTTCTCTTCATGTGTTGAGATGATCATGTCATTTATATCCTTCATTCTGTTAATGTGTTATGTCACACTAATTGATTTGTAGATGTTGAACCATCTTTGCATTCCAGGAACAAATGCCACTAGGACTTAGTGTATGCTCCCTTTAATGTGCTATTGAATTCAGTTTGGTAAATTAGGCAAAAAAAAAAAAAAAAGTTAAGAGGCATCCAAATCAGAAAAGAATAAGTAAAATTATCTCTGTTTGCAAGTGACAGGATCTTATATGTAGAAAATCACAAAGACTCCACACACACACACAAACACAAAATATTCAAACTAATAAACAAATTCAATAAAATTGAAGGATACAAATCAACATACAAAAAAATCAGTTGTAATTCCATACACTAAGAACAAATTATCTGAGAATAAATTTTTTTTAAAAAATTATTTACAATAGCATCAAGAAGAAAAATAGAAATAAACTAAGAAGGTGAGAAACTTCTACACTGAAAACTAGAAAATATTGATGGATAAAATTATAGTACAAAGAAATAAATGGAAAGTCATCCCATGTTCATGGATTAGAAGACTTAATATATTGTTAGAATATCTGTACTACCCAAAGTGGTTTACAGATTCAGTGTAATCCTATTAAAATTCCAATGGAATTTGTTTTACAGAGATAGGAAAAAAAAGGAATCCTAAGATTCATAGGGAACCAGAAAGACTACAAATAGCCAAATCAATATTGAGAAAAAAGAACAAAGTTGCAGGTATTATTATTTATAACTTCAAAATATTTTAAAGTTACAGTAATTAAAATAATATAGTACAGGCATAAAGATAGACATATAGACCAATTGAACAGAATAGACAGCCTAGAAATACACTTATACATGAAGATCAATTGATCTTCAACAAAGGTGCCAAGAATACACATGGGGAAAGGCTGGTATCTTCAACAAATGGTATTAAGAAAACTGGCCACCCAATTGCAAAATAATAAAATTGAACCCCTATCTTTTAAAAATCAACTGGAAATGGATTAAAGGCTTAGTCAGAAAATGTGAAGCTGTAAAACTACTAGAAATAAACATAGGGGAAACACTTCATGAGATTGGTTTTGGAAATACTTTTTTGGATATGACATCAAAAGCACAAGCAACAGAAAAAAAGGAACAAGTACGACTACATCAAACTAAAAAGCTTCTGCACAACAAAGGAACGAATCAACCACATGAAGAGGCAGTCTATGGAATGGGAGAAAATACTTGCAAACTGCATATCTGATAAGGGGTTAATATTCAAAATAAATAAGAAATTCCTTCAACTTAATAGCAGAACAAAAATAAAAACAAAAAACAAAAACAAAACACACAGACTCTCTCACACACACCCACAAATGCAAATAACCTGATTAAGACAATGGGCAAAGGACTTGAATAGACATTTCTCCAGAGAAGACATACAAATGGCCAATAGGTGTATGAAAAGATGCTAAAAATTACTAATTATTATAAAAATGGAAATCTTAATCACAACAAAATATCACTTCATACCTGTAGGATAGCTATGGTAAAAAAAAAATGGTAATGACTGTTGGAGAGGCATGCAGAAATTGGAACCTGTTTCCACTATCTGTGGGAATGAAAAATAGTACAGTTGCTACAGAGGTTCCTCAAAAAATTAAAAGTAAAAATATCATATAATCCAGTAATCCCATTCTAGCTATTTATCAAAAAGAAGTGAAATCAAGATCTCAAAGAGATATTTGCACTCCCATGTTTATTGTAGCATTATTCACAATAGATAAGATGTGGAAACAATTTAAATGTTCATTGATGGATAAATAAATAAAGTATGACACAGACATACAATAGAATGTTACTCAGCCTTAAAAAAGGAAATCCTGCTGGGCACGGTGGCTCATGCCTGTAATCCCAACACTTCAGGAGGCTGAGGTGGGTGGATCATCTGAGATCGAGACCAGCCTGGCCAAAATGGTGAAACCCCATCTCTACTAAAAATACAAAAATTAGCCAGCTGTGGTGGTGCCCACGTGTAATCCCAGCTACTGGGGAGGCTGAGGCATGAGAATCGTTTGAACCCGAGGGGAGGAGGCTGCAGTGAGCTGAGATTGCACTATGCACTCCAGCCTGGGTAACAGAGTGAGACCCCAACTCAAAAAAAAAAAAGAAAAAAAAAAAAAAAGGAAATCCTGCCATATGCGACCACATGAATGACCAGGAGGACATCAAGCTAAGTGATATAAGTCAGTCACAAAAGAACAAATATGGCATGATACCACTTATATGAGGTATATAAAATATTCAAATACATAGAAGCAGGGAGAATGGTGGTTCCCAGGAAGTGAGGGAAGAAGAAAATGGGCTATTATCCAACAAGTCTAATGTTTCAGTTATGTAAGATGGGAAAGTTCTAGAGATCTGCTCTACAACATTGTGCCTATAGTTTAAAATATTGTATATTTAAAATTTTGTTAAGAAGGTAGATCTCATGATAAGGGTTCTGACCACAGTTTAAAAAAAAATGATGTCATGGGGTTTTAGATTGCCCAATTCAAGTTTATGCAGACAGAGCTATCTCTATAAATGCTTTTCTGGAAACTCCTTTTCTATCCTTGCATTTGGACAGTCATGTAGACTTATGTATTTATTTGGTTTAGAAAAAAAATGTTCATGGTTTCCATAGCAACCTTAGTTTTTAGTGGATACAGAATATCTTGAGAGGCTCTAAGCTCTTGTCTCTTTTCAACACTAAAGTTGCATCTAATGGGGAGTTTTTCCCAGTTTCCTACCAAAACCAGTGGAACTTATTCAATTGGGCAACTCTGCTTGTGCTTCTTATCCCTTAGGCCCAGGTTCTATCTTGAGGGCCCATTGCTTGGGCTCCCAGGCTGTACTGTTTTCTTAGGGCCCCTAGTGCTCACAGGCACCTAGGAAGTTGTGCTCTTTCTTTTCTTTCTTTCTTTCTTTCTTTCTTTCTTTCTTTCTTTCTTTCTTTCTTTCTTTCTTGCTTGCTTGCTTTCTTTTCTTTGAGATCTTGACTCCTAAGAAAGATGTTGAAAGTTAGCTCTCTCGGGCCCCTTTACCCCTCACAGAACTCCCATGTCCCTGGGAGTCTCCTCTTCCTATGCCCTTCCCCACATACACAACTCAACTCCAAATTTAAAGCTGCCATCACTTTTTCTTTCCAGATACATTGCTTGCCCCAAAGATTAAAGAGCTCCCATCAGGGTTTGCATTTATGCTTGCAACTTCTTTTCAGGGCTAAAACATATAAAGACTATTTTCTTTTTCCCAGGACATTCTTATCCAAAGAAGGAAAATTTATGCTTTACAAATACAAACCAGCTGCCCCTTTGAGAAGCTGGAGGAGAATAACTCTTACTTCTTAAAGGGCCCATAGCAACGAGAAGTAAAACCAATCTCGATGGTTTGACCCATCTTGGTCAACCAAGATGAGCTTGCTGTGTTTAATTCACAATAAATCATTGTGTTTTAATAGTCTGATATAGTGTCTGTGGCCTCTTGGTTTTGTATAGTTGCACATTTGTTTTCAAATTCTCAGGTATCACTTCCACCAGGACGGGAATCAGCCAGCCAAAAAGAGATTATTAAACTTTCTTTCACACTGCGTCTTCCTTATCTCACATCGTAGAACACAAGTCAAGAGTCCTCCTCTCAGAGATATAGAGAGCTATGGCACTCATGGTCATGCCCAGCATCTATCAGACCACTTTGGAGAGATAAGACTTCTGAGGAAACCTGTTAATGAGTAGTAGTACTTTTCAAAAGTCCATTAAAATGTAAACAGCAGAGTGTGAAAGAAAGATCTGATATACCTTGCATAGACCAAGCGGCATAAAGGAAGAATTACAGGAGACATCTGGAAGAGAGAA
Source organism: Homo sapiens (assembly GCF_000001405.40). Lineage (NCBI taxonomy): Eukaryota > Metazoa > Chordata > Mammalia > Primates > Hominidae > Homo > Homo sapiens. The sequence continues at coordinate 54,809,041 of NC_000006.12, read as the reverse complement.
TTGGACCTGATATAGCTATTCCCTTAAATGAGGCTTTTCCCAAAGTCAAAAATAAGAAAGCCCTAGAGATTGATAACAACCCACTCTATATCCAGTAGATTTGACTGTATGTATGTAAGCCTTTCCTTACCTGCCAATGGAAATGAATAAGGGCATATTAATATTGCATGCAAAATATATTCCCCACCTTTATAAGAGCAGAATCTCAATCCCACCATTTAAGTTTCTTCAAGTTATTCATGAGAGTTCCCAGAGGATGGCTCATATTCCACACAGTCATTTGCATTTAACTTTTTTGTGGTATTCATAATGCCCTAAGGTAAAAAAATTGGCTATTCAAAAATGGATGTATCCCTGTCTGTTTGCAAGAGTCAAGATTCAGGTGATCAGAGTGGGCAAATCAGGTAAACAGCATTTCTCATGAGAATCTTTCCTAATGAATACTATTTTTGCATGGGCTCCATATTTTTGTGTATGACCTGTCAATATCTGTTTTGTGAATAATTTGTAAATATTTTTCCTATACAAAGTGTCGTATTTAAAAAATTTGATTATACTTTACCAATTCATTCATTTTCAAAAATATTTTTTCAGTAACTTCTATGTGAAAAATTTGGTCTAAGTAGATCTATTTCTTTTTTTTATTATTTTCTTCTTCTTCTTTTTTTTTGAGGGGGGGGATGGAGTCTCACTCTGTCACCCAGGCCAGAGTGCAGTGGCATGATCTCTGCTCACTGCAACCTCCGCCTCCCTGGTTCAAGTGATTCTCCTGCCTCAGCCTCCCGAGCAGCTGGGATTACAGGCGTGCACCACCACGCCTGGCTAGTTTTTGTATTTGTAGTAGAGATGGTGTTTTGCTATTTTGGCCAGGCTTGTCTCAAACTCCTGACCTCAGGTGATCTGCTCGCCTCAGCCTCCCAAAGTACTACAATTACAGGCATGAACCACCACGCCCAGGCTAGATCTATTTCTAAACAAGGCATAATCTCTTCCCTACAGTCCAATGGGAAGTAAATACCAATAATATTTCAAAAAATATCTGACAAGTTCTATATATAGGATATAAGTAGAAATAAATCGTAGTTCAGAGGAGAAAAATGTTAGTTAGCACTTGTTGGAGTCTCTAAAAAGGCTATAAAAAGAAAGTAGCATTGAGATGAGCCTTGAAGCATGGGTATTATGTTTTAAAACTTAATTTTATGAACTTATTCTATAAATAAACCTATTTATTTCTCATAAATTAGACAAAATAAGCTTCAAATAGAAGGAAATAAAATCATCTATAAGCCTGAGGTCAATATCAATGTTTTGTTTGTGGAGGATTGAATTACTGATTCCAATTTTTTATCCCTCCCATATATCTATGGTATTTGTTAGGTGACATGCATTCCCTCCAACTAAAGGTTGTGTATTCTTTCCTGTGTCTTGATTTCTGAATTATCCATGTGACTTGCTTTGGTCAGTGTGATATTAGCAGACGTGACACAAGCAGTGGCTTGAAATGTGACTGCTTTCTTACATTTCTGCCATGAAAAAAATAAGCTACTTCCTAATCCAAAAAGGATACAGACTTACAAAGAAGGCCTGAATCCTGTCAACACCTTGAAGCCAATTTCAAAAAAGTCTAGCCTAGATTAGCCAATAATCATCAAACAACCAACAGCATGTGATCAAGAATAAATCACTGTTTTAATCCACTGAGTTTTGGGGTGGTTTGTTATGAAGGACAATTTTGTCAATAGCTAATACAGTGTTTTCTATGCTTTCAGATGTTTTTATAATAATGAGATTATACTGTAAATGTTATTTTGTAATCTGGTATTTACACTCAATAGATTGTGATTATATTTCTATTTGGATACTTCTTTTTAATGTCTGAATAATTTTTTTAACCTGTTCCCTCAAGTAGAAAGCTGTATGTTTTTAGTTTCAACTTGGGCTGCAAGTGGGAGAAAAACAAAACTGAGTGGATTAAACAAGGCAAAAGTTTATTTCTTACATGAATAAAAGAAGCTCTGGGCTGGTATGATACCACATAATGTAGAATCCCAGGCCCAGGCTATCTCTTTCTCATGGTTCAGGAGGTTGGAGTCAAGTAAATATGGGGAAGGGCATTTTCACGAGTTGCACACACCATTTTATTTATATCCAAAGAGTAGAACTTAGTCACATAGCCATGACTAGCTATAAGAGAATTGATAAAAGTGGACTTTATATCAAGTAATCAAGACACAGGTAAAAATGATGAGTTCTAGTCTCAGGTACAAAGTGGAGAACAAAGAGTGGACTATAATAGTCTCTGTGATTGACTTCTATGTTGTTTTTAATGTTTTAATATAATAAATAATGCTATGACTAAATTTATAGTTTTTGGCATGCAGAAATGGAGCAGATATTTGATAGGGAATGGAGTGAATATACAAAAACCTAGGGAGCTGTTTAAGAATAATGAGTGATATAATGTTGTAATAGTATAAATGTTGTGTAGGAGAATAGATGGAAATAAAGTTTGTTTTTCCAAAAATATATTTAATCTTGTATGCCCAGAAAGAGAAACAAATCCTGAGTTACCAGATCAACAATGCCAGGTCTTCATTTTCAGATTGTTATCTAATTAGTATATGAAGCACTTATGTTTACTAAGTGAACTGGTTGACCCAATACATAAAGCCATCCTTGAGAGTTTAACTCTCTCTAGAGTAAACCTCCTAAGAGTAACTTTGCTTACTCTTAGTAACCTCCCAAGTAACAACTTAGGAGATTGATTTCAATAACTGAAATTAGAGGAGCGTGAAACTATTTAAAATATTTGCAGAATCTTGAGAAACCGATTGTGGCCAGAATATAAGTGCATGTGATAGGAATAAGGGTAGAGGTGGGAGCAAAGGTGGGACTGAAGATAAGTCTGGAATAGTCTCAAATTTTCATTTATTTTTCTTATCATTTACTGCTAATTTAAAATAACTTATTTTTTGTATTATAAAAGCAATGCATATTCTTTGTAGCAGTCTCCAGCATCTGGCAGCTGGATTCACAGCATACCTTGTTTTTGTTGCCTATGAACATGATTACCCCCAATCCATTCTGCATAGCATTTTATGATTGACTTTTCTAATAGTGATTCTGTGTGATACTCTCTTTCTTCATGGCACAGACAGGGTGGATGCTGTAGGACCATATAGACTTACCTTAGCTAATGTCTCGATTCACACCCCTGCTGCTTAATAAAGCCATCAATATCAATAGACTTTACACCAGGGGTTCTGCTGAATTGATCTGAGGTGGGACCCTGGTGTCAGTGTAGCTTTACAAAAACCTTTCTGGTAATGCTAATATGCAAGCAGAATGAAAATTACTGAATTAGTTAATTGATAGCTCCTTCCTGCTTCACAAATTACTGATCACCCACATTTGGCATTAATATTCCCATCTTCACGAAGCAAGCTAAGCTATTTTCAGCCAATTTTATACAATTTTTTTATGCAAAGCTAAAATTGGTCTTTTTGTGTCTTTTACCCACAGAACTAGTTCTACTCTGTGACACTACAAAGGATAAGTCTATCCTTTTCCACATGACAGCCTGTTAATTACTTGAACATTTGCTAAACATGGCCTTCCTAAATATTCACTTCCCAAGCTAAACATATAGAATTTGAAAAAAAAGAAAACATCGATGTTTTGCTATTAGCTTAGCCCATCCCTGGTTGGACATTGAGCCTGTCACATTCCATAGCTCAGAAGGATTTGTATTTCTAAATGTCTTACATTCCTTAAAGACACAGTTTACAAACAGACTCAGATAGCTTTGAATCATGCTACATACCAGAAAATTCCTTTCTCTTATTATCAAGCACAGAAATGCCTGGTCTATATCAAAATGACTGAAATGTTATCCAATTAACATTTTTTACTTTAAATAATTATTTGAAATATAAATACAGAGTAGAATTACTAGAATATAATATACTATTAGCTACAGAAAACACAAGATACAATATTTATGCTATGTAATAGAGTATAAATAACTCCTCTTTTTATTTTGGAACACCAGTTATTCTGAAAAGTGAATTCTTTTGCAATTTGTCCTATGCTCATAGGCAGAAATAAAACCTTTCTGTCAGATATCAAAAAGTGCCTATAAGCTTTTTGTTTGACAACACCCAGCCCTTTCCACAGACCTTTTGATGACAAAGTTTCTAGTTTTCTAATTATCATGTTTAATCGTTTGTGAACATGTCCCCTGCTTCCAGTGTGATCTGCGCAGTGAAGAATAGAATGGAACTCTCAATTCTCTGGCTCTGGAGTAACTCTTTGGCTACTTATGTAGGCTAGGTCTTTGATAACCCATTTAAAATGTCAGCATTGAGAATAGCCCAACAGACTATGACCAAGCATCTCACTCTGGCCTATTAATCATAACCCAAGCCATTATCAATTGTCCATAGAAAAAAGCCTAAGGGCTGGCAGATATTCAGGATCATTTATAGATAATCAGAATCATTTAAAATCAGGCCCCAACTTACCCTTTCTCCCATATTACCCATGCCTACTTAAAATTGTTTTCTTATTAAATCAGTCTACTCACTATCTCTTTAAATCATGTCAGAGAGGCCAGGCACGGTGGCTCGTGCCTGTAATCCCAGCACTTTGGGAGGCCAAGGCAGACGGATCACTTGAGATCAGGAGTTCAAGACCAGCCTGGCCAACATGGTGAAACCCCACCTCTACTAAAAATACAAAAGTTAGCCAGAAATTGCTTGAACCCGGGAGGCGGAGTTTGCAGTGAGCTGAGATCATGCCACTGCACTCCAGCCTGGGTAACAGAGAGAGACTCTGTTTCAAAAAAAAAAAAAAAAAAAAAAAGTCAGAGCTATTTCTGCCTGCTCAACTACTATACCATTTCCTCTTTCATGAAATGAAACCTCCTCCCACTAACAGAATCCTCTCTTCGCATATAATCTACTCAAAATTCAAACAACAGCACAACCCCAGTCTCTTCCTCAAAACTGTGTCGGAGTGCCAAAGTTCACAGAATTGTATACTTTCTTTGAAAACGTCTTGCCCTTATTGTATATACTGGTTACAGTAGTAGCAACAACAATAATAATAATTGTCTAATGATGGTTACTATTTCACTGAGCACTTTGCTAGTCAATTCATGTATAACCCTAATGGGTAGATCTTATTTTACCTATTTTACAGGTTAGTAAACTAAGACTTCAAGTAGGATGAGTTACTAGGATTCAATTCCTGGTCTGCTTGACTCTGTAGTACTAGGTCACCTTATCTCTTTTGACCTGCTTTGTCCTGAATTCATCCACTTCTATTATTATTTTGCTGTGTTTGATGTAGTTTACTTTTAACTTATAAAATAATAATTTAGAGCAAATTAGTTTCATCTTCATATTTATATATTAAGTTTAACTATGTAAAACTCAAGAGTATTATAAATGCCTGAAAGAATCCTAAAAATGCTGTGACATTTGCTACCTAAGTCAGTTTACACTGATTCCTATTCAAATGGCAACACCCTTTCTTTGTTGGAATTCAATTACATGCATTCTAATTAAGAGATTCCTGGGTGAGCTTTACACCCTTTAGAAGTGAGAACTTGATTTAGACGTGTGGTATACGAGTTGGCCACAATTCTCCAGTCAACTTCCTAGGCAGTTCTCTTTCCAGGGCCTTATCTGAATGGTTTAGTTCCTCCCTATCATGCCAATAGCCAACCTCATTTTTGCCTTATCTGTCTTGCCTTCCCTAAGTGGCACTCCAAGCACAGGTCATCCAATTGTAGTTCTTCTGTATTATGTGCACTCAAGCTTCTGCTCTTTTTTCAAAGGTGTGGTCGAGGTGTGTGCTAATGAGTACTTTTTCTCCAGGCGCCTCATCTTCACCATATCAACTTGCATGCATTTTACTAGAAGCCAATTAGAGAGAGGGTTTGATTCACAGAGGTGACCTGGATGCTAGCATTTATGGCACTGTAAAGGTACAGAATTCTGACAGCAGGACTTTTCAACCCCCTAAAATCACAATACATATTCAGCCCTTACCACGAGTCCTGCTGCAATGACTCAGACTCTTGGCTTTTGAAAGTAAGTGGAGAAAGGAAAAAGCATATCTCAGCAGTGCTGAAGATTGAGGAAGGAGGCACTAGTGAAGCACCAAGGACAGAGTTGTCTTGAGTGTTAGAATTTTGCCAATCTAATATCACAAAAATTGCATAGTGGAATTGAATTTTCCTTCTTCAATCCCTTGTCAAGTAAGACAGAATAGAAGATAATGATCTTAATAATTATGTATAAATATATGTAGCTAGTACTTTTCCTGTGGTTTCTAAACTACATTAAGGTCATAGTCTTTTTATTTAAAATATTATGTGTACTTTAAGGCAAGTAGTTAGCTAATTCTCAAGCATTTCTATTAGGCAGTGCCATATTATTAACCTTGTTTTACCACAGACAAATTTTATTGACTTATTGTTTAGTCTTACAGAAAGATCACAGAGAACAGTAGAATTAAAATAATTTCATGTAATCTTTGTGGTCGTTGTGTTTTCTTTGAATAAATAATAGATCTAAATCTGTTGGTAAATCTAGGTGAGCAGTCTGTACTTAAAGAAAAATCATGTATTGTGTATGAGGTCAATGGAATGTTTGAATGAAGTAACATTGCCAAGTATTAAGTTGGCTATTACACATTCCTGTAGTGATCCATTTATCTCATCTTCCAGAATAATATGTTTCTAGAACATGATTGATACATTCTAATTCAGATTAAAATTTATGTCTTCTTATAATTCAGGTTTACTTCTGTTGTTATTCACAAATTTTAAGGAAAGACTACAAATTTTTCTGGGACTAATATTATTGCTTTCCTTTATTGCATATATTTAAAAGGAAAAAAGGAACTCAGTCCTCAAGTTCAATCAACCACTGATTGATATAAGGTTTTGCTTAGCAACATAGATTTTTAAATCAATGAATTTATTAATGTGAACCATGTACAACATATATGAGATGCAAATTCTTCAGGAACATTCAGCAAGCAAGAAGGAAATCTTATAGCTAAATGACTCACAAATAGCCCTGCCTGCCTGATTTATTATGGATTACTTGTATGAGTCATAAACACCAAAGCTCAGTTACTGGTATGTGACATCATGATATCACATGACTCTACTGGCAGGCATAGCTTTGTAAGCTCTAATTTCATAATTAACATTTTCAGGGTAAGATGGATAGGACATCGCAGTTGCAAGGCTTTCAACAAAAGCCTGGAGATACATGAAATATTATATTGGTGAGTAGAGTTTACTGACTGTAAGCCATATAAGGTAATGATTCAATGCTGAAGGAACTATCATTTTGCTTTTAATGGAGATTATGATAACAGTGTGGTCTTTCTAGCTCTTGTGCTGTATTTGTTTCATGATGGCTGACAGCTAACATTCCAAAAAGGGTTACATACTGGTAACTTTCCATTTAAAAATTCAAATACCTCCAATAATGCCAATAAAAAAAGAGAGTTTTGGCATTTTGCCTACATTGTATGCACTGTACAGTTACTTTTTAGTTGATTGATTGATTGTTATGCATGGGGATATGATTGGCATATGTTCTCAATGAGTTGAGTGTAATTGACTGACAGATGAGGCAATTCCTTTGTTACAGTGCAAGACTTTGGATTTCCTGGAAAGAGATATTTTTAATGATGAGTAAATCAATATTTTAATAATTTTTAAGTTGTATCTAATAAAATCTGGCTTTAAATCTGTTTCTCTCTTCCTCAATCTCTTTGATTAATTTTCTGCACCAATGGAGGGAAATGATGTGATGAATAATTTAAATGAGATAATTTTTAAAATGTATATGTATATATTAGTGCATAAGACTGAAACTGAAGAATAGCCTGTCTCATATTCTGCACCACTGTAAATCTTCAAGGGCAGATTCTGCCTTATTGAGTATATCTCTAGGATATAGCTCAGTGTCTGGCATATGTGCATATTTAAAAATATAAATTGAAAAGAAAAATATATTCCCCATCTTTGTGAATAGCCACACTAACAAGGCCCTTGTTGGTAGAGCAGGAAAGTAGTCCATTCCAAGTTATTCAGCTAGTAGGGTCTCTATGGTTTACTACATGCTAGAAACTGACTAGTAAATATTGGAACTTACTTATTGTTGTTATTTGAATGTTTGAATATTTTACTTTTAAATCTGCAGTAAAAGATGAGAAAAATATCAACAGGCTCCTATGTTCTTAGTGCCTGCACAGTTAGCACTAATGCTCTAAGTTGAGTGACAATTTTTATAACACAGTTTTTGTTTAAATCTTTTGCTACTTTTGCTCATAAAATTTCCCACTTTGAATAACATAGTAAATGTTGCATCTATCTATGAACCTGAATATTGTCCAAGTTCAGGTCCTAAAGATAAAGAGAATTGACTTATTGACTCTGATAATAAATTCCCATATCATTGGCATCATGCCGGTGTTATTTCTTCATTTTCTTCCTTGTACTTTTGTCTTTGTCATATGTATATTGAGTGTTCATATGTCAAATTCCGTGTTCCAGATACCATCAGTAAATGATAATCAAAAGAGTAATAAAACAATGTTATATTTATTAAATTATAATTGTATTAATAAAGACTTTGTCCCATTGAGCAAACTGTATATGTGGCTTTATAGGCTCACTGTGATGTCATGCTTCAGTCACCTCTAGATTATTTGCTTTGCATCATGTTCATACGTGCAGTCCTTTCTTCCACCCAGGAGAAAAGGAACCCATCACCTCATTGCCATACCATCTGGCTAGCGTAGGAGTGGAGTTTGCTCCTCTGAGAGTCATTTTCTTCTAACTAGCAGCCACACTGTCCAATTGAGAAAAAGTTTTATAGTATTTTGATGCCAATTAATGGATTAATGAGCATTTATACATCACTTCTTATGAACAAGGGAGATTAGGAAGAAGAACAAAGATTAAGAAGAGGAGAAGGAAGAAGAAAATGTTTATATGTGTATAAATGTGCATGTGTTTACACTTGTATATGTTTACACATATACATGTATGAAGATATGTGTATAAATGTGTATGTGTTTATATTTACACATATAAACATTTTCTTCTTCCTTCTCAAAAACTATTTGCAAACATAATTACATTAATGATATAAATTCTTAAACTTAGGCTTTTCAGATTTTAGATCTATGGTCCAGGCCCAATAAGCTCTACCATGTAGCTATTTCAGGCATTTTATAATAAAATAAGATAGTTAAATAGAAAAGACAAGTAAATTAAGTGAGGGGTTTCATTGTTGTTATTAAGTTAGGAGAGACCTCTGCATGCCAAAGAGAAAGGAACTTTACTAATTAAAACGGAAGGAGTGATGAGAAAACAAGTTATCTAAGAAGGGAGAGAGGAATAAATCAGTGTTTATTACAAGTGAGGTAGCTTTAAACAACATGAGGAATCTTTCTCAGTCCAAAGGGAAAGGTAAATATAGAAACAAAATTATGATGGATAGAAGTGAGAGAAACTTGGAAGTTTTCTCCAGATGGATTTTAAAGGCATTAGCTCAGACAGAGGACTAAAATGAGAGTAAGACCAGAGACTCAAGGAAGCAGTTGTTCTGGGAAATCACTACGGTGTGAAATTAGCAGATGATATATGAAATAATTGCACAGGAGTATAAAAGAATCCAGTGGAAGTTTGACCAGTCATTTCTGCATTTGGTCTAATACCATTTAGGGGCCAGAGCAGAAGTGGAAGGAAACAAGATTGGGATAATCCAGGACTGGGATTGACAGAACAGGCACACCAACCACGAAGGATGTGAGCCTGGGTTAGTGGAAGGGCAACATTGAGGGCTGCCCATGGACTGCTGCTGCTTGGATGCCACTGCTCCTTATTTGTTAGCAAGGCCAATCAAAAGCTGTCTCTAGTGCTTTCTCTCTGTTCTATCAGAAGATAAAAAGGGACTAATCTCTTCTCTCCTGATCATTATCAGCTCAGGTTTATTGGGGGTTCATCCTGCTTTCATTCAAATGCTCAGCCGTATGATGTTAATATCCTTTATATATGAGTGGCAAAAAGGTACAATGATCTAGCAGAACCCTAATGAACTATGGCATACAGAAGAAATTTATTATACACCTGATTGGATAAGAATTGACAGGTTAGGTACTAGCACTGATAGAACACTATGTAGCATCTTAAAAAAAATAGATTTCAGGTATTAATTCCAGAGGAAAGCTGATTTAGGGATTCAACACATTATTCTAAATTAGGCACATGATAAAATGCTATCTTTGATATGAAAGAGATAAGTAAGAATTCAACAATTTGGCTTTTCAGAAGCTTTTATGTATATATAGTGCCATCTCCCTAATAATGTGAGAATATTTTACTAAAGGTGTTGACTCAACATGATTACAGGATCCCTATGACATTGCAGCATATTTCTCTGATATGGTTTGTCTGTGTCCCCACCCAAACCTCATCTTGAATTGTAGCTCCCATAATTCCTATGTGTTGTGGGAGGGACCCGATTGGAAGTTAATTGAATCATGAGCGTGGTTTCCTCCATACTGTTCTCCCAGTAGTCAATAAGTCTCATGAGATTTGATGGTTTTATAAGCGGTGTATTAGTCCGTTTTTATGCTGCTGATAAAGACATACCTGAGACTGGGAAGAAAAGGAGGTTTAATTTGACTTACAGTTCTACATGGCTGGGGAGGTCTCATAATCATAGCAGAGGGTGAAAGGCACATCTTACATGGTGGCAGCAAGAGAAAATGAGGAAGAAGCAAAAGTGGAAACCCCTGACAAACCCATCAGATCTTGTAAGACTTATTCACTATTGCAAGATTGGCACGGGAAAGACTAGCCCCCATGATTCAATTACCTTCCCCTGGATCCCTCCCACAACATGTAGGAATTCTGGGAGATATAATTTAAGTTGAGGTTTTAGTAGGGACACAGCCAAACCATATAATTCCACCTCTAACCCCTCCAAATCTCATCTCCTCACTTTTCAAAACCAATCATGCCTTTGCAACAGTCCCCCAAAGTCTTTAACTCATTTCAGCATGAACTCAAAGTCCACAGTCCAAAGTCTCATCCGAGACAAGGCAAGTCTCTTCCACCTATGAGCCTGTAAAATCAAAAGCAAGCTGGTTACTCTCTAGATACGATGGGGGTACAGGTATTGGGTAAATTCAGCCATTCCAAATGGGAGAAATTGGCCAAAACAAAGTGGTTACAGGGCCCATGCAAATCTGAAATCCAGTACAGCAGTCAAATTTTAAAGCTCCAAAATGAACTCCTTTGACTGTAGGTCTCACATCCAGGTCACACTGATGCAAGAGGTGGATTCTCATGGTCTTGGGCAGCTCCGTCCCTTTGGTTTTGCATGGTACAGCCTCCCTCCTGGCTGCCTTAATAGGCTGGCATTAAGTGTCTGTGGCTTTTCCAGGTGCATTGGTGCAAGCTGTTGGTGGGTCTACCATTCTGGGGTCTGAAGGACAGTGGCTCTCTTCTCACAGCTACACTAGGCAGTGCTCCAGTAGGGATTCTCTGTGGGGGCTCTGACCCCACATTTCCCTTCCACACTGCACTAGCAGAGGTTCTCCATGAGGGCCCTGCTCCTGCAGTAAACTTTTGCCTGGGCATCCAGGCATTTCTATACATCTTGAAACCTAGGTAGAGGTTCCCAAACCTCAATTCTTGACTTCTATGTACCCACAGGCTCAGCACCACTTGGAAGCTGCCAAGGCTTGGAGCTTCCACCCTCTGAAGCCACAGCCCAAGCTCTATGTTGGCCCCTTTCAACCATGGCTGGAGCAGCTGGGACACAGGGCACCAAATCCCTAGGCTGCACACAGCATGGGGACCCTGGGCCCAGCCCACAAAACCACTTTTTCCTCCTAGGCCTCCAGGCCTGTGATGGGAGGGGCTGCCATGAAGGTCTCTGACATGGCCTGGTTACATTTTCCCATGGTCTTGGAGATTAACATTAGGCTCCTTGCTACTTATGCAAATTTCTGCAGCTGGCTTGAATTTCTCCCCAGAAGATGGGTTTTTCTTTTCTATCACATAGTCAGGCTGCAAATGTTCCAAACTTTTGTGCTCTGCTTCCCCTGTAAAACTAAGTGCCTTTAACAGTACCAAAGTCACCTCTTGAATGCTTTGTTGTTTAGAAATTTCTTCCACCAGGTACCCTAAATCATTGCTCTTAAGTTCAAAGTTCCACAAATTTCTAGGGCAGGGGCAAAATGCCACCTGTCTCTTTGCTAAAACACAACAAGAGTCACCTTTGCTCCAGTCCCCAGCAAGTTCCTCATCTCCATCTGAGACCACCTCAGCCTGGCCCTTATTGTTCATATCACTATCACCATTTCTGTCAAAGCCATTCAACAAATCTCTAGGAGCTTCCAAACTTTCCCACATTTTGCTGTCTTCTTCTGAGCCCTCCAAGCTGTTCCATCCTCAGTCTGTTATCCAGTTCCAAAGTCGTTTCCACATTTTCGGGTATCTTTTCAGCAACACATCACTCTACTGGTACCAATTTACTGTATTATTCTGTTTTTATGCTGCTGATAAAGACATACCCGAGACTGGGAAGAAAAGGAAGTTTAACTTAACTTACAATTCCACATGGCTGGAGAGGTCTCATAGTCATCGTGGAAGGTGAAAGGCACTACCTACATGGTGGTGGCAAGAGAAAATGAGGAAAAACCAAAAATCGAAACTCCTGATAAACCCATCAGATCTTGTGAGACTTAGTCACTATCATGAGAATAGCATGGGAAAGACCAGTCCCCATGATTCAGTTACCTCCGCCTGGGTACCTCCCACAACACTGGGAATTCTGGGAGGTACAATTCAAGTTGAGATTTTGGTGGGGACACAGCCAAACCATATCAAGGGTTTTCCTCTTTTGCTTGGTTCTCATTCTCTCTTGCCTGCTGCCACATAAGACATGACTTTGCTCCTCCTCGCCTTCTGCCATGATTGTGAGGCCTCTCCAGCCATGTGAAACTGTGAGTCCATTAAACTTCTTTTTCTTTATAAATTACCCAGTCCCAGGTATGTCTTTATTAGCAGTGTGAGAACAGACTAATACACACTGCAACCCAGGTTGATATTTTTCCAATGGCATGTACCCTGAGGGCTTCCAACAACATTATATTGAACATGAATGCTTAGCTGATCATACAACAATAGCAAATCTCCTGTTGAGAATGTCACTAGAATTAATAAATATTCACAAAAAAAGTATATCTGGTTACCACCAATGCAGAATATTATCTTTTTGAACCCACCTGAGAGAAGGAAAGTATTTTTTCCCCTGTGGACTTCTGTAGAGAAGTAAGGAGAGTTATATTGGTACCATCTCACATTGCTATAAGAGATATCTAGGACTGGGGAATTAATAAAGAAAAGAGGTTTAATTGGCTCACAGTTCGCAGGCTGTACAGAAAGCATAGTGCTGGCATCTCCTTGGCTTCTGGGGAGGCCTCAGGAAACTTACAATTATGGCAGAAGGTGAAAGGAGTGCAGGCACTTCACATGGCTAGAGCAGGAGCAGGAGCAAAAGAGAGCGAGGTGGGAAGTGCTACAAACTTTTAAATGACCAGATCTCCTGAGAACTCACTCACTATCATGAGAATGGCACCAAAGGGTCGTGATGCTAAACCATTCATGAGAAATCCACCCCAGGATCCAATCACCTTCTAGGAGGCCCCATCTCCAACACCGGATATTATAATTCAACATGACATTTGGGCATGGACACAGACCCAAACCATATGAAGAATATCAATTAATTCTGATGTTATTTGTAGCCTATTTAAGTGTGTATATATAGATATATACATTAAGAGTATTCATAGTAAACACATTGTCAAATATATGCTAGCAGTTCTCTGCTTTAAAGAGAAGCAAAAACCACAGAAGACTTTCTCCCTTCAAAGTTTTTCTGTTTTTTTTTTTTTTTTTTTTTTTTTTTAGACAGAGTCTTGCCTGTTACCCAGGCTGGAGTGCAGTGGCACGATCTGCACCTCTGCCTCCTGGGTTCAAGGGATTCTCCTGCCTCAGCCTCCTGAGTAGCTGGGATTACAGGTGCCTGTCACCATGCCCAGCTAATTTTTTAAAATATATTTTTAGTAGAGATGGGGTTTCACTGTGTTGATCAGGTTGGTCTTCAACTCCTGACCTCAAGCAATCCACCTGCCTTGGCCTTCCAAAGTGCTGGGATTACAGGCATGAGCCACCGTGCCCAGCTCAGAGTTTTATTATTTATTTATTCATTTATTGAGATGGAGTTTCACTCTTGTTGCCCAGGCTGGAGTGCAATGGCGTGATCTCAGCTGTCTGCTTTCCAGATTCAAGGGATTCTCCTGACTCAGCCTCCCAAGTAGCTGGGACTACAGGCTCGTGCCACCATGCCCAGCTAATTTTGTATTTTTAGTAGAGACAGGCTTTCACCATGTTGCCCAGGCTGATCTGGAACTCCTGACCTCAGATGATCCACACACCTCTGCCTTCAAAGTGCTGGGATTACAGATGTGAGCTGCTGTGCCCGGCCCTTCTTTATTCTTTCTTCATCTCTGGTTATGGTGTTACAGAAAAAACATTCTACTTGGAATCACATTTACTTTGGTTTAATTCAGATAACTGCTAGTCTAAACTTGGGCAATTTATTTATGGTTCTTCTTCTTTTATTTCTTCATGGGTGAAGCAGGTGCAACACCATTTGTACCACCCACTCCATGTGGATGTTAGGAGAATAAGATAAGGTAATGGAAGGAAAGGGCCCTGAGCTTGTAGTCAGTATAAATTATTACTTTTGTCAACCTAAAAAAAAAGAAAATCAATAAGTATGTATTTCACAAGTACATTGATCTAAATATGATTTCCAATACAGGTAAAATGTTCTGCATATGAACTCCCCAGGCAATCCAAAGGCTACAAAATATTGAGAGTTTGCTGTATAAAACATTGCTTAGAATAAGTAACTTGGAACTTTTTTTGTAAAGGTGACTTTTATTGCAATAACTGATTTAAGACTGAATACAAACCCAAGCACAAAATATATATACTGAGTCAATATTTTCTATAGTCTTAAAAGATATATACTATGTCAGAAATTTAGATATATTATTAGTCTCCCAACATTTTACAACCCCATAAATATTTTTGTAGACCTTCACATAATTAACTTGACACCACAGTGGATGGGTACCTAATTAACTGAAATGATAATGTGAATGCTTCTAGTTTCATTTTCTAGTCTGGGTTTTATGTCCTGATTAATAACATGCTTTAAAATTTGTATATAAATTAATCAGTGTCTATAAAAATAAATCAAATTCAAATAAATAATAAAAACTTTAAGGATCGGCCGAAGGCGATGGCTCACGCCTGTAATCCTAGCACTTTGGGAGGCTGAGACGGGCAGATCACGAGGTCAAGAGTTTGAGACCAGCCTGGCCAACATGGTGAAACCCCTTCTCTACTAAAAATACAAAAATTAGCTGGGCTTGGTGGCAGGCGCCTGTAATCCCAGCTACTCAGGAGGCTGAGGCAGGAGAATCATTTGAACCTGGGAGGCAGAGGTTGCAGTGAGCCAAGATCATGCCATTGCACTCCAGCCTGGTGACAGAATGAGACTCTGTCTCAAAACAAAACAAAACAAAGAAAAAAAACTTCAAGGATTTTTTGATGGAGTCTGCTTCCGTCTCTGCCATATTACTATTTCCTACTGTGAAGATGTTTTGTTGTTGTTTGTTTCTTTGTGAATTCTTCTCAACCCAGTTCCAATTTTAATACTGATTTATTAAACAAAAAAGACAAAATGTTATTCTTTATTTTAGGCTGGAGGTAATAGAAAATAAATTATTAGGCAGTATATTTAATTGATGTTCAAAACAAATTGTGGCCTCAATATATAAAATGAACTGCTTAAAGGTTAAGATTAATCCTGTATTGGAGAAAATAATTTGGATCTTTGTATAGTGATAGTTTTAAAATTGAAGATTAAAAAAATAGAATAAAATCTAAGGGGTTAATCATACCAAAAATCAAATGAACAAATCACAGCAAGTTATTTTTTGGATCCCACAAACTCATTCTAAAGTTTATATGAAATGGCAGAGGACTTAGAATAGACAACTAAGAACAGTGAAAAGACTAACACAACCAGACTTCAAGACTTACGGTAAAGCTACGGTATTCAAGTCAGAGTGGTATTAGTGAAAAAATAGGCAAATAGAGCCACAGAATAGAATAGAGTCCATTAACAGACCCGTGCAATTATAGTCAGTTGATCTTTGACAAAAAAGCATAAGTAATTCAATAGAAAAAGGATAATCTTTTCAACAAATGATGGTTAAACAACTGGATATCCTTATGCAGAAGAATAAATCTAGACACAAACCCTATACTTTTCACAAAAATTAACTCAAAATGAATCATATACCTAAAAGTAAAATGCAAAACTATAAAACTCCTAGAGAAAAAAAATAGGGGAACATATAGAGGATCTTGGGTTTGGAGATGACTTTGTAAGTACAACACCAAAAGTATCATCAATTAAAGGAAAAATTATAAGATGAACTTCATGAAAATGAAAAGTTTATGCTTTGTAAAAGACACAAATAATGGATAAACAAACTGTGGTATATCTATATAATGAAATATTATTTAGCGATACATGTCAATGAGCTATCAAGCCATTGAAAGAAATTAAGAAACCATATAAGCAAATTAATAATTGAAAGTAGTCAATCTGCAGGGTGCTATGGCTCATGCCTGCAATCCCAGCATTTTGGGAGGCCAAGGTGGGCAGATCAGCTGAGGTCAAGAGTTTGAGACCAGCCTGGCCAAAATGGTGAAACCCCATTTCTACTAAAAATACAAAAATTAAACCAGGCGTGGTGGTGAGTGCCTGTAATCTTAGTTACTTGTGAAGCTGAGGCAGGAGAATCACTTGAACCCAGGAGGCGGAGGTTGCAGTGAGCCGAGACCGCAACTTTGCACTCCAGCCTGGGCAACAAGAGTGAAACTCCGTCTCAAAAAAAAAAAAAAAAAAAAAAAAAGTAGTCAATCTGAAGAGGCTGCATACTATATAATTCCAAACTTATGACGTTGTGGAACGATAAAACTATGGAGGGCAGTAAAAAGATCAATGGTTTCTAAGGGTTGAGATGAAAGGAAAGGAGAGGTTAACAGGTGAAGTACAGAGGATTTTTAAGGCAGTGAAACTATTCTGTATAATACTGTAATGGTGAATATGTATCATACATTTGCCAAAACCCATGAGTTGACAACACAGAGTGAATTCTAATATAAACTATGGATTTTGATTAGTAACTACCATGAATATTAGCCCATCAATTGTACCAAATGTACTACACTAATACTAAACGTTAATAATAGGAGAAACTATGTATGACGGGAGCTATCAGGGGGTATATGGGAACTCTGTACTTTCTATTTCATTTTTCTTCACATCTAAAACTGCTCTAAAAAGTAAAATCAACTAGTAAAAATTTAATGAACAAATAACCATGGAGAAAAATGAGATCTTTTATCTAAATCTTTTTACTATTGTGGGTGAAGAACTGAAATTTGTCCACAGTTGCCTCATAAATATGAAGCGAAAATGAGATATTTACAACTGGGCCTTTGATATCAAAAGTAGAAATAAATTTCAATGATGTTCAAATTACTTTTGTAACATCTTCTAGTAATTCTTAAAATGTCTTTTATATCCAGCTCATGACATAGGCATACACATGATTAAAATGAAAAATAATGGTGTACTATCCTTTTTTAGTATATTGAAAACAAAATATTCAGAGCATAAAAATGAGTAAAATCAATCTGAGATAAAAGAAACACCTTGAGACAATATTTTGACAGTTTGCACATTCAAAATGTAACATATTGGATTATTTTGGAATATGAAACATTTTTAATTTATTGGATATTGGTTGACTTCGTTTTCCTCAATGCATAATGCATAATTTGGTACGATGTTATCTTCATACATTAAGTGTAAAACAACCACTAAATTCTGAAAGTATTAGTTTATTCATTACTAGTGCATGGTAAAAATATCTGTAAATATCAAATCATACTAGTAGTTTGTCCAACAGACTGAAAACCAGTTTCCATTTTAGGAGATCTTTTTGTACAGTCTAGTCTTGAGCAGTTGGTGGCCCATTAGGTGATAAAATGGAGAATCCGTGAATGAGGTAATTGTGTGCAAATTTTACATGAAAGCATTATTTTCTGTGGAGACAATTTACAATTCTCATTCAGTAATGAAGAGGTCTACATATTAAACAAAAATATTATAAAGATGTTATCCTTCTGGATACCTTCCAAGTATTTATGAATTTATTTAACAAATATGTATTGACTATCTACTATGTTATATCTTATAAATTCTGATAAAAAAGATTAAAAATACGTATTTCTTTCATCCAAGAGTGTTGCAGTTCAGTCAGGATATTGTCAAGTAAATAAATGAATACAGTGGAAAAAAAATTTTTTTATTATACTTTAAGTTCTAGGGTACATGTGCACAACGTGCAGGTTTGTTACATATGTATACATGTGCCATGTTGGTGTGCTGCACCCATTAACTCGTCATTTACATTAGGTATATCTCCTAATGCTATCCCTCCCTCCTCCCCGCACCCCACTACAGGCCCCAGTGTGTGATGTTCCCCTTCCTGTGTCCAAGTGTTCTCATTGTTCAATTCCCACCTATGAGTGAGAACATGTGGTGTTTGGTTTTTTGTCCTTGCAATAGTTTGCTCAGAATGATGGTTTCCAGCTTCATCCATGTCCCTACAAAGGACATGAACTCATCCTTTTTTATGGCTATATAGTATTCCATGGTGTATATGTGCCACATTTTCTTAATCCAGTCTATCATTGATGGACATTTGGGTTGGTTCCAAGTCTTTGCTATTGTGCATAGTGCCACAATAAACATACGTGTGCATGTGTCTTTATAGCAGCATGATTTATAATCCTTTGGGTATATACCCAGTAATAGGATGGCTGGGTCAAATGGTATTTCTAGTTCTAGATCCTTGAGGAATTGCCACACTGTCTTCCACAATGGTTGAACCAGTTTACAGTCCCACCAACAGTGTAAAAGTGTTTCTATTTCTCCACATCCTCTCCAGCACCTGTTGTTTCCTGACTTTTTAATGATTGCCATTCTAACTGGCATGAGATGGTATCTCATTGTGGTTTTGATTTCCATTTCTCTGATGCCCAGTGATGATGAGCATTTTTTCATGTGCCTGTTGACTGCATAAATGTCTTCTTTTGAGAAGTGTCTGTTTCTATCCTTCGTCCACTTTTTGTTGGGGTTGTTTGTTTTTTTCTTGTAAGTTTGTTTAAGTTCTTTGTAGATTCTGGATATTAGCCCTTTGTCAGATGAGGAGGTTGCAAAAATTTTCTCCCATTCTGTAGGTTGTCTGTTCACTCTGATGGTAGTTTCTTTTGCTGTGCAGAAGCTCTTTAGTTTAATTAGATCCCATTTGTCAATTTTGGCTTTTGTTGCCATTGCTTTTGGTGCTCTAGTCATGAAGTCCTTGCCCATACCTATGGCCTGAGTGGTATTGCCTAGGTTTTCTTCTAGGGTTTTTATGGTTTTAGGTCTAACATTTAAATCTTTAATCCATCTTGAATTAATTTTTGTATAAGGTGTAAGGAAGGGATCCAATTTCAGCTTTCTACATATGGCTAGCCAGTTTTCCCAGCACCATTTATTCAATAGGGAATCCTTTCCCCATTGCTTGTTTTTGTCAGGTTTGTCAAACATCAGACGGTTATAGATGTGTGGTATTATTTCTGAGGGCTCTGTTCTGTTCCATTGGTCTATATCTCTGTTTTGGTACCAGTACCATGCTGTTTTGGTTACTGTAGCCTTATAGTATAGTTTGAAGTCAGGTAGCATGATGCCGCCAGCTTTGTTCTTTTGGCTTAGGATTGACTTGGCAATGCAGGCTCTTTTTTGGTTCCATATGAACTTTAAAGTAGTTTTTTCCAATTCTGTGAAGAAAGTCATTGGTAGCTTGATGGGGATGGCATTAAATCTATAAATTACCTTGGGCAGTATGGCCATTTTCACGGTATTAACTCTTCCTATCTATGAGCATGGAATGTTCTTCCATTTGTTTGTGTCCTCTTCTAGTTCATTGAGCAGTGGTTTGTAGTTCTCCTTGAAGAGTTCCTTCACATCCCTTCTAAGTTGGATTCGTAGGTATTTTATTCTCTTTGAAGCAATCATGAATGGGAGTTCACTCATGATTTGGCTCTGTTTGTCTGTTATTGGTGTATAAGTGCTTGTGATTTTTGCACATTGATTTTGTATCCTGAGACTTTGCTGAAGTTGCTTATCAGCTTAAGGAGATTTTGGGCTGAGACAATGGGGTTTTCTAGATATACAATCATGTCATCTGCAAACAGGGACAATTTGTCTTCCTCTTTTCCTAATTTGTTAAATTTGAAGTTTGTATAAAACACTGATCTGACAAATGAAATTATGTTTAAGCATAGACTTGAAGCATAACTTTACTCTTTAAAACTTTTCATCATCCCATTAGCAGAGAGATGAAAGGGATGTGCTAGATGAACTAGGCAGGAGGAGACTTCCAGGCAGGAATTAATATGCATAGAAATAGAAAGGACTCAAGAGGCTTAATGGGTTGGAGAACTACAAGAAATTCTTATGATTTGAGCTCCCAGTATGAGGCATAAAATAGAAAGAAGAAAGTATAGCTGGACTTGTAGGAAGACCACAGATGTAAGGAGCTTCTCATCCAGAGAGAAAATAAAGATCTTAAATTTCAGCCTATATGAGAACTTCTCAGGTTATGCAAAATTACAAGTATGTTAGATAATAATCTCTTCAGTCTGCGATGGGTGGGAATTGAGGTTTCTAGAGGAGAATGGCTGGTTGCCTTAGGCTGTAACTTTCTGTATACTTTCATGTGGCACATAAATATCATTTTCTAAATGTTTTATGATGTGTTAAAAGGTAGAGAACTGCTGTGTATGCCAGAGATCCACTGAAAATAGTGCTGAGCTATTAATGACAAGACTATTACTCTGTCTTTATGTCTCTCTCTCTTTCAATTGAAATATATTTTAATGTGTCATTAACTAATGACTATATTATTATACATTACTTATTTTCTTTAAATACATATATGGAAAATGCAATAGTTATTTTGGGGGAATACAGTACATTGTTATTAACTGTAGTCACCATGTTCTATGATAGGTCTCCTGAACTTACTCCTCCTAACAGAAAATTGTACCCTTTGACCAGCATCTTTTCCCTTCCCCCACTCAGCCCTGGGTAACCACCATTCTACTCTCTGCTTAGTTTCCACATATAAGTGAGATCACACAGTATGTGTGATCCTGTGTCTGGCTATTTAAGTTAACATAATGTCCTCCAGGTTCATTCCTGTTGTAGCAAATGACAGGATTTCCTTCATTTTTTTAAGGCTCAGTAATATTCCATTCCATTGTAAAATTTTTAAAATTTAACTTTTAAATTTTGATATAATTTTAGACTCACATCTAGTTGTAAGAAATAATACAAGTAGATCTTATGTACGCTTTACAATGTTTCCCCCCAATGGTAACATACTGCAGAAACTGCAGTATAATATCACAATTAGGGGATGGACACTGAGAGCAATATTATTCAAATTATCCCAGTTTTATTTGCACTCACATGTGTAAGAACATGTATTTAGTTTTATGCAATTTTACTATACTTACGCAGGTTTGCTTACATACGGCTACAGTCAACATACTTACCAACACCACAAAGATCCCTTG
Organism: Homo sapiens; assembly: GCF_000001405.40. Taxonomy (NCBI): domain Eukaryota; kingdom Metazoa; phylum Chordata; class Mammalia; order Primates; family Hominidae; genus Homo; species Homo sapiens. The sequence continues at coordinate 54,787,146 of NC_000006.12, read as the reverse complement.
TGTTGTGCTTTCATAACCACACTCATCTTGTTCCTACACCTCTGCCCCATCATCATCCCCTGTTCATACCTCTGAGAATTACTAATATTTCCTCCATTTCAAAAATGTTATTTCAAAATGTTGTAGAAATAGAATTATGGCCAGGTGCGGTGGCTCATGCCCGTAATCCCAGCAGTTTGAGAGGCCGAGGTAGGCGGATCACCTGGGGTCAGGTGTTCGAGACCAGCCTGGTCAACATGGGGAAACCCTGTCTCTACTGAAAACACAAAACTTAGCCGGGCATGGTGGGTGCCTGTAATCCCAGCTAGTCGGGAGGCTGAGGCAGGAGAATCGCTTGAACCCAGGAGGCAGAGGTTACAGTGAGCTGATATTGTGCCATTGCACTGCAGCCTAGGCAAAAGAGTGAGACTCCATCTCAAAAAAAAAAAAAAAAGGGAATAGAAATAGAATTAAATCATAGTCACACATCATTACCAGTATTTTAATCATATCTATTCTGATAGTTACTTAGTGATACCTCATTGTGGTTTTTGTTTGTTTGTTAGAGGAAGAGGAATTGGAAATAGTTTAAAGCTGAAATGACTCTTAGTTGCGGAAGTCATTTTACTTATTGGAGCCTCAGTTTTCCTATCTGTAAACATTAGAAAAGGAACGCAAAATATGGGACACTTTATGACTTTGTGTTTCATCCTTGTGCAGGAGCCATACTAATCTCCTATGTTGTATAGTATTTTAGCATATGTGTTACTAAAGCAAGCACTCACTGTGGTTTAAATTTGCATTTCCTTAATGGCTGATGACATTGCATATCTTTTCATGTGCATATATGCCATCTGTACATATTCTTAGGTGAAGTGTCTATCCATGTTTTGTGCCCATTTTCTAATTAAATTGTTTTTCATTGTTGAGTTTGGAGAGTTCGTTCTGTCTTCTAAATAGCAGCCCTTTTTCAGACATGTGGTTTGTATTTTCTTCCATTGTGTAGCTTGTCTTTTCATCCTCTTCATGCAAGCTCTCACAAAGCAAAAATTTTTAATTTTGATGGGGTCCATGTTATCAATTTTGCCTTTTATGGATCATCTCTTAATGTCAAGTCTAACAACTCTTCACTAGCTTTAGACTTTAAAGAGTGTCTCCTGTGTTTTTTTCTAAAAGTTTTATACTTTTATACTAACATCTATGATTGATTTTGAATAAGTTTTTGTATAAGGTTTGAGATTTAGGTCAAGGCTTATTTTCTTGCCTATGGATGTCCAGCTGCTTCAGTACTATTTGTTGAAAAGGGTATATTTCCTTCTTGGAATTGCTTTTGCACCTTTGTCTAAAATTAGTTAAGTATATTTACGTAGGTGTATTTCTGGGTTCTCTATTTTGTTCCATTAATCTATAATCCCTCTGCCAGTATCACACTGCCTTGTTTACTGTCACTTTATAATAAGATTTTATATCAAATAGAGTGATTTCACGTTTTATTCTTCTGTACAAAGATTTTTTAAAAAGCTATTCTAGATCTGTGTTTTATTCTGTATATATTTTATAATGAGCTTGTCTATGCTGTAAAAATTCTTACTGGGTGCCGGGCACGGTGGCTCATGCTTGTAACTCCAGCACTTTGGGAGGCCAAGGCAGGTGGATCATGAGGTCAGTAGTTCAAGACCAGCCTGGCCAATATGGTGAAACCCCGTCTCTACTAAAAATACAAAAATTAGCCAGGTGCGGTGGCAGGCGCCTGTAATCCTAGCTACTCGGGAGGCTGAGGCAGGAGAATCACTTGAACCCGGGAGATAGAGGTTGCATTGAGCCAATATCATGCCACTGTACTCCAGCCTGGGCAACAGAGCAAGACCCTGTCTCAAAAAAAAAAAAATTCTTACTGGAATATTGATAGTAATTGTCATTGAACCCACAGAACTATCTGGGGAGAATTAACATTTTTTTCAATGTTGAATTTTCAAATCTATGAACATATTATGTTTCTATATTTGTTTAGGTTTTCTTTGATTTCTTTCAACAGCATTTAATAAGTTTCCACGTATAGACTCTGTACATGTTTCAGTAAGTATATACCTCACTAAGTATTTCATTTTCACTGGACTGATTATAAATAGTATTATGTTTTTAATTTCGGACTACTGAAGTTCATTGGTATTATACAAGTAATATGATTGAATTTTGTGTATTGATCTTGTATTTTGCAAGTACACTGAACTCATGTATTCATTCTAGAAGCATTTTTATAGATGCCATGGGTTTTCTACAAAGACAATCATGACATCTGCAAGTAGGGGCAATTTTATTTCTTCTATTTTTCCATCCTTTCTTGTGCACGCTCTCTCTTGCGTGCTCTCTCTCTCTCTTTTCCCCCTCTGTTGTGAAAATTGTGTAAGTTCTATTGATTGTTTTCAAGTTAACTGATCCTATCCTCTGTTATCTATGACCTACTACTGAACCTATCCAGCAAGTTTTTTAGATTTTTATATCAGATCTTTCAGTTCTATTATTTACATTTGGTTCTTTTTCATAACCTCTATCTCTTTGCTGAGATTAGTAAGTATTTTTTGTTGTTGTTGCAAGGAGATTTGTAATTGCTTCTAGAAAAATTTTTGATGACTGCTTTGAAATTCTTGCCATATAATTCCAACATCTGATTCACTAAGTGTCAGCGACAATAAATTGCTTATCTCATTCAAGTTATAATATTCCTGGTTCTTGCTGTGTCGAGATTTTTTTTTCTTTTTTTATTATGTCCTGAACATTTAGCTATTATATTAGAAGATTTTAGGCCCTATTTAAATATTTTATTATAGTAAGCAGCTCCCTGTATAGTTGTAACATGCAGTTCCACAGCACTTTTTTTTGGCTGTGGTTTCAAAGATAGTTTCATTTTTAGAGTTTTGCCTCGCTGTTTTGGTCTGCTTGATTTATTTAGTGAGGCTGAAGCTCTCCCTGGTCTTTGCTGGTCCTTCTCAATGGGGCAAGAGGGGTTGCCTTATGCTGCATCACCTAGTGCCTCAAGGCAAAGAAAAAGCTTTTCTTGCCTATAAGGACAGAGGTCATGTTCCAGGTCTGGCAGCTTGTTGTGACGGGTTCACTTGGCTACTCTCAGTGAGGGAGGGTAGTCTCTAGCATCTCAGGGAAGGACCATGCTTCCCCTGGCTATTTATTCTTAGTGTGGCTCCAGATCAACCCTCTTTACCAGTGGTACTGGACTTGCCTGGTATTGCTGAGAGAACTCATATTTGATCCAAGAGAGAATGAACCTCCTAGGCATTGGCCAGGGTTGCTTTCTTCTTCTGAGTGAAGGATAGTAAGATGCCCTGTCCTTATGTTGCTTTTCCACTCCCAGGGTTCCTAACCAGTGTGCCTTTGTATTTCTATTTTTTAGAGTTATTGTTTGACTTCATTTTGTATTTTCTCCCCCCTAAGAGATTATAGTTTTACTTAGCAGATAAGAGCAGGGTAAAATTACTCTACAAAATTATGTCTGGACTCTTATTCTTCTTTAAAAACATCATTTTGGTAGTTGTGTAGAGAGTGAGCTGATTGTTAGTAAAGCTAGCATCCAACTAAAGAACTATCATAATATTCAAGAGCTAAGATGTGGTGAAATGTACCACTGCAGATAGAAAGTATATGGTAATTCAAGAGATATTATAATGGTTAAATAAAAAAAAAAAAACTTGCGCCCAATAACTTAATGCTTCTTTGATATATATTTGAAGATTTTTGAAAAAAATCTGTGGAACCCTTTCTCTTTAACTTTAAAATAATATTAACAATAATGCAATAAAAACAAAAATCTGTGTTGTTAATTATTGAGTTGTTACTTTGTGATTGACACTGCGCTAAATGCTTTAAATGGAAAATGCCATTTGATCTTCAAATAGCAAAAATTGTGTTAATTTTATAATTTTAGTAATTTATTTTATCCAATATAGCCAATTCTTCTATTTGTGTTTTAAAATTTTTTTAGTGTAAATTTTAAATTGACAATAATTGTATATACTTATGGGTTACAATGTGATGTTTAGATATATGTATAAATTGTGGAAAGATCATATTGAGCTAACTAATATACATTAATATACTTATTTTCTTGTAGTCAGAACATTCAAAATATATTCTTTCAGCAAAATGAATATTTAACATATATTTGAAATGTAATATACATTATTATGAACTATGATGACTATGCTATGCAGTAGATCTGGAAAACTCATTCTTTTTGTCTAACTGAAACTTTATACCTTTTTTATTTATTTATTTATTTTTTTTGAGACAGAGTCTCCCTCTGTCGCCCAGGCTGGAGTGCAGTGGCACGATCTCAGCTCACTGCAAGCTCCGCCTCCTAGGTTCACGCCATTCTCCTGCCTCAGCCTCCGGAGTAGCCGGGACTACAGGCGTGCACCACCATGCCCAGCTAATTTTTGTTGTTGTTTTTTTAATAGAGACAGGGTTTCACCATGTTGGCCAGGTTGGTCTCGATCTCTTGACCTCGTGATACTTCCACCTCAGCCTCCCAAAGTGCTGGGATTACAGGTGTGAACCACCGTGCCCTGCCAACTTTAAACTCTTTGATCAACATCTCCCTACTCCTCCACCCTCCCAACACTTAGCCTCTGGTAACTACCATTCTACTCTATTTGTATGAATCAGCTTTTTTAGATTTCACAGGTGAGGGAGATCATGCAGTATTTGCCTTTACATGCCTGGCTTATTTCAGGTAGCAAAAGATCCTCCAGATTTATCCATGTTGTGGCAAATAACCCTCTTTTTAATGCTGAAAACAATTCAATTGTGTATATATACACATTTTCTTCATCCATTTATCTGTTGATGGACACTTAGGTGGATACCGTTCCTTGGCTATTGTGAATAGTGTCGCAGTAAATATGGAGTGCAGATATCTCTTTGACATACTAATTTCATTTCCTTTGGATATACGCCCAGTAGTGGGATTGCTGGATCATATGGTAGTGCTATTTGTAATTTTTTTTTTGGAACCTCCATACTGTTCTTTATAATAGCTATAGTAATTTACATTTCCATGAAGTGCACAAAGGTATCTCTTTCTCAATATCCTTGCCAACACTTATTTTTTACCTTTTTGGTAATAGCCATTCTAACAGATATGAGGTGATATCTCACTGTGATTTTAATTTGCATTGCTCTGATAATTAGTAACAATGAGTGACTTTTCATATATCCGTTGGCCACTTATGTGTCTTCTTTTAATAAACGTTTCTTCAAGTCCTTTACTGTTTTTTAAATTGGGTCATTTGTTTTCCTGCTATTGAGTTGTTTTAGTTCCTTATAGATTTTGGGCATTAACCCCTTATGAAATTCATGATTTGCAAATATTTTCTCCCACTGTGTAGGTTGTCTCTTCACCTTGTTGATTGTTTCCTTTTGTGTGTAGAAGCTTCTTAATTTGATATGATCCCATTTGTCTGCATTTGTTTTTGTTACCTGTGCCTTTTGGGTTATATTCAAAAGATCATTGTCCAAAACAGTGTCATAAATTTGTTGTTTTCTTCCAGTGTTTTTACCGCATCAGGTCTTAAATTTAGTCTTTAATCCATTTTGAGTTGATTTTTGTTTATGGTGTGAGATGAGAGTCCAGTTTCATTCTTCTGCATATGGATATCTCGTTTTTCCCAATACTACTTTTAAACTGACTGTTCTTTACCCATTGTGTCCTCTCAGCACCTTTGTCAAAAATCATTTGACCATAAATATGTGGGTTTATTTCTGACACTCTGTTCCATTAGTCTACGTATCTGTTTTTATACCACTATGATGCTATTTTGATTACTATAGCTTTGTAGTAATTTTGAAATCAGTTAGTATAGTATCCCCAGCATTTTTTTTTTCCCTCAGATTACTTTGGCTGTTCGAGGTCTTTTGTGTTTCATATAAATTTTAGTATTGTTGGATGGTTGTTTTAGTAATAGTATTTTAGAACTGAGAGTGCTATGGTTTAAAGAGGTTAAGAAACTTAACCAATTGCACCTAGCTAATAAGTAATGGTTCTATGATTGGACTCAATTCTTTTTTTTTTTTTAAGCAAATTCTCTCAAATCCTAATGGACTCAATTCTTCTTCTTCTTTTTTTTTTTTTTTTTTTGAGATGGAGTTTCACTCTTGTTGCCCAGGCTGGAGTGCAGTGGCATGATCTCGGCTTAGCACAACCTCTGTCTCCCAGGTTCAAGCGATTCTCCTACCTCAACCTCCCAAGTAGTTGTGATTACAGGCATGTGCCATCACAACTGGCTAATTTTTTATTTTTAGTAAAGACAGGGTTTCTCCATGTTGGTCAGCCTGGTCTCAAACTCCGGACCTCAGGTGATCTGCCCACCTTGGCCTCCCAAAGTGCTGAGATTATAGGTGTGAGCCACTGCGCTAGGCCTGGACTCAATTCTTAAACTCTATTGTTAACTGATTCTACATTAAATCAACACATAATTGATTGAGTCTAAATTGTTCGTGGTTTAAGGGTTAATTTTTAAAACCAAAATTCCAAGTATATATGCTTACTAACATTTTGATATCTCCTTTTAAGTATTCAAAGATATTTAAACCATTTAAATTCTTAACTCTGTACTACTTTCCTCATAAATAAAAATAAGGACATAATATCCACAAAAAACAATAATTTTTTGTGTTCTTAGCATGATTCATGTCATTGACTTTTGCACAACTAATAAGTGTGTTATGTGGCATAAATCAGGGTTATATGCCCAGGAAGAGGGCATATTCAACACCAATTGCTATGTAAAGCATTTGGAAATCCTGGAAGTAAACATATTTTATTACCTAACTTTTACTCAGAGAAGAAAGTTTTCATACATAAATTTTTCAGTTGAGGAGCTGGTTTTTCCTTGCTGTGGAAGACATAAATACTGCTGCATTTTTAGTGATAATGAAATTTGCATTTAGCCAAGTTGCTTTATTTACATACTGCCTTCATGTTAATAATTTAACATAAACTGTAGTGTAATTTAGGGACTAAAAATATCATTCTTGTGTGCTCACAGTAAGTTTTACACTATAATAAGCATATTTTGAGGATTAATTTTGATGAAATTAATATTGCGAGAGGATTTATAATTGTATACAGCAGGCAAAAATGTTTGAGATTTTCATCCAAAAGTAGAATAAAATATATATAGTAGAATCAATGTAATTTATTATTTATATTACACTGTCTTTAATTTCCAGTTACTTAGTTTTCTGGCTCCAAATTTATAGTAATCAGTATGCATACAAAAGGAAGCTGAGGCTCCTGATCAAGAGAAAGTGTTCAAACTGAAAGAAAGGTGAATCATTGGGAAAAGCTTCAACTATTTTCTAGTTTGTTTGTTTGTTTATTTATTTATTTATTTTTGAGGCAGAGCGTTGCTGTGTCCCCCAGACTGGAATGCAGTGGCGCCATTGCAGCTAATTGTAACCTTGGCCTCCCAGGTTCAAGCGATTCTCATACCTCAGCCTCCTGAGTAGCTTTGATTACAGGCACATGCCACCATGCCTGACTAATTTTTAGTAGAGACAGGATTTTGCCATGTTGGCCAGGCTGGTCTTGAACTCCTGGCCTCAAACGATACCCCTGCCTCTGCCTCCCGAGGTGCTGAAATTACAAGCATGAGCCACCATGCTCAGCCAAGATTCAACCATTTTCTAGTTTTGTTTTTCCTTATCTGACATCTTAGATGTCTTCTTGTTTCAGTGTGACTGTCAAATGTATTCTACAAACTTTTTTGAAGACACAAAATAAGAATACTACAACGAACATAGATTGTTCTGATTGTGGATATTTATTTCACACTATTATATTTTTACCCAATGGAAATAACACCATATCCCTATTCTGTGTTAAATATACCAGGAATGGGAATGAGTAATTGTAAATCATCCTGAAACTGTTTTATTGTCTTCTAGTAAAACCACTTCTTATTTTGTATATATTTTTATAAAACGGACTCAAGTACTGAGTCTAGACGTGCTTTAATATCCTAAAAGCACTAACATTCACACCCTTCCCTGAAGCATTTTGAAATTAAAAACTAGTTCTACACTTGAAAAAAATAATAAAGATCTAATTTTGTTTCTTTTTAAATCATGAATTTGGATAACTGTGGCTAGGTCATTTAATATAATCTTACCAAGCAAATGTGCTCACTGCCTGACAAGCATAGAAGCCAATACAATGGCACTGGCTTTTGAGAAAAGAAAGGCTTTATTGTAAGGCCAGCCAGCAAGGAGACAAGAGATGCAGCTCAAATCTGTCTACCCAATTTGGGGTCTGGGTAAGTTTTAAAGGGTCAGAGGGCAAGGGGAAGAATTTGGGAATGTTGGCTTGTCAGGGTCTGATTTGACCATTTGAATAAGGTATGCTGAGGTGGATTTCAGCCATGTTATATGGTTTGAATTTGTGTCCCTGCCAAATCTCATGTGATCCTCAATGTTGGAGGAGGGGTCCAGTGGGAGGTGATTTGATCATGGGGTAAACGTCCCCTTTGCTGTTCTCATGATAGTGAGTGAGTTCTCATGAGATCTGGTTGTTTAGTTTGTAGTACCACCCGCTTCTCTCTCTTCCTCCTGCTCCAGCCATGTAAGACGTGACACCTTCCTCTTCACTTTCCACCATGATTGTGAGTTTCCTGAGGTCTCTCCTGCCATGCTTCCTGTACAGCCTGTAGAACCACAAGTCAATCAAACCTCTTTTTAAAATAAATTATCCAGTATCAGGTAGTTCTTTATAGCAATGTAAGAATGGACTAATACATTCTGAATCTTCTGGGTCAAAAGATCCCTCACCTTTGAAAGGATTCCAGTATTTATCATGTCCCAGCCTTTTTGGTTCTGTGGGGAGGAATCCTTGGTTCCGGGTGTTGTTAGAGGTCAAATCTTTTTCTATTACATGTGGTGGGGCTACATAACTTCCAGTTTAGGCTCTGTTATACCTACAAGGTAACCTGACATTATCTTATCAACAGAGTAGGCCCACTATAGGTTGGTCCTGTGGTTACAATAATAGGAAAGGTAAATCAAAATGTCACATAGAATATTTTCTTTTTCAAATATTTTATGACACATGTTGAAGGAATAATTTTGTGAGCAGATCATGCTGTATTTAAATCTGATTAACACAATATTCTATTTAAATTTTGTTTTTTAAAATACAAATTCTTAAATACATTTCGTTATGGCACTTGTCTTACTCAGAAACATTAATGTCCTGCTCGCTGCCCTCTCATGCCCAGTGACTAAACATTGCATTCAGGCTTCTTCATTTTCAGGCCTATCCACTTTCCCGCTGATAATTCCAGCACTGCACCTTCATTTTGGTCATGCTAATTTCCATATATTCTTCATTGCTTACCCTACACAAAAAGATGGACCATGGATAATGTCTATTGTTGTCTTTCATGTATTGTCTATTCTCTCTCTCCTCTCTTTTACGGTAAACAAGTGGAGTTCTGCCCTTTCACCACTATCATTCTGACTCCCATGAGAATCTATTATATTTGGACATATAAATCAAAACTAAAATTCTAAGTCCCCTAACCAACCGAAAGGACTCCCAATCTTTGGCTAAGGGAACCTGAAGACCTAGTTCAGTTCATGACAGGAAGAGGGTTGGACATGCTCCATTATACCCCTTCTCTAACATATACCCCCAGTTTAACTAATCAGCATTAACATTAAAATAGGGATCATAAGATTGACAAAACACTCTTTGTAACAATAAAGTGTCAAATTCCAACCTGTCTCTGGTATAGCATCACATGACAGGGAGAAGACCCTGAAGAAAATCGAAGTGTTCTACCCTAAAATATATTTCTTTGACATATTTTGAAATAGACTTGCAAAGTTGTCTCTTGTGGGGAAAATTTGCATCCTGTAGAGAGTCTCCTTCCCTTTCCAGGTCTTTTCCAGATTCAGGAGACATTTAACTAAGACTTTGACACCTTTTAATGCCCTGAAAGAGACATTTATGATCTATTGTCTCTGAAGCTTGCTACTTAGAGGCTTCATTTACATAACAAGAACATTGGCTTCCATAACCCTCCTTATCTTAATTCAAGCATTTCTTTCTGCTGATTCAACTCTTTAGGCAAAGCTTAATTCTTTTTTTTTTTTTTTTTGAGAAGGAGTGCTCTGTTGCCCAAGCTGGAGTGCAGTGGCATGATCTTGGCTGACTCTAAACTCTGACCCCTGGGTTCAAGCGATTCTCTTGCCTCAGCCTCCCAAGTAGCTGAGATTACAGGTGCCCACCCCCTTGCCTGGCTAATTTTTTGTAATTTCTTTTTTTTAGTAGAGATAGGGTTTCACCATGTTGGCCAGACTGGTCTTGAACTCCTAACCTCAGGTGATCCGCCCGTCTCAGCCTCCCAAAGTGCTGGGATTACAGGCATGAGCCATCGCACCTGGCCTAAGCTTAATCCTTTCAACCAATTGCTAATGAGAAAATTTTTGAATCCATTTATGACCTGTAAGTCCCTGGTTTTGAGATGTCCTGCCTTTCTGGGCCAAACCAATATATACCTTACATGTATTAACGTATGCCTTGGCTTGTAATCTCTGTCTCCCTAAAATGTATAAAACCAAGTTTAACCAGATTGACTTGGGCATATGTTCTCAAGACAGCTTTAGACTCTATTCCAGGCCATGGTCACTCATATTTGGCTCAGACTAAGCCTCTTTCAATATTTTACAGAGTTCGGCTTTTTTCATTAACAGAGCATACTGTCCTCCATTTCTTTCTCCTTTCTCTTGATAAGACATTGGGGTTTTTAACACAGGTCTATGAACTTGAAACCATTAAATTCCATATTTGTAAAACTATTATCTTAGGAACACAATTTTAAGAGTTTCTATGTTTCTGTTCCTAATCTTCATAGTATATTAAGACAATTATTTTTGTCTCTCCAACTGGATTGGAAGACCCCTGTGGGCAGCAACTCATATTCATTAAACAAAAATATCTCAGTAATGTGGATAACAATAAAAACCCAATTCCTGTCTCAGAGAATTATGATTCAGTGTTTATTATTTAAAAGAACTTGCATAAAGTGTGCTGTGGCCAGGAATGTATTAGTTGATAAGAAAGAGAAAGATTATTATACCAGAGGAAAAAAGAAAATAATCTGTGTAAAGTTACAAGAACAAATGAATTATGTACTTCATGCAGGTAATAATTCCTCAGGAATAAATGGGTGTGTGTGTGTGTGTGTGTGTGTATGTGTATGTGTGCATGTGTGTTGGACATGGTGTTGTCTTTGATACGTCACATGAGTATCTATATAGTTTTGCTCCTCAACATGTGTAGCTTGGACCCCTTGCAGCAGTATCATCATTATCACTTGGAAGAATGTGAGAAATGCAGAAACTTTGGCCACATCCCAGAACTACTGAATCAGAATTCTCAATTTTTTTTACTGTAACTATTTTTATTACATTGTAATAATTAGGAGCTATACAGTTCATGACAAAAATATTACAAATTTCAGATCACAGCACATACTCCTATAAACATTTAAAAGTTAATTTCAATTAAAAGAGTGGTAATTTTTAATGTTTGATATGACCAGCATTCCTAGGTCAGCGCAACCAAATGATGGAAAACAACTGGATCACACTGCATATGTCCCACAAAAGAAAGCACAATGTACAAAATGTGCATGTTTCAGTTTACACAAAATACATTCCAGGTAAATATGTTACATTAAGAAATAGTACTAGTAAGAAATTGGCACTCAAAGAAAAAATGCAAAAGTATTTTCAACGTGAAAACACAGGACAGTGGAATTGGAAACTTTCGGATAAAACATTGTAACCCAGTTAGCTCTATTTGCTGGGTGGGGATGAGCCCTCAACATTTCTGCAGATAACTTTTTTCCCCCTAAATTCATCTAAATTACCTATCATTATCCCAAACAGGCACTTCAAACTATTAAACTAAAACACAAATCTTAGTCTAGTTATGACTATTCTTCAAGAACTCATGTGAGTATCTTTAGAAAGAAATTTTCATTTTTGACAGACAGCTATCAGTAGTATGCTGTTCAATTGCTCAACGCAGAATTCATGCTATCCAGTATTAACACAGAAGTTATTAAATATAAATTCAGCCTTAAAGTAACTGCTTTGTTCTAAAAAAAATTACTACATAATTATCAAGATATCATGACTTTTTAACAAATGGAAATCTTCAGATAGTTTTTGTGTCTAAAGAAATATCCCCTAAATGTATATACACTGAAGAAATAATGGTTGGATTAAAAAAAAAATCACTGGAATACAAATGAGATGAACTTGTGCAAACTGTAACTTAACATGCCCCACAAAGTTTCCATATATATATTAGGACAAAATTATGCAATGGTGGCAACAGTTTTGATAACCTATAAAAGTTAGGTTCTAAATTCCTAGGCAGTGTGACTCAGTTAAAATAGAGCCTAGAATGCCTAAGTGGAAATATTCACTCAAATCATACAATATATGTCTGCTCTATTCTTCCACAAACATGTTAATGCCTAAGACTATGTAATTTAGCACTTTTTGGAAAAACTTCAACAAGGATTTTTATCTTTAAGGCTGTAATAATTAGATAACATTTCTTTCTAGAATTCTCCCACTTTAAAAATCGCTACAATAACAAACCTTTTGTTAAACCATTCAAAGTTCACATAATAAAAGGTAATTATCATTACCTTAAAAAATGTCCATCTACATAAAAAATTCAAGAGGCCTAAATATCCCCTCATAAGCTCTGCAGTTCCTGAAGTATAACCATTTCTTTCTCTGTGTAGAAACAAGAGGTACTGTATAACACCCTACCTAAACAATGTTCCACAGATCTGTAGTTTAGCATAGTATTTCAGAAATCATACTGATTTTTACATAGAAGTTTCATTGTCTATGAACTAGTTCAGGCGCCTGTTTATTTGCATCCAGATAAAACTATTTTAGAAGTAAATATTTAATTTTTAAGTCTATTTTAATTACTTATGCAGAGAAAACTGGAATACTACACATTTGGGAATTTTGTGAGTATCTGACATATACCTTAATGGGTACAGTAATTGGCCCAACAGAATCATATAGTTATGCCAAATAAAACACAATATAATCAAGTTTATTCCTTTAAAATAATGAAGTGATTTACATAAAGTAGCTAGATCAAAGAGTTGCACTGGAATCACAGCAAAACAATTATAGAACTGGAAGAAACCTTAGAGACCAAACCCCTTCTTTGCAAAACTAAAATACACGTTGTGTTATCTCTGGGTCATATGCCGAAGGCCTTACTAAGATATTACAGACCATGCTAGCACTACCTAAGGACTGGGATTATGCCTCTTGTTTGGGGATACCATATACCCAGTGCCTTAGGCAGTGACTGGCATCTGGTAGGCACTCAGTATATATTTACTGAGTAAATGAGTTCTGCAAAACAGTAAGCTTTATGGGGCCGAGGCGGGCGAATCACTTGAGGTCAGGAATTTGAGACCAGCCTGGCCAATAGGGTGAAACCCTGTCTCTACTAAAAATACAAAAATTAGCTGAGCATGGTGGCACACGCCTGTAATCCCAGCTACTCGGGAGGCTGAGGCATGAGAATCGCTTGAACCTGGGAGATGGAGGTTACAGTGAGACAGTAAGACAAGATGGCGCCACTGCATTCCAGCCTGGGTGACAGAGTGAGACTCTGACCCCGCCTAAAAACAAACAAACAAACAAAACCAGTAAGCTTTATGAATTAAAGTATTTTTCATTGTAAGAAGATTTCTGGTTATTAAAACATTGGAATGTATTACTGTTACCAGGGGTAGTCCTAATTGTAGATTACCTAAGAAATTCTTTCAGCAGTATCGTTATTAAAATCTCCTTCCACTGGATAGGGTTCTGTCTGTTCATACCAGGTTTGAAAATTCCTACTATCACTAATGAATTGGGCAGCAAAGAGGTGTTCAAAGAATCAGCCACCACCTGAAAATTAGCTATTAGGTCAAATCCCATTATGATATCTGTCAGATTCTTTTGAGACCTGAGGAAATAAGATGTAAGGGATTTTGATGTGACTTAATGGGAAACCTTCATGGAGATATCCACAGCAGCAGTAAATCTTATGGTTAGGGGAATTAGAAGTATTAAAATTACATCAAATCATGGGGCATGTGGAAGGCAGGCAGGCAAGATGACACTAATACAGAAGGAGAGTCCTAAAACGAGAATGGATATTCAAATATAAACTTTACCTCTTGCACAATTTTGCCCAAGATTGTCACTGTCACTGAAGATGGTAACATAGGTTAAAAAGTTACAGATTGTGCTGAGCTTGACAAATAAGTGTATCCTATGTAAACGGAATATAAATTATATAGTTGTAAAAAAGCAATGAGTTTGAGATGACTTCTTTTAACATGAAGAAATGGATAGTAAGTGATTTCCTCAAAATCAGAGTCCTAAAAGACACATATCTAGAACCTAAGTCACCTTCCTTCTAGTCCAGTGATATTTTCACCTCACCACACCATCTCACTTCATATATTTTAAAATAAGTAACATTTTAAGTGTATTAATAGGATTATTTTATTAATATTTATTTTTAAAGCATTAATCTTAAATATGCATCAGACTTGAAAAGTGTTTATGAAATGTTAATTTAACCCGTGTTAAGAGAACTAGCCAAACCTAGAGATTTTAAAGCTTTTTCACTTCATTGTTTAAAAAAATTAATGTCTTTGCACACCACCACCCCAAAATCTCAACTTTTGAGTTAATATTTAAAAGTAATTTTTAAAAAAGATTTTGTTTTCTTAAAAACAAAAGCGATGCTCTTGATTTGTCAGCAGGACTGCCACAGAGTGAGAATGTATTTGTTGAGCTTTCCAAACTGTCCTAATCCCTCCCCATTTTGACCAACCAATGCATGACAACGCTGGATGACCATGGGGACACAGTCCATGCTGTGAAACTCTCTATGAAAGCTCAAAGGTTCACACAGGGCCTGGCCTTGCAAACTTGGTCTCTTCAACACTTACTAAGCTATGACTGGCCCAAATAATCTTTAATAACACAAGCAGAATTAAAACTATCTTCAAAGACTGAAGTTGAATAAAAGATTTAAAGTTATACTACGAAAGAGAAATCTGACACAGGGAGACTACATTTAATTCCTGTGAGAATGTTTTATACCTGTTAAAATTCTTTCAATTATTATAAAAATTTAGTACCATGTAAATATAGCCCGAAAATGGTTGCTATAATTCCCATTTCATACTGGGTCTCCCTTAACCGAAAAAACTATTAGGAGTTCTTATAATAATTTATCTAATGTGAAAAGGAAATGGCCTTATAATAGTTTCCATTGCCTTGTAATTTTTTTCCATTTTTTTATAGAAAAAATATAATATTTTTGAGAGAGTGACCGTGACTAGTAGCAGTGGAAAGTGGGGCAAAACCTTTGTGAACAGTGTAACTTTACATTCACCGGGGATGACAAACTACAGGACATGATGCCTAGAAGAAGAATCATCAGAAATCCCATAAATTTGTGTTCCCTCAATGTTTCAGTAAAACCAATTATAAAGCCTCAACTGAAATTATAATTAGTAATTAATCCATTTATGTGACTAGATAAAACACAGAATAGGGATGATTCACAAGCTTCATTAATTTGTTTCTCACCGATGTTCACAACTGGTAAGAAAAATAAGAAGTAATCAACTGCATGCACCAAAAACCCCAAGACAGAAATCAAAGGTATTCAGTTTCTTTTTCACAGGCATTGCTAGTTTGAAAACCAAAACTCTGGTAATACTGGCACTTAGGGGAAAAAAGTTTGCACTGTCATTTTAAAATAAGCATTTAAGGTAAAAGCTAACAGTTTGCATGGAGCAGGAAAAAAATTAGGTAATGCTAAAACAATGCTAATAGTTTAGTGTAATGTATAAAAATTACCAGTTTTACTTAAGTATGCCTTAAGAAAAAAGTACTAATTGTATTTACATAATTACACACTTTGTCATTGACTTTTCTTCTTCTTACCATCTTTGCTCATCTTTTATTTCTCAAACTAATGTATAGAAGGCATCATTAACACCCTGTCTTTGCTGGTTTCAATAAAGGGAATTCCCTAACTCCTTGCTAAGTCCTGAGCCTTTTGTGTCTACTGTTCTAGAAGGCAAATCACATTTATTTCCTACTAGGACCATAGGCACATCTTCAGAGTCCTTAAATCTTTTAATTTGTTTTCTATAATTGTGCATATCTTCAAATGATTTAATATTATTTATGGCAAATACACAAAGAAAGCCCCCCCCCCCCCCCCGCCCAGTCCTCATGTACTGGTCCTCATTGCATTGTACTCTTCTTGACCTGTTGTGTCAAGAATATCCAAGAGACAGGTTTCTCCATCAATTACTACTTGCTTCCTGTAGGAATTCTCTATTGTTGGATCATATTGGTCCACAAAATGATTCTGAATTAGCTGTATCGTCAAGACACTTTTGCTTACGCCACCAGCTCCAACTACCGCAAGTTTATATTCAGTCATTTTCAGCAGGTCTGGGAGCCGCTGAGCCTCTGGCCCTGCCGCCGCCTTCAGTGCCTGCGCCACGGAGCTCCCAGTCCGAAATGGCGGAGGCCGGGAGTACTGGCCCAGCTTCATCTAAACCAGTATTTGTCTTATATACTTTACGTGAATATGCTTATTCTCAAGGTAAGGCAGTCAAAGCTCATTCCATTCCTTAGGAATTTATGATGCAGGATAATGTCAAACACTAAAGATTCATTTTATTTCAAAGAACCAGCAAATTTCAGTAGATCTTAATGTTACACAATGCACTAAATAGTAGACCATGCTTCTCCCTGGAGTCATTGTTTTCTAAATTGCAATGTAGTACCTAAAAAGCATTGCAAATAAGAATGACATTGTGAATCTTATTGAAAGTTTTAGGTCAGTTTTGTCATAATGCATTCTTCATCATCTGTCAGGTTGTTGGCATGTGAAAGGTCTCCAGAGGAAAAAGAATATGCTGCTAGAAATAGTCTCCAGTTTTCTCTTCAAATAACAACTTGGGTCAAAATCATCCTTACTAGGTCACTGTTAAACAATATTTCTGATATGTTTGACATGTTACTGTGCATTACATCAAATCAAATTTTGATCATGCTTTATAAAATTCCTGACATGTCTAATGCTATTGTATTCTCGTAGTGAGTATTTAAATGTGGCAATAAATAATGTCCCGGACCTATTTCTAATAATTTTAGTTTGCTTTAAATCTTTATCTGCTAAAATTTTTTCTCTAGATCTTGAAATTACTCCACAATTTACTAGTGACTATGATAAGTCACTTAAATACCTCATCTTTTTTATTTATTTATTTATTATGTTTTTTGAGATGGAGTCTCACTCTGTCGCCCAGGCTGGAGTGCAGTGGCGCGATCTCGGCTCATGGCAACATTCGCCTCCCAGGTTCAAGCAATTCTCCTGCCTTAGCCTTCCAAGTAGCTGGGATTACAGGAGCCCCCTGCCACGTCCGGCTAATTTTTGTATTTTTAGTAGAGGCAGGGTTTCACCATGTTGGCCAGGCTGGTCTCAACTCCTGATCTCAAATGTTCCACCCACCGTGGCCTCCCAAAGTGCTGGGATTACAGGCATGAGCCACCATGCCCGGCCAACAGCTTCCTCATCTTTAAAATGAGATACAGTAGTACCTGTATTATAGGGTTATTATGAGGATTAATTTAGTAAGTGTAAGGGTTTATGACAGTATTATTGTTGAAATATGAGGTCAAAATAAATTTGTTTCCCTGAGTAGGATGAAATGCTCCTTTAAGAGGAATCATTTAAATTTCTTACATACTTTTATTTGCACATTGCAGCAAAATACGTGCATGTTAAACTACCAGCATAACTTAATTCATGAACGCATGTATATACCTGAGGATCTTCATGGCCCCAGGAACACATTAAACTTTTCTGATACAATTTTTCTTTACTTAGAGTTTGTTTTCTTCTTCACATATTGCTTTTCATTTGTTTACATTGTACTTTCATCTATATAATATGCATTAAAAATGTAAAGATGTTTGCTTTTTCAAGTAGTCAAGTTCAACAAAGTTTTTATCATATGAAAAATTAATAGGTAAGCACTCAAACATTGATGAATAAAGATACTAAACAACAGTAGCTATAGGCAGATCACCCACCCACTACCCTCTGTTTCCAAACAGAAATAATCAACCCTTCCTCTAATTTCATGTTCTTTCTCTCAGTGGTGGAGTGTTCTAGATTGTATCAGTCTAGCTTGTTATTTTGATTTCCATCTGGAACTGGATCAGTCCTTACTCAAGCCCAGATAGATGACATCATAGAAATAAATTGTATTAGTCTGACATAATTGTTCTCTATGCAATCTTCACATTTATGGGGGAAAAGGTTAGTTTTCATTAGTGTACTAATCCAAGGCTTGCTCTCTTCCTCTATTGTAAAAAGCAGTAAATTGATACACTGTTAGTGATAGCTGTCATATGACTTACTGTAAATTATATAGCTCTTAAACTGCCCTCATTTTCTCTTTGGAGAGGCCTTATTAAATGAAAGCACCATGCTGCCGCAACTACAGTGAGGTTTCAAAAAGCCAAATCTCATCACATTGCTTGTATCCTTTAAATCCTTTGATGTTTTTCTGCTCCTTTAAGGCAAATACACAGACTTCCCTGATCTAGCATGTGCCTGCCTACCCAGCCTCATCCCATCTACCCCTGCCATTCATTCTAAACTCCATCTGGGTCAGGTGCTTAAATATTCTGGAATATGTCACATTCTTTGTGCATATTCCTGGTATCTCTTTTTACCCCCCTTGTCTTCCTGTAAATAACATAAATACCACTTTGCTAACCCTCCTAAATAAGAAAACTTTATTGATCTTTCTGGTCACAGAGCATAATTTTATTGTAGTATTTTTGTCATTGTTTACTTCATGTCTCTTTCTGCCACTGTTGTTTGGCTCCTAAAGATGGGGCTTAAGATCTTTGTCAGAGTTATTCAAATTGGCAAGTTATTTTTCTCTGTAGATTACTTCAAAGAAAAATAAGCATTTAAAAAATTTTAAAAGAAAATAAAGGCACTTGTGATTTTTTATATTTTTAATAAGACAAGGATAATAATGGGAAAATTTGAGAAAACATTAAGGTAAATTAAAATTGCTTGTAAGGTTAGTTGGGTAAATAACATTTATTGAGCACCTTCAATGTCTCAGGCATTTTACTGGATTCTTTTTATTTGTTAACTAATACAAGAGTTGTAAAGAACCTAGAAAATAATGCTCAAAGCTTGACTGTAAGATAAAAGAAAAAAACAGTTCTAGCTATTGATATCTCAAATGGGAAAATTTGTAACCATGTCATCTTTATATGCACCAGATATTCAAATAAACATAGAAAGAAACAGACTAACACGTAACTCCAGTTGATTAGTTTCCAGGACATAGGCCTAACAGTGGAGGACGGTTTATTGATTTGGTTAGAGAAACAGTAGCAATTACCTCAGTGTATATAAATTACGGGTTCCTAGATTATAATAAATTAACATGTATTGTGGTTGGGCTATTATTGAACAAATTTAGTTCAAATTAATTACATTTTTACTCCTTTTTATAAGATAGCATTATGGATCATGTGCTAAAAATCAGTAATCAGTTTTGGGTTTTATATCTTTTTGTATGAACATAAGGAAGATATAAACAGTAAATTCTTGAGTACAGTACAGATATTCTTGTCTTACAATGGGGTTATGTCTTGATAAACCCATTGGAAGTTAAAAAATATTTTAGTTGAGGAGAGGCCAAGATAGCAAATTAGAAGCAACTGCAGTCCACGGCACTCACAGAGAGGAATGAGAGGAGGTGGAACTATGTATTTAACATTTTATACATATGGACAGTATATGTGTGCATATGTACAAATATACATTTGTAGACAATATGTACAAAAGCCATGTGACAAGTTCAGGAAATTTAAAGAGAGCTGGTATGGCTAGAGTGCAGAGAGAAGGGATAGAATATTGCAAAATGAGGCCGGACATGGTGGCTCAGGCCTGTAATCGCAGCACTTTGGGAAGCCAAGGCGGGCAGATCATGAGGTCAGGAGTTTGAAACCAGCCTGATAAACATGGTGAAACCCCGTCTCTACTAAAAATGAAAAAATTAACTGGGCATGGTGGATTGCGTCTGTAATCCCAGCTCCTCAGGAGGCTGGGGCAG
Organism: Homo sapiens; assembly: GCF_000001405.40. Lineage (NCBI taxonomy): Eukaryota > Metazoa > Chordata > Mammalia > Primates > Hominidae > Homo > Homo sapiens. Next base: position 54,766,867 of record NC_000006.12, on the reverse strand, counting down.
GAGAATTGCTTAAACCTGGGAGGTGGAGGTTCCAGTGATCCGAGATCGTGCCACTGGACTCCAGCCTGGGTGACAGACTGAGACTCCGTCTAAAAAAACAAAAAAACAAAAAAAATTGCAAGATGAGGTTGGAGAATTAGGACCTTGTATGCCAAGTCAATTTTTTTTTAATCCTAGAAGCAATGAGAGATTTCTGAAGAGTTTCAGTGAAGATGACATCATATTTGTCTTTTTAAAGATCACTCTGATTGTAGTATGTACACTGGGTTGGGGGAAGGCAGAGTGAATGAGAAAAAAATAGTTCAATGGCTACTACAATGGTCCAGGTAAGACTTGGCTGTGTTTTGGACTTTGATGGCAGTGAAAATTTTAAAAATAATAATGGGTGGATTAAAGAGATGCTTAAGGAGAAAAATAATAGGTCTTGGTTATGGGATGGTTATGAGTTTTGTGAAAAAGAGATACTTGAAGATGCTTAGTTATCATAGATGTAACTCCGTGGATCCTGGTGCCACTTAATGAGATGATAAATGCTGGAAATTAATAAATAATTTTCATAAATTAATGAATAATAGGTATATAAACATGTAAGCTTTATCTGATATACACATAACCTTATGTCGTAACTCTTTCAGACTTCAGTTCATGACCAAGACCAGGTCAGACCTGGCTGGAAAAGTGCATACCATGGATTTACCTTTGGGCACATTGAATTTGATGTGATTTTGATAGTGAAAATGTAGACTAGGTGATTTTTCTAGATTATAGTGGTAGTCAATAGTGCTACTATGCCTTATGCTTGTTTCTTATTGCCTGGGAGAAAGAGTATAGGGAAGTAGTAATAAAGAAAGGAGTATGATTAAAGGTTGAAGGACCAAGATATTTTATGGCTGAAATAGAGAATAAATTTGCACAGGAGATGCAAGAAGTAGACAATTTTCACTGTGCCAAATGCAGTAGATTGGTCAGATAAGATTAAGATAAAGGTAACTGCTATCAAAAATATATAATACATCACAGATAGAGCTCAACTATCTATTAAAAGAGGACAAATTTTTGGATAATGGGTATAATCTCTACCCCCATCAAGAAAAGCCCGATTCTTGGAATTATAATCAGAATATAAATACTGGCTCTGCAAAGAAATTAAATGGGTCATAGAGACGTAACGGAATGTTAAACTCTTTCTTCATGCCTACAACCATCGTTAAAAGTAGGTACTGACTGTTGTTAGAAGGGCATACGATTAGTGAATTCAAGTAACAGGCAATATTTGGGAATGATGTAAATAGTTATTATCTTTGGATATATACTTATAGTGCCATGCATTAATAAGTGTCTGAAAATACAGATATAAGAGTCAGCTCTTAAAAATAAAATGAGCAGAGAAGACCTGAGTTGGGTAGTGGTGGAAAAGCCCACCAGCCAATGGGCTGGTGTTGAGATAAGGACCTCATTTTGGTGTTCAAGCTGTTGAGTACTCAATTATCCTTAAGATGCATTTCTCCCTTGATTTGAACAGCAACATTCTTACCCTATGTTCTTCTTAGTATTTGTTTCTCTTAAGCCTCAGAAATTTCTACCACTCTCTGTCAGATATTCCCATCAATATTTTACAGACACTTAAAACTCAATATGTCTACCCCAAAACTATGTACATTTATTATGCATCCAAAAATAAGTGAATAAATTTTAAAAACTGTGGCTAAATGGTATGTGATACAATCAACTTGTTGAAATGTCTGGTGAGGGGATATCTGTGACAACCTTCCCGAAGCATTATGGTGAATGTTCTAAGTCTAATTTGTCTTCAGATGACTTTTAGGAGATATGAGTAACAGAAGAAGGTGAGGGAGAAGGAGGAGAAAAAGCAGAAGGACAGAGGAGAGCAGAATGAGAATTATATGAAATGGCACCATTAAATGCCTAATAAATAATGTAATAATATTGCTATTAAAGCCAAAAAAGCCTTCAATATGTCAAACTTAAACTAAACATACTGTTTTACTCTAAGTGGCACACACAATTTATTGAATTTATAAGGGAATACTATCCTCTCCATGAATGTCTGCCCCACCATTCTTAACTGGCACACATTACAGTTTGGCTCCACTAAACAAAAAAACCAGTCATAATTATGAAAACTGGTTTTGTACAAAAACCAGCATGAATGTAATGGGAGAATGGCTGTTTGAAATTTATTAAGAGAGTATGTGAATTCTGACCCTCTTCATTTTTTTCAGCTTGAAACTATAATCAACTTCCCTAACTTCTTGGTATCTCTCTTCCTCATTTGTGGTATCATTTTTTACTTTTTACTTCCTTGTATTACTGTGATCCTTTTTACTTTACACCTCCTTGTATTACTTCCATGATTTCTTACCAGCTACTATTCTCTATTCTTTTCCAAAACTTTGAATGCTCTTTTTGGTTGCAGACCCAGCCTATAGTATCTGTGGAGCCTGATAAGAAGCTTCTGTACCTGTGGGAAAGTAGCCTGTAGGTTTTCACAGGTCAAAGTGTTCAAGAGTATCAGGGCTTTTGATCTCTTATTATTGGACATATAAATGAAATTTTGCAGAAATTTTATTCTGGGTCACCAGATTTAAAGTATTATTCCATTGGCATTAACAAATCTGTAGATACCCTGTTTAAAGCCATGTTACTAAAAACAGAACTAGGATTTCACATGAACAAAATATTTCATATTCTTTATTTTCTCAAAGAAGTCTCTAAGAAGAACAAGCCCAGTAGCCTATTAAATAAGAAAAGCAATAGAGGTTTTATTGTCTTATAATGCATGGGTATTTTCTTACTATTTTACTGAATTTTTGTTGATCTAATAAATTCTCTTTTTGTTTTTGGAAAACTAAGATGAGATCATTGCTTTAATTCTGAATAATGAAAAGAAAACACAAGAGAAAGGGAAATAACTAGGATAAACCAGACAGACCTTAGATCCTGGGCAACCACACACTGGAGGAAGAGCTGTGTCCCTCTCAGGTGCATGTTTTGAAGCAAAGTGGAACAACAAAGATAGACCCTAATTTCTCCACAGCAACACTAGATTGGTACCAATGTACTTGTTTTTAGAAGCATGGACTAAAGGGAAACCCCTGTGTTCTTTCAGACAAAGACCTTCTTGTTCAGATCTCTTGGGCTTTTTGGTACTTTTATTAATTACAACAAAACTAACATGTTCCCTACCAATTCTGAAGCTCCAAGAAACTCTTGTAATTGTTGAGTAGAGGCAGACTAGACACATGGAATTCAAGTTAACTGTAGTCGATGGTAACAATTAGCACATCTTATGGATCAGTAGGCACTCCATTTGACCCCATAATGACTAGTGAAAAAGAATGACTACCAAGCTAGAAAACTGACTGTCATCTTACATATTTTCCTTTGCCTCAATAACTGCATCATTCCATTCTCATCCCAATCCAACCTAAACCATCCCCAATTAGTGGACACTACATCTATGATGTCGTCAAAATAGATTGGCTTTATATTGCAAGTGTAAGTTTGGTGTTCATTCTCTCCTTTTTATAGACACTGATACTTTTTAGGTTCTCATCATTTTTCACCTGAAATATCTTAAAGGCCTCATAAATCCCTATACACCTTATATTGTCCTTATATAATCCATTTGTCATACTGCTTTGTCAGATTGATCTTTCTAAACTATGAATTTGATCAGTCACTCCTCTTCTTAAAAACGTGCAGTAGTGGGGCAGAGCACAGGGGCTGATGCTTACATAAATAATTACATAATTCCAGCATTTGGGGAGGCTGAGGCTAGAGGATCACTTGAGCCCAGGAGTTCAAGACCAGCCTGAGCAACATGAGGAAACCCCGTTTCTACCAAAAAAAAAAAAAAAAAAAAAAAAGCCAGGCTTGGTATAGTCCCAGCTACTTGGGAGGCTGAGGTAGGAGGATTGCTTGATCCTGGGAAGTCAAGGCTGCAGTGAGCTGTGATCAAGACACAGCACTCCAGCCTGGGCAACAGAGCAAAACCATGTCTAAAACAGAAACAAATAAACAAACTTGTAATGGCTTCACAATGCTTACAAAATAAAATCTAAACTTCATTTCATGGCCTATTCTTTATGATGTTGCAAGCCATGTTCTCCGAGTCACCTTTTATTATGCTCTTTCTTCTTCTCACCCCATAAAAATTATTTTTAGTGAGCCAAATATATTATGTGATTTTATACAGTTAGAGCCTACCTGTTTCCTCTCTGTGATTATCTTTGCCTTTACCTCTTCTTTGCTAGTTTATCTGGCAAGTTTATGCTCATCATTTTAGATAAAACTCAAAATATTCTATTATCAGTGAAGCATATGAGACCCTCAAAGTTATCCATTTTCTCCTCTCTGCCACCATGGAAAATTGCCCATGTTATTAAATACGATAATTATTTAAACATGATTTCTATCTTTTAACCCAGAATTTGCTTAGGAAATCTGGACACAGAGCACAAGCAAATCTGGCACATAATCGGCACTTAATAAGCTATTCTGCCATCATTTCCGACTCAATAAATCCAAACCAGAATTCTTCAGCTTCCACCTAATGTTCTCCAATCTTCTGTTCCTGTCAAAGGTGTTATTTTTCTTGCCATTTAGGGTTAAAATATTATAATCTGCTCTGACTCAGCCTTCTCCTTAATTCAGCATTGTCCAACCAGGAAATATGCTCACTCTAGTAAAAGAACGCAGAGACTTCAAGGTTTTTCTCTCCAAGGAGAGTCTTCTCATGGTATCCCCAAGGATCTCTGAGTTGTACTTTCCCTTGCTTCAGTTACCAGAGGCAACAAAATTCTTACTACAGACAGGCACATACTATTTTCCTTTTAACACTGTGGCCTAATCATTAGCATATGTTCTCCCTCTGATTTCATGTAGGACAGGTAAAATAGATTAGAAACTTTAAAAGCTTTAACTAGCTGCTAACTTTTTTAAAAGGATAAACTTGGTAATTAGAAAACATATAAACATAGGAAGACTTTCACAGCACATATTTCTGATACTTCTCAACAAATTTGCTCCTTAGAGTTGTTGGTTTTGCCATATTTTTAAATTCAGTCTTGAAACAGCCATATCAGTATTCAAAGTACAGATAACTTGGTAGGCAACCTGTCTGAGTTACTTGCTTCCTGAGTTCCAGTCTGCCTCTATGTGGGCACCATCTTATCATCCAAGCTCTAAGAGCTGTTATTGGTAATTTTGACCAAGAAGACTTTTTCTACAGGGCTTTCAGGTCTTATTGCGCCCACTCCATTTCTTATCAGAGAGATCCCTTTCTTCCAGGTAATACAAATGGTAAGTGTACCATACATGAGGTCCCACTACTCTTCATACATCACTTCTCTCACATTCCATTGATCTAAACTTGTCACATGGTCTCACACTGTTACAAGAGATATAAGGTATCTAGTCTTCCTATGTGCTCAGGAGAGAGAGAGAGAAGAATTAAATGTGAGTGTGCACTAATAATTTCCCCAGTAGACTGCTTTGGTTTAGTAGGATTTAAAATAGAGCTTCAGAAACCAACTATTTTTCTAATTGTGTTTCTTGAGGAAAATGCACTTTAAGTCCCAAACAATTGACTTAAATTCTTATAACTCAGTCTTCTGGGGATAAGATGTTGAGGGTATTGGTTTGTTCAGTAAGATTGTGAGTCTTTTAAAGACAAGGACTTTTCTTGCACTCCCATTATATATTTAGAAAACTTTCAATTAAGCATGAGATGCTTAATTACTAATTCATTAAATAAATCAACAAAGTCTGATTAAATAACTTTCTGATCAGATCTGTATGTGAGAAGAATTTCCTGCTTTTTAAACATATTTTCTTTATAAAACTCTCTATTTGCAAATAATTACATAAAGATTTAGCAGTAAGGTAGTGATCCATTAAATTGCCAACCCATTGAATTACTATTCAATGGAATTAGATGTTTGATGGCCAGACACGGTGGTTCACGCCTGTAATCCCAGCACTTTGGGAGGCCAAGACAAGTGGATCACTTGACGTCAGGAGTTTGAGACCAGCCTGGCCAACATGGCGAAACCCTGTCTCTACCAAAAATACAAAAATTAGCCAGGAGTGGTGGTGGGTGCCTGCAATCTCAGATACTTGGGAGGCTGAGGCAAGAGAAACAATGAACGTGAATGCAAGAGGTGGAGGCTACAGTGAGCCGAGATCAGGCTACTGCACTCTAGCCTGGGTGACAGAAAAAGACCCCGTCTCAAAAAAAAAAAAAAAAAAGATGTTGTTTGAATACATTTGATTGATAGTGTGATTCTATTATTTTAATAATTTTTGTTACATATGTATGTCCAATAATTGAATCCTCCCATGAGCATGGTTTTAAATTCATGTTATTATGTTTAGATACCACTCAATCATGAATCAGTACAGAGCCAACCCTGCCATGTTGCAGCCAAAGACAAAAAGAGAAATCATTATTATTCATCATACCATTATTAACATTTAGATATTTTGATCATACTGGAATTTTTTTGCATTAATTTTGATTCTTTAAGATATTGCATTGAACATTTTTTTTTGATTACTGTGTTTTGGCACCTCCTTAAATTTTGCACCAGAAATGAAGATCTCTTTCCCTCCGCTCTAGTCCCAGCCTTATAGCCATGCCTAACTTCCAGAGTGTGGGGAAGCATTATTGTGCCTACTAGACTAGAGAAAGAAAAATGAGGAAAGTACTAATGACTAATATATCCAGTTAAAGTAATAAGTTATAATGCAGAATTGTTTGTTGAAGGAAAAATGATACAACTCAAAGGATCATTTTATTCATCAAGCAATAGAATATTCCTCATCAAAAAATGAAAAATTTGATTTAATTCTATAGAGATATGATTTATAGTCCCATCAGTAATAAACCCTTTCTTTTTTTCCTCTAGAAGCCTTACTTGATTATTTTACTCCAAAAAATCTATATTTGAAAGTCATGGAGTCAGACAGTTTTTTCAAACAATTGAGATGTAATCATTGCATTGCCATTACCTAAAAACTCCTGGTGGATTTTTAATGTTAGTACTTCTTGGATTTGACTTCTTCAGGTACTCTAAAATGTTTACCTTAACTCAGTTTGTTTTGCATTTTTATCATTTTTTGTTATTCCTAGCTTGCAATGATTTTTCTCTAACAAAAACCAACAGTTAAATAATAGCAGAAATAAAAATTTTTAAAGTATCTGAATTTTAAGAAACACAAGATCATCTAAATAATCCTCATTCAATTTCCTCCAGGATTCTATATTAAAATGCTGTAGAAAAATTCTATTCCATAATATGCATGTACTTTATTTTTTCTAAAGAAATGTTTTGAGTATGTGGTAATACATTATTTTAAACAATATTGGTTCTAATAATTGTGTTTGGTTAGCCAAAAAATAAAATAAAATCTAAAAAGGAGATAGAGAAAAAATGCTAACTGATATCACACCTGCATATTTCATCAGCATTATCAATGTGGCTATTCTACATGATACTTTATAGTCTGGTCTAGCTTTAATACCAGAAAAGAAAAAAATACCTTTCAAATAAAAGCCAGATTTATCCCTGTAGAGAGTACTAATTCTCAGAACACATTTCTCTGTTTAATCTTTCTTTTCTTATAACTGTGGTTCATATGTCTCTGTGTTTGGCTTATTGCTTTATCACTACCTTTACATCAGTAATAACAGTTCTTACTAAAGGGCTAGAAAATCTTAACTTCATCATAACATTCATTTATTCTCTTGGCTTCTGACTCCAAAGTAGAAACACGAATGTTCAACCATAATTGTGTGGCCTCTTCTACTTGCTAGGAAGCTCCAAGGGAGATCATATCAAGGGAGATTTGTTTATTTTTTGAACACTTTGAAATTCCACGTTGTGGCAGGCAAAAGCCTGCAGTCAGTTACTCAAGCAACACTCACCCAAAGCAATTTTATTACAACCCAAATATGTATTATTTCTTGCATAGAACATCTACTGAGTGATGTTATGAATAAAATTAGGTCCTGAGACAATTCAGAAAATATGTAAGGGACCTCCTTTTAAAAAAATTTACCATATGGGAGCAAGACGGTGGAATAGAAAGCTTCACTGATTGTCCCCCACCCCATCCCCTGCAAGGACACCAAGTTAACAACTATCTACACAGAGAAAACACCTTCATAAGAACCAAAAATCAGGTGAGTACTCGTAGTGCCTGGTTTGCACTTCATATTGCTGAAAGAGGCAGTGAAGAGATAGAGAAAACAGTCCTGAATCACTGACATCACCCCTCCCCCATCCCCTGAAGCACAGGCTGGTGCAGAGTCTCTGGGCACTGGAGGAGGGAGAACACAGCAACTGTGAGGCATTTAACTCACTGCTGTCCTGTTAGAGCACAAAAGAAAACTGGATCGAACTTAACTGAAGCCCAGCCATGGAAAGAGTATTTCAACCAGCCCTAGCTAGATGGGAATCACCAATCCAGCAGTCCAAAGTTGAGTGATTGCAAACCTCACCGCTGAGGGCTACAGCACTCTGTGTCTCCAAGTAAACTTCAAGGGCAGTCAAGGCCATGAGGACTGCATCTCTTAAGTGAGTCCTAGTGCTAAACTAGGCCCAGGGACAGTGGACTGGGCTGGCACATGACATACTGAAACACCAACTGGAGCACCCAAAGGAGTGCTGGCATCACCCCTCCCTTAACCCCAGGCTGCACAGCTCAGGGCTCCAAAAGTGACCTCTTCCTTCTACTTGAGGTGAGGAGAGGAAAGAGTGAGGAGGATTTGCATCTAGGACACCAGCTCAGCCATAGCAGGTTAGGTCACTGATCAGAGTTGTGAGGCCCCCGTTAAGACCCCATTCCAGATCCAGTCCCTCATTCCAGAGGCTCCCAGATGACTTTTCTAGACACACCCTGGGACAGAAGGGAACCTGCTACTTTGAAGGAAACAACCCAATCCTGGCAGGATTCATCACGTGCTAACTGAAGAGTCCTTGGGTCCTGAACAAACGGCAGCAATACTCAGGTACTACATCAAGTGCCTTGGGTGAGCCTCTGAGATATACTGACCTCAGGTGAGACTCAGCACATTACTAGCTATGGTGTCCATGGGGCAAAACTTCTGCTTGAGAAAAGCAGAGAGAAAAGTAAAGGGGACTCTGTCTTGTACCAGAGCAGCCACCATGGGGCAAAGCACCAAGCAGTCTCTTGGGTCCCCAATTCCAGGACTTGACTCATGGATGGCACTCTTGGACCTACACTGGGCCAGAAGGGAGTCCACTGCCCTGAAGGGTGAGTCCCAGGCCAGGCAGCATTCATGACAAGGTGATTTAAGAGACCTTGGGCCTTAAGGAAACATTGAAGGTAGTCTGGAACTATTCCTTGTGGCCTGGAGTGGTGGTGGCTATGGGTGAGTCTCCTCTGCCTTTGGAAAGGAGAGGAAAGAGTGGGAAGGATTACTTCTTGTGGTGTGAGTGCCAGATCTGCTGCAATACAATAGAATACCAGGTAGACTTCTAAGGTATTTAACTCTAGCCCCTGACTCCTGGAAGGCACTCTGGACTCACACCTGGCCTCGGGAAACTCACTATCCTGAAGGGAAGAAGACAGGCCTAGCTGGCTTTGCCACTTGCTGGTTGTAGAGCCCCAGGGCCTTGAGGAATCATAAGCAGAAGATAGACATATGGCCAATAAGTATATGGAAAAAAGCTTAATAGCACTGATTATTAGAGACATGCAATCAAAACCACAATGAGATACCATCTCATACCAGTCAGAATGGCTATTACTAAAAAGTCAAAAAATAACAACTGCTGGTAAGGTTGCAGAGAAAAAGAAATGCTTATACACTGTTGATGGAAGTGTAAATTAGTTCACCCATTGGGGAAAACAGTGTGGTGATTCCTGCACGACCCAAAAACAGAAATACCATTTGACCCACCAATGATAGAATGATAAATCATTCTATTATAAAGTCACATACATGCATATGTTCATTGCAGCACTATTCACAATAGCAAAGACAGGGAATCAACCTAAATGCCCCTCAGTGTTAGACTGGATAAAGAAAATGTGGTATATATACACCATGGAATACTATGCAGCCATAAAAAAAGAATGAGATCATGTCTTTTGCAGGAACATGGATGAAGCTGGAGGCCATTATCCTTAGCAAATTAATGCAGGAACAGAAAACTAAATATCATATGTTCTCACTTGTAAATGGGAGCTAAATAATGAGAACACATGGACACAAGGAGAACAACAGACACTGAAGCCTATCAGAGGATGGAGGGTGGGAGGAGGAAGAGGATCTGGAAAAATAACTAATGGGGACTAGGCTTAATATTTAGGTGCCAAAGTATTCTGTATAGCAAACCCCCATGACACAAGTTTGTCTATGTAGCTAACCTGCACATGTAGCCCTGAATGTACTTAAAATAAAACTTAAAAAATAAAAATAATAAATAATTAAAATAAATGATTCCTGGAGCTAAACACAGTAAGCCAGATATGCCCTATCCCAATTAGAGCCAAGTATCTAATGAAGGGACCAAAGACACTTTCAATTTCCCTAGTAGTTCCATCAAATCACTGACATGTGTCCAACTCTCCTTCTTCAAATGTTTGCCTCATAAACAATATCTCCCCTATTGCATTGGCTTTTGTTTTCTGTGCTTTTTCCACTTCCTTAAATAGTTAAAATGTAAACGGAATTCATATAGATGTGACATCATTCCAAATTACAAGGAAGCATTTAAATTCCATTTCTATTAAAATTTTTTAAGGTACCATGTAATACATATGTAAGTTAATAACATTTATTTTATAAATAAAATTTGACATAATTTGTAACTATGTGGCCTGAGAATACCACGTGAAAATTATCTGCAATATGTTGTTCTGAAAAAGTATATTAACTCAGAATAATAAATAAAATACTTTTTATTTCATGATTCATTTTCTAAATGGAGTACGATGACCCTCCATGCTGGCAAAAGGTCTAAAAGGATGTGACTTGACCTGAAAGTCACTAAGTAGGGAGTAAAGTTTTATTGGAATTTGAACCTAATTTATTATGTGGGCAAATAATAGTCAATCTATTTTTAATTAACTGGTGTGGCATACAGTCAAGGTAGGAGAATTAAATATTTACTTTTAAATGCAAAATTTTGTGCATGTAATTTTCAGAGAAAAACTTATTATTAAAGGAAATCCTATAATAATTAAGGCAGAATTTGAAAGTGAGTAAGAATGACTAGTCTTGAGACAGAGAATAAAACTTTTGCCACAATCTTAGTAAAAGAAGCATGTTAGTTACAGAAAATTTCTTAAAATATATATACTGACTCAAATTTATCTGTTGGTATCCTAAAAGTTATTTGATAACTTAAAAATTTTTTCTATGAAGTAGTCCTAGCAAATTATGTTTCAAGTCTTTTTTAAGTTTAAAAGCATATAATTAAATTTCTTTCTGAGAAAAGGAATACGAGTAGGTGTTTGCATGGGCATAGATAAATTTTCATAAATTTATTTAAACTAATTTTTGACGCTACTTCAAAACACAATTTCTGTTAAAAAAAACTTTTTAATGCTCTTCGTAGCATTAATGCAACACTTAGGTAAACATGTTTTAATTAGGTAAAAATAGGGAAAAAATGATCTGAAAGTGTTTCTACAATACACAGTCTTTGAAACTAAAACTTACCTCTTTTTAAAAAGTATTTTCTTTTCTCTAAGTTCTCTCTTTTGAACGTGGTAAGCTACTAGGCACTAATGATATCTTGTATTTTATTGCACTTTACCATTTATAAGATACTTTTACATGCATTATCCCTTTTCATCTTTAAAACAGCCTAGAAGTAGGTATTATTCTCATTTTATGCCATGAAGAAACAGAGGAAAAAACTAATCTTTCATAGGGGCTAACAATGACTCATTTTCTCCCTCAAGGAGACCCACTGAGCTAGGGGTTAGAACCCTGATATTTTGGCTCAGTACAGTGCCCTAAAGTAGTACAAGTGTTTGACATCTAATGAGGACATTACACTACCCAGGCAGCTTACCTCAGTTCTTCCCAAACTTGGATGTGGAAATAAATTTTACAGCTCCAAGAGTTTTCTAGGAGAATTTAATTTTGGTAAAAAAACAAGTGAACATATTCTGCATTATTTATACATTAGCCTTGAACAAGCACTGTTGTGTGACATCACTGCTATTGTTTCTGTTGCTAGTTATAACTGCTATGTCATCAATTAGTCTTTGTTTCCAATGGCCCCCCAGAATAAAGAAGAATAAATAATATATTACCACTAAATGAAGGCCAAGTGTCATTAAGGTATGTTGTACAAATGGATATTTTTATTGCAGCTCAAAGGGAGAGTAACAGAGGGAATACTGAGGTGTCCCCTAGCACATAACGTGTACACAGGTAAAACACAGTAGAACTTGCATTGTACAGGAAATACCATGTTTGCACTGTGAACAGAAATATAATATCATGAAAACAACAGTAATTGTATTAAATCATTTTTGTACATTGACTTTTGCTAGTTTGTAAATTCTGTTTTTAATTTGTAAATTTATTTTGGTGTTACAACTAGATACTCACAAGCTTAAACAATTAACAGATTTATTCTCTCTATTTCTCTTTCTCTCCGTACATCCTTGAACAACACAGTTGAACGGTGCAAGTCTACTCATACAAGGATTTTTTTCAATAAATATTTTGGAAAAGTTTTCGCACATTAGTGACAATTTGGAAAACCTCACAAACTGGGTAGCCTAGAAACATTGAAAAAACTGAAAAGTTAGTTATGTCACGAATGCATAAAATATGTGTTAATCTACTGTGTATGTTATAGGTAAGGCTTCTGGTCAAGAGTAGGTTATTACTAGTTAACTTTTGGGGAGCCAAAAGTTACAAGTAGATTTTTTCCATGTTGGGGATCTGTACCCCTAATTCTCAGGTTGTTCAAAAGTCAACTGTATGTATTTATATATAATATTATATTATATTTTATATATAATACATAATATATGCAACAAAGATATAACAAATATATACATTTATTGTCTTTATATATCAAGAAAGAGAATAAATCCATTAATTGTTTAGGCTTGTGAGTATTCAGTTATAACACCAAATTAATGAAGAAATTGATAACGGAACACTGGACTGTGAGCAGGAAAAATACTTTCAGTTAATAAAATTAATTAATTTCTATCAAATTCCCTTGAACAAAATATTTATTGCTTTCAGTTTCAATATGATACACTATCTCAGAGAGTACTTCTTTTTATTTTACATGTAGATTATACAGGGATGTTTCCTATTTCACAGTCAAGTGCTCTGATACCAATTTCTTCATTTATAGATGAAGGGACATATATAAAATGCAATAGAGAAGTTAACACCTAGGACAAGTTTTGGCAGAGAAGGGATGGCACTTTTGCCCTAATTCTCTGACTCTGAATTAATAATCAATTCAGGGACTATTATTTTCCTTCCTCAATAGCCACTGATGCTCTAAGGACTTATATCTGTGGAAGCATTGCCAGTTAGAAGTGTAGTATTATGCTATTTGAATGTTTCAAGTTAAAGCAGAGGTGTTTCACTTTAGGCTGTAGAGAAAGTCCTCTTCCAAGCCTTGATGACTTCCTCAGAGGAGAGTGGAGTAGGGCAAACAATAAGCAGTTAGAGCAACTTTACTATATTTGCTTTATACATTGAACTTACACTTGAGATCTCATTTGGTAAAAATATTCCAAAGCTTATTAACTTTTGTAAACTACTTCCCTAGGGGAATACATTTGTGGAGATACTTTGTATGAGGTAAGAAATCTTAGGTTCCCTACTGGTGACTTCTTTATCTTAAAATCTTTATTGCATATTTGATATATTTAAATGACAGTAAACTTGTGTCTTGTGATGAGCCACACTGAGCTAATGGATACAAAGTTTAGAAAAATTCAGTTTGCATCTATGCATTAAGTTGTGGGGTAAAAAGAACAAAGTTGCCTTCTTTTGTTTTTTAGATAACCCTTATTTAGATTTACTTTCCTGGGAATCAAACTGGAAATTCCTGAAGTTAAATAATATTCAGATTAATTAAAAATGAAGAGTAACATGATAGGCTCAGATAGAAAACAATCCATTGTCTTATTGACAACCGTGTGAAAATTACCTGTAACACCACTATTATTGACTATAGGGATGTCAATCCTGTAGTTAAGGAAGTGGTCATGTAAGAATAGATTTTCAAGTTTTCTCATTATATTTAATAAAAGGCTTCATTTATTCTTTGCTTTGTTTAGTATAATATGAATGCCTTAATGTTTATTAAGCCATACATGAAAAATTTCTGTTATACATACTTTCATATAACCTTATGAAAAACTGAGAAGTAACTACTGACTTCATGAATCCTTTATTAAAATACGAAAAAAACAGAGCATATTTAGAATGCATACATTACCATTACATATAAATACCTAAACCACAAAATATTTTTGATAATTTTTTTTTCAGATGATGTCTCACTATGTTCCCCATGCTGGTCTTGAACTGTCAAGCTGAAGCAATTTTTTCACCTCATCCTCACAAGTAGCTGGAACACAGGCACATCCTACCAAGACCAGCTTATTTTCACTTATTTTTATGTATTTTGAACAGCAATATATACAACTAGTCTAAAAAAGCAATGAAATAAACCAAATCTAAATTAGTAAAAACAGAGTTTTTCTAAAGAAAGATTAGTGGATTATACAACATCATTTGGTTCATTTAATATTTATATCTAGGCAGTTATTTTTAAAACTTTTCTACAGGAAGTTCCTGAAATCAAATATAAATCAGCAGTTGATTGGTATTCAAAATTATTTGATGGGAACTTCAGATTTGGGTGAACTACAGGTGGCAGTGCTATTTATTATCATGAAGTAAACTTTTATTGGAATATAATTATGACTCAAAGTTCATCAGCATCCAGGTCATTTGCGACATGTGTTTTAAATTTTCATATTGATTTTATTAACCATGTGTATGAGAAGACTGCATTCTTATTCTAACTACACCTACTGCTTACCCTTAAATTAGAATATAAAAATACAGCTGGATGGATATCTACATAGCATTTACTATATAAATCAGTAATAAAATTAAATTTCAATAAAATCGGTTATTTAATCAGTTTTTTAGTAATACCTGAATTTGTAGATCAAATAAATTGTATTTAAAATATCAAAAATATTTATTGAGTACAAAGTAGTGTTTTATTTTCATGTTATTGAAATCTGACATAGGTAAATAAACAACTCATATCCTTTTTTAAAATGAGATAATAATGGAGAGAACCATCAGGTCAATTACATGTGGCCACTTTTGACTTAGGTACAACCAGCTGGTAGAAATAACAAGGTTACTAAAATACTTTCATGCTTAGCATAATTCATGGATCTTAAAGCAAAGAGGTTTCCTCTAGTTCAAAGTGAGTTGTTGAGCTGTCTCGCTGGTGCCCTTGGAATACCAAATATATTTTTCTCATTTCTTTTTCCATTTAAACCATTGACCACAAGATGTAACTCTTGGATTTGTCATGGATGCTAGTGCTAGCTACTGATCCGGCAGGCAATTGACAATGTTGGTGTCATTATAGATTCTCCTTCATTTCATCCCTTCTAATCATTACCACACTTCCATGAATATAATGTTCTTTCCTGCCTGTTGTGCTCACCCACTTGTTGGGGCAACACAGAACAGGAATTAAGACCAAGAATATCAAACATACCTAGAACTAAACTTACTCCATCATTACTATTAAACCTCAGGCAAATTATATAACTTCTCCAAGTCTAAAACGTTGAGATGTAAACATAACTCCATAAAATTGATAAAAATTAAATGAAACAATAACATCATGACCCATTCTTGCAAATAGTAAGTGCTACATAAATGGTGGTTATGGTTATTATCATTAAAGCCAAAATTATATATTACCTTGAGATGTTAATTTTCTCTTATTTTTCCAGTAACAGAGTTCGTAAGTTGCTCTTCATTACAGCTCCTCTCTCTGGGCCCCTTGGAAATAAATCCTAGAACGGTTGAGCTACAAAATAATGCGAGGCAGTTTTGCCTCTGTTGTAACCTTGACCATTGTCTCAAAACTTTGATTCTTCCTCTATACTCACAAATATTAATGTCTTCCCTAGGAAGCACAAATAGTGACTTATGGGCAGCATATCAGCCTCAGAAGATTTTAATTTCTTGTTTTTTGAGCTTCCTCAGGATTTCATGTAAAGAGTTCAATCCCAAGCTATCTTGACTTTGATGGACTCGATTTTGTTCCTTCAAAATTCAAAATTCAAAAGCCTAACTTCCAATGTGACTGTATTTAGAAATAAGGCCTATAAGGACGTAACTAAGATTAAATGAGGGTGAGGCCCTAATCCAATAGGGCTAGTGCCCTTATAAGAAGGGAAAGAAACCAGAGCCCTGTTTCCCTGCTGCATAAGGACACAGAGAAAAAGCATTCCTCTACTAGCCAGGAAGAGGTCCCTCACGAGGGACCAAATCAGGCAGCACACTGATTCTGGACTTTTCCACCTCCATAACTATGAGAAAGAAATATCTGTTGTTTGAGCCACCCAGTCTATGATATTTTGTCATAGTAGCCAAAGCAGACAAAGGCACTGAAAAAAGGCCTCACTGGATAGGCCTTACATTCGTTTTTATTTAGCTTGGTTTAAGTGACACGAGCACTACTATATATGATGGGCTAGATAGGAAATTTGGGTCATATATGATATCTTTTATTAAATTGTTTTCTCATTGAACCAAAAACCATAGGTAAAGTCAGGCTTATTCAACTTAAAAGGTTTCATACCTTCTGTATCTCCCTCCAGCAACTCCACACTCCTGACCATCCTGTAAACTATTGCTAGATTAAATTTTCCTAAAATATTATTTTCATTAATCACTACATTACCTCTAGTGAATCCTTAAGCACAGCATGGATCATAGCCAAATTCTTCATTCTGGTACTCAAGGTCTGTCCTTAAATGGCATTCCAAAAAGAGCTAGGATTATTTATGATATTTTTCTCTACACAGTTCTTCAATAAAGTTGATGGCCTCATCTTTAAAATAATTATTTATCCTTATAATGTTGCTGTGAGCATCAAATGGGATGAGTATTATTATAGAAAGTCATTAGGATATTTGAGATATAAGTATTCAGTTAATAGTTGATTCTAATTTTTCATACTGACCACTGCACATATATGATTTTTCCTAATGATAATGACAAATATTTCTTGACAATTTAATAGGTACTCAAATTTACTTCCGATTTTGATCCTGTCAAAAAGTAGGTAATAGATAATCTTCCCTTCCTACTTTATACACTGGGAAACTGAGCTAACAAAAGTTATGTAATATGCCCAAGGTCACAGGGAATAGCACAGCAAGAATTTTAGTCCAAGTAGTGTGGTTCTGGTGTCTACATACTCCCTTCTTCTATGTCTACTTACTTTATGCATCTCGTCACATTTTTATGTAATATTCCTGAATATTCTGCCCTCTCTTTTTATAAAACCAAATTTTACATTTTCTTCAAAGGGAAGTAAAAACTCATCTCTTGCATCATATGTCAACACACTGGGTTTTCTTGTTTTCTCATTGGCCTTATGTAATGACTGAACTTTAATGCCATGCACAATTTATTTATATATGATATTCTTACAAGTATGTCATTAATGCTTTCTCAGATTAAATGTAAGCCTTGAATGGCATAGCCTCTTTATGTTTATAAAGTTCCTGAAAGCCTCAACCGTAACAAATTTATTTGGAATACATTAAAATAAAAAATTTCTGTTTATCAAGGGAATCTCTGTTTATCAAAGTATATAAAGGAAGCCACAGAGTGGGATAAAATACTTTCAAAACATATAGCTGACAAAAGACTGTGTCTGGAATATATGAGAACTATACAAACCACTGGGAAAAAGACAGAAACTTAATAGAAAATTGGATTAAAGACTTAAAATAGATAATTCAAAAAAGAAGATATCTATTATATTGGCCAATAATATACAAAAGGCTGATTAACTTCATTAGTCATTATGAAATGTCAAATACGCTGCAATGAAATAGCATTATATACCTTTGGATTGGTCAAAATTGAAAAAGGTGATTTAAACAATATTGCTGAGGCAGTGAGGCAAATAGAAATATCAATCTCTGTTGGTAATTTTTTAGCTGTGTATATAATTTACATATATATGAATAGCACCATCCAGCCAAAATAATGCATGCAAATAAAGCACAAAAAGACATATACAAAGATATTCCTAGCAGCATTATTCTTGATAGCTCCAAATTAAAATGAACCTAAATGTCTGTTAATAGTAAAATGAATAAATAATTTGTGGTATGTTTAAATCGCATACAAGAATGAAAACAGGAATGAAAACATATAAGCTACAAGTGCATACAATAATCATAATAAATTTTACAAATACAATGTGCAGTAAAAGAAGCCAGTTTCAAAATAATATATGCTGTTTGATTCCACTTATAGAAACTAAATTTTAAAACAAATTTAATCAATATATTGTGTTGAGAAGGAGTGTTGGGGCGATAGTGTGTGTTATGAGGAATAGAGTGAATATTTTGGGGATGAGACATAATGGGGGTTTCCTGGGGAGTGGCAATGTTTTCCTTCTTACCTTGTGTTTATTTGGGTTTTTGCCCTGTGAGCTGTGCATTTATGCTTCATGAGTTGTTTTATATATATATACTTATATATTACTTAAAATAACTCAAAACTAATATAAAAATAACATCTAGCTGATTAAATTTACAGCTTTAGAATGGTATAATATGATACAAAAGGAATTCTATTGAGCTGAGTAAAGAACAAAGCAAACTGAATAATTTTGAGAAATACTGATAGTACTACTAAAACAGAATACTTTGAGGTCAAGAATATAATAATTTAAGTGTAATCTGGAACTTATAAACCAAACTGTACTAACAAAGAGTTGGAAGTTAGTTAATCGTGAGGGAAAGTTGTAAAATATTCTACATGCAACGTTTCTCATCCTACATGTCATATGAGTATCTGGGTGAAGTTAAGTCACAAAGGCAACTCAATTGTTTAACAGGTTATTCTATCCTAGAGGATCCTTCCAGAAACATGTAGAGTATTGTAGCAGAGTTATCAAACATACTTATTCATAATTAATTGTTAGGGAAGATTAAAAAAATACCACCACAGCAAAAAATATTATTTATATTTAAATAGGCAGAAACTGGGGGTAAAAAGTTCCTAAGAGAAAAAAAAAGGATGAAGGGTAAGATAGACAGACATTTTTTAAAATCACTATTACCAATAACAAAAAGTAACCTAAAGCAAAGTATAAATGAATAAAAGACAGACTATAGCAAATGCATCTGCAAAGGGAGTGACTTATGTGCATAAGGGTAGACACCCTATGCAACTGTAAAGATATCCATATAACATTAAAAATAAAACTATCTAATTTAATTGTCTTCTGACAAAAAGAGTTACATAAAACAGCACAACATAAAACAGTAAAGGTCAAAGATCTGTAACCTAGAAAAATAAAAACAAAGTTGATGTGGTTATACCCATTTTATACCAAAGTACATTCCAAAACATAACTAAAAGGAATACGGTAAATGTTTTTAAATTAGTAAAGCAGACAATGATGAAATAATATGGAGGAATTATGACGTTTATCCACAGACCAATACATCCTCAATAAATACATGGAGTAACAAATGTGAGAAATGAAATCAAGAACATTTTTTTTTTTGAGATGGAGTCTCGCTGTGTCACTCAGGCTACGGTGCAGTGGCATGATCTCGGCTCACTGCAACCTCTGCCCCGGGTTGAAGCGATTCTCCTGCTTCAGCCTCCTGAGTAGCTGGGATTACAGGTGCATGGCACCATGCCCAGCTAATTTTTGTATTTTTAGTAGAGATGGTGTTTCACCATATTTGTCAGGCTGGTCTCAAACTCCTGACCTCGTGATCAGCCCACCTTGGCCTCCCAAAGTGCTGGGATTACAGGCGTGAGCCACTGCGTCCAGCCTCAAGAACAAATTTAAAGAAACAGGCTGGGCTTGGTGGCTCATGCCTGTAATCCTAGCACTTTGAGAGGCCGAGGTGGGTGGATTGCCTGAGCTCAGGAGTTCAAGACCACCATGGGCAACACAATGAAACTCCATCTTCATTAAAATACAAAAAATTAGCCAGACATGGTGGTGCATGCCTGTAGTTCCAGCTATTTGTGGAGACTGAGGCACAAAAATTGCTTAAACCCATAAGCTGGAGCTTGCAGTGAGCACTCCAGCCAGGGTGAAAAAGTGAGACTCTGTGTCCAAAAAAAAAAAAAGAAGAGAAAGAAAAAAAAAAACAATGAGCAAGATGACAGACTAGAGGTACCTAATACTCATCACCCTCACATAAAACGACCAAAACAATGAGTAGGCTACCACATTTCAACAAGAGTATTGGAAGGAGAGCACTGGAGTACAGTAGATTCACGGTAAAGACCATGTAGGGCATGGAGACTCAGGCAGGACACATAGAAAAAAAAGCAAAATGCCCCACGGCATTTCCCCATCCTTGACGTTTCACCACCACTTACTGTGCTCACACATGCTAGAACATTATTTCCTAGTTGAACAGCTGTAGTTCTCTACCCCCTGGGAATAAACAACTCAAAATAATCTGTTTCACCATCCCAGTGGCTATAGTGCCCTAGTCCTGGCTATACAAAAGCCTAAACCCAGCAGAATGACCATAATCCCACTGTCTAAGCCCATGAGGCACCCTGCCCTCTGGGAACAAGCTCCCAGTAGTGAGGCCATACCCAATCTGGTGGTTAAGCAGCACTGATTCATTCTTAGTGCATAGAACAGCCCAGTGACCTGACACTCAGTGGGGAGACTATGACCACCCAGAACCAAAACCAATGCTCCATACCTAACCAACACCCTAGAACATATCTACAGATGAAAACTTTTTTCTATTAAAGCTACTCTACAAAATTGGAAGAGGTAACCATTCCAGCAGATGCACAAATTTCAACACAGGAAAACAAGAAACATTTGAAAAGCAGGAAAATATGAAATTGCCAAAAAAAACCCCACAATGAACTTCCAGTAACTGAGCCTGAAAAAGCAAATTTACAAATCACCTTAAAAAATTTATAATAATGATCTTAATAAAACTCAGTGAGATGTAAGATTATATAGACAATTCATCGAAATCAAAAAAACAATTTATAATCTGAGAAGTTTAACAAAGAGCTACATATCATATAACAAAAACAAACAAATCTTGGAGCTGAAGACCTCATTGAATAAAATTAAAAATATAATTGAGAACTTCAACAGCACACTAGATCAAGCAGAAGAATTTCTGACCTTGAGGCAAGTCTCTTAAAATAACTCAGTCAGAGGGAAGAAAATGAAAAAAAGCAAAGAAAGTTTATAAAATCTATGGAACACCATTAAGCAAACACATGTTCACATTATAAGTTTCAGAGGTAGAAGAGGTGGAGAAAGGCTAAGAAAGCCTACTTAAGAAAATAATAGCTAAAAGTTTCCCAAAGATATGGACATCCAGGTCCATAAAGCTCAAAGGATTTCATTTACACGTAACCCAAAGAAGTCTTCTCTAAGGCACACTAAAATCAAACTGTCAAAATTCAAAGACAAAGAGAGAAATCTAAAAGCAGCAGGAGAAAAACATCAAGTTACACATAAGAAATTCCCCATTAGACTATCAGCAGATTTCTCAGAAGACACTTTGCAGGCCAGGAGACAAAGAGATGATATATTCAAAGTAACAAAAGAAAAAAAACAAACAAAAACAAAACAAAACAAAACAAAAACCTCTCAACCAAGAATACTATACCAAGCAAAGCTATTCTTTAGAAATGAAGGAGAAATAAAGGATTTTCCAGCCTAACAAAATTTGAGGGAATTCATAATCACTAGACTAGCCTTACAAGAAATGCTTAAGAGAGTGCTTCAACTGGAAGTGAAAGGACATTAATTACTACCGTGAAATCACATGAAAGTATAAAATTCACTGGTGAGGTAAACTTATAATCAAATTCAGAATACTCCATTACCACAATGGTGGTATATAATCTTTAAAATCTCTAGTATGAAGATTAAAAGTCAAAATGGTCAACAAAAACCTTAGCTACAATAAGTTGTTAAGGACTAGACGATATAAAATACATACATTTAGGCAAAAAATTTTTAAAATTATAAATGGTGGGAGGGTAAAAGTCTAGAATATTTGTATGCAACCAAAGTTAAGTTGTCAGCTTAAAATAGCCTTCTATAACCCATAGGTTTTTAAATATTAGTCCCAGAGTAGTCACAACAGAAAATTATAACAGAAACACAAAGGAGAGAGGGAAAGAATCAAAGCTTATCAGTACAGAAAATAACCAAGCCACAAGGGTAAACAACAAGATAAAAGAAAGTAACAAATTAAAAGAAAACAATTAACAGAATGGCAGGAATAAGTTCTTACTTATCAATAATAACCTTGAATGTAAATGGATTAAATTCTCTAATTAAAACATACTGAGTGGCTGAATGGATAAAAACAAAAACAAAATAAGAAAACAAGACCCAACTATATGCTGCCTGCGTTACACTCATTTTACCTGTAAGGACACACACAGACTGAAAGTAAAGGGATGGGCAATAATATTCCATGAAAATGGAAACCAAAAGAAAGCAGACAAAATAGAATTTGAATCAGAAACTGTAAAAACAGACAAAGATGGTCATTACATACTGATAAAGGGGTTAATTCAGCAAAGGGATATAACAATTATAAATATAAGTGTGCCCAACACCAGAGCATCTGAATATATAAAGCTAATATTATTTGATCTGAAGGGGGAGATAGAAAACAATACAATAATAATAGCAAGTGTCTTCAACATTCCACCTTCAGCAATGGATATATCATTCAGACAGAAAATAAGTAAAGAAACATGGATTTAAGCTAGACTCTAGATTGAATGGAACTAATAGACACTTACAGAATATTCCACCCAAAAGCTTCACAGTACATAGTCATCAACAGATGAAACTTTCCCCATGATAGACCATATGTTAGGCCACAAAAAAAGTCTCAACAAATTTTTAAAAATTGAAATTATATCAAGTATCTTTTATGACCACAATGGAATAAAACTAGAAATCATTTACAGGAGAATCTTTAAAAACTATACAAATACATGAAAATTAAACAACATACTTCTGAGCAATGAAAGGATAAATTAAAAAATTAAAAATAGAATTAAAAAATTTTTGAGATTAAAAAAAATGGAAAGACAACAATACCAAAACCTACAGGATACAGCAAAATCAGTTCTAAAAGGGAGTTCATAGCAATAAACAACTATATGTAAAAAATAGAAACATCTCAAATAAACAACCTAATGTTGCACATCAAGAAATTAGAAAAGTAAGAATAAACTAAACCCAAAATGAGTAAAAGTAATAAAGATCAGAGCAGAAATAAATGAAATAGAGATAAAAAACCCAAAAGATCAATGAAAGGATGAGTTAGTTTTTTTTGAAAAGATGACACAAATTGACAAACCCTTATCTAGACTAAGAAAAAAAGAGAGCAGATTCAAATAAATAATATTAGGAATGAAAATTGAGACATTACAATTGATACCATAGAGATATAGAAGATCATAAGAGACTATTATGAACAACTTTATGCCAACAAATCAGAAAACCTAAAAGAAATGAATAAGCTCCTGGACACATACAACTTACCAAATCAAACCAGGAAGAAATAGAAAATCTGAGCAGAACAATAAGAAGAAAATTGAATAAGCAATTAAAAATTTCCCATCAAAGAAAGGCCCAGGACCTGACGGCTTCCCTGTTGACTTCTATCAAACATTTAAGAACTAATACCAATTTTTTCAAACTATTCCAAAAAAATCAAAGAGAATAAAATTCTTCCAGACTCATCCTATGAAGCCATTATCACCCTTATACCCAAGCCAGACAAGGACACAACATAAAAAAACTACAGGCCAATATCCCTGGTGAAAATTGATGCAAAAATCCTCAATAAAATAGTAGCAAACAAAATTCAACAGCACATTAAAAAGGTCATTCACCATGATCAAGCGAGATTCATTCCAAAGATACTAGGAAGGTTTAACATATGCAAATTAATAAATGTGATGCATCACATTCACAGAACCAAGGACAAAAACCACATGATCATCTCAATAGACACAGATAAAGTATTTGATAAAATTCAATATCCCTTTATAATAAAAACACTCAACAAATTAGGTATAGAAAAAACATACCTCAATGCCACAAAGGCTGCATACGACAAACCCCCAGCTAACATCATACTAAATGGGGGAAATATTGACATTTTTCCTTCTGAAACCTAGAGCAAGACAAGGATGCCCACTTTCACCATTTTTATTCAACATAATACTCGAAGTCCCAGTCAGAGCAATTAGGCAACAGAATAAGATTTTTTTTAATTTAAAAACTATAAATTTAATTTCCTTAATAGTTAAAATTATTATTTAAAAGTCTATTTCATTTTGGGTGAGTTGTGGTAATTTGTGTTTTTTAAGGAATTGGCACATTTCATTTAAGTTGTCAAATTTACGTGTTAGAATTGTTCATAGTATTTGTTCTCTTATTATCCTTTAGATATCTGCAGGGCCTGTAGTAATAGCTCTTTAAATAAGTTATTTAAATAACTTAATAAGGCTTAAATAAGTTTATTGATGAAGTTATTAAACACTTCAGGAAAAAATTATACTAATTTTATGCAACTTCTTTCAGAAGATAGAAGCAGAGGGAATACTTTCTAATTAATTCTGTGAGTTCAGCATTACCCTAATACCAAAATGAGACAAAGAAATTTCAAGAAAAGAAAACTACAGACCAGTATCTCTCATGAATGTAAATGCAAAAAAATCCATAACAGAATATTAGCAAATTGAATATAACAATGTGTACAAGGAATTATTTACCATGAACAAGTGAGATTTATCTAAGGTATGTAAGGCTGGTTGAACATTTAAAATCAATTAATGTAATCCATCACATTAGCAGCCTCAAGAAGAAAAATATATGAACATAACAATAGATGCAGGAGAAGTATTTGACAGATACTAAAACCTAATTATGCTAAAAATTCTCAGCAAACTAAGATTAGAGAGAAATTTTCCTCAACTTGAGAAAGAATATAGACAAAATACCTACAAGTAACATGATATATAATGGTGAGGAACTAGCTTTCCAACCAAGATCTGCAAAAAAAAACTGGAAAAAAATCAAAGGTATACAGATTAAGAAGTAAAAAGTAAAATTGCTTTTGTCCACAGATGACATGATCATCTTTGTAGAGTATTAACCAAATCATCCAGAAAACCCTTCTCGATCTAATATACAATTATAACAAGGTTTCAAGATACAAAGTTAACATACAAAAGCCCATCAATTCCTATATGCCAGCAATGAATGAGTGGGATTTGAAATTAAATACAAAATATTTTTTACATTAGCACTCCCCAAATGAAGTACTTAGCTATAAATCTAACAAGTGGGTACAAGATTTAGATGAGGAAAATGACAAAACTCTCATAAAAGAAATCAAAGGACTAAATAAAGAGATATTTCATATTAATGGATATAAAGATCAATATTGTCAAGATATCAGTTCTTTCCAACTTGATCTATAGATTCAGTGGAATGCCAGTCAAAATCCTGGCAAATTAATTTGTGGATATCAACAACCATATTCTAAAGTTTATATGGACAGGCAAAATATCCAGAATAGCCAACGTGACATTGAAGGAGAACAAAATTAGAGGACTGACACTACCAGACTTCAAGACATACTATAAAACTGATCAATATATTTTGGTATTGATGAAAGGACAAACAGATAAATGGAAGAGAACAGAAAGCCCAGAAATAAATCCATATAAACATAGTCAACCGATCTTTGTTAAAGGAGCAAAAGCAATTCAATGGCGCAAAGGTAGGCTTTTGGAGAAATGGTGGTAGAAAAACTGTATATCCACATGCAAAAAAAAATGAATCTAGACCCACACATACCCTTCACAAAAACTAAAACAAAATAGACCAACCATAGACAAAAAATTACAACTTGGTCTATAATAACATCACACCTACAAAAACTAACTTGAAATGGACCATTCACTTAAATGTAAAACATGAAACTATAAAATGTTTAGAAAAAACAGAAGAAATTCTTTGAAATCTAGAGCTTGGCAAAGAGTTCTTAAATATGACACTAAAAGTGTGAGCCGTAAAAGAAAAAAAAATACATTGGATTTCATTAAAATTAAAAACTCTTGCTCTGTGAAAGGCCTCATTATGAAGACAAAGATAAGCTGCAGACTAGGAGAAAATATTTTCAAACAACATATCCAACAGAAGATGACTATCTAGAATATATAAAGAACTCTCAAAACTCAACAGTAACAAACAAATGATACAACTAGAAAATGGCCAAATGAGATGCATTAGTCTGTTCTCATGCTGCTAATAAAGACATACCCAAGACTGGATAATTTATGAGGGAAAGAAGTTTAATGGACTCACAGTTCCACATGGCTGGGGAGGCCTCACAATCATGGCAGAAGATGAAGGAAAAGCAAAGGGATGTCTTACATGGTGGCAGGCAAGAGAGTGTGTGCAGGGGAACTGTCCTTTTATAAAACCACCAGTTCTCATGTGACTTATTCCTTATCAGGAGAACAACATGGGAAAAACCCACACCCATGATCCAATTACCTCCTACCAGGTCCTGCCCATGACACGTGGGGATTATAGGAGCTACAATTCAATATGAAATTTGGGTGAGGACACAGCCAAACCATATCATGAGATGAAGAGGATATACAGATGGCAAATAAAGACATGGA
Source organism: Homo sapiens (assembly GCF_000001405.40). Lineage (NCBI taxonomy): Eukaryota > Metazoa > Chordata > Mammalia > Primates > Hominidae > Homo > Homo sapiens. Next base: position 54,739,842 of record NC_000006.12, on the reverse strand, counting down.
AAGATGTTTAACATCATTATTTATTAGGAACATGCAAATCAAAACCACATGAGTATCATTACACATCAACCAGAGTTGCTAAACTGTTTTTTTTTTTTTTTTAAAAGTGACAGCACAAAATACTGGGGATGCAGAGTAGCTAGCTCTCGCATACATTTCTTGTGTGAATATAAAATGGCACATCCATAGTGGAAAAATAGTTTGGAGTTTCTCTAAAAACTAAACATACAAATACCATACAATCCAGTAATGGCACTTCTGGGCATTTATTCTAAAGAAATGAAGACTTGCGTTCCCACAAACATATATGAAAATATTTACAGCATCTTGTAATAACCAAAAACTGGAGACCACCCATGTGTCCTTCAATAGGTGAATTGTTCAATAAACTTTGCTTCATTCATATCATGTAATACTACTCCAAAATAAAAAGAAACTATTGACATTTGCAACAATCTAGATTAATTTCTAGAGAATTATGCTGAGTAAAAAAAAAGCCAATTCCAAGTAGTTACATACCTTATGAATCTACTTTTATAACACATGGAAAGTTTACATGGATTTGTCTAGATTACATGTAATAACTGCATATGAATCTGGAATTATTTCAAAATCAAAGTTTAATTAAAAATATAGTAGAAAAATTTCATTTATAATAGCATATAAAGTATTATACTTTAAAAACTGTACAATAAATATATAAAAATGCTTCAGACTTTTTATACAAAAAATTGAAATATGTTGAAGATTACAAAAAATTGAGTAAATGAATTGAAAAATGTAATATTATACTTCTTCCAAAATTCATCTATAAAATAAGTAATAAATCAATATGTCAATAAGGCATTTTGGGGATAGGAGTGGGAGGTTATAACAAGTTGATAGTAAAATTCATAGGGAAGAGCCCAAAACAGACAGTTTGGGAAAAACAAAACAAAATAAAACAGACAACAGGAGTTAAGCTATCAGATAATCACTTCGTATTATAAAACTACAGTGATTAATGTAGTGGGTATTGAAAACAGAATACAGCCAGGCGCAGTGGCTCATGCCTGTAATCCCAGCACTTTGGGAGGTCGAGGGGGGCAGATCACGAGGTCAGGAGTTTGAGACCGGCCTGACCAACATGGTCATACCCCGTCTCTACTAAAAATACAAAAATTAGCTGGTCTTGGTGGTGGGTGCCTATAATCCCAGCTACTCAGGAGGCTGAGGCAGGATAATCTCTTAACCCGAGTGGTGGACATTGCAGTGAGGTGAGATAGCGCCACTGCACTCCAGCCTGGGTGACACAGCAAGACTCTGTCTCAAAAAAAAAAAAAGAAAGAAATCAATACAGAATACAGAAATGAGATACCAAAATCCTCAGTGGCATGATACTATTTCAACTGATATGGCAGAATCTCTTCTTATATTTGAGAGTTTGATAGATGTCAGAATTGAGTAATGTTGGGCTATTTAAAAAATGGTATTAAGAAAGCAGGTTATCCTAGAGAAAAATATAAAATTAGATTTGAACATTACATCATGCCAAAACAAATCAATTCCATGTGGATCAAAGACTTAAATGTAAAAAGCAAGATTTTAAAACTTGAAAAATATATCCTTGTGACCTTAATGAAGCAAAAAAATTATTAAACAAAGCACATTAAATATACCATATTTTTAAAAAATTGTTACATTTGAAATTACAATTAAGAAAAATTTTTACATATTAAAAATGTCATAACATCTAAAAATAAGCCATGATCTTTTATTTAACATAAAAATCATATTTAGAAAACATAAAAAAGCTCCAAAAACTCAGTTTAAAAAAGATAAATATCACAATAAGAATACAGGCAAAAATATGAACAGGCATTTCAGAGAAGGGGAAATATGATTGGCCAGTAATGGAATGGCTAATCATATTTTTTCTTCTCAACATATTAATATATAAAAATATAAGAAAAACAAATGAAAACAATAATAAAATGTCAGTATACATCCATTGGATTAGCAAAAATTAGGTGGTTTCACAATACCCATCTTGGTGAGGATGTGAAGAAATTGGAACTCTCAAATGCCATTAGTGGGGCTGTTAATTGGTTGACTCACTTTGAAACAGTACCTCATAAATGTGAAGATTTGTAAACCCCCAATTTGTATATGTTAGGGACCTGTCCCACAAGTAATTCTGCATAGTTATGTAGCCTTGCTTACTGCCATGAAAAGTAAAAATAATTAGTTAGGGCTATATTTAAAATTTAGGAGACTGAGTCAAGATTGCAGACTAGAAGCAGCTCATATGTGCCATTCTCACAGAGAGGAACCAAAAGGTCTACTGAATAATAACCTTCCAAGCTGATCACCTAAGAAACCATGTCAGCATCCATCCAGGCCTCCAGGGGGCGCAGAGAGGAGCCAAGCTAGGCAGCTGCCTCTCTGGGATCAACATGAAGCCAGGAGAAGCTGCCTGACACGAGAAAGGGTGAGTGAGTGAGAGCCCCCAGGGGAAGTCATGCTCTCCACAGGGACCAGTGCAAGACTGAGCATGGGAGACTCCCTGTGCCTACGCACCCATCCCCCAACCCCCCAACCCCATGCATTTCTAAACAGAGGCAGAGAGCCACCGGATATTTTACAGAGGCAACTCCCAAGTCCAAGGGGACCTCAACAAGTCTTGGACCCCAGAACACACTGGCATCAGCACCATAGCCCTAACAGAAGCTGTGGTTGGGGTACCTGGAAGCAGTAAGATTCCTCCACTCCCCCTCACGAGACAAGGCTTGGGGCCGGAAGCTGGCCCAGCAGTCCCGCCTCTGCCTGAGCTCAGCTGGTGTGTGCAGCCTCCCTGTTGTCCTGGGAAATACTTGAATGGCAGGTCAGGCAACTGCACCGACCCCCCAATGCTGGTAGCTGGGTGGGCCGCTACTGCAAGAACGTCCAGCCCAGCAGTACTTCTTCGGCCTGAATTCAGTGGGCAGCTCCACCCACTTTCGCCTCCCATAGCCAGAGGGGCCACACCTGCTATTGATTCCAGCCCAGCTTTCCCTCTTCTGCCTGAGCTCTGTGGCAGGTGCAACCCCATGGTCCCCGGGAAAGCACCCGGACAGCCAATTAGGTGACCCCACACACCCCAGAGCTCCTAGTCAAGAGGGACTTGCTGGCTCAGGTGGTGCCCAAGCAGGGAGGACCCCTCACTCTCAGATAACTGAGACAGGTAAGACTCCCGTGTTCTCAGGCCAATGGAGGAGTGGGGTGTGCCTCCCACTGCAAGGCCTATACATCAAGGATATGGCCTGTCTTCCAACTGCAGCTGAAGCAGGAGAATCGCTTGAACCAGGGAGTCGGAGGTTGCAGTGAGCCAACATGGTGCCACCACACTCCAGCCTGGCGACAGAGTAAGACTCTGCCAAAAAAACAAAAAAACAAAAAAACATAAAACAAAACGCATACCAAAGGAATATCAGCCCACACAGATGAAAAAGAACCAGCACAAGATCTCTGGCAACTTAAAAAGCCAGAGTGTCTTCTCACCTATATACAACCACACTAGTTCCCACACTAGAACCAACAATGCTTCTTAATCAGGCTGAAATGGCTGAAAAAAAAAAAAAAAAAAAAACAGGCATAGAATTCAGAATATAGATAAGAATGAAAATCATTGAGATTGAGGAGAAAATTGAAACCCAAACTAAAGAACCTAAGGTACAGGAGCTGAAACACAAAATGGCCATTTTAAGAAAGAAACTGACCTGATAGAGATAACAAATTCACTACAAGAATTTCATAACACAATCACAAATATTAACAGCAAAATACACCAAGCTGAAGAAAGAATCTCAGAGCTTGAAAACTGGCTCTCCAAAATAACACAATCAGACAAAAATTTTAAAAAGAATGAAAAATAATAACCAAAATCTCCAAGAAATATGGGATTATGTAAAGAAACCAAATCAGCAACTCACTGGTGTCCTTGAAAGAGAGGGTGAAAAAGTAAGCAACTTGGAAAATACATTTGAGGATATCACCCATGAAAATTATCCCAACCTCACTGGAGAAACCAACATTCAAATTCAGGAAATGCAGAGACCCCTGCAAGATACTATACAAGATGACCATCCCCAAGCACACAGTTATCAGATTTCACAAGGTCAACATGAAAAAAAAAATTTTAAAGGCAGCAAGAGAGAAGGGGCAGGTCACCTACCAAGGGAACCCCATCAGGCTAACAGTGGACCTTTCAACAGAAACCCTACAAGCCAGAAGAGATTAGGGGATAATCTCTATCCCCTTATATTAGGCATCCTTAAAGAAAAACAAACTCCAAACAATAATTTTATATCCAGCCAAACTAAGCTTCATATGCAAAGGAGAAATAAGATCCTTTTCAGACAAGTGAATGCTAAAGGAATTTGTTACCACCAGACCTGCCTTACAAGAGGTCCTTAAGGGAGTCCTAAATATGGAAACAAAAGACTGTCAACAGTCACTACAAAAACACAATCACATAGACCACTGACGCTATAAAGTAACTATACAATCAGGTCTATATACAACCAGCCAACACTACCATGACAAAATCAAATCCACACATATTGATATTAACATTGAATGTAAACAGGTTAAATGCCCCAATTAAAAGGCACAAGTGGCAAATTGGATAAAGAAGGAAGACACAACTAGATGCTGTCTTCAAGAAACTCATCTCACATGCAATAACACCCTTAGGCTCAAAGTAAAGAGATGGAGAAAAATCTACCCAGCAAACAAAGAAACAAAACAAAAACAAAAAGCAAGGATTGCTATTCTTATTTCAGACAAAACAGATTTTTAAACCAACAATGATCAAAAAAGACAAATAAGAACATTATGTAATGGTAAAGAGTTCAATTCAACAAGAAGAGTTAACTATTCTAAACAAATATGAACCTGACATAGTAGCACCCAGATTCATAAAGCAAGTTTTTATAGACTTTCGAAGAGATTTAGATAACGACACAATAATAGTAGGAGACTTCAACATTTTACAACATTCTACAACATTCTAGACAAATCATTGAGGTAGAAAACAAACAAAGATATTTTGGAACTGAACTCTACACTTGACCAAATGGTCCTAACAAATATCTATAGAACTCCACCCAAAAACAACAGAATATACATTCTTCTCATTTGCACAGGGCACATACATTAAAATCGAACATGCTATTAACCATAAAACACTTCTCAGCAAATTCAAAATACTAAAATTATATGAATGACATTCTTGGACCACAATGTAATAAAAGTAGAAATTAAGGCCAAGAAAATCACTCAAAACAATACAATTACATGGAAATTAAACACCCTGCTTCTGAATGACTCTTGGGTAAACAATGAAATTAAAGCACAAATCAAAAAGTTATTTGAAACTAATAAGAACAGGCCAGGTGCAGTGGCTCACACCTATAATCCCAGCACTTTGGGAGGCTGAGGCAGGCAGATCACCTGAGGTTAGGAGTTTGAGACCAGCCTCACCAACATGGCGAAACCCCATCTCTACTAAAAATACAAAAATTAGTTGGGCATGGTGGTGTGTGTCTGTAATCTCAGCTACTCAGGAGGCTGAGACAGGAGAATCGCTTGAACCCAGGAGGCAGCAGAGGTTGCAGTGAGCTGAGATCACGCCACTGCACTCTAGCCTGGGTGACAGAGCAAGACTCCATCTCAAAAAAAAAAGAGCAAAGAAACAACATACCAGAATCTCTGGGAAACAGCTAAGACAGCATTAAGAGGGAAATGTATAGCACTAAATGCCCACATCAAAAAGTTAGAAAGATCTCAGATTAACAACCTAATACCACACCTAGAAGAATGAGAAAAACAAGAGCCAACCAACCCCAAAACTAGCAGAAGACAAAAAATAACCAAAATTAGAGCTGAACTGAATGAAATTGAGATGTGAAAAACTATACAAAAGATTCAACAAAACCAGGTATTGCTTCATTGAAAGAATAAATAATATTGGTAGGCCACTAGCTAGACTAATAAAGAAAAAAACAGGAGACGATTGAAATAAAGATCTAGCAGATTGCTAGAAATTAGTGACATTTACAACAATAGATAAATTACAAAGTTAATTTTTTCACAAAAGAGTCTTATGCAATATATACAGTCTTATCACTGTAAATATAGTTCAAAAGCATGCAAAAGCATTGTTCCAAAAATTATTATATTTAGTTTAGAGAAATATACATATAGAATAAATTTACAAAAGTATGTGTAGTAAGATATATATAGAATACATTTACAAAAGTATGCATAGTAATGGCAAACTTCAAATCCCTACCCAAATCTCATGTCAAATTGTAATCCCCAATGTTGGAGAGGGGCCTGGTGGGACATGATTGGATCATGGGGGTGGACCTTCCTCTTGCTGTTTCTCATGAGATCTGGTGGTTTAAAAGTGTTTAGCACCTTTCCCTTCACTCTCTTCCTCCTTCTCAGGCCATGTAAGATATGCCTGCTTCCCCTTCACCTTCCACCATGATTTTAAGTTTCCTGAGGCCCTTCCAGCCATGTTTCCTGTGCAGTCTGCAGAACTATTGGTCCATAAAAACTCTTTTCTTCATGAATTACCCAGTCTCAGGTAGTTCTTTATAGCAATGCAAGAACAGACTAATACAGATGTGCTTTCTATATATAGTAACACAGTATCACAGGATATTTCGGCACAACATAATCAAACGTTTTCATTTTTAAATTACAACAGAACTCTTCATTCTGTCATAGGTTGGATCACTGAGTATACCCTGGTAGAATTGTCTACAGTTTGTATACATGGTATAGGAGGCATTAGCAAATGAAAAAAAAAAAAACAATATTCTTGAATAGCTTAATTATATTAGACTATTGATTTGTTTTAATGCTTGCTTCCCATCTTTTTAACTAGGGAAACAATGTTTAAAACATAATTTCACATGAAGCTCTAAGTATCTTAAAACATTTCTAAATTGCCACTTTTACATTTCTTTTCACAAAATGTGATTTATGTAGTGGTTACTTGCCAAATAAGACAGTTTATACTAAATGTTTGACTTAAAAATAATACTAAATATAATGTATACAAATATCAAAATTCATTTTTATAACCATGTTTATATCTTAAAAAAACCTGTCAATAAATATTGATACTAATAAACACTTGATGCTTACTGAATACCTGGTAAGAACCAAAGTAAGATTTTAAAAAAATTTAGCTGTTTCAATAGGTGTGTAGTGACATCTCATTGTGGATTTTACTTGTATTTTTCTGATGGCTAATAATAATTAATATATTTTCATGTGCTTATCTCCTTATCTACCATCCATCTCTCCTTCTTGGTGAAATGAGGTTTTGTCCATTATTAAATTGAGCTGTTGGCCAGATGCACTGGCTAATGCTTGTAATCCCAGCACCTTGGGAGGCTGAGGTGGGCAGGTTGCCTGAGCCTAGGAGTTTGAGACCAGCCTGGGATGCATGGAGGAAACCCATCTCTACAAAAAAAAATAAATTAAATACAGAAAAGAATTAGCTGGGTGTGGTGGTACACACCTGTAGTCCCCAGCTACTTGGGAAGCTGAGGTAGGAGACAGGCTGCAGTGAGCTGAGATTGTGCCACTACATTCTAGCTCTTTCTGGAAAAAAGAAAAAGTTGAACTTTTTTTTTTTTTTTTTAGTTTTTGAGTTTTAAGAATCCTCTACGTATACTCTGTTAGATACATGACTCAGAAATATTTTCTCCAGCGTATAGTTAGTTTGTGTTTTCATCCTGTGAATGTGGTCTTTCTTTTTGCGGCGGGGGGGGTGGGTCGAGGGCAATGGAGTCTCCCTCTTGCACAGGCTGGAGTGCAGTGGCATGACCACCGATCACTGCAACCTCCGCCTCCCGGGTTCAATCGATTCTCCTGTCTCAGCCTCCCAAGTAGCTGGGATTACAGGTATGTGCCACCACACCTGGCTAATTTTTGTATTTTTAGTAGAGATGCGGTTACACCATGTTGTCCAGGCTGGTCTCGAACTCCTGATCTCAGGTGATCCACCCACCTTGCCCTCCCAAAGTGCTGGGATTACAGGCATAAGCCACCATGCCTGGCTTCTTTTGTTTTTTTTGTTTTTGTTTGTTTTTTTTTTTTTTTGGAGATGGAGTCTTGCCCTGTTGCCCAGGCTGGAGTGCAGTGGCACAGTCTCGGCTTACTGCATCCTCTGCCTCCTTGCTTCAAGCAATTCTCCTGCCTCAACCTCCTGAGTAGCTGGGATTACAGGTGCTACCACCACGCCCAGCTAATTTTTGTATTTTTTGTAGAGACGGGGTTTTCCCATATTGATCAGGCTATTCTTGAACTCCTGACCTCAAGCAATCCACCTGCCTCGGCCTCTATTAACAGTGATTCCAAGAAAGATTACAGGTGTGAGTCACCGCTCCCAGCCTGGGGTATTTCAAATGACAAAAATTTTTATTTTTATGAGGCCCAATCTATCAATTTTTTCTTTTATGAGTCGGACTTTTAGTGTAACATCTAAGAACTCTTTGCTTATCTCCAGATCCCAAATATATTCTATTGTATGCTTTTTTCTACAAGTTTTATAGTTTTATGTGTTATATTTAAGTTTATGATTAACTTTGAGTTAATTTTTATCGAAGGTGTGATTCGAAGTGCTGGGATTACAGGTGTGAGCCACCGCACCCAGTCTGGGGTCTTTGAAATAACAAAATTTTTTATTTTGATGAGGTCCAATCTGTCAATTTTTTCTTTTATGAGTTGGGCTTTTAGTGTAACATCTAAGAACTCTTTACTTATCTCCAGACCCCAAATATATTCTATGTTTTTTCTATAAGTTTTATAGTTTTATGTGCTATATTTAAGTTTATGATTAACTTTGAGTTAATTTTTATAGAAGGTGTGAGCCTTAGGTCCAGTCAGGTTTTTTTTGTTTTTTGTTTTTTTTTTTCCTATGGCTGCCCAATTGTTCCAGCACTGTTTGTTGAAAAGGCTATTCTTCCTCTTTTGAATTGCTGGCAAATCACCACAGTCAGAATCTCCATGTCGAGCAACACAGTGGGCATCTTTTGGTCTTCATCCTACCTCTCAGCTGCATGTAAAATGATTGCTCCTGTTGTTCTTCCCGAAATGCTCCATTGTTCTTTCTTCATCCTCTGCTGGTTTTACTCCCACATCTCTGACTTCTTTCAATCTCTGTTCCCAGCATACCCTCCTTTGCATGTCCTTTAAATATTCAAGTCCCGCCTTTTATAGATAATTAAACCCATGGCTTCAATTATTTTTTGACGCTGTAGAAAACTTGGACTGCTAACAAACCCAGTTTGCTTGCTCTTCTCTAGTCACATTCTTGTTTCTTGAAGACATCAAGATCACTCTTCATTTCTGCCCACTTACCTTTGCACTTACTGTTCATTCTGCTTGGAATGAATTTTTGGCAGAGTCCTGTGTCTCATTTCCTCACTTTGCTCAGATCTCTGAAACATCCCTTTCTCACAGAAGCCTTGATTGCATACCATAGTACCTCCACCACATCCTCTATCTTGTTGCTGTTTGTTTCACCCTGCTTTCTTCACAGCAGTTTTATATTTCTTCACAGAAATTTACCCTAACTCCTATTTGACTATAGATTTACTTATGTCTAACACATAAACCCTACAATGTCAGGAAAATTGTTACCTGTTCACTAGTGTGTTCTCAGTGCAAGGCACACTTGGTAGGTGCTCAATGAGTAGTCATTGAATAAATACTTCGGCATAGTAAAAGGAAAAAAAAGCGTTGACATCTATAGATCTTAGATCTATTTCTTCATCTTGTGTTTACTTGAAAAAGTTACTTATTTTCATATTTTACCTCTGCAACAGTTACTGTGAGGAGTACATGAAATGACTCTGTGAAACCACCTAGTAGAATGCACAAGCCACAACAAGCACAGAATCATCTTGTCTTGTTATGTTCTTTTTCTTCTCACAGGATATACATTCTTCCCTTCCCTCTATTAACAGTGATTCCAAGAAAGATTAGAAGGTTATGGCTCTCTTACTAAAAACATCTTCGCTTTGATTAGTAGTGTATTGTTGTTCTGTAACCTATAAAATTTATTTAATAGCCTTCACATGGCTCCTAATATTGTCAGTCTGTATTACTATGAGGGTGTAGAGAGCTCTCTTTGAAATAATTGCCCTGATCCTTCCATTATAAGCTTTTGGAAGAGCACTCCATGTAATGATTCTGGTATGCCAAGTGAACAAATCTTTAGGCATGTTATCCATATCCTTCATAATTTGGTAAGGTTAAGCAAATGCCTTTTTAAAAAAATCCTTCGTTATCTAAGATTGTCAATTTTTAAAAGTCCCTTTCACTCATATATTTATCTGTCCTCTATGGAAACTGTTTTCTTCTACTTTGATATATCTCTCTGGTGTTGTGATTAGAACTGCATTGAGTTTTCTGTTATGAGAGCATTTGCTTTTATATCAATTCTTCTTTTCGAAAAATTTTATTATTTTATTTCTTTTTTATTATACTTTAAGTTCTAGGGTACATGTGCACAACGTGCAGGTTTGTTACATATGTATACATGTGCCATGTTGGTGTGCTGCACCCATTAACTCCTCATTTACATTAGGTATATCTCCTAATGCTATCCCTAACCCCTACCCCCGAAGCCAGGACAGGCCCCAGTGTGTGATGTTCCCCTTCCTGTGTCCAAGTGTTCTCATTGTTGAATTCCCACCTATAAGTGAGAACACGCGGTGTTTGGTTTTCTGTCCTTGCAATAGTTTGCTGAGAATGATGGTTTCCAGCTTCATCCATGTCCCTACAAAGGACATGAACTCATCCTTTATTATGGCTGCATAGTATTCCATGGTGTATATGTGCCACATTTTCTTAATCCAGTCCATCATTGATGGACATTTGGGTTGGTTCAAAGTCTTTGCTATTGTGAACAGTGCCTCAATAAACATATGTGTGCATGTGTCTTTATAGCAGCATGATTTATAATCCTTTGGGTATATACCCTGTAATGGGATGGCTGGGTCAAATGGTATTTCTAGTTCTAGATCCTTGAGGAATCGCCACACTGTCTTCCACAATGGTTGAACTAGTTTACAGTTCCCACCAACAGTGTAAAAGTGTTTCTATTTCTCCACATCCTCTCCAGCACCTGTTGTTTCCTGACTTTTTAATGATCGCCATTCTAACTGGCATGAGATGGTATCTCATCGTGGTTTTGATTTACATTTCTCTGATGGCCAGTGATGATGAGCATTTTTTCATGTGTCTGTTGGCTGCATAAATGTCTTCTTTTGAGAAGTGTCTGTTCATATACTTTGCCCACATTTTGAGGGGGTTGTTTGATTTTTTTCTTGTAAATTTGTTTTAAGTTCTTTGTAGATTCTGGATCTTAGCCCTTTGTCAGATGGGCAGATTGTAAAAATTTTCTCCCATTCTGTAGGTTGCCTGTTCACTCTGATGGTAGTTTCTTTTGCTGTGCAGAAGCTCTTTAGTTTAATTAGATCCCATTTGTCAATTTTGGCTTTGGTTGCCATTGCTTTTGGTGTTTTAGACATGAAGTCCTTGCCCATGCCTATGTCCTGAATGGTATTGCCTAGGTTTTCTTCTAGGGTTTTTATGGTTTTAGGTCTAACATTTAAGTCTTTAATCCATCTTGAATTAATTTTTGTATAAGGTGTAAGGAAGGGATCCAGTTTCAGCTTTCTACATATGGCTGGCCAGTTTTCCCAGCACCATTTATGAAATAGGGAATCCTTTCCCCATTTCTTGTTTTTGTCAGGTTTCTCAAAGATCAGATGGTTGTAGATGTGTGGTACATCAATTATTCTTAAACAAAAGTGGGTTGAAAGTGGGGATGTATCATAAATAACAGATGAAGGTTTTTATTTATATAAATATCACCAGTCCTTTGCCTCTTTTCCTACTTTGTTCTCTTTGAGAATCCCTGTTTTTAAAAATAAGGAATGCTTTTATTTCCTGCTGAATTGTTTTTCATGTTATTCATCTGACAAAAATTTGTATATGGCCTTCGAGTCCAAGTAGGCTATGGGTTCACTGTCAGCAAGTCACTTTCACCATATAGCAACAGGGAGTTCAGGGCTTTCATCACGTACATACAGTTTGGATTTTGCTCCTCATAGTAAAATTATCTGTGAGTTTTCTGCTCACCCTACCTAATATCTTCCCACTGTGGAAATAGGAAGCAGGCCCAAGCCTGTAAACATCTGTTAAATTAATCTCTCTAATCTTTGGAGATGCTATAGTTTGGTTATCTCAATACTATGATTAAACAATTTCAGTGGCTCTCCATTTTATTCAAATTCATAGGCAAACTGATTGGCTTACATTCAAGACCTTCTACAATTACAGACTCAACTGGCCAGAGGTATGTCCTTGTACCCTGCTCCATGTTACTGTGTGTGCTCTGGCTAGACTTGATGAGGGTTTTTTGTTTGTTTGTTTTTGTTTTTTAATTGCAGAAACAACACTATCCTCCTCTTTTTTTCTATACCTTCATGTGTGTTTTGCTAAACATCTATAATAATTTTCCTTCATCTTTACTTATCAAGGTCTCATCCATCTATGAGGCCAAATGCAAATGCTACCAACTCTGAACAACAAAGAGGTCAGGTCTTTCATCAAATACATGTGGTTTAGATTATGATCCTCTTAGTAAAATTATGAGGTTAAGTATACTCCCTTAATATAGTCCCACAGTAAAATTATTAAGGTTATGTATACTTCCCTAGCCTACTTTATTACTTTGTAATTTTCTTGTGATATTTATAATCCATTATTTCTTTTTTATATATACCTTCTCTATTCAATGTTAAACTTCTTGAGAAATACTTGTATAGTAGTTACATGGTAGATATTTACTGAATGAATACATAAAACAACTCTTAGAGTTGAAATTCATTGTGTCAAAGAAAGTAAAAAGAGAAAGAAAATAATCAGGAAGTGGCTTGATGATCACTTTGGACTTAATACCAGTATAGCACTCCATTATATAAGCATCTGATTAAAGATAGTGGGCACATGGTAGGGAACTAGAGTTGTTTGGATAGCCACAGTCTTAGAAGAAACTCCCATCTACACGAACTTTACAAGGAGAGGTATTTTTTTAACATGTTTTTAACATAATTTTTTAACATAGTGAGAAATTTAATTATAGTTCTTCACTTGCCATAACTGGCACTTTACATTCCCTTGATGTTATCATGCAGAAACACAACTCTTTACACCTTATATTTGCCACTTGTATTTGAGTGAGTAACTTTGAACATATTTCACTTAAAATTTTTACAGACTAGTTCATATCGTGAATATCTCTAAGAGACTAATTCTTCCTATTAGTAGGATAAAATAAGTAGAAATCTTAGCATCATAATCTTTCATTCTAGAAGGCTCTCATTTTGGTAGTGTTAAAATTTTTCACAGAAATTAAAAATTGTTTAAAAAAAGTAGTGAAAATCTTCAAGACGTTCAGAGAAGATATTAAAATACCACAATAGAGATATTTTTGCTCTTGTTAATAAATTACAAAACATTAAGCAAGAGAGTGGAATTTCCTAAAGATAGAGGCACTTTAGCATAAAAACTTTCCTTAAATGTGTAATACATGAAGATGTTTAAAACACTTTCACAACTATTATTTCATCTGATCGTCAACAACCCTAGAAGGCAGGTAGGAAAATTATTATCCTTACTTTACAGCTGAAGAAATTGAGGCAATGAAAAGCCTAAGTACTTTTCAAATGCCACATGGTCACTTAGTAGCACAATCTCACTTGGGTAGAAATAGTTGTTATAGATACCCAGAAAACTGAGGCAATGAAAAACCTAAGTACTTTTCAAATGCCATATGGTCACTTAGTAGCACAATCTCACTTGGGTAGAAATAGTTGTTATAGATACTCAGAAAACATGAAAAATATTACCTAAAATATGAGATAAAATAGAAAATACCTTGTACTTTTATTACTTACTTTTCTTTTTCACTGATTAGTAGAATCATTTTAATTTTAAATTTTGGAAAATTTCAAAGAAAAATAAAACGCATTTACTTTAAAACTGCTCTAAAATTACTAAATAACATCATGATGTATCAACAATAATTATTGCAGAAGTAACATAAAATTCATTAAAATAGAACAATAAAAAATTTAACCTAATTTATCAATAAACCTGTGGTCATTGTAAGGAACCAAGAACAAAAGATGATGAATAGAAGTAATCCAATGAATATACAAACACAGATAATTAGGAAGATAAATAGATCTCAAGGGAAGTAGCATTTATTAAAGACCTTAGTATATGCAAATGATTGCACGAATATTTTCTCTTTTGTTTTGCTAATAGTCCTAAGAAACAAATAACATTATCTCCAGTTTCTATTTATAAAAACTAAGACCCAGAAAGAAATTATATTACTTGTGAAATTCACAAAGCTGACGTTCAAACCCAGAACTAACTCCAAAGTCCATGTGCTCCCCCATATTACAGCATTATATCTCTTATTAACACTCTTGAATTTTATAACTTCCTACCCAAAGCCATCCTTGATTTGACAATGCCCACTTATTTTAATAACATGGCCCCTCTTCAAATTTTCTCACTTCAAAGAGCTTAAAACCATATACTCCACAATGACGGAACCTTCTTCCCCCACTGGCCTCAGATATAATATTGAATAGTTCTCTTTCACTGGCTGGCTCTCCAATAAGTCTTGCATTAGAGAGAACTTCCAGGGATCTGCAGTTTCTTCATCCTCAAGGAATTTGTTGGGTAGCCATTCTCATACACAGTTTGGGAATATCACTCAAAAACAAGCCACAGATTTATATCACTCATATCCAAGCCCGGCAGGTCTCTCAGGGTCTTGGTCACTCTTTGTGGGACTATTGTATGTCAGTAATATATGATGCATTCTGTGCATTATTTATTGCATGAAATCCAATAGGTTATAATAAACTCAAAGTCTAGATTTGGAAACATATATTCTTCTGGTTCCTCAATCTCATTAAGAGTCTCAGGTTTTAGTCTTAGCCCTTCCTACCAATTTTTCTGGGCTTTATTTTTCTCATGTCTAAGGTGAGGGGTTTGACCCTTCCAATACTTTCAGAACTTTGCCATTTCTAAATATTTTAGAAACATTATATCATAGGTTATCCGTCATAACTCTGAGGTAAATAAAATTATTATAAATTGCACTTGACAGAAAAGAAAAATTAAACTTAGGTTATATGACAACCCAAGGTCATATAAATAATAAATTGAGACCCATTGTCAAACTAAAGATTTTGAACATATATTCCTAACTCCAAAAATCTCAAGTCTACTCAGATCTTGAATTTCCATCAATGAAATTGTATGAAAAAATTTAAAAAATGAAATAAAATAAAAATAAAAAATAAAAATTATATAAAAACATAACACTATTTTTAAATCCCCTCTAGAAACTTTGGCTAATGAAAAGGCCACAACCTACAGTTTATTAACAGTAACGTATGGAGTTAAGGGTTTTCTATTTTTTTTACATGGTGTCCTTAGAGCATATTTTCAATTTTATATGCAATTGCCGGGTTGCAACTGGACAAAGCAAGTAAGCTCCCTTAGAACTAGGTAAAAAGTTCTGTCAAAGAAGAATAATTTGATGCAACAGGAGAAGGACTGGTCTTGATGCATTTAAGATAAAACTCTAAACATGTCTTTGCAAATCTTTATTATTAATGCTTATCTTGAAAAGTAATTATTTGCCCTTAAAGAAATGAACCTACATAATATAAATCCCTCTGGGTCAAGAATCTCTCATGTGAATACTTGTCTAAACAATTTTACAAATAGGAATTATTTGTTCGGTGTCATATCATTTTCTCCTGAGGTTACTCTCTATTATGAGAAACAGGTTGGAATTGATTAATGGACTTTTATTAAAATAGCTAGGAAATCTTAAGTCTGAAGCAGGTTGCCAATGTATGTTCTGACTTAGGTCAGTGGGAATCAAAAGTATTATTGTTTAGCAGATGTTCTGTCAGCAGTTGTCTGGGCAAAATGCTGTAGTTCATTTTCTTTGTATGTTTAAAACACAAGTTTCCATAACTGACAAAAATATCTTTCTGATGATCAAGGATGAAAGTCTAAAAATTATGTGAATATAAAAACTCAGAAATTGCTAAAGGAGGTTCCCTGTGAATTTGGTTTGAGGCTCCTCAGTAGGGGAGGGTGATGGAGGCTTAGCCACAGCTATACACGCTGGGTTTGTGTTATGGAAAAATAACTTTAGCATTCAATAGATCGATTTAATGCCAGCCACAATCATCCTACTTGGCTTGTGAAAAACAGCATTTTGATTCAAGAGATGTGAAAAAGCTTTTTAAAGAGTTTAATGTAGTTGCTGTTTTCTATTCATGTCCCAAGTTCAATTTTAAACTGAGAGGAAAGGGGAGAAAGCAAAAATGTATTCTGGACTGGTACCCTGCTATGGTTTCATTCACCCATGAAAAAAGCAATAATAAGACACTCTGTCATTCTCATATAAAACATATCCATTCCTCCAATTAGGGGTGCAGAGAATCCTGTGATAAAAATATCTACCCAATTTCAATTCAACATCAAGATACGTAGAATATAAGAACATTTAATAATGGATAATTTTCTTAGGTTTAGAATAAATGACTAACCTGAAAATGTTGTCTTTTAAAAATATTCAATTCTAAATTTCCATAACATTTCAGAAAAAAGTAAGTTTAGTTTTCCTAAATTTATCAAACTATGACATTAACATGATGGCATATTCTACAAATAATGCTCTTTTTTTTTCTTTCTTTTTTTTTTTTTTTTTTTTTTTGAGACTGAGTCTTGCTCTTGTCACCCAGGCTGGAGTGCAGTGGTGAGATCTCGGCTCACTGCAACTTCCACCTCCCGGGTTCAAGCGATTCTCCTGTCTCAGCCTCCTGAGTAGTTGGGATTACAGATGCATGCCACTATTCCCGGATAATTTTTGTATTTTTAGTAGAGACAGGGTGTCACCATGTTAGTCAGGCTGGTCTTAAACTCCTGACCTCATGATCTGCCCACTTTGGCCTCCCAAAGTGCTGGGATTACAGGTGTGAGCCACCGCACCTGGCCACACATGATATTCTTTAAAAGGCAGACATTTATAAAGTGTTGTTTTGCAAGAGTCCTTGGGCTTAAACTCAATGAAATTGGCACCTTTCCTGCATTCCTTTATAGACAGGCAAGAAAGCCAAACTGCAATGCTATGTTTCTCTCTATCTTGGCTCCGAGCTCCAGAAATAATCATCAAAACCACACCTAGATCACTTGTTCAGTCATGTAGAGAAGAACTTGAAAAGAGAAAAGAAAATGTTGGCTCCGATATTGTGCTCAAATGAATCAAAGAGTGGAATTCCACATTCCCACTTAAGTATATCATGTTGCTCTGAACTTCAAGTATCCCAGGTCAGGTGGAGGCAAACCTTCCAAAGATTGGATTTAAAGTCCTGATTCTGCCTTCCCAACAACAAAACAGATAAAGTTTGTTGTTGTCGTTGTTGTTCTTGTTTATAGTAATGCCCCCAAATCCCATGTAGAATAGGTGTGGCAATTTATATTATGACTCCTTTGGGAATTTATCTACCTGCAGAGATTCTTTCTAATTGTATCAACATTCTCCATACCTTCATACTTAAGAGATGCTTTATTGAATTTATGGAAATAACTTTAAATGGTTAACCATTAGGTGGGTTTTGTTGAACCATTCTCATTCTTATAAAATACATGTTTTGAGGGAAAGAGAAGGCAGTTTCTCCCTCTTCACTTTGTCTCAACTAGTGAAAGGAATGAGGATAAATTTTCCTCTACTGATATCTCAGATCATGTAGATGCTAGGGCAAGAAATAAAACAAAGGTGAAGTCGCCATATTAGAGGACAGTGAAGGTAGAAGTGTGACTTAGTAAGAAAATGCTAAACTTTGGGGTAGATATTGCTGTTAATATGTTGTGGGTCAACTTATTACCAGCTCGATGGCTTCAAGTTACTTAACCTATGAAGCCTCCATTTCTTCACCTGAAGGATAGAATCAATAATTCACTTTGCCATGTTATTATGAGAATTAGAGATGATATATAAAAAGAGAAATACATGTTTTTATCTCATCTAATTTCACATGTTCAATAATTAAGACCTGTCCAGACCACGTAACCTGCTCAAGGTCAAATAGTTGAAAATGAATGAGTGAGAATTTAAAGTTAAGGGTCATTCCAAATTCCATGTTATCAACCAGTAACCTTATAAGAGCTTTGTGGTTAAGGGAAATCAAAGACATTTGCTAAATTTTAACTACTAATAATAGAATAAAACAAAGCATTTCATGTATACTTGTTGATGGTGATTACTGGTAATGTCAAGATGAGAATTTACAAAGACAAAACATATACACATGAGACATGGCAGAATTAGTTCATTAGGGAACTTACGCCTATCTTAGAGAACCTTTGTTCTATCTGATGTCCTTTCCCTGCTGGCCCCAAAGAGGCCAAATTTTTTTCTATTTCCACCTTTGACCTCATCTAGAATTTTCTCTAAATTTCATTCTATGCCCTCAGAAAATCATTCTTACTAGTTTTCAGAAGACTCATTTATGTTTGCTTATGGTTCTGGCCCATGTAGCCACCAATATCTATCACCTAGCAAGACAACAATTTTCAGAGGCAGTTCTGACCCCTATATTAGGCAGGATTGTTCTTGGCCTTCAAGGCAGCATTCTGTAGGGTCAACTTTGCAACTCAAGCCTAGCATCCCATCTGCCTGGTAAGGCTTGAACATGAGTTCCCACTAAACTTTAGTCTTTTCAAAGACAGAACCGGCCAAGTCCCTACAGGAATCCACTGGCACCATTTCCCCAGCTCCATTTAGATCCTTCTCCAAATACTAAAGAGGTTATTTCTCAAGGCATGGCTATACTTTTGTTACAATGGAGAGTCCTGGGTTTCCACATATTCAGAATTTTTGAGGGTGACACTCAGGAATCTGAATTTTAAGCAAATACATCATGCAATTCACATATATTCTACAGTTTGAAAACCATTACCTCAGAGCCACAATTCCATGGTTTGTCTAACATTGAACATCACCAGTGTCTGAAGTCTCTCTACTGGGATCCATCAGCATGATCCCTTGGATTCTGGATCTGAACACTCATTAAAATCAATCCTAAATTATCTGTGCTCTTCTATGTTATCTATAATCTTGCCGTCAACCCACTGACCCTTCTGGCCAGCCCTGCCTTCTCCTTTCTTCCCACTAGTCCATGCTGTCAAAGCTTCTGCTGACCTAAGTCTGAAATTCCCATGTGCCTTTTGATGGCCTTTACCCCAACTCACTTCTCTTTTTAATTTGATTATTCTGTCTCTCTTGCCATTCTAATGTTTGGATGCTCTGTGCCTTTTGTGTCTATTTTTTAGCACCAGCAGCCAGGCTTTCATAGTTTTGTGCTGCCCATTACCAAAAGGAACACATGATCACATTTTTACATTTCCACAGGAAAATTCATATCCAGCTAAGAAATATTATTATAGAGGATTTTCTTTATTTAATCATACGTAGAAGATGTCAAATAGTGTGGTAAAGTGTAAGGCGACTCTTCATCTATTTGGATTTTGATATTCTTTATTGTTTTGTTTTACAAACCAGCTTTTTTCTCAACATGCAGGTTATAACCCATTGGTGGTTCAAGGAATCAATTTATGAGTCTCTACCACACAAAAAATAGCATAACAAGAAATGTCAGTTTTTATTATATGCAGTAAGAATATCATTAAATGAAAATATTTAGGAACATGTGTGTATTTGTGTGACTTTTGTCATGATGAAAATTGTTTTAATTTTTAGTTGTGAATCATAAAAAACATCAAAGCCACTTCTTTACATTTCAGAGGATTAGCATAGTCTTCTACATGCTGTGAGGTCAGAGTGTCTGTTTATGTGAACGCTGTCTCTCCAGGGAATCAAGCTTTTTTATTTCCCCAAGTAAAGCATGTGTTCACTACAAATCAATCAGAGCTTAAACCCTCCATTCTGATTGTGCTTTGTCTAACTTAATAGAAATACAAACTGCTGCCACATACTGTATTTAGTCTACTATTTACTCAACTGTTTCTGTCTCAATTTTGTCAACTGTAAAAATAAACATAATATCAGGGTTTTGTGAATATTAAATGAGATAACTTAAATGAAGAGCTGAGAATAAAGGTTTAACATATAGGAAGTCATCAATAAATGCCAGCTATCATTATTTTATCATATTGAATGGTATAAATCAGATACAATTTTTAGCACAGTTCAATGCAAATAGGAAAAAAAAAGAAAGCATTTGGCTCCATGTCTTGGAGTCTAAAACTACTGTAAATTTGTCCAAAGTTTTTTGGAAAAGCTGGGTCTTTTGGAAAAGCTGGGTCTTTTGGAAAAGCCACAGAGGGAATTTCAAGGACAGATGGTCTCTGTTCAAGCTCTTACCAGATTGTTTAAGACTAATTAGCTATTGAGTGTCAGCCAAAACAAATATGGATTTCCCTGTGATATTTAAAAACACACTCTCCTATAAATTGAATATTTGAGGTTATCCTCCTGACAAGCATGGAATGGAAAAAAGAGGCAGGAAAAATGAAGAACAGAGAAAAAGAGAGAGAGAGAATCTAGTTACCTTCAAAATGGATTGTATTTTATTAACCTATTGTTGTTTATCTCTGTGCACCTTTCTTCTTCATTCAACCTGTGTAGAAGGAACAAGCTAGTCTTCATGTGAAGGAACAAACCAATGTGTGTCTTCAGCTACCACCGTCTGTGTTTGTTTGCTGTAACTTAACCCTTACAATTAAAGTGCTTATGAATCACTATGACTGCAATTAAGCGTTGAGTATATAGTAGTGGATATGAATTTAAGAGCCAACCCCCTCCGCTGCTCTGTTCTCTTTGCTATATTTTGCCTGGATGTGTAAGACCTGGGAAAGTCTGATCGTTTTCCCATGGCCCGGCCTCTTAGAGACTACATTATATTAAAACAGGTTGCTTATCTTAGTTAATGTTTAGAGAGTTTTAGAGAACTAGATTTCAATATTATCTATGAAAGCTAAGTTAACTGACAGCTTTTGATTGCCCAGTGGTAAGGCTTATTAAACAATTATCCCATTGTGTTCTCAATAAGCCCGTTAAACTGCCCAGGCTTCTTCTAGTCAGTTGGGAATCTTGCTCAAAAGCTTCTTCTGTTTGGACCATTCGAGTGTAAAAAGAGAAAGTAATGATTGTTTTGTAATCAGTTTGGTTCAGTTAATTAAAGATTGGATGTGAAATTAAGGTAGGGGGAGAAAGCAGAGTTGTAAGAAAGAAATGGCTAAGAATGTGCTAACTCAAAAAGTAGAAGAAGATGGCTCAATTTTATTAATTTAAAAACAGTTCTAGCTGTGTTCCTAACATGTTTTCATGGAGTAAGGCTAGTTTTCATGGAGTAAGGCTAGGAAGCATAGCAGAAAGACACAAAGAGATGCAAACGTCTAAACAAAGGGAAATATGGACACTGTGAATTATATAATGTAAATCATTTAAAAATTTACATGAGAAAATATTATTTGTGAAAATAATAAAATTAGAAGAAAATGATTAGTATCCCATGGTGCCCTAAATAAAGAGATACTTTTTGACTAATACTTTGAATTTATTAAGGGTACCTGCGCGACCCAAGACTAACCAGCTATAAATTACTACTAGTGCCACCTGGTGTTGGAATGCCTGTACTGCAGCTATGTATGGGATGTGTACAGGTAGACTGCACATTCCTGAGAAGAGTCTGCAATGAACCTCTGAGCTAATTCACAGGGATGACTATGATGAGCTTATAAGTATAGGTCAGAAACAACAATCGTTATGAAGAAATGACTAACTTGAAATGGTATCTACTTGGATCCGTACAACAATTTCTTTACCTCTTTCCTGGTCATTATGTTGAAATTACAAATAAATCTGTGTTAAGACAATAGCTATAATTAAATAGAATAAACTGTAAAAATTAGATTGAGAGTTAACATGTTTGTTGTGGGAAGTCAGGGACCCCGAACGGAGAGACCGGCTGAAGCCACGGCAGAAGAACATAAATTGTGAAGATGTCATGGACATTTGTTTATTTCTCAGACCGGCCAACACTTAGGGAAAATAGAAAAGAACCTACGTTGAAATATTGGGGGCTGGTTCCCCCGATACATATTAGTCACATGTTTATTCTTTATCTAGTCTCAGAATTATAAACACAACCTGAAATTACCTTAACACTAATATTGCTTCGTGCTATATTCTAGCAAAAAGAAAAAACAAAAACAAAAAAACAAAACAAAAAAACACATAGGGAATATGACTGTGTAGCATAAGGCAATTTAATCCAAAATTGTAAAAATATGAAAGGAGATAGTCAAGAGACTTAAAATATTTCAGCTGCTGAAATGATTATGATCTTGAGTAAGCATCTCTTATTAACAATTTAGGAATAGTATATTACCTACTACAAAATATAAGCACTGAAGAATTAAACAACCAGGAACTACAGAATGTATATGTACAACAAAAAAATAAATTTCATCTTTCTCTTTATTGTATTACTTTTTAAATCAACTACTAGCTACGTTTATTAGGCATGCAGAATTGGAAAATTTCCAAATTCTTACTGGTGAGAAGAGTTGAACTATTATATGCAATGCTCTGCACAGATAGAGACCATATGTTGCTGTTTCACTACATTACTCATATGCTTTGTATTCACTCTCCTTATTCTTCTCCTCAGTCATATGGACAACTTGCTTCTAGGACTAAAAATATCAGCTGTTTTTGTTGTTTGTTGTTGTTGTTGTTCTTGTTGTTGAGACGCAGTCTCTCTCTGTCGCTCAGGCTGGAGTGTAGCGACATGATCTCGGCTCACTGCAACCTCTGCCTCCCAGGTTCAAGCAATTCTCCTGCCTCAGCCTCCTGAGTAGCTGGGACTACTGGCGTACGCCACCACACCTGGCTAATTTTTGTAATTTTAGTAGAGATGGGGTTTCACCATATTGGCCAGGCTGGTCTCAAAGTCCTGACCTCACGTGATCCACCCACCTCAGCCTCCCAAAGTGCTGAGATTACAGGTGTGAGCCACTGCACCCGGCCTACACCAGCTGTTTTATATTCCTTGGAGGCTAAAGAAGAGGGAATAGGGAAAGTGATGGCTATTCAGATGGAGGGATGGATAAACACCTTCTCCCAGGCTTTGTAAAGAGTTAAGGGCCGGGCGTGGTGGCTCACACCTGTAATCCCAGCACTTTGGGAGGCCAAGGCAGGTGGATCACCTGAGGTCAGGAATTCGAGACCAGTCTGTTCAACATGGCAAAACCCCGTATCTACTAAAAATTACAAAAATTAGCTGGGCACTGTGGCAGGCGCCTGTAATTCCAACTACTCGGGAGACTGAGACAGGAGAATCGCTTGAACCCAGGAGGTGGAGGTTGCTGTGAGCTGGGATTGCACCATTGCACTCCGGCCTGGAGACAGAGCAAGATTCCGTCTAAAAAAAAAAATAGTGAAAGAGAGAACTTTGAAACCAGTCCACTTAGCTTGAGGGCAACTGCAGAGAGTGAACTCAGGGATAGTGACAGGTACAGCAGAAAATGTGTGTGAAGATTGAGAAGTGTGGGCAGGATGAGAATAGAACAAGTGTAGCAAGCAAGAAAAGCTGAAACTGGAAGGGAGGGAAGCACCAAGCAGTGTGAAGTGATGTGGCCATGAAAACAGAACTAAGAAAAGGGCTCAAAGAAGGGAAATTATAAAGATTTGCAGAGAGAACAGCAAAATCTTTATAGAAATACTAGTTGTTTGACACTGATTAAAAAGGAAGGAGGAAGAATCTAATGCATCTTTTTTTTTTTTTTTTTTGAAATGGAGTCTGGCTCTGTTGCCTAGACTGGAGTGCAGTGGTGCAATCTTGGCTTACTGCAACCTCTGCCTCCTGAGTTCAAGTGATTCTCCCTGCCTCAGCCTCCCGAGTAGCTGGGACTCAGGTGCCCACCACCATGCCTGGCTAATTTTTTTTTATTTTTAGTACAGACGGGGCTTTGCTATTTTGGCCAGGCTGGTTTTGAACTCCTGATCTCAGGTTATCCACCCGCCTCAGCCTCCCAAAGTGTTGAGATTACAGGCCTGAGCCACTGCGCCAGGCCTAATGCATCTTTAAAAAGGATGATAGACAAGAAACAATGATAAAAATAGTAAATTAGAGACAGCTAATCATTCTCATCTAGAGACATGGCTAACTCAGAGATTGTTGTTTTAAACCTAATTCTCATGAATTTGTATTTTTAAATTATAATTTTAAATTGTTAATATGTTTAATGATAATATACATACTTATACAGAATATTTTCCATTCTTAGGATTTTTAATTTAATTGTTATACATACTTAAAAGATTATTATTTTCAAGCAAATATGTTTTTCTCATAAATCTCTGTGTAAGACTCCTAACTATTTTCATGTGAAGAAACATCTAATTCGAGGGTTGAAAACTCAAAATGTTTCAGAGGCTTGGTAAGTTGTACAAATAAATGCATGAAGTGGCTGGGTGTGAAAATGATGGCAATGAAGGGAAAAATAACTGTTCGAAGAGCCCATCCCTGCAAAAGGTATTCACATCGATCAAAAGCAGATTTCCACAAGCAAAGCAGGAGCAACAACAGGAAACTACTGGCCTAACCAAAAAAAAGGAAAAAAAAAAAAAAAACTAGCAGAACAGACATAGCGGTGGCCTACTTGGCTAGATAACGGTGGCTCCTATTCTGATGTTACTACCAGAGTTAAAATCTAAATTGATCTGTTTGCTAAATGCTAACACTGGCCTAGTCTGTCAGTAACCTGAACTACCTAATGGAGAAGGGCTGACATGAATTGGCAACCTGAATAGAAAGAAACATAGTGAAAGCACTTTCTTGTTTCTAGGCAGGCCCATTTCATCATAAGTTGAAACCGTAAGCATATTTAGGAGACTTTATTTTGCTTATGTGTACACATTTTAATGCAGAGTTGACACTACTCTTCCCAGTATTTACTTAGTAACCTGTTAACAATTAAAGAAAGTGGCCGGGCTCGGTGGCTCACGCCTGTAATCTCACCACTTTGGGAGGCCGAGGCGGGCACATCACGAGGTCAGGAGATGGAGACCATCCTGGTTAACACGGTGAAACCCCGTGTCTACTAAAAATACAAAAAATTAGCCAGGCATGGTGGCGGGCGCCTGTAGTCCCAGCTACTCCGGAGGCTGAGGCAGGAGAATGGCGTGAACCCGGGAGGCGGAGCTTGCAGTGAGCAGAGATCACGCCACTGCACTCCAGCCTGGGTAACAGAGCGAGACTCCATCTCAAAAAAAAAAAAAAAAAAAAAAGTGAACAGGGTATCTCCAATTTCGGTAAGCTTTCCCTAGCTCTAGCCTTTTTCACTCTTATTTCAGCCAAATTTGCAGTTCATTAGTAGCAGAAATAACAACAACAACAACAAAAAGCCACTCATTATAATAGATATATCTGCTTCATGTAGCACGTTTTTTATATTTTACATACTGATTGGGGGAAATAAATAAATAAATAAAATGCACCTTACAAAATATGCCTTAAAATTAACCTCTGGTTAAATGAACTGGTTATTATGCACAAAGAAGCAATAAAAGTCAGGCTTAAAGAAAGTTTCAGAAAGCATGGCACTGAAAGCAATAGTGGCAGACATGATACATTTTAACTTGATTTTATGCTCCTTGGTTTCCTAAATAAGGAACTGTGAAAGTTAAATAGCTCCTGGCTGTGTTTTCCTTGTTTAGCCCTCATATAGCTGTTTAAGATTAGTTTAGAGTAACGTCCTTAATTTACAATACTTTGAGATGAACCATTTTTTTATAAACTTCTACAAAGGAGATTGTGCCCCCCCCGAATTGAAATGTATGGTAGGTATTACTTTTTTTCTTCACTGTAATTTTACTATGAAAATTTGAATTGCAATATTAATGGCCTGCATCTGAATTCTAGTGCATATCTATATCTTCTTTTGAGCAGAGTACATTTAATAATGATGTTCTCTGCTACTGTATGGACTTTGAAGCGTTAACAAACATAAAGAAATTTCAGTATAACAGAGCGAATGTCTCTCATCAGTTGCGTCAAATCAGAAATCATTGCACCATTTGCCATAGTTTTACTCCTATAGTTAATTACACAGAGTTCTGACTGATGGAAATGCTCTGTCTGTACTGTTCATGGTAGCCCCCACATGTCACTATTGAACAACTTAAATGTGGCTAGTCTGACTGAGGAACTGAAATTTTGTTTAATTTTAATTTATTTAAACATAAACTTAGGTAGCCCCAGGTGACTGGTGGTTATATTGGACAACTCTGCATTAGATTAAAAGCATCTTGAGGGATGGGCCCTTGTTTGTCCTTGAGTCTCCCATTTTTATTGTTGTTGTTGTTACACAGTAAGTGCCTGAGACATCCTGATTACATTACAATAATGAATGGTGGGAAAACTGTCATTCACCCATGTTATTCCCTAGATTACTGATCTTTCAAATTGTATCACTCAACAGAATCTAAAATGAATAATATAACAATTGTTAAGTGTACATAATTGTATGAAACAAACTTGGTTTCAGAGAGCTTGGTCACTTATAAAATATTTCACCTTGGGAGAGTTACTAAACTTAATAAACTCTAAGAATCTTGGTTTGCTCATCTGTAAAATGGAACATAGATATTGTAGTCTTGTTCTGGTGGTTAAATGATATTGCCTCTGGAGAGTTTATACTCTCATGTGCTCACTAAATTTAGCTTTTATTAGTCCTAACACAGAGCACTCTACCACACATACAGAACTTGCAACAGAAATGTGTTCATTATGAATTGAAAACTAAATAAGTGGAAATAATTGTAAAGGTTTCATGCAGACTTACAAAGATTGTAAAAATTGTAAGGAGCCCTCTTAAGTTTTGGGATTTACTTAAAGCCAAGGTAATTGCTTAAATGTTCAAAGTTGCAGCACTTAGAGCAAAAGATTAACAAGTTTTTTTAAAAGCAATTGTCACTATTTTGAGAGCTGTGTGAACAGCACGTGAGACAACCACAGCACAATTCATTCCAAAGTCATATAGGGCAATGAAAAGAGATAGCAGAATAACATGTACTCCCTTCAAGTCTTATTTTAAATATTGTCTTTGTGCATGAATTTTCATACTTGTGATTGTAGTTTTATTATTTTTTAATAGTCTATGCCAAAATTAATTTCAAACCATGGCAGGTAGAAATCTTCCCAAATCAAGGCAGTATGATGGTGTGAGGTTTTAACTTTTGAGCAGAAAGAAAAGTATCAAATAAAACATTATCTTAGAACCTCAATTCATAAAACTGATACAAGTTCCTTGGGTCATTTATATCTTTATTTTGGGGGCCTGACTATTTCCTTGTCTATGGATGTAATTCCATTGGCTTGGATGTTAAGATGGAGAGGCACATTGTTTAAAAAGCACTAATCTTCTAGGAATAACTCCTAAGTTGCAGTGCTTTTCCAGAGCCTGATTTATCATCAATGTGTAACCCAAGGCAACAGGCCTCTGAATTCTCTCTGTGCCTCATATGTAAAAGTAGAATATATGTGTGTATATATTCTATACATACACACACACACACACGTATGGTTTGAAACTGTTATAAAATGAAAGACAGCCCTCTTAACAAAAATATTAACCGTCATGTATTTTTATTGACAAAACTATGTGCAATGTAATCTTACATATGACCACTTGGACATTACTTTTTCCCACCAAAATTTAGAAAAGCATTTTGTTCTCCTTCCTGGAAAATAATACTTTTGGGTCAAATGTTATAGTGGAAAAATTTTTGTCTTTAGCCAGTCATACTAACAAATTCTCTCACTTTTTTTGGTTGCCAGCTCTAGTTCAGAGGGAAGGGTTGGCATCAGTGTAGAAGCCTTGGGACCTAGAATAACTATTGAGGGA
Source organism: Homo sapiens (assembly GCF_000001405.40). Lineage (NCBI taxonomy): Eukaryota > Metazoa > Chordata > Mammalia > Primates > Hominidae > Homo > Homo sapiens. The sequence continues at coordinate 54,711,750 of NC_000006.12, read as the reverse complement.
TTTTGTTTTACTCCCTTTCTGTCTCCAGCATCTTGATGCCCCTGGCAGTACCTGACTTTTAATATGAATTTAAAAATGTGCATTAATGAATGATCAGGCCGGGCACGGTGGCTCACGCCTGTAATCCCAGTACTTTGGGAGGCTGAGGCAGGCGGATCACCTGAGGTCAGGAGTTCAAGACCAGCCTGGCCAACATGGAGAAACTCCATCTCTACTAAAAATACAAAAATTAGCTGGGCATAGTGGCATGCACCTGTAATTGCAGCTACTCGGGAGACTGAGACAGGAGAATCGCTGGAACCCAGGAGGTGGAGGTTGCAGTGAGCCAAGATCACACCACTGTACTCCAGCCTGGGTGACAGAGTGAGACTCCATCTAAAAAAAAAAAGAAAAAAAAAAAAAGAAGAAGAATGATCAGAAGAATGGGTCAAGAAATATTTCTCTCTGTTGATGGTCCTCACACTAGAGTGTTCATTAGAATTACTTGGAGGCTTGTTAAATCACAGATCACTGATTTAAACCCTACTGTCAGAGTTTATGATTCAGTATATCTGGTATGAGGCTCAACAATTTATGTCTCTAACAAGTTCCCAAGTTACACTGATGCTGCTGGTCCAGGAGCACTTTTTGAGAGCCCTTACTCTATGCAATGCTGGCTGGTTCGTGGAAGAGTCAATCCTTTCTTTTGGCATCATCAAACTCTACTCTCAGAGTTTATGATTTAGTATATCTGGTGTGAGACTCAACAATTTGCATCTCTAACACGTTCCCAAGTTACACTGATGCTGCTGGTCCAGGAGCACTTTTTGAGAGCCTTTGCTCTATGCAATGCTGGCTGGCTCATGGAAGGGTCAATCCTTTCTTCTGACATCATGTTATAGTTAACTGAACTAAAGGCTCATCACAGATAGAACGTATACTCGAGTTTGGCTTTTCCCTCAGAGCTATTGTTATGACATGGGGTTGACCCACAGAATATTGAATTAAGTGCAGAAGTGGAACAATATAGTTTGACATGAACAGAAGGACACAATGAGGCATGATTTCTTACAGTGAAACTCAGTGGGAACAAACAGCTGGGAAGATAGTCAATAAGGATTGGTTGAGTGCCAGGACATTACACTGGCCTTTCAGTAAAGAGGCACAACTTGTCCTGCAGCAATTATCACAAAACATTTCATTCTCCTACACATGCCAAGCAGTGGTGCCCACTGCTTCTTCAAACACAAGGAACAACAGTATCAGTTCTTGTATACAAATTGACATTACAAAGATATCCTATTTGATAAGAAATTTGAAAAAGGAAGTTTGAGAATGCTTGCTGAAATTAAATAGGACACCTGGCTTGAGCCTTATAAATTCACTGGCCTCTGCAGACAAGTGGAGACATCAGCTTTAAGCTCCAGTTATCTCATGTGATTAATATTTAATAATGTGCTGAGACTGATTCTGATTAATGATATGACTTGACATTGTTTCGGAAATAAAGTCTAATAATCCAACTGAAGATTTTTTTTATGAGGTTTAAGGCATTTTCTTACCTTTTTCACTTGGAGGAAAATTCTATTTTCATTCACGACACCTATTACATACTACAACAGTTTAATTATCTCCAAAAATGGCAGAAACGTCTTTAACTTACTTATTTCAGGCCAGGCCAACTTTTTAATGCAAATTTCATTTCTGATCAGTGCAAAGGGACAGCCAATACTTGTGCTATCAAGCGCTGGTTCATGTATTGTTTGCCATATGAGTTATTAGCCTGTCATTGGACTGTGCCTCCATAATTTTTGTCAGCTTTGAATCTTTCTAATTTTTCCTCTTTCTGACAAAATATCAGATATTATGTTTGGTTGTCCAATGCTTGACTAACAGGGTAAGATAGAAAATATTTCTCAGTAATGGCCTTTAGATAGGCTTTTAAATCTGTCCTGTATGGACAGACATTTGTATCTACAAAATTGCATATTTCAGTGGCTACTACCACTGCTATGCTTTAGACTCACTTGAGGAATATTTTCTTTTTAAATATAAATTTGAGGTTCTCATTCTCAGACCTGCAGAATTAATATCTGCAGCAGGAGCTCAGTAATCTGGAGTTTCTTTAATGCCCCATTGGGGTAACTCCCTGCCTTAAGCCATCCCTAGTGACAAACTCCCCCTCCCATGTAACAATGATAGCCCAATTACATAAATATTTATTAATGAAACATTGACTATGTCTTTTAAATTGTGCTAGACCTGTAAAACCAATGGTCATAGAATGTAAGATGGTTTCATTTTGGTCTTGTCTAACTCATAAAAATGAATAAATAAAAACTAAATAATGGTTTGCCCTTAATTTAGTTAGAGATGGTAAAACTTCAGAACTTAATTCTGGAAGTGATAATTAAGCTGTGCCATAAAGGATGGTTAGTTTTTCTCCTCGCCTCCCCTCTCCTCTTCTCCCCTCCCCTCTCCTCTTCTCCCCTCCCCTCTCCTCTTCTCCCCTCCTCTCCTCCCCTCTCCTCCCCCCTCCCCCTTCCCTTCCCTATCCTTTGCCCTCCCAGCCCCTCCCCTCTGAATATTAGATTCTGGTGAATCTAATCTAATATTCACCAGATTACAGTCATAAGCCACCACGCCCAGCCAAGGATGGTTAGTTATTCTTAAGAATAGATTGAGAAGAAGAGAGTGTAAAACAACAAGAGAAGAAGTGATCATAAGCAGAATTAAGAAATAATATATCCTGAAACTCAAATGAAGAAAGCTTCCAAAAAGAGAGAGTAATGAATACTGTTAAACACCAGGGAGATCAATGAGACCAGGGAGTACCAACCTGAGAGAAGCCCTTTGAATTTGGCAGGAGAACAAAAAGGGAGATAATTATAAAGTGAGTAACTTAACTTCCTAAAAGATTTTTCTCACCAAATTACTATCAGAATTCAGAAAAAGGTGGGGAGCATATAAACAGACAGATTTTAGATCCATGCTTGTTCTGAGTAACTATCAGTAACCAGAGAGATAGATATGTGCCTCTGCTCTGTTTATTAAGGGATAAATGCAGGGATTGTGACCAAACGTTTAAGCCATTGTCACATTCCACTGAACAGAGCAGAGAATGGATTAATTAGCTCAATAAATATTTATTGAGCATCTTGCTATATGCCAGAGATAGAACAATGAAAAAGAAATAGAATCATAGCAGTTTCAGCTTGGGAAATACTGTTGAGATAACATAGTCCAAGGAAAGGCTTCCTAGTATTTAATGTGCATACGAAAAAGCCTGGAATTTTGTAAAAATTCAAATCCTGATTCCGTTCTTCTGGGGCAGGGTCAAGAATTCTACATTTCCAGGAAGCTCTCAAACAGTGCCTGTGGTGCTGGAAGGTGGACCAGACTTTCAGTAGCAAGGGCAGGGGATTCTAAAAAGAGTCTTCAGATTGGCAACACCTGAGTCACTTTTGGATAATGTGGATTTGTAGTCCCCACTGCTAGAGATTTTAAATCAGAAGTGGCGCTTTCAGGCCAGGCACAGTGGCTCACACCTGTAATCCCAGCACTTTGGGAGGCCGAGGCAAGTGGATAACTTGAGGTCAAGAGTTTGAGACCAGCCTGGCCAACATGATGAAACCCCGTCTCTACTAAAAATACAAAAATTAGCTAGCCATGGTGGCATGCCCCAGTAATCCCAGCTACCAGGGATGCTGAGGCAGGAGAACAGCTTGAACCCAGGAGGCAGAGGTGGAGGTTACAGTGAGCTGAGATCACGCCACTGCACTCTAGCTTGGGTGACAGAGCAAGACTCCATCTCAAAAAAAAAAAAAAAAAAAAAAAAAGGCACTTTCAAAACCATGAGTAATTCCAAAGCTCATTCAGGTTTGGGAACCATCCAACCATCTCCCTTTACAGAGGAAGAAATTGAGTTCCAGTAAATAAAAATCTGAACCACCATGATTTGATTTAGGTCTGTTGACAACTATTAGGTTTCCTGAGGGGATCCAAATAATAACATCATCTTTTCCACACTTGGTTTCTGAACAAAATGTAAAACAAGACAAACAGTATCATCTTTATTACCGTTAATGGCTAAGTTGGAGAATATAGCTTACCAAGAAGGGCTGCATAAGTTATCCCAGAATTGGGTGGTCTGAAACAGCTAGTCAGAGGTACAGGTGATGCTGGACCAGAGCAGACCTTCCTACAAGAGAGATGAGCCTGGTCACTTTACCTTGAAGGACAGTGATCAATGTATGCTTGCTGTGAGCAGTTAACTTTCAAAAGGAAAAAAGGCAGAAACTAAACTAAAAATTCCCAGTTTTGTTTTGTTTTTAATTTAACCAATGAGATTATGTCACTCCTGGCGAGGAGTAAGTGAGAAAGAAATCAGAAGAATCACATTTCCATATGGAGAGAAACATCAGAAATGGGGATGATGCATCGGCTATGAACTGCTGCTGTGATGCATCAGCTGCTGCGACCTCTTTTCCCTGCACTGGACAGCCTCCCTACAATGGATCAGGCACTGAAAATGAAGAACGATGATAGGTTGAGGTGATATTTGTGAGTTTTCTATGCTAGCTGTGATTTAGGACAGTGCTTCTGAAATATTATTCTGTACAAAAATCACCTGGGGATATTGTTAGAATGCAGAATCTGATTCCAGAAGTCTAGGGAAGGCCCAGAGATTCTAGATTTTGAAGAAACTTTCCATGTCAATGACCACACATTGAGTAGCATGAGAAGAGAATCCTTTGTTTCAGCACTCAATTCTCCTTCTGCCTCAGACTTGAAAAGGAAGAATATCAATAGGTGGTTCTTGTCTTTTGTATTCCATGAAGTTGCTATTTAAAATTGCATCTTTGTGCATTGCCACCCCATATGTAATATTTAGAGGGAAGAAACCTTGTTACTAATAAGAAAAGTAAAGATCAATTTCTTACCCCTTTATATAGAAGAGAAGTTGAGAGGGGGAAATTTGCTAGCCCCAAGTTATATAAGTCATAATAGTTGATATCAAAGACTGAAATAAAATCACTTTCTTCTGAATCCCAAGCTAGTGTCTTTTTATTTTTCTATGCCATTTGCCATTGGCAGACTGACGGTGACTTGTTTCTGCTTATATACAATGACGTTGTACTAATACCATGCAATCATGCTAAATCAGATTTTTTGGGTTGCAGAGGAATGTCTGGAGAACCATGATGTGATTGTTTTAAACATTTCTCAAACATTGCCACAACTTAATTTAGCACAATGTGTTTTATATCCCAATCCAAGTCAGAGTTACAGCTCCTTTATTTTCTCTCTTTCTCAGGAATCCTCTTTATACGAGGACAGCCATAGGCCAAGTTATATTGAAGTTTAACTTGGGTTTCCCATTTCCCCTCACTCTCTATCTGTCTCTGTAAGTCTAGACTGCGAGTCAACTAATCGCTGATAAATTACTAGCAGAAGCATATGCCCACTAATCAAAGGCAATAGGAGCACCCACCCCCTTTAAGTCAACATAGTTGAGTTTATTGGTACTTGTGGCACTAAGGGAGAACACACACACTGTTATACTCTTTGTCTGGAGGATTTTAACACTGATATCAGGCTAAAATTCCTTTTTATCCCTCAGTTTACTGTTTGCTGATAGATATTTAAAGGTTATTTTTTATTAATGATGGGAATAGTTCTGTGGCAGCAGTTTTACACAGAGGCCTTCAAAACTAGCTAAGTAGGCACTCATCTAATTTATTTGTTCTTGAAGATAATCACGCCTTTAAATATTAAGTCTTTCTGAAGAAAAAGGTGAGGTAACTTTAGGAAAGATACATGAGGTGTTCACCTAATTTCTGTTTTAATTAGATTTTCAAACAACCTATACACAGAATACTGCTCAGCTAAAGGTAAATGTATGTATTGGGGAACTAGTAATTAAATTTAAATATAGAGATTTCATATTTTTTACTGTTGAAGTTTTAACTCTATAATGAATACTAATAGACTAATTTCCTGTTTTATCTTTCAGAAGTTGATATTGACTAGGAAATCAAGTTGTAATATTAAGAAATTCAATGAAGAGTAACCCAGTGAAAGAGATAATGTAATTTATGTAATATTTATATAATAGATATAATTCTCTTTAATGATTTGAAACTAGGCTCAAAGAATTTTAACTAAAGGTTAAGCTTTTAGAGTAATAGGCTTGAAAATAGCTGCCACGGAGCTTATTTCTCTTTAAAATTTGGGTTACATTTCAAATTTATGATCTATCATGTGTAAGGTGTTGGCCAAAGATAAGTAATATTATGAAACCTATCTCATCTATGTAAAGAGCATTTGTCTATTATCCTTTCATCTATCTACATTCAATTATTGTAAAAAGTGTGTAATTTTCAGGACTTGCTGTCAATGTCAAATGATTGCAGATCTATTTCTGTCCCTTACTTTCAGCTGGTTCTCAGCTTGCTAAAGGTCAAAATTTTCAAACATTTACCATTCTAAATCAAAATGGGTAGCTGCTAGTTTTTGCACAATCCTAGTAAATGGTCTTGAGTCAGAGTTTCTTTTATGTTACTATTTTCATAAACATTTTTGCATTCCTAACCCCTCCTCCAAACATCCACTTGAAAATAAAATCACAAATAGTATGCTAGATATTCGAGGAGTCATGCAGAAAAAAAGAATATCTGTAGGCAAACCTTCAACCCAGCAACTGTCAACTGAAGTGTGACTGTTCAATCTTGAGGCCCACTGCAGCATGATCCCATCTTCCCACTTTGACCTGATCTAGAACTTCTCTCCTGAGACGACCCTATTCTTTTGTTAAACCTGACTTCACATAATGCTTTGGTCATGCCTGGGTTGCTTCTTCTTCACACATTTTCTCAGTCTACTTATTTTCCACGTATAAATTTACTTTCTCATCTACATCACTTTTTTGTTATTGGAATATCTTTCATTTAGGCAAAGATTTATGTATAAGAAAGGATATCTTATTACTACTTATGATAACAAAAAAGGAAAAAGAAAATCAATGCCAATATGAGAATTAATTGAATTAAGGCCTACCCATAACAGAAAATATTATCTAGCCATAAAATCATCTTTTCTTTAAAGGTGCATGCTTTATTCACTCTTTTCTGTCTTTTTCATTTTTACTTTTTGTTTTGAAATAATTTAGACTTTTAAAAAAGTTGTAAAAACATCACATGGCATTTCTATATACCTTTAGCTCAGCTTCCTTTAATGTTTACAGTTTACATTACTATGGTACTATTATCTAAACCAGGAAACTAACCAATCTACAGACCATATTCAAATTTCACCAATTGTACTGCTAATGCCAGTCTTTCTTTGTTTTTGACTAGACATTTTGAAGAATATTTGCCAAATGTGTGTGTGTGTGTGTATACTATATATTATTAGTATTATATCCTAATCGATTAGGATATAATACTATCTCTCAGTTAAGGTCTGTCTGATGTTCCCTTGTGATAAGATTGAGGTTAAGCAGGTAAAGGATGTGGATATGTCTTACTGGAGATTCAAAATAACATGTTATAGAAACTTAATGGTAATGAAAAATGCTCAGAGTATAGTTTTAAGTAAATTTTAAAAATGTAAAACTGTGTGTTCTATAGGTTCATTACTCTGAAAAAAATTTATAAAGGAAAAATACAAAGCTGAAAAATGTCAGCAATAGTTGTCTCTGAGTATAACAATTATTTTAAATTACTTTAAAAATATTTTTATGCATTCTCCAAATTTTATCTAATAAACACACATTGCCTTTACAATCAGCAAAACATAAACTTGACTTGAATGCCACCTCTTCTGTGGTATTTTGTGATCCCTTCTGCTGGAAGTTCTCTCTTCTGTTTCTTCACACCTCATGTGTGATCTGTATTGTATATTTCCTACACTACACTTATTTGTGTACTTTGATCTACTAGAACATAAGCTCCTGGAGGGCAAAGAGCATGTCTTTTTTTTTTTTTTTTTTTTTTTTTAAGACGGAGTCTCGCTCTGTCACTCAGGTTGAAGTGCAGTGGCGCCATCTTGGCTCACTGCAAGCTCCGCCTCCCGAGTTCATGCCATTCTCCTGCCTCAGCCTCTGGAGTAGCTGGGACTACAGGCTCCCACCACCTCGCCTGGCTAATTTTTTGTATTTTTAGTGGAGAAAAGGTTTCACCATGTTAGCCAGGATGGTCTCGATCTCCTGACCTTGTGATCTGTCTTATTGAATGTTAAATTGTCTGCGCCTCTTATGCAGTGTCTTACACAGAGAACATATCAAAAACTGTTCACTGAATAATTATTTACTCATGTAATTTCCATTTGGAATATCTCTTCTTTTTTTAAATATCTCTTCTATTATCCCACCACACTTTAAGAAAAGCAATTAGGAATGTGGGAATGTTTTCCTTCACTTTTACCTTTATATCTATTTTTTTTTTTTTTTTTTTTTTTCTGACAGGGTCTCAAGTGTCGCACAGGCTGGAATGCAGTGGTGTGAACACGGCTCACTGCAGCTCAACCTCCCAGGCTCAAACAATCCTCCCACCTCCGCCTCCCAAGTAACTGGGACCACAGGTACACACCACTGTCCCTGGCTTATTTATTTTTATTTTTGGAGAGATGGGATCTCACCACATTGTGCATATCTAATATGTTCTTATTGCATAAACCAGCAAAAGTCTTTAAGGGATTAAGAAAAGAAAGCCAGTTAACTAACTGTTCCTTTCTGGCCACAGAAGAATAGCAGAATAAAGCTAAACTAAAGAAATGTGATGGTTAGCGTCAGTAGGAATGACTAGTCAGCATTAACTTATTTAATCCTTTGCAACATCCTCTTTCCCCACTGACTTCTTTCTCTTTCCTCAACCAACGTGGTTGAGACTGAAGATTTTTAAACTGGACCAGCACTCAAACAAATAATTTTGTCATGAATTCGGGTCACTTGCATTAGATTGCAATGTAATAATGACTCAGGTTATTTGAAACTTCACCTATCAGAGGAATTTAAATGTCAGTTTTAAAATATAGGAAAACATCATAATTCAGTTACATTGAAAATATTCCTCCATATTGGTCTGTTTTTAAAACCATTGACCAAAATAGAGCACATATGTCATTGTAGCTGACAGTAATGAAAACTAACGATAGGGGATTACATGCCAAGTACTTACTATGTGTCAATGACTTCACATACAGAATCTTATTTAATCCTTGTAAAAGCACTACAAAGTTGGGCTTATTATCCCCTTTTACATACAGATAAGAAAATGGGGGTTTATGCAAATTATATAAGTAAAATAATAAAATGCAAAACTGTGTATTCAGTATATTCATAATTTAGACACGCATGCACACATGTGTGTGTGTATGTGTGTGTAATGCGTAGAAAAAGGATCTGTGGACCAGGCATGGTGACTCACACCTGTAATTCTAGCACTTTGGGAGGCCAAGGTGGGTAGATTGCTTGAGCTCAGGAGTTTGAACACAGCCTGGGCAAAACGTCAAAACCCAGTCTGTACAAAAAATACGAAAATTAGCCAGGCATGGTGGTGTGTGCCTGTAGTCTCAGCTATTTGGGAGGCTGAGCTGGGAGGATCTCCTGAGCCTGGGAAGGTTGAGGCTGCAGTGAGTCAAGATTGCGCCACTGCACTCCAGCCTGCGTGACAGAATAAGACCCTGTCTCAAAAAATAAAAATAAAATAAAATAAAATAATAAATTACTGTAAGTGGAAGATTTCGATATCAAGATCTGTCTAAATCTAAAACCAATTTCTTTTTTTCTATGATAGGGTTTCTAGATAATGCAATATATCCTTCTAAGTACAGAACCATGTGCAAATTGTTAATATAATATTTGTTTGCTTCACTGGAAGAGTTACTACAATACAGCTATGTTTGCTAGTTGACATTCGGTAGGCAGGACAATGAGTGAAGTGGGCCTCAGTGCAGATTATAGGGAGTGGTGCAGATGGTTGAGAGCTGGAAAGCACTTGCCTGCCTAGTCCTAAGGCAGAATCCTTCATACAGTCTCAGCCTATGTCGGCACCTGGAATTATGGGCTCAATATTGCTGCCCTTCTGATTTTTCAAGGGAAGCAAGAAATTAAGATCTTAATAGTAAAAGTATTATTTCTCCATTTTTGAAAACCAATTCAAATTATTTTAAAATGCTATGTAAGCGAAAGAAATCATGTTGGTTGGTCACATATGATTGGCTCTTTTCTGTCCTTTGTGAATAATATGAAAAAAAATGCCTTACTCTAAATCACTATAAAATCTAATTCATTATAAGAAAGATTATTAAGATCAGCAGTCAAGCCTATATTAATTTAGCACAGCATATTTTCTGGTGAAAATAAAGACACCTAAATGGCTGTTCAAAATTGCTGCCCCAAGCTGTATCACTGGATCGTTTCATTCCTTCTTCCTTTCTCTGTTTCTTATCTCTCTGTTTTTTTTCCCCCTCCTTTAAGAACCAAAAACTAATGCCATGCAGAGTCATTTAATTCATTTTTGTTGCCTTGATTTTGCTCCTAGGGTCTCTCCTACAAAGCCTAACAAGTTATACTTTTAAATAAAGAGAGTACTCTCCCTAAAAGATATTCTGGTGTCAAGGACAAAATTACCTACCTTTCCCCATCTATAAGATTTAAAAATTACACTTCATTCAGGTAATTTTTTAGGTGTTTTTTAAATATAGTATACTTTCTCATATTTAATCCATAGAGCATGCATGCTCATCTTTCAGCTTCAAAAGCAGAAACCATGATTCTTAGGATCACTAAAAGGAAAGTAACACTTCTTTTCTCCTATTAAAATGCTTAAAAATTATATTTTACTTTGGAATAATTTTAATTAACAGAAAAGCTGCAGCGATGTTAGAGTTCATATATACTCTTTGACTGGCTTCTTTTAATGCTAACGTCTCGCCTGGCCATGGCATATTTGTCAAAACTAAGAAAGCAACATTATTACAATATATTAACTAAACGAGACCAGCCTGACCAACATGGTGAAACCCTGTCTCTACTAAAAACACAAAAATTAGCTGGGCATGGTGGGGCGCGCCTATAATCCCAGCTACTCAGGAGGCTGAGGCAGAAGAATCGCTTGAACCCAGGAGGGGGAGGTTGCAGTGAGCCGAGATCATGCCATTGCACTCCAGCCTGGGTGACAGAGTGAGACTCTGTCTCAAAACAACAACAACAAAAACAGATTTTAATTGGATTATATCTATTTTTTTCCACTCATATCTTTGATCTGTTCCAGGATCCAATCCAGGATACCACATTGCTTTTAGAGAGTTATTTTTAAGGAAGTAGCTGACTCATGAAAGCTACATCAGCATAGGATTTTTAAAATGAAGTTAATCATTATTTCTGCCTTATGACGGAAATGATTTTCACCAGCACTCATGTGTAGCATTGACAATATTAGGGTGTGTGGTTACTCTGAGATAATGACCCCTCCCTTCTCTCAGGTGCAATGATTCTGGGCAGGCAACAGCATCACCCTTCCTCTGAGCAAATTATTTAGTTAAGCCACACATCAGCCCTCAAGTAGTTACAGGCTTTACGGTAAAGAATTTTGAATTATGTATCATAGCTTAGAAGATAAATATTATGTGAGATCTAATTCTCACATAAGTCATAATAACTTGATATTCTTTTTAAAAACATACTTCAAGAGCAGATCTTTTGTTTTCTGAATACTGGATACAAAATTTGGCATATGGCTTAAAATATATATATTATTAAGGCAATATATCATGTTAAAGCCTTTATGTTATGCATTATGTGCCTGGTGTCAAATTAGCCAGAATTCAAAGTGAAACAAAACAAAACTTTCTTCTAAAAACCTGGAAAACAAAACAAAACAAAGCCAGTTCTGTAGTTAGAAACACTTGTAAAGCGTTTGGTTAAAATATGAACCTACTCAAAGATCTAATATATTAATGTAAACAATATACCTAAAAAAGTAAATATAGTTTGCTGTGTTTTCCTAACATAAATTGACCAGAGAACTGTTTTTCTATAATCACACCTATTAACTTCTCACAGAAATAAAACTTGAGAAATGTTGGACAATATATTTACTTATTGACTCCAAATTGAACAGAAATTTAGAATTGTGTTAGTTCAAACTTCTACTACTATAGGATTCTTTCACAGGAGTTTAATCAGCTTCTGCTTTTAAAGGCACGTAGACACATGCCCTTCCACAGCTAAAAAGTTCTCATTAGAAGAAAGAAAGCATGTTTTTTATTATGTGCCTGAATTAACCTTCTTTTAACATTCTTCAATCATTCCAAAGTCACTCCTCTAAGGAAACGTAGAACCTTTCACATAATGGCAACTCAAGACTTTATTTGAGGTTGATACTTTGAGAATTTATAATAATTTTTTCCTGGGCTGATAGCAAAACCTCTAGTGCTGCTGAATGTGGCTTTAGTCACATGCTTGCTTGCTTTTTTGGAAGATTTTTTTTTAAGAGGGTGGAATGATGAAGTAAGGACGCCCTAAGCATGAGAATGTAGGCAGGTATAGCAGGTTTGACAGCTGTCTCACTCATTCTGAGTTGAGCAAAGGAAATTCCTACCCTGCCCACGTCTGATAGAATCACAGCTTTGGGGAGACAGTTCAGAGGTCTTTTTGTCTTTGAAAAAAGTCCCCTGCTATTCACTGAGGGGAAACCCACAGCAAAATGCTGATACTCTGTCTCAGCAGAATAATCATCTGCCTCGGGGAATCCTAGAGGGAGATTCAAAAGCTGTGATGGCATAGCATTTTAAGAACATATTTGACTAAAAGAAAGAATTTCCTTACTTATCATGGACTCTGAATACTTTCTGAATATCTTTCTGAGGCTGAAATATTTATTTTTATTTTTCACTTTGATAATATTTCAAAGATTCCCTTGAAAATTAAAATCTCAGTGCCAATCTCACTTTAGAATCATTTTTTCTCTACAATATGATGAAATCATAAATTAGAAAAAAAATACAATGCGCATATAGATATGTGTGTCATATAAGCAGATGTGGATGAAAGTGCTATTTATTTAGAATCTATACAACTTTGGCAACATCTACAAATGCCTAAGAGAGAAAATCTGAGGTTACAATCATGGTATTATGTTTCTAGAGATACTGTAAAGTTAAGCACTGGATTGTGTGACTCTGAAGAAGCGGTAGGGAGACATAAGAACAGCAAGATCTAGAGCCCAAAACGGTGGGAAGTCTGTATCATCCATCCACAATCACTCCCTCGATAAGGCAAAACAGACAGGAACGACTTCCTCTACCTGCCACACTCCAACCCGCTCAGGCTCTCTGTTTTCTTTTCTAACTTCTTCTTCCAAATTTCCCTTGATATTTATTGTAACTGTTTCATTTTATAAAAATTTCAGTTGGGTGCAAACAAGGAGAAGCCACATGTAATAATCTGCCCCATGCCCACACCTGTGTAGAAAGAGGAACTGTCAGTCTCTGGAAGCTAGGGATAATTGAAGAACCAATAGGTCACAGTCTTAGCTGGCTGCTCAGCTCACCTTTGCAAGACTTTCCTGGGTCCTCCAGGACTCCTTGTCCAATTTTATTCTTCATTTGGTTGCTCTAAACCCTTATCTATTCCTAAAATCTTATACCTTACATCCACCCACTTACCAGAGAAGCTGACTGAACATTTTAACAACAATAAAAAAAAAAAAACTCACAAAGACTATTAGTAGTAGTTTCTGTCTGTGTCCCTTTTTCCTATCTCCACACACCTATATCCATAGTCATTCTTTTCTCTCCAAAGGACATGGATATCCCTCTTTTATGGGAATATTCCTCTGGTTGTCCCATAGAACCTTTGGCCATTATTTGTCTTCCACTCCCTCCATGACCTCGTGTCCCTAAAATTTTATTATTTCTCCATTGAAGCTTTCTTCTAAAGTTTGCTCTATCCTAAAGTGAAAAAAAATTTTCCCTCAACATTGCTTCTCTCTCTAAACCACTATCCTGTCTCTTTCTGCCGTTTTAAAAGTGTACCCTCATCATTCTGTTTTCATTGTTTTCAACATCTGCTTGCTCCCTTCCCACTGCAATTTGGCTTGCATTGTCAACACTTCACGAAATCTGCTCTCTCCAAAACGCCAATGCCCTCTAATGGTCAAATTCAATAGAGTCTACTTTTACCCACATTTCAGAGCAATTGACAGATGAGAACATTTATTTCTTGAAAAGCCATTTCTTTTTTGTTGTCCAAAAAACTGCTCTCAAATATTTCCCCTTTCAATCTACCTGTGGACTTCTCAGATTCTACTACCAGCTCTGGCCTTATGGACTTTAATTTGTGGATTCCCTATGGCTGATTTTATTTTTACATTCACAACATATCCTTGATAAGTGAGCTCATGTACTCCTATGCAGTAGTTAGCAATGTTCATCTGCAAGGAAAAAGACCTAACAAAGTTCAGGAGCTTGGCTAAGTAGGGGTTTACTTCTTCTCATGCAACAAGACTAAATCAGATAGGTAGTTGCTGGTGTTCCTTAGAGATCTGAGGTGTCAAAGTGAATTTCTCTCCTTTAGCCAAGATGACTGGTGCATGTTGGCCACCCCTTCCACAGTCCAGGCAAAAAGATGTATAAATAAGCCAAAGTGGAAAAGAGGATAGAGCCTTAAATATGACAGCAGACTTTCTCAAAAATCCCCATTAGAGTTCTATTTATGTTTCATTGACCATAATTGTGTTGCTGGCCACATCTAGATGCAAGGGAGTTTGGGAAAGTGACATTGCAAAAATGATGTGGAAATGTATATGGAGTTAATCAACCTAGAGTATATTTAATAACTTCACCATCCTTAAGAATGCAATAGAAATGATACTGGCTGTGTAAAACATTACTTGATCCCTTATGTGAAAAAACTTAGCACTCTGTCGCCCAAGCTGGAATGGAGTGGTGTGATCTTCGCTCACAGAAACCTCTGTCTCCTGGGTGCAAGCGATTCTCCTGCCTCAGCCTCCTGAATAGCTGGTATTACAGGCACCCCCCACCATGCCTGGCTAATTTTTGTATTTTTAGTAGAGATGGGGTTTCACCATGTTGGAAATCTCTTAGCACTTTGGGTATATTTCTTTTAGAGCATGTATTATATTGCTGTAGTTTTTGTTCTTTGTCTATCATCATGGCCCTTACTCTCAACCTCCCAATCAGATTATAATCTCTTTGATTGCAAACAAATCAGTAGATTTGTGACTTATCAGTGCCTAGTACAATAAAAAGTATATCTGTAATTTATATATTATATATATAATTTTTAAAGTAAAATTGAATATTCAATGACAAATATCTAAATTCTAATTATAGTTATTGATCTTAATTATTACTATCTTGATTATTCTGATGTAGATAATATTTTAACTTGAAACTGAAGCAAAGCATAAATCATTTAATACTTTACTACTGGCCCTTCTTAACTCTCAATTTAGTGTTAGTGTAATATTTCAGCAAGCTCAGGTTTATGTCTTTTTTAATGTTCATTTTGTGTTTGACTTCCCTTTTCTCATCACAGCTGCTTTTGTCTTTTTGATCCACTTACTATTTGGAGCCTACAGCAATTGTACAATAAATCAGGCACCTACTTTCTATGATACAAGAACTATACTATCTACTGCTTCTTTGTGCCTTTCTGTTTGATGGGAATATGTGTTACTGAATGTTTTTGTTACACTTAGATGTTTGGAGACTCTTTATGGAGGGAACTAGAAACGAATGAGGGTTTCTAGAAAGAGGAAGAGGAAGTAGGGAAAAGAAGAAAATACTTTTTGACCAGAAATTTGCAAAGCTGACAGTCTTTTCAATTATATTTTCCATTTAACTTATATTTTTATATTCAGCCTACCAAATATGTTCCTTTCCAGCATTGTCATGATGATGACGTCAAATGTCACGTAATGACTTCTAGTATTTTTGCTTAATGACTTCTAGTATTTTTACTCATGTTTCACTGTTTTAGTATCAATATGGTTTGAAAGTGAAGTGTCAGGTGCTCTTTTTATATTTCCAACTCTCTGTTTAGAATTATGTCAATTTAATGTCTTATTTAGGAATAGCCTTTGCTTTTTTTTTAAATATTAGCTGGAATATTGTTGAAATAAATGATCGTTGAATTATTCATTTAAAAATATTGGTAAAGCTTGAAATGTTCTTGTTTTTAAAGAAATAAAAGAACTAGTATAGTGTCAAAAAGTTTTGTGAGGAGCGTGTTAAGAAATCATTTTTCAACCATATATACTACCATAGCAATATAGAATTTGTTACGTGAAAACTATTCATATAGGTTTCTAGCGTTGAAGTAAAATTAAAATAAAGACCAGGCCTGAAAAATTCCTGAGCAAACAAAACTAACTAGGCATTAAGCAATTGCCTTAATCTTGCTTAAATGCAAACATAAGCAAAACTTGAGTCATTTCTGGTAAACACTTGTGTTAGACAAACAAACAAACAAACAAAACTTAACATTAGCCAGTCATAAGTACTCAACTAACATATGGTTATATGACTAGGGGCATTTTTATAACTGCAACCAATCAAATAATTTCTTTATTTCACTTTCATACTCACCCTATAAATATTTGTTTCTAATGCTTCATCATCAGAGCAGGAAACCTCTTTCAGTTTGGTGATTCCCAATTCATGAGTGCTATTTGCTCAAACTATAAAATTTTATTGTGCCTCAGATTTTTCTTTTGCATTAGACTATTGTATTAAATAAATAAGAAATTCACTTTTTTGGATGGTGTGAACACATACTCAGTGCAATGGTGTGATCTCAGCTCACTGCAACCTCTGCCTCCCAAGTAGCTGTGATTACAGGTGCCTGCCACCAGGCCCAGCCAATTTTTGTGTTTTTAGTAGCGGTAGGGTTTTGCCATTTTGGCCAGGCTGGTCTCAAACTGCTGACTTTAGGTGATCCACCCACCTCGGCCTCCCAAAGTGCTGGGATTAGAGACGTGAGCCACTGTGCCCAACCCCAGTGTAAGGCATTCAGATAAGCCATTTAAATAGTCTAAATTAACATTTTCAATTTTATTTAACTAGGGTTTTGCCTTCTAAAATTGTGACATTTAAGGTATTTTTTGATTGGGAAAAATTGAGATTATTATGTACTTATGATAATATAAAACAGAACCAAATATAATATCTTCAAATCATTGTAAGTTGTGCATGTAGCAGACATAACGCTGTTAGTTGTACTTAACAAGGCTCTCTAGGAGTTTAGCTATGGAGGCTACGACAGTTAGCTTTGTGTGTCAACTTGGCTAGGTGATAGTACCTAAATATTTAATATTTAATATCAGTCAAACACAAATCCAGGTGTTGCTATGAAGGTATTTTGCAGATTTGGTTAACATCAACAATGTGGGTGGGCTACATTCAATCATCTGAAAGGTTTTAAAAGCAAAAACTGAGGTTTTTTACAGGAGAAATTCGGCCTCAAGACTACTACATCAACTCCTGCCTGAGAGCTTCCAGCCACCTGGCTTGCCCTATGTATTTCATACTTGCCAGCCACCATCATTGTGTAAGCCAATTCCTTGAAATAGCTGTCTCTGTATGTATGTCTCTCTCCCTCTCTATCTATCTATATATGGACATACATACACATAGAGATAGGGAAAATAATGACTGATACAGAGGCCAAATTCAGCTTCTCTGCAAAGCCATGGCTGATATAAAGGATAAATATAAAATAATATAGAATTCTCTTTGTGAACAAGAAGTGTTGAATTTGCTCATGACCTGACGATATCCACATGAGTAAGACAGGAGCTCCTTTCCGAAATGTTTACATGGTGATCTTCTTGTCATTCAATTCTTTTTTTTTGGGGGGGTGGAGTTTTGCTTTTGTTGCCCTAGCTGGAGTGCAATGGCGTGATCTTGGTTCACTGCAACCTCCGCCTCCTGAGTTCAAGTGATTCTCCTGCCTCAGCCTCCTGAGTAGCTGGGATTATGGGCGTGTGCTACCACACCCAGCTAATTTTTTGTATTTTTTTTTTTTTTTTTTTTAGTAGAAATGGGGTTTCACCATGTTAGCCAGCCTGGTCTCGAACTCCTGACCTCAGCTGATCCACCCACCCCAGCCTCCCAAAATGCTGGGATTGCAGGTGTGAGCCACCGCACCAGGCCACTGAATTATTTGCTCAAATATCACCTCCTTACCAAGGTCCTTTCAAATTACCTTCCATAAATATGCCCTACATACCAGTTGTTCTCTATCCCATTACTTTGTTGTATTTTCTTCATAAGACCTATCTGAAATGTTATCAAAAGAGAAAGAAAAACAACACTGTAGCTTGTATTTAATCCCCTTCTCTCTTATTGCCTCACCACAGCGCCTGGATAATAGATACAATTAGCCTTCAGTATCTGTGGTTCCACACTTCCAGATTCAACTAAACGTAAATTGCAAATAATAAAAAATAATAACAATACAACAAAAAATAATAAAAGTACATATACAACCAAACTCCTGTTGAAATTTTAAAAATAGCATTTACATTGTATTAGATATTACAAATACTCTATATATTATTTAAAGTATACAACAAGATGTGTATAGGTTATATGCAAATACACCATTTATATATAAGGAACTTATGTATTTATATTAAATATTATTTAATACTTATATATTATATAATATATAAAATTACATAATTATATTTAAATATAATATAATATAAATATTAAAATATTATATAATTATATAATATATAAAATATATTAAGGAACTACACCATTTTATATAAGGAACTTAAGCATTGGTGGGTTTTGGTATCCTCCAGGGTCTTAGAACCAATTCCCCGTGGATACTGAGGGTTGACTACTACCTTTTCCAGACTCCCTTTCGGCTAAACATGTCCCTGTGACCCAATTCTGTCCAGTAAGTAGGAGGGTGCTGAGGGCTCGTTTAACTTTCTGCTAAAAGTAAACTTACAAGCAAAGAGCTCCCTCGATCTCAGATGAGATGTCTAGAGGTGTAGCATTCATCTTAACACCTGAAAATAAAAAGCATAAAAACTAAAAGGTATTATACCAAGGACAGATGTGGAAAGAGACAAAACAGCAACAAAGCTGAGCTCTGAGATCATTGTTTGATTGCCTGAAGATACCTGAAGCTGCATTTCTCTAGATTCTTTATTCTGAAACCATCCTTATGGTTTAAGTCACTGTTGTTTTGGTATTCTGTTATTTGTGGCTAAAAACAATTCTCAAAGAAATGTAAAATGATCTTATTTATTCATTTGTGTACATGGTTCTTTTTTATATTCTGTCCTTTAAACTGTCAGCTACATGAGAGTAGAGATCTTGTTTTTTTTCATTTGGTATTCTCTGCTTTCTAGCAGCACATGGTACATAGAAACATTCAAATTAATGTACACGAATGAACTTGATTCTGCTTTATATATCCTTAGCACATTTGGAAGGCAATGGGATGATGGGAAGAGGTTATTAGAACAACCCATACACTGAGTATGCTGGGAACTCTTGTAGGCTATTGAAGGGGAAAGATTAAGCCTATTTATTCTAGCAAATGGCTTCTATAAAATTTCCTCAGGAAGCAAATTGTTATTCCAGACATTTCATTCTAAATACCCAATGAAAACCTGAGTTTTGACACAGGAGCCACTATCTGTAGAATTAGACGTATCAGAAAACATTGTTAGATTTTGGGGTGGAGGAGACTTAAGCATATTGATTTTAATGATTTCATATTTGAATGTATTTTGGGACATTCTTTTTTTTTTTTTTTTTTTTTTTTTTTTTTTTTTTTTTTTTTTGAGACGGAGTCTCGCTCTGTCGCCCAGGCTGGAGTGCAGTGGCGGGATCTCGGCTCACTGCAAGCTCCGCCTCCCGGGTTCACGCCATTCTCCTGCCTCAGCCTCCCAAGTAGCTGGGACTACAGGCGCCCGCCACTACGCCCGGCTAATTTTTTGTATTTTTAGTAGAGACGGGGTTTCACCTTGTTAGCCAGGATGGTCTCGATCTCCTGACCTCGTGATCCGCCCGCCTCGGCCTCCCAAAGTGCTGGGATTACAGGCGTGAGCCACCGCGCCCGGCCCTGGGACATTCTTTTATTCAGACTAACACTGTCCAATAGAAATATAATATGAGCCACATATGTAATTTTACATTTTTTGTGACCATATTTAAAAAGTTAAAAAAATTAATGCTTATTTAGACCAATATATCCAGAATAGCATTTCATCATGTTACATTTGTCAACATGTGATTAATATAAAATTATTATTGAGATATATAACATTTTTTCTTCTCAGTAAGCCATGTATATTTTATACATGTAGTCCATCTCAATTTAGAATAGGCCCATTTCAAGTGCTCAATAGCCACATGTGGCTAGTTGCTTCTATATTGAACAGTACAGATTTAGATTAAATTGTCCTTCAAAAACACATCCCAGCTGGGTGTGTGGTGGCTCACTCCTATAATCCCAACAATTTGGGAGGTCAAGGTGGGCAGATTGCTTGAGGCCGGGAGATCGAGACCAGCTTGGACAACATGGAGAAACCGTGTCTCTACAACAAATATAAAAGTTAGCTGGGCCTGGTGGTACACGCCTGCAGTCCCAGCTACAGCAGAGGCTGAGACTGAAGAATGACTTGAGCCCAGGAGGCAGAGGCTGCAATAAGCTATGATCATGCCCCTGCACTCCAGCCTGGGTGACAGAGCGAGACCTTGTCTTTAAAAAAGAGAGAGAGAGAAAAAAAAGTAAAAACAAATAAACAAAAATCCCCAACACATTTCATTAGGACCTCTTGATACTTCCGTAGTTAATTGGTTAATTATACAAACATTTTAATGCAATAGGCCCTGTGTTGAATACCGATAGTGCATACATAGATAAGCCATCATTACTTTCTTTTTTAAAGGAGTTGACAGTATTGACAGATGCATTTACACGAAAAAAGGTAATCGTAAAAATCACATAAAATATTGTAAATGAAAGCTTCATAGGGTTTTATGGGGCACTCAAGACTCATGCTCCATCCAGCCTAGTTAAGAGGGAGGTGTTAGGGCAGACCTCCTAGAAGATAAGACGTCTACACTTAGCCTTAGAAAATGAGGAGTGCTTATCTTAGTGAAGGAAGTGGAGAAAGGAGAGTACAGGAAGGGGAATATCACTGAGATCAAAACAAGCAGACTCTCAATGTATGATTACCATTGATGTCTTGGGAGAATGAACAGTTAAATATTTATTCCATAAAATGTTTCTCCTCTTCATAACTGCACTGTACAGAAAAGTTCTACTACTATCTCACTGAAGGTTTCCATTCCTACTCCCTTCACTTCTTTTAACCCTGTAGCCCTACTGTATGTAAAATGTGGTCCTAGCTGTTCTTATTTTAACTTTTCTTAGTTAACTCTTCTTACTCTCATCATTTTTAATTGTCTCTGTGAAGATAACTCTTTTCTTCAACTCTGACCTTTTGCCTATATCATTCATTAGAAAAACACACCTAAAAGCAAAAATCTCCCAACCCAGAAACCTTTCCGTGAAGGTAGAAGAGGGAAAAAAAAAATTCTTAATAAGTAAGTATTAAACCAGAACATGATGTGCATGACAGGCAATCTGATAAGCAGTTGCAAAGACCAAAAAAAAAAAATTCACCTTTTTATACAGGCAAGCAGATATAATTCATTACATACATGTTTTTAAGATAAACAGTAACCAGCCCTCAAATAAGAGGACTTGACAGCACCATTTGTCACACATAAATCATCCTAAATTTGCCTGGTGATTGAGATGTCCCTCTGTATTAGCGAATTTACTTTATTCTCATCTCTTTATTACACAAGGCAGTTTTGCATGTTAGGCTCCTACCTCCCTATAGAAACTGGGAGATAGTGGTGTTATCACCCTTGGTGTTTGCATTTAAAAGAGATGGCTCCCAAGTACTTGAGAAGGACAAGCTTGGGTCCTAAAACTGACAAAGCACCTATTTAGTTTTAGAAAAGGCTTATATACATTTTAAAGAGATAAGAAAGTATTTACAACGTTAAGTTTGCTAAGATAGATGCTCTAAAAAAAAAAAAGGAGGAAAATGTCTTCCATATTTTCAACAGAGATAATTAGGCCTCTTATTTTTAATTTATATTTGTTCTTACACATGCTTTTTCCATAGTATCACTCCCTGAGTGTGTCTCCATTATATCAAATGAGATACCTGAAAATTCAAGTTTACCATTTTATCTCCAATCCAGATTCCCCACTTTTGATTTTTTTATTTCTATTCATATTTTTTCTTTATTTCCAATTACTCAAGCTTGAAATTTCAGAGTCATTTTTGAAACAGCTTTCTTTCACTCTCCATGTTCAATCTACACTAAATTATCAATTGTTCCCTTGCACTTTTTCTTCTTTCTTTCAGCTTACTACCACAGCTAAAGCCTTACTTCTTGCCTAGAGTATATAACTGTGTACTAACTTGGTATTTTATTTACATGTCCTTCTGTCAATCTAAAATAATAAAAAATGTCAGAATCTAGTTTAAAGACAGTTTATTCAAGCACAAAGTTAAGGACAACCTGCCCGGGAAGCACAGATTCCAAAGAACTTAAGTTAGTGTTCCAAAGTGTAGAAGTTTAGGATCATTTATACAAAGTTAAGGAAGTTAAACAGAATTTCAACATCTTTCTATGTAAGGCTTAGTGCATAGTTACAATGATTTGATTAGTTAAGGTGGTCTTTTTCTTTCAGGAAAGGTATATTTAACATTCCACACTGAAGTTGTAACTTTCATGGCATCCCTGTTGGGGTTCCATCTGCTTTGAGTTAGTTACAGGACAATAAAGGATGCTGTTAATCTATAACAAAGATCAGTGGTTGAAATGGGAGAGTTCTGGTCTCTCATCTTTCCTAGTCATTTATAGAACAAGAACAATAAGAAAGAGAGTTAAGCTATAATCTAAGAAGCAGAATTGTTACACGACTTAGATCACAGTCACATCTCTCTCAAGGCTTAAAGTGTTTTTTGGGGTTCTAACAGCTTATACATTTTATTTATTTTCCCATTTCCCATTTTATTTTAATCTCTACACTTCTACTCCCCTAAGTGATCTTCACATATAACCACCCTTGTTCAAAATTGATCATCGATTTTAAGAACTGTAAGAAAAACTTGTTCCATAGTTTGACACCATCCTAAGCTAACTTGATCGTCCTGTATAGTTCACATCAGCATAATTGTTCAGCTCAAACCCAACTCTTCTTTACTGATTTTCAAACACATCATGCTTATGCTTGAACTCCAGGTTTTCATTCACACACTTTGTGTGTCCTAATTTTCTTTCCCCCTTACTTGTCTAAATACTCCCTTTGTCTATTTAGCACTGCCATTATAACATTGATCCTATTTTATCCTAATTAATGTATATATTTTTATCTCTCTAATAATGGTTCATACAATGTCATGCCTGAAACATCATTATTCATTGTCTCTGATCCCTCTGGATTCTACAAAGCCCAGAAGAAGAGATGCTTTCCCCTATCTTTACTCATTTTATAGCCTTTAGCATAAGACTAGAAAAATAAGTATTCTGCATTTTAGTGTGTTTTGTTTCCATGTCAAACGAATGTATCCCCTTTCAAGTTGTGTATTCAGAAATAATTCACTTCATGAATAGCTGAAGTCCGCAAGATTAAATGGTTGTTTTTATGGAATTGCCTCCATTAATTTCCCAATAAATCATTTATAATCTTGTATGCCTATTAAACATGATAGTCTCAATCTTAGTATTTACATCAGGCAAAAACACCCTTCATTAAGTCTGCAAATGGTTACTTAGCTTTTGTCAATATTGAAGTCAAATTCCCTTCCTGGACATGTGCAATTTAATCTAAAATATTGAACTCCTTAAACACTTTGTAAGCCCATATAAAGAAAGCATTTCTTCTTATCATAATGTATTAACAATGTAAGGGATACTTCAGTTTCTATAGAAGAAAAATAATGTCTTGAATACTCATATAGCTAAAAAAAAATAGTAAAATGAATGTCGTGGCTTAAAATAAAGTGGCATATATATACAACAAGAGGCATCCTGTTACTCATGTATAAATATTTCTTGAAATAAGTGTTCAATTATTTCCTTTTTTCTTTTAGAGATGGGGCCTTACTATGTTTACACGGCTGGATTCCACCTTCTGGACTCAAGCTATCCTCCTGCCTCAGCCCCCTGAGTAGCTGGGACTATAGGCATACCTGATCATGCCCAACTTTCCTTTTTTGAATGGGTGAAAATTGGCCAATTTTCAAGATTCAGCTCCTCAATGAAACCTATCCTTTTTCAACCACCCAAACTGATACTGTTTTCTTATTTATCTTAATGCCATATTTATAGTTGGCATTTGTTATCATTCTATCTTATAGACATACTAAGTGAATGAATAAATGAGTGAATGATAAAATGAATGGAGGTATTTCACATTTAAAAAACTGAATTAGATCCATTCTATTTTAACTCTGATCGTGACTGTTGAAAGTTATAAAGCCAAGTCAGCTTTCAAGGTCAAAAGAAATCAAGGTGATGTGCATATTCTAACTTGCCCATGGGCACAGCTGCTCCTGGCAGCTGTTAACAGAAACTTCAAAAAGGCTCATTTCTAACAGATTTGTGTGAATTTTTTTTTTGAAATTGAAAATGTACAAAGGGAAGACCCAAATTTTAAAAGGCAAATTGAATACGTGTCAAAATCAGTCTTGGCAGATACAAGAAAGCCAGTGTTTTAGTCCATTTTGTGTTGCCATAAAGGAATATTGGAGGCTGGATAATTTATAAAGAAAAGAAGTTTATTTGGCTCACGGTTCTGCAGGCTATACAAGAAGCATTGTGCTAGTGTCTGCTTCTGGTGAGAGCTTCAAGGAGCTTCCACTCATTGTGGAAGGTGAAGGGGAGCAGGCATCACATGGTGAGAGAGGAAGAAAGCAAGAGAGGAGGAATGTGCCAGGCTCTTTTTCTAACAACCAGCTGGAGAGAACTAATAGAGTGAGAACTCACTCATTGCTGCAAGTATGGCACCAAACTACTAATAAGGGATCCACCCTCATGATCCAAACACCTCCCACTAGGCCCCACTTCCAACACTGAAGATCTAATTTCGACATGAAATTTGGAGGAATAAATATCCAATCTATATCAGCTAGAGAATTCAGAACTAATCTTGTTAATCTGCACTGCATTTCATTTGGCAATCACATGGAGCTGCTTTGTAGAGAAGGTCATCTCAAGCTTTAATTACAGACATAACACACAAGCAATAAATCATTAGAAAAACAAGGTGAATTTAGATAGCAGGTACAACTTCTATGCCACAACTATCCAGAAAGAAGGATGCTTGGTAAGATCACGTCCAATTTTTTTTTTTTCTCACTAGACTTGTGAGAATATGCTTTGTATTAGGAACTTAAAATCAGTTAAATATCACCAACATTATTTCCTGCTGAAAATAAGCAGCTTATAAAATGATATTAATTAAGCCATATACAGCATCCACTAATATTTTGGGCACTTATAATAAATATTTCTGAAAGGAAAATAACTTACCGAGATATAAAACTTGAGTACCTTTTACAAAAGCGTTGAATGAGTTTACTGTCGGTAGTAAGCCAAAGCGAAGCACTTCTCTGTGAGCACATGAAAACACCCATTTGGTCTCAGTCACTCAGAGGACTGCTATATTGTCAGGGCTGCTATGTTGTGATTCATTTGAAAGATAATGCACAGAAAAACTATGACAGGAAATTGAAGAGTACATACAGGAAAACTACAGCAAATTTACAATCTCTCCAGTTAAAAAATAACAAAACAAAGCAACAAAAATGACTTGAAGTAGTTGGGAAAAATGACACTACCTATAAGTGCTGTGTGAGTACTAAGTTACACTTAGTAGAGTTCAGTTTAATAACATAACATAATATATTATTTATTGAGCTTATATTATATATCAAGCACTGTGCCAGTCACTGGGGTAATATCTGTAACACATCATCATGTGATGTGTTACTTATGATGATTTAAAATGAGACTATAATGATTTAAAATACTACCTGTTAATTGATTTGTCCAGGAAAGGATTAAGTGGCCAATAAATGCAGAGGAGTAGGCCATTTTCTTCAAGAATAAGAGAATAAATGACATTTGAACTATTTAAGCTTTATAAAGCAACTAAGGTTTTGAGAGGTAAAAAAATGGAAGTCAAGTATTACAGGAGAGGTTAGATTGGACCAAAAGCACAGAGGCATGAAATTGTGCATTACGGAAGTCATTCAATGTGATTTTGAATGGTCAGGGCACAGGGAGAAAAAAAGGTGGGGTGAATGGGAGGTGAAGATGAAAGGTAGTTTGAAGCCAGATTGCTAATTTAAATGTAGCATTTTTAGATGAGGTATGAAGTGTGGGATATAAATGTAAACTGAATGTTCTTAGGCCCCTTCGACTTGTAGGTATAAAGGTGACCATGACCTCCTTAGCATCAAAACTCAAACTTAGGTCCCTGGCGTCTGGTCTCTGAGTAACTTTCAGATTATTGTTCCCACCTTCTCCTCTAAACACTGTGGAGTTGAGGGACATTTCTCACACTTCTCACAAGTTGTGTCTGTTGACTGTCACATGAGACTCCCCATGAGATGACAAATTTGGTTCCGAGAGTGCTTTGTTTCCTGCTGTTATTCCACTGGAGCTTAGAGTGCTCCCACAGCAACGGGCTGCATAAGCAGGGGGTGTGTGAAGTGTTATAGGAGAATAGAAAATAAGGATGCCTAATGCAGGTTTAGATGAGGACAAGTGACCGGAAAAAAATTCCCAAGGAAAACTGATGCCTGACATGTGTTATAAGAAGAAATTAATAGGGCCAAGAAAAAGGAAATAACATTTCAGACAGAGATCCAGTTATTGAAGTTAAAACAAAAAATCACAATAAAAAGGATAGATTTGGCCGGGTGCAGTGGCTCACGCTTGTAATTGTAATCCCAGCACTTTGGGAGGCCAAGGTGGGTGGATCACGAGGTCAGGAGTTCCAGACCAGCCTGGCCAACATAGTGAAACCCGCCTCTACTAAAAAGACAAAAATTAGCTGGGCATGGTGGCAGGTGCTTATAGTCCCAGATACTTGGGAGGATGAGGCAGGATAATCACTTGAACCCAGGAGCCAGAGATTGCAGTGAGCCAAGATTGCGCCACTGCACTCCAGTATGGGCAACAGAGCAAGACTCTGTCTCAAAAAAAAAAAAAAAAAAAAAAGCATATATTTTATTTTATAACCATCGAGGAACCATTGATATTTCTAAATAGACAATTAATGATCAGATCTAAGCTTTAGGAAGAAAATTTTAGCAACTTTGGAGAAGATTTACCCCGAGACTAGCCTGGAGACCTGACCAAAACAAAGAGAGTAAAAGGGTGGAGAAATGAATTTGATGGAAACCAACAGGCAAAAATGAGAGGGAGTTAATGAAGAGCGAACAAGAGCTTTCTCTCTTGAGTGGGAAAAAGTGATACCTTTATGATATAAAATATAGGAGGATTGAAACTTCTTTGGAAGGTCAAAGAATAAAGCAAATATGCAGAATTATAGAATACCTTGGTAGACTGAGTACCAGAAAAGGCCATGGAAGAAAAACAAATATTAGAGAAAAGCAATCCATTAATACTTTAAAATACCATCTTACACCTTTTTTTAGGGATTTTGAATAACTCATTAATATCTTAATGTCCTATTTGATACAAAAAAATTCTACTATATTTTATTTCTACATTATAATTAAAATAGAAAAGGTTAGAGTTTCTTCACTAATAATTAACAATAATTTTATTAATAATTTTAGCAGCCTTGGAAAAAATAAGATTCCTTGGAATTTTGCATGTATCTGGATGTAGCACTAAGCCCTCCAAGCTCATGCTATAAAACAAAAGCAATGTTCTGAGCCAATGGACAACAAACTCTTTCTGGTAAGGGTCAGATAAAGAATATTTCAGGTTTTGTTGGCTGTACAGTCTGTCACAATTATTCAACACTGCTTTTGTGGGCAAAAGCAGCTGCAGGCAATACATGGCTGCATTTCAATAAAACTTTATTTACCAAAACAAGTGGTGGGCTATATGTGGCCCTCAGGAAATAGTTTGCTGACCCTTTCTCTGAGCTAACAAGTTATCTTTCTCTCTTTAATTCATTGCTAGACACAACTTTGGAATTTAAAAAAAACTCATGTAAGAGTATATAGATGTGCAGAGTTTAAATTATACATAGATTTTTTAGCTTAAGATTTTCCAAATAGATTGCTAAAAGAAAAAAATTTTGACACCTTTATTTTCTTTTTTGTCTCCTCATGATTCTCAGTTGTATTTTTACTCCCTCATTGAAGCTCTTAGACACATTAAAATGGATCTTAATGAAAAATAGAATCTTCTTAACAGAAATCACAAGTGTGCCAAGAATTTAAGGAGTGACTGCACTTCTGAGAATCCATCAGCTTGTTATTCTTAAGGCCACCTTGGATGTGACACCAATATCTTGCTACGACCCATTAAAACTCACAGGAAATTCAGAGTCACTAAAGATGAATCAAAAGGCCACAGAGACCTAGAAACACAAAGATAATTGTTAGTTCCTCCCATCCAAAGTTAGTCACTCTTTCATGGCAATTGCCTGGACTTTGCCAACATCAAAGAATGAAGTATCTGTCAATCAGGGCCTAAAGATGAAATAATACCCTGCAGACAATATTAAGCTCACAGGAAAACTGATGGCAGACATGATACAAATATTTTAAGTCTGAAGCTTTATTTATAAGACAAAATTTCTAGTATGTCCTCTGTCCTCACTAAAAATTTTCTCTGAAAATACAATTTATATCTCAAAACAAATGTAGAGCTGCAAGAGACATTACAGATTATCTAATTTAGTCAACTAATTTTACACACAAGTAAATTGAGTCCTGGGCCTGCTAAGTGACTTAAATAATTTCATGGGCAATTCATAGTTAAGTAAGAAAGTCTTTAATAATACTCAGTTGAATGATGACCATTTTATACACTGCATCAAGATGCCACCTGTGAATGAACCAATATAGGAAAGCATGAGCTTCTCTGGGCCCAATTCATGTATTTCTAGAAGTACTGCTCTAGATTTGGAACATGGTGATATATAAAATAAAGTCTCTCCTCTCGTACAGTTTATACAGAAAATAAGCACCAATATAGTACCTACTGTGTGCCAGGCACTATTTTAGATGCTTTATGTATTACAATTCACTTAATTCTCACCATAAAGACAGCTATAAAATAAACTTTTTCAGTTTAAGGGAAATTGAGTGAAAGAAAGGTGAAAAGTACAATAATCTTCCCTTTTCCTTAGGGGATATCTTTCAAGCCTCCCAGTGGAAGCCTGGAATTGCAGATAGTACCGAACCATATATACACTGTGTTTTTAAATTTGATAACAAAGAGGGCTACTAAGTGACTAATAGTGTGGTAGCATTTGCAACATGGATATGCCGGACACAGAGGTGATTCATGGCCTGGACTGGACAGAGCAGGAGGGCGTGAGATTTCATCACTACTCGGAATGGCAAGCAATTTAAAACTTATGAATTGTTTATTCATGGAATTTTCCATTTAATATTTTTAGACTGTGGTTGACTGCAGGTAACTGAAACTGAGTAAAGCAAGACCTTAGATAAGGGGGACTACTGTAATTCTAACAAAAAAGTTCAATGAGTTTCCTCAAGAGAATAATACTAAATTGTTACATATTCAAAGAATCTTAGAGATTTAAAAAGTCCTGTAACTTTTTAAAACCGCAGTGCTACAGAGTTGGTAGGGGTCCTACAGATTTTGACTCTGCCATTCTTTCTCCAACAATACTCAGCTTTTACAAATATACCCACTTTCCAATAAATCACCACTCGTTTTAAAGTTTGTGATGCTGTTAATAGCAAAAATTTACTCATTTGTCAAAAGTACATTTTATTCATCACATTAGCTGACATACGACACATTTCAAAGAACCTAGGAGGCTGGAGGTTGAGGAAATTTCTTATTGTTTCATTGTAGTGAGCTATTCTCTACCTAGAAATAAAGAGGTTGTCTAGGGCTTTCTGTGTCTTTTCTCCAAACACCAAAAGATGTTTACCAATCATTCTAAAACCATATATGTATATTATTTTCTTACTTAAAAGCATGAGCAGAAATGAAAACGAAAGTATAACTAAGATTGTGAATAGTTCTCTACAGTTCCAACAACAACAAATGAAATACAAGTTCTTTGTCCACCTTTCAGCTTTCAAAAGAAAAGGATAGATTTACTAAATAGCCATCGTACTCTTCAGGCCCAGTGTAACCCTCAATGCTGGCTAATTTAAAAAAAATGGTATTGTCAGAAGGTATTTGTGTAAACTAAATAAACTAAATTTATTAGTAAAAATTATATGACTACCATATAATGTGCAGGTTTTATACACATTATATATAAAATTCAATTAATGTTTTTAAAAAGTTTAAAGATGAATATAGCAATGTTTGAGGAAATGCTAAAATTTCTACAACACTAGTGCTGCAGTGAATAAAATATTTTTGAAAGGATTTGAGCACTCGATGAATTCTAAATGAAATAATAGATTCTTTTGTCAATATAGTTGCTTAAGGTAATTAGGGGTTTTCACAGTAGACTCCTCATGTACTCTAAATTCAGCTTTCAGACTGATAATCAGATCAAACTATTATTGTCACTATACTTGTTTTTTTTGCAGTTGTTATTTTGGAGGAAAGAAATACTCTAAAGAAAGTCCAAATAAAAGCTCATATAACTGGGAATGAGCTCCATCAATGTGTTCATCAAGCAACAGTCCTCTGCCACCGAAAATGGGCCCTTTCCTGTATCCTTCCTCATTTCTAATTTTTATAAATAATTTACCATTTGTCTCACCTAATTTTGTGAGACAGAGTTAATTCTGAAATTAATTAAATTAAATTAAATTAATAGTTAATTAAATTGATAGTTAATACTGAAATTTTGTATTTTTGTTCAACATCTCCCCAACCTCCTCCCTCAACTCCTGTTAACCACTATTCTACTCTCCACTTCTCTGAGTTTAACTTTTTAGATTCCACATATGAGTGAGATCATGAGGTATTTGTCGTTCTGTTCTTGGTTTATTTCACATATGTTCTTTGGGTTCATCCATATTATTGTAAATGAATGCATAGTATTACCTGCTGCATGTTTTCTATTATATGTTCTATTGTCAACTCAATCTCATCATGTCTAAATGTGAATTCATCTTCCCTAAAACCAGTTGACACAGGTTGCTTCTTCATTTCTGTGGTAGACACTATCATTTTAATACCTTCCTTTGGCTTAAAGCACCATTTGCCAATATCATTCATTTGGCAAGAGATTCTTTTCTGAATCATAGCATATCCTTACTGGTATTGAACATTTATCTAGTAATAATTGCAGACTGCAATGGTCAAATAAAATAATTATATTCACAGAGAGTTTTGAGATTAAGCACTGTGCAAAGATACTACATTATTATGAACGTACTTAACTTTTAAGATATTATCCATCTATGTCATGCTTCTCTAGTTAGAGTATTAGTTATCTGAAGGCAGAGGTGTGTCTTTAAAATTTCTAATTTATTGCCACACACAAGCGTTCATAAATATCGGTTGATTGAAAATAATTTGACCTAGAGAGTTAGGGGAAGTAAAGATAAATTTTATTTTTGAGAAATATTTTTTATTCAAATGGTAAATATACCATTTTGTTTTTAAAATGTAGTTTTCTTTTGTCTACTAGATGATCTCTAAACAATTACTTTTAGACAATCCTCTGGTTAATGAATATAAATAGTTATTAATTTTTATGCTACCTATTCCCCTCAGGATTTAATCTCTTGGATCATTTTATTGGTGGGACCTCGTTGTTTATTTCTACTAATTAAATTGACAACATTTTCTTTAGTTGAATTCAATATAGAAACACATTATATGGGATAATTCACAACAGCAATTTTCATGAAGGGACTGCTATTGTAAAAAAGAATCACTTAATGAAAAGAGTCACTTAATGAAAAAATTATATATGCTAGAATATCAAATAAAGTACTTCTACATAATAAACTAGGAATTTACCATAAGAATAAGTAAAGTGTTATTATTGGTAAAGAAAAAGAACGAATATTAAGTAAACCTCATGGTAGAATTAAGAAAACATTGGGTTTTATTTGGCCATTTCACAATTCATGTTTTAGGAAAAAAAGTTTTTAAATTATGTTTTTAAGGCTGTCAATGGTTTATTTACGCTTGGAATTTACACACATTAATCCTAAACCTTAGGAATTCGTGATGAGGCATAAAAAAGGAACATTCAAAAAACAATTAATTCCCTCCTTTCTAAATTAGCCCCTTGTACAAGGCACAATAATTATTAGTACATGCACTGAACTAACTGACCTAGAGATGATGTCTATGCATTGTGGAAGAAATGGCTACTTGATTTTTCTATTATAGCAACGAAGAAGTCCAGTAATTATCAAATTATAGAAGAATGATTTATAGTTCTCAGAGTTCCTCTCTGTCTAAGAAAGACATGTATGCTGCGTAGTGGCTAAAGAACTGAGTAGGGATTTCAATGCTGGTTGACAGGATTCCAACGCTGTACTTCCCCTAGTTAGGACAAAGGTAATGTCTGAATCATGTAGAACACTTGCAAAGAAATAATAATAAACCATCATTTGAGTGTCACCTTACAGATTTCACACTGTTTTGACATATGTGATCTCTTCTGAGTTACCCTATGAACAGCTGATATCACTATGTCCAGTATAAAATTGATAAAAATGTGTCTTATGGAGGTAAGATAATTTTTCCAAGGTCACACAGGTAGTAGGTGGAAATGTCAATATTAATAACTAGTGACTATAAATTCCATGTTCTTTCTAAAATAACAAGCTGCTTCCTAAGGTACTTGGGTACACACTCAGCAGGGATCATTCATATTTTCTTGATCCAGCTACACAAGTTGTTTCTATTATTCATTGCTTGCTGTGGCTCCTCTGCAGTTTGCACATTTTAACTAATCAGACTATTAGACTATTCAGTGATTTGCACCGATGGCTCTTTGCCATTCTTCTTCATATCAGCGCCCCAGTCATTCAGTATCTTTTGATTGCCTTACTTCGATCTTGTTTACTTCTAATTAGATTGATATTAACAGTTGAAGCAATTATCTTGAGGATAGTGTCAATCTTTTTTTTTTAGTTTTACACAGCTAACAACAACATTGACAAATGACACAAATGTATTTGGCATCTAAAACTGCTATTCTCATTTGACATCAGACACCAATTTCATTTACATAGGTTTTGACACTATTAATTTATGATCTCAGAATAACAATATTGTAGTCATAGATGATTTGGGCAATGTATTCTGTAGCTTCTGAGGAGATTTTGAGTCATGTTTAACCAACTGCAATGTTATCTTATTGATTTTACTCTTGCATTGTGTCTGTTTAATATCATAGCCTTTTATATTTAGTGGTGTTACATTTTAATTTAGCTTATTCATTGGATA
Source organism: Homo sapiens (assembly GCF_000001405.40). NCBI lineage: Eukaryota > Metazoa > Chordata > Mammalia > Primates > Hominidae > Homo > Homo sapiens. Next base: position 54,678,117 of record NC_000006.12, on the reverse strand, counting down.
TTAGTTTTCATATCAAATGAACTCATCTTGAGTTATTAAATGCACTTTGATATTTTGTGGTCAGATATTCTGAATACTAACATCATTCTATTGGTGAAGTCCTGTATGCATGCCAAAAGGGGCCCTCTAATTCCTGTAAACAAATAGCACCTTAAAATTTTAAACTTGAATCACTTAATGGTTACATACATTTATTCATAAAAAGTTGATTTTTAAAAGAATTTCAATTAAGAATACCTTATTTAAAATGTCTTACCTTTAATTAAGAATATTTTGAGGGCAGGCACAGTGGCTCATGTCTGCAATCCCAGCACCTTAGGAAGCCGAGGTGGGCAGATCACCTGAGGTCAGGAGTTCGAGACTAGCCTGGCCAACATGGAAGAACCCTAGTCTCTACTAAAAATACAAAAATTAGCTGGGCATGGTGGTGGGTGCCTGTAATCCCAGCTACTCAGGAGGCTGAGGTAGGAGAATCGCTTGAATCCCGGAGGTGGAGGTTGCAGTGACCCAAGTTCGCACCACTGTACTCCAGCCTGGGCGACAGAGTGAGACTGTCTCAAAAAAAAAAAAAAAAAAAAAAAAAAGAATAGATTTTAGATGTCTTTATTTTCACTTTTTATTATTGCATTATTGGTTGGCCTAAATATATTTCCAAACTTCAGAAACATAATACTTTATCACAGCCATTGGTCTTCCCCAGAGACCTATGACATTGCTATAAAATAATGTAGTTTAACCTTTTTAATCTGGAGCTTAAAAAACTGAGTCATGGGAATAGATTTGCCTTTTTGTTTATTGCTTATTTCTTCTTTTGCCAAACATTAAATATCCATATCATCTACTTCTGTTAGGAGGTGTTTCATGTGTTGAAAAAGAAGTAGAATATGAAGTGCTAAAATTATATTACTGATGGAGAAATTATGATTATAAGAAAAAAAGTTGATCAATAAGGAATAGCTCACTAGGCATCTTGTTTTTCCACATATCTTAGTGCAAATCTTCTGTGTAAGCTCTTTCCCTCAGATGGAAGGCAAAAGTAGCATGATAGAACAATATAGATGGATTACTAAAGATAATGGGGAAAGAAATGTTGTTAAAGCCAATCAGCTCACTTAAAAGATCTCTGGAAGAGGGGCATGAAATATCAAGCAGGTTTTAATACCCTTTAGGGAACACATTAGGGGAAAAAGCTACAGGAACAGCAGACTCAGTGGAGCAACTGTGGAAAGATTACAGAACTCAGAATCAGGAGAATTGCTTCTTATCCAGCAGTGTGACATTGATCCAGAAAATTAACTTTTATGACCCTGTTTCTAGTTACTAATAATTAGATGATACCACATATAAAATTTATGAAGTTTAAATGAGCTACTGCATATTCAAGTGATCTATAACCTATAAAGCACTATGAAGCTATAATACGCTATTACTACCAGAATGACAGCATTTGTTAATAAAGAATTAACACTAAACTTTACCAACAACTTTAATTTAGTATAAAATGGGAAAAGGCACATCAAATTAATATGGTAAGAATAACTGATAAGAAGAATAGATTGTTCTTTAGATATAAGGGGTTGATAACAATAAGATGATGATGTAGACAATTATGAGCTCGGAAGTTTACCCAAAAATCATTAATGTGATCTGAACTTGGTTAATAACCATGATTTTGGACTGTAAAATAATATTTTCAGTATCAGTGAGGATGACTGAAAATGACTGAAAACCAAACTCCAACAAGTTTAAATGATAAAGAATTTTTTTCTCAAGAATCAAGATTATTATAGGTAGGGTAGATCAGGCATATTTGACTTTATATCTGGTTTTTTTGCAATATTTTTTAATCTGTTATCATGTGAATGTGCTTCAAATTTAGAATGCCTTCATTAATGATAGCAAACTGTCTGCATTTGTTCCAGGCTACATATACTGGCCAATCAGAAGAAGAGAGAGCAGGCTAACAAAATTCTGAAGATAGCACTGACTCAGCACCATCATCCTTGTGGCATGAGAATTCACATACCCATGGATTTAGACTGGGATGCTTGATTTAATTCCCCTTTATAAGGGATTAAATTAACCTTGACTAGTTTAGATCAATGAATCTCAGCAAAAGCAGAATAACCCTTTCAGAAATTTGAAGAAGCTTTTCTTTTTTTAAAAAAACTGTTTTGATGATTTGATAGAATTACAGGCATTAGTAAGCAAGGGTAGGGGAAGGTGAAAGATGCTAAAAGTCATACACAAAATAATCCTTCATAAGGAAGAATTTTTGAGAGTTCTGCAAGACATTCTAATATCCTCCTAGACATTTGTACAGAAAATTATGTATAATAAAAATTGCTACCCACCCATTATCACTTATCTTAACAATAGTTTTGCTTTAAGTTACAAGTTTGCTTGTATGGAATGGCTTCTCATCTTCTAACTTCTCTTAAATTTGAATTTATTCATTTTAAAATAGCATAACAATTTAGTTACTTGAGTACGTCTCTAGGTTAGTTGAGACTGAACATTTACGTATTGAACCCTATATTGTAGTATTAAAAATCACATTATTTTATCCTTTGCATTACAGTTAAAGCATTATATCAATTTTTTCTGAATAAATGAGTAGGCAATTCTCATTTTAAGATAAAGAAGGTGTGAGAAAATATTTGTATTGAAAGGTTAGCACTGAGACTGTTTGAACCGAGACCTACTGTCTTGCATCAGTTAATGCCAACAACTGGGTACATGGCTGACATAAAACAGAGGCAGCATAATAAAAGGCGAATGACCAATTTTTCTATGTGTATTCTTAGTACTTGTGATTAATCATTTTAATAAAGAATTATATAAATAATTTCTTGTAAAAGATAAGGTATTCAAACTACCTTAGTACTTGTGATTAATCATTTTAATAAAGAAGAATTATAGAAATAATTTCTTGTAAAAGATAAGGTATTCAAACACAGATGATCTTATTGTTGATTATTAGTATGGAGCCCTTGATATAGTCTAAAAATTTATTTTGTATAATAATATTTTGGAGCTATGTACAATATTTGAGAATTAAAGAATATATGTTATTTTCTTTCTTTCCTTCCTTCCTTCCTTCCTTCCTTTCTTTCTTTTTTGAGATGGAGTTTTGCTCTGTCACCCAGGCTGGAATGCAGTTTCACGATCTCAGCTCACTGCAACCTCCACCTCCCTGGTTCAAGCAATTCTCTGCCTCAGCCTCCCGAGTAGCTGGGATTACAGGCGCCCAACACCAGGCTGGCTAATTTTTTGTATTTTTAGTAGAGGCAGGATTTCACCATCTTGGCCAGGCTGATCTTGAACTCCTGACCTCATGATCCATCCACCTCAGCCTCCCAAAGTGCTGGGATTACAGGCATGAGCCACCACGCCTGGCCTATGTTTTTGCTTTCTAAACTCTGGTCCAATGCAATGAACTTCTATTTATTCCTCAGGATATGTTGCAACATATTAGAGTTATATGCAAGCTTTTATCCTTCTGGGGAGTCGAATGCTTTTCCAAAGAATATTTTATGCTAATAAAATGCGTGTTATATCTGCCTATCTGTGTGTCTATATGTCTTAGTCCATGTTGTGCATTTACAACAGAACACATGAGACTGGGTAATTTGTAAAGAACTGAAAGTTATTTTCTCAAAGTTCTGGGGACTGGGAAGTCCAGAATCAAGGCATCAGCATCTGGTCAGGGCCTTCTTGCTGCATCATCACATGGCAGAAGGCAGATAGGCAAAGAGGCAAAATGGGGCCAAACTTCCCTTTTTATAATGTCATTAATCCTACCCATGAGGGTGGAGGCCTCATGGCCTAATTACCTCTCTAAAATTCCACCTCTTAATACTCTAACAATGGCAATAAAATTTCAACATAAGTTTTTGAAGGAAAATACATTCAAACCACAGTGCTATGTCTCTATTTCGTCATATTCAACTTTGTTTCCTAAAGGATTTAGTCACTTAAAATATTTTGCACACATAGACATGTACATGCAAGAAGATCTTATCATGCCAGAACTGAAATTATTTTCAACTTAAGAGAAACATTAAATGATTTAGATGAGGCCCTGACACACTAATTAATGTAATTTTGTACATTGATTTTGTATTCTGAGATTTTGCTGAAGTTGCTTATCAGCTTGAGGAGATTTTGGGCTGAGACAATGGGGTTTTCTAGATATACAATCATGTCATCTGCAAACAGGGACAATTTGACTTCCTCTTTTCCTAATTGAATACCCTTTATTTCCTTCTCCTGCCTGATTGCCCTGGCCAGAACTTCCAACACTATGTTGAATAGGAGTGGTGAGAGAGGGCATCCCTGTCTTGTGCCAGTTTTCAAAGGGAATGCTTCCAGTTTTTGCCCATTCAGTATGATATTGGCTGTGGGTTTGTCATAGATAGCTCTTATTATTTTGAGATACGCCCCATCAATACCTAATTTATTGAGAGTTTTTAGCATGAAGCGTTGTTGAATTTTGTCAGAGGCCTTTTCTGCATCTATTGAGATAATCATGTGGTTTTTTTCTTTGGTTCTGTTTATATGCTGGATTACATTTATTGATTTGTGTATGTTGAACCAGCTTGCATCCCAGGGATGAAGCCCACTTGATCATGATGGATAAGCTTTTTGATGTGCTGCTGCATTCGGTTTGCCAGTATTTTATTGAGGATTTTTCCATCGATTATTCATCAAGGATAGTGGTCTAAAATTCTCTTTTTTGGTTATGTCTTTGCCAGGCTTTGGTATGAGGATGATGCTGGCCTCATAAAATGAGTTAGGCAGGATTCCCTCTTTTTCTATTGATTGGAATAGTTTCAGAAGGAATGGTACCAGCTCCTCTTTGTACCTCTGGTAGAATTCGGCTGTGAATCCATCTGGTCCTGGACTTTTTTTGATTGGTAAGCTATTGATTATTGTCTCAATTTCAGAGCCTGTTATTGGTCTATTCAGAGAATCAACATCTTCCTGGTTTAGTCTTGGGAGGATGTTTGTGTCGAGGAATTTATCCATTTCTTCTAGATTTTCTAGTTTATTTGCGTAGAGGTGTTTATAGTATTCTCTGATGGTAGTTTGTATTTCTGTGGGATCAGTGGTGATATCCCCTTTATCATTTTGTATTGCGTCTATTTGATTCTTCTCTCCTTTCTTCTTTATTAGTCTTGCTAGTGGTCTATCAATTTTGTTGATCTTTTCAAAAAACCAGCTCCTGGATTCATTAATTTTTTGAAGGGTTTTTTGTGTCTCTATTTCCTTCAGTTCTGCTCTGATCTTAGTTATTTCTTGCCTTCTGCTAGCTTTTAAATGTGTTTGCTCTTGCTTTTCTAGTTCTTTTAATTGTGATGTTAGGGTGTCAATTTTGGATCTTTCCTGCTTTCTCTTGTGGGCATTTAGTGCTGTAAATTTCCCTCTATACACTGCTTTGAATGTGTCCCAGAGATTCTGGTATGTTGTGTCTTTGTTCTCGTTGGTTTCAAAGAACATCTTTATTTCTGCCTTCATTTCATTATTTACCCAGTAGTCATTCAGGAGCAGGTTGTTCAGTTTCCATGTAGTTGAGCGGTTTTGAGTGAGTTTCTTAATCCTGAGTTCTAGTTTGATTGCACTGTGGTCTGACAGACAGTTTGTTATAATTTCTGTTCTCTTACATTTGCTGAGGAGTGCTTTACTTCCAACTATGTGGTCAATTTTGGGGTAGGTGCGGTGTGGTGCTGAAAAGAATGTATATTCTGTTGATTTGGGGTGGAGAGTTCTGTAGATGTCTATTAGGTCTGCTTGGTGCAGAGCTGAGTTCAATTGCTGTGTATCCTTGTAAACTTTCTGTCTCGTTGATCTGTCTTATGTTGACAGTGGGGTGTTAAAGTCTCCCATTATTATGACACACTAATTAATGTAAATCCAGAAGGAAACCAAGGAAGGTGAGGAGGCTTTGAGACCCGGATACTGTAAGGAAAATGTAAACAAATAAGGCAGTTTAGCATAAAGAAGGAAAGAACTGAGCGTTGTTTGATTGCCATTTTCAAGTATTCTCAGAAGAGTGTGACTTGCTCTGCTTTCTTCCAAAACCAGAAATGGAACATGTTATTAAAAATGACATTTCAGTTCAATACAGGAAGAACTTTCTAGCACTCAACAGTGTTCCCACGCTCCCAAAAAAGTGTGCATTCATATATTGAATAAATTGATTGAATCTGTACCATTATCTGATAGAAACACAGCAGAAGGAAATTCTACATGGGTAAAATGACAGAGTCTTTTCTTTTTTTCTTTCTTTTTTTTCTTATGAGACAGGGTCTCACCCTGTCACCCAGGCTGGAGTTCTGTGGTGCGATCTTGGCTCACTGCAACCTCTGCCTCCCAGGTTCAAGCGATTCTCATGCCTCAGCCCCTTGAGTAGCTGGGACTAGAGACACACGCCACCAAGCCTGGCTAATTTTTGTATTTTTAGTAGAGACAGGGTTTCCCCATGTTGGCCAGGCTGGTTTTGAACACCTGGCCTCAAGTGATCTACTCACCTCGGCCTCCCAAAGTGCTGGAATTATAGGTATGGGCCACCACACCTGGCCAAGTCCTTTCTAGTCCTAATTAGAAACTTTGTAACCTCTATCTGCTATTTATGTCAATAATTTGATACAAGCTTCTCTCAATGAAATTATATTAATTCTAGCCAGGCTCACCTTTTAGAGTTAGTAGAGTAGAAAATATCAGTGGTCTTTCTAATTGCAAATGACTACCATTATCCTGCAGAGGACACAGCAAATTAAACTGAAATCAGTCTGCTTTCACCTACTGCTCTTTCTGACAGCTAGAATGGGGAAAAGACAGAGTTCTGTTTATCTCTAGGGAATTTTTTAGAGTCCATATTAAATTCCTTTTAAAAAAGATATGCATTAAATTTACACAGTGTTGCTTCTGTGAATAATGATTTCTATTTTATGTCTTTGTTTCATTTAAGTAGACTCATTACTATCTAGAAACAACAATAACAAAAAGCAAGGAAGGAAAGAAAGATACTTCTGCTACTCCACTCCAAAGGCCATAACATATTAAAAGCAATATGCCACTAGGAAAAAATATTTTTAATTCTAGGGGATTTTCATGGGGTTGGACATCTTTCCCTAGCTCCATAGGGAACATATATTATGATTTCCTAAAAGGGCAATCTGGAATGACTATTTTAATTCTCCTCAGGAGGGCAGAATTTATAGTACTATTGATAAAATAATCAGCATCCTAATGGCATCAGTTTTTTTTCTTTTTTAACTTATAAAGTATAACTTTAAAGTCTTCTACAAATGCATTAAAGTTCTACTTCTTGAAAAATTAGTTGGAAAGGAAAATTATACTCATTTGCTTATTTAAGGAAAACTACCCATTATCTCTTCATAAGAATCTCAAAAATCAATTTTATTAGTAAAGTTTTCATACTAAGGGTAACAGCTCTATTGAGTTTTTAATTTTAAACTATTTCTCACAAATGGCATATAATGCCCTGCTTCTGGGTTCTGGGAAATGCATATTCCATATGTAATTAATTGCTATAAAAGAAGATTAATAACTTGATATTCACCATAATTTCTCTTGCTTCCACATATCTCTTGTCTGAAATTGAAAACTGTAGCCAACTAGGATCACTGTGAAAATGAGACTTCATGATGGCCTGGCACATAGCAGGTAACCCCCTGGTACACACACACACACAGACACACACACACACACACACATGCACACACACACACGCACACACACACACACACGTGTTGAATGATTGAATTAGTGGCTCTGCTTTCTTTTCTGAATTTTTTTTTTTTTTTTTTTTTTTTTTAAGACGGAGTCTCACTTTGTCGCCAAGGTTGGAGTACAGTGGCACAATCTCAGCTCACTGCAACCTCTGCTGCCCAGGTTCAAGCAATTCTCCTGCCTCAGCCTCCTGAGTAGCTGGGATTACAGTCGTCCACCACCACACCTGGCTAATTCTTGCATTTTTTTTTTTTTTTTTGAGACGGAGTGTCGCTCTGTCGCCCAGGCTGGAGTACAGTGGTGTGATCTCGGCTCACTGCAAGCTCCGCCTCCCGGGTTCATGCCATTCTCCTGCCTCACCCTCCCTAGTAGATGGGACTACAGGCACCTGCCACCATGCCCGGCTAATTTTTTTTTTTGTATTTTTAGTGGAGACGGGGTTTCACAGTGTTAGCGAGGATGGTCTCGATCTCTTGATCTCGTGATCCGCCCGCCTCGGCCTCCCAAAGTGCTGGGATTACAGGCGTGAGCCACTGCACCCGGCCAATTTTTGCATTTTTAGTAGAGACGGGTTTTCACGTTGTTGGCCAGGCTTGTTTTGAGCTCCTGACTTCATGATTCACCCTCCTCAACCTCTCAAAGTGCTGGGGTTACAGGCGTGAGCCACCGTGCCTGGCCCGTTTTTTTTTTGTTTTTTTTTTTTTGTTTTTTTTGAAACAGAGTCTCACCCAGACTGGAGTGCAGAGGCACAATCTCAGCTCACTGTAACCTCCACCTCCCGGGTCAAGCTATTCTTCTGCTTCAGCCTCCCAAGTAGCTGGGACTACAGGCATGCACCACCATGCCCAGCTAAGTTTTGTATTTTTAGTAGAGACGGGGTTTCATCAGGTTAGCCAGGCTGGTCTTCAGCTCCTGACCTCAGGTGATCCGCCCACCTAGGCCTCCCAAAGTGCTGGGATTACAGCCATGAGCCTGGCCTCTTTTCTGATTTTTTCTCCATGGAGCTGTCAAAAGATTCTGAAACTCTCAACCATATATGAAAAAAAGCTGCTCATCCTGCGGACGCCTGTAGTCCCGGCTACTCGTAAGGCTGAGGCAGGAGAATGGCCTGAACCCGGGAAGTGGACCTTGCAGTGAGCTGAGATCGCGCCACTGCACTCCAGCCTGGGCAACAGGGTGAGACTCGGTCTCAAAAAAAAAAAAATAACAAAAAACAAAAAAAACAAAACAAAACAAAAAAACAAACTGCTCATCCTTGGATTGAATCCCCACATTCACTTCTTGGCCCATCAATGACCAAATCAGTAACACCCGTTTGGTTATTCTGATGATGTCCTTTTTTAAGTTTCAAGAGCTGTATGATCAAGAACTACTTCTGTGTAATCAAGAAAAAGAGAGAAATAGATTTTTCCATGTATCATTCTGTCTCTTACTCTGTTACCACAGTTCCTCTATTTCAGGCATCTGTTATCCTCAATCGCAGAGGCCACTGATTAGTGACACATCATATTCGCCTTTCCAAGCTACCAGAAAATACTCTTTCCACAAACTGGAAATGGCCCAGCCCACTTATCACTAGATATACAAAAGCCCTCTTTCCATCCAGATCTCCAGAGCTTTTTATTTGTACTTGTTTCTTGTTTCATTTTTTGAATATACTTCACAGAAGCAATAGAAGTTTAACTATTATGTGACATATAAATGTTGGTAATGATTTATACAACTTCCACCTGTGGCAGAAAATCATCTTAGGTCTATGGGAGATCTTGACAGCTAATAATCACTCTTGCGTATGCCATCTAATATCATATTGTACTCAGAAATTTTTCTAATTTTTATTTTTCTGAGAAAAATCTAACGGTGATGGAAAAGTAACTCAAAATTTAAATTTCATATTTTAAATAACTACAGGTAAAAAGTTTGGTCAATCATTATACCTCTGTATTCAAACCATGAACTTAAGTAACTTCTTAAGCCAACAAAAATAATTTACAAATGAGTTCTTCACCCAGTCTAGAGCCTAGTAGAATATATGATATATATTAGTTGCTGAATCTATCCTTACAGTTTTGGGGAAAAAATGAATTTTAACTCATCCCTTTGGCTTTCAATTTTCTGTGTTGTGTGTCTAGTGCAAGCCTTCTACTTTAAACTTTGGTGCTAGAATTACTTCAAAAGTACATCACTTAAAGATTTTAGAAAAGTATAACACCATCAATATTATATTTAAGCATACCTACTCCCAAAATTCATTATATATAAATTTTTGCAGTGAGATATGAGTATTTTCACTAATAGGCAGCATCTGTTCAAGATAGGTTTGTGTCTAAATGATGCAGGATTTTTCTCGGTCCCTTTGCCAGTTGGGGACCTCTGGCCTTGCTTGGGGTATGCTACTGGCCGCAGGAGGTGCCTTGCCCAATCAGCCCACCCAGGCCAAGTCTGGCCTATGCACCGTTCCTGAGTTCTTGTCCCACACCCAAGAAGAATGAGGATGCACTGACAATCAAAAAGTGATCAAGGCAGGAGTTTTATTGAGTGATAAAACAGCTTTCAGCAGAGAGGGGACATGGGGGTGGTCCCCCACCCAAAGGTGGGAAAGTCCCCATAATATGGCTGAGTCCAGGGCTTTTATGGGCTCAGAATAGGAGAAGGGCAGGCAAACAGGAACAGAAGTTCTCATTCTGTGTCGTGGGTTTCATCTGGGACCAGTAGTCCATTCTTTCTGCCTTCAGGCTGTTTTTTTGGTTTGAAGGTGGTGTTTCACAGGGGACCCACCCCTATCTGCCTAGGCATTTGGCTGCTTCCTGTTGCTATCCTAAGTGTGTTACAAAAAAAAAAGAAAAAAAAAAGTTTAAAGAATTGTTGAAGGAGGATTGTGGACCTGTTATACTCACACCCAAGTACACAGAAAGTTAGGTCACTAGTTGTCTACTTCTCATGTTGCTTCCATTTGGGCAATCTTGAGAAGCACTTGTTCTCACTAGCCATTGTTTATTTCAATTTAAAAATGACAGGGTTGGGATAGATCAAGAATCACAAATTCAAATGTCTTCAGAGAACAGGTTATAAAAGTAAGTGAAACAGCCAGCTAGGTATGGAATTGTAAGTGCTGGTGGGGCTGGAATTGGAGCACATCTATTCTGTCTAGAGACATTCACATTCAGAAAAACGTCAAAGATATCTGAGGATTAAATTCAACATATCTGTAGACAGCCAGCTATAGCCTCTGATCTAATTGATTTTTAACAAGTGCTGTAATCACTGATGAGTTCTTCCTGTCCACTGCACAGACAAAACCAATTTACTGAGACCATGGCATCATAATAAAGAAAGAGTTTAATTGAGATGTGGGAGATATAAAGTTATTACTCAAATTGATCTCCCTGAAAATTTGGAGGCCAGGGTTTTTTGAGGCTAGTTTGGTGGGCAGAAGCCAGGGAAATGGGTACTGCTGATTGGTAGGGGATGCCATCATGGTGTGGGGAAAATGGCCCTCATACAGTGAGTTTGCTTCCAACTGGGGGCCACAGGACTGGTTGAGAGTCCAGGTAGGGCCATCTGATTGTCAGAAATGCAAAAGCCTGAGAAGGCATCTCAAAAGGCCAATCTTAAGTTCTACAATAGTGAATTAGGGAAGTTCCAAATCTTGTTACCTCTAGAATAATGGCTGGTAATCATTTATCTATGCTATATATTAGCAGAATTCAGGCTCCTCTCATCCTCCTAATCTGGTGGCCTTTCATTAGTTTTATAAAAGTGGTTTAGTTTTGGGGAAGGGCTATTATCATTTAAAGTATAGGCTAAATTTTCTCCCACGTTAGCTTGGCCCAAGCCCAGGAATGACCAAAGGCAATCTGGAGGTTAAAGGCAAGTTGGGGGTTGGTTAGATCAGATCTCTTTCACTGTAATAATCTTCTCAATTGTAATTTTTGTAAAGATGTTTTCAGTCCAAGGTTCTATAACTCTCCCACTGCCAGAGGCAGATAACTTGACTTCTGTATTTCTCATGTTGCATTCTTCAATATTGTTCTCAAACTCTTCACACAATGCTTGAACATCACATAAAGTTACCAGCCTTTGGAGCAATTTCCTACCTGTTTACTCCTTCAATTTTTTTCTCTCTTGAAATTATTACTGTCTTTTCTTCTTCACTCACTTATTTTTCTACCCAGTAGGATTACGTGCTTAGAGCTTCCTTATATTACAACATAAAATAGGAGTTTGATGAAAATAGTCAAAGAATTCCAAAATGGGTCAAAGCAAATTAAAAGGGAACAAAATGATTAAATCTAGGATTATTAAATCACTTTCCTCCATTTTGATGCAATGAACTTGCTGGACCATAAAAAGCAGGCTTTGATAAGTAGCCCTCTATTCTAAAATAAAAAAATTCTAAAGCATTTTATCACATATGCTGAAAATTCATCATTTATTTAAAACATTTTCATTGGCTACTTTCTCTTTCAACATTCATAATATTCTATTGGAAAAAAAGTTACCATTTCAGAGGGTTTAAATTCTGTTTTCTTCATCAGAGTTTCACAGCTTAGGTGACAAACTTCAGTTAAGATTTTCTTGAAGAGCCTTGATATTCAATAAATGCTCCTTCTCTTATACTTTCTTACTGCTATCTCCTTCTGACATGCCCAGCACTGCCTTACATTTGCTTCATTCATGAACTGCCATGAAAAATGCAGTTCTGAATTAAATTATCAGGCTACATTCCCTTTCTGGAACTCTCTCCTCCCAACACCCCACAGTCTTCATTTCCTCCCAGCACAGTGATATGTCCATTGATGTTTGGGGCTTGCTCAAGTTTTGCTGAAGTTTTCTGACCTATTTACATGTAACTGGCTGTCAAGCTAAGTAGTGCAAATCCTTTCCCTTTGCAATGACTATTGAATTAGTTCCTTTCTGTGGCATCTGGCTAAAGAGAAGTGCAAAGCAATTTCATTGTTGAGACAGAGAAAACAGGGCAGAGGTCAGATGATTCTGAAAGAAAAGATACCATTTGTCTAAAGATATAAAATTGCTTTTAAACTCTGCTCTCTTCCCCTTCTCTTGTTTTCCCTGTCAATGAAATAAAAAGTGTATAAATTATTTCTGTGCAAGAGACAATGTTAATAACGATGCTCAATTTTACTTTGTAACATATTTCTCTCTGTTCCTTTGTAATACTTCTGGGTTCAGTTATTTGTTCACGTGCTAACTCAGTGCTTGGCACCAAGGAGGATCTAATAACAATCTGTCAGAGTCTCTGATTAACATTAATAAAGTACCAAACAAGGTATCTAATACTAAAAAGAAAAAAAATAAAATTAAGAGTTCATAAAATACTTCCCAAATCCACAGATGAAGGGAGAAAGAGAGGCGCAGGGACCCCCTGTGTGGCCATGTTTTCTTTAATCTCTCTTACCAAATGGCCTTTGGCAACAGGTGAGCTTCTCAGGGGTATCTGAGGCTGAATAAGGGGAGAACATGGGTGTGAGAGGGCGAAAAAAGGGGAAGCAATAATTTTGGAGACAGGATAGCACTTAAAATGTGCATGAGGTAAGTTATGTGTTATATTATTTTAATATATTAAAACATTTAATATCTAATTGATCAGTAGCCTGGGACAAAATTCTGACCCGATTATCTCTTAAAAGAAACTTGATGAACACATTTTCTTCTCATAATTTGATTCTGAGAGAATAAGCCTATGTACAGGAAGCTAAATAAGCCTACATACAGAAGTAAAGTACAATACAGAGATGTCAGGAGGCAGTACGCATCATTGATTAGGGCATTCAATTCTGGACTTCAGAAGGAAGAAAAGTCCATGATGTGGCCTGCAAATCTAGGGCCCTGGCCTCAATAGACACCAGTGAATGACCTCCATCCTCATGGAAGTACCCAACAGAAAATAACTGGAAGTCCTGAAGTGTGGGCGCTTTACGTATACATCCAGATTACTCTCTGTCTCCTGCCCACGCCTGAGGTTTCCTTGGATCCATTGTTTTCTAGAATCCTGAGTCTCCTGAGATGCCCATGGCATCTCTTGCCTAACCATTTCCTCAACAATTAGTAGTTATGCTTAAAATATTTTAAAATACACTTCAGCACAGGAGACTGTCTTAGCTTTGGGGATGAGATCACAATTTCAGGGGCTCTGTAAGCTGTGCAGAGGAAGACAGAAGGACCATAAAAAATATGGATGTTATAGGCTCACATATGTAATCTGAGTTCTGGAAGGGCATATTTGGTCATGTTTACCCTATATGCCCTTTATGCAGCTTGAGGACTGCCTGGATCTGATTCTTTATAATCCTCAGCAGACTTAGGTGGAAACGGAAAAGACAGCTGCCTACACAGTGAAATTCGAAAAGCCTCAAGATGCCCTCCTGCCAGTCTGCTACAGTGCCTGGAAAGCAACAACTATAGTCATTCAGCTGTGTCCTTAAGAGACCTTTCTTAATAAGAAAAGGAGGTGACATGTTTATCCATCACAGCTCTGTCTTAATTAAAGATATTCTGGTTGCAGGTAACAAAAACATCCAATTTATATAAGCTAGTTCATTGGAAAATAATGAAGCTATCTCTCAGAGGAGAATGTGAACAACCAATATGAAGAGATTGGAAAGCCCTATAAAATAAAGTTATCAGAAGGAGAAAACTCTTTTTTATTCTGTCTCTGTTTACCATAAAACCCATTTTCAAGAATACTCAATAACATTATCTGCCACTGTGTTCATTCATAATTCATTTTGATTCATGATCTACACAGCTTTTTATCAGTCTTAATTTTACAATCTGTAAATTGGATATTTAATTCTACTTTTTCTATAAATAGACAACAGAAATAATATTTACAAGTTCCAATGAATAAGATCCTATAAACAATATTTGAGCATTGTACAATTTTATATATTCTATCAACAAGTATTATTGCATACCTACTGTGTATATGGCATCTATTTATAGTAAATTTCTTCATCTCTGAACATTCCTGAATTTTAGTGCTCTCTTTTAGTTAAATTTCAATGTTACCCATTTTACTTTGTAAAATTTTCTATCTTCCTACCATTCTCCACTCTTGCACTCTGATTAAAGATTTTTGGGGGGTGGAATTAAAGAACAGCAGGCAGCCTTCTCTGCAAGGTAATTTACATCTAATTAGAGGAACATTTCTCAAACTATTCTGTGGAAAACTAGTTCCTTGAAATGTTCTATAAACCAAGGAGGTGAAAGACCTGTACACTAAAAGCTATAATGTGTTTAATGAAAGACATTGAAGACGACACTAATAAATGGACAGATAGCTCATGTTCATGAATTAGAAAAAATTAATTTTGCTAAAATGCCAATACAACACAAAATAATCTACAGATTCATTGTAATTCCTATTAGAATTTCAATGTCATTTTTCAGAGAAATAGAAAAACAATCCTAGTATTTATATGGAACCGCAAAAGAAGCAAATTGCCAAGGCAACCATGAGCAAAAAGAACAAAGTTGGAGACATCATATTACATGACTTCAAAATATGCTACAAAGATATAGTAATTAAACCAGCACTGTCAGGCATGTATGGTCATGTAGGTGCATGTACACACGTGTATGGCTAGCTGATTTTTGACAAGGGTACCAAGAATACACAATGAGAAAAGGCCAGTCCGTTCAATAAATCATGCTGGAAAAACTGGATATCCATATGCAGAAGAATAAAATTGGACCTTTACCTCACATCGTGTACAATAATCAACTCAAAATGGATTTAAAACTTAAATGTAAGATCAGAAACTGTAAAACTACTGGAAGAAAACATAGGGGAAAAACTACGTATTGGTCTGGGAAATTATTTTTTGGAATTTGATAGCAAAAGTGCAGGCAACAATAGTAAAAATAGACAAGATTATATCAAGATAAAAAACTTCTGCACAACAAAGGAAACACTCAACAGAGTGAACAGATATATTTGTGAGAAAATATTTGTAAGCTATATTTATCTGATAAGGGGTTAGTATCCAAAACATATAAGGAATTCAACTCTTCTATAAAAAATTTTAATTTAATTTTATGTTAAGTTCTGGGATACACGTGCAGGACCGTGCAAGTTTGTTACATAGGTAAACGTGTGCCATGGTGGTTTGCTGCACCTATCAACCCATCACCTAGGTATTAAGACCCACATGCATTAGGTATTTATCTTTATGCTCTCCCTCCCCACATCCCCCACAACAGGCCCCAGTGTGTGTTGTTCCCCTCCCTATGTCCATGTGTTCTCATTGGAACTGAACTCTTCAGAGGAAGAAAACAAATAACCTGATTTAAAAATGGGTAAAGGACCAGAATAGATCTTACTCAAAAGAAGATATGCAAATGGCTAACAAATATATGAAAAAATGCTCAAAGTCACTAATGATTAGAAAAATGAGAATTAAAACCACAATGATATATCATCTCATACCTGTCAGAATGGCTATTGTTAAAAAGACAAAAGGCAAAGTGTTGGCAAGAATGTGGAGAAAGGGAGCTTTTGCACACTGCTGGTGGGAATGTAAATTAGTATAGCCATTATAGGAAACTGTATGAAGGTTTTTCAAAAAACTAAAAATAGATATACTATATGATCTAGCAACCCCATTTCTGGGTCTTAACCCAAAAGATTTGAGATCAGAGTGTCAAAGAGATGTTTGTACTCTCATGTTCACTGTAGCATTAATCACAACTGTCAAGATATGGAATCAACCTAAATGTCCATCAGCAGATAAATATAAAAAAGTACCATATATACAAAGTGGAATACCATTCAATCTTAAAAAGAAATAAATTCTGTCCTTTGCAAGAACATGGATAAAATTGGAGAACATTATGCTAAGTGAAAAAAACCAGGAACAGAAAGACAAATATGTTCTCACTTATATGTGGTATCTAAAGCAGTAGCACTTAGAGTAAGCAGAAAGCAGAAAGGTGGTTACCAGAGGCGGGCAATGGGGGAGTGGGAGGAGTGGTGGGAATGGGGAAATTATAGCCAAAGGATACACAACTTCAATTAGACAGAAAGAATAAAATTTTTCTTTGAGACATATTATGCAGTGGGGGTGAATGTAGTAAATCATAGTGGATTGCACATTTTTTGTTTTACAAAGGTATATTTCTTTTTTTTTCTTTAAGTTTTGGGACACATTTGCAGAATGTGCAGGTTTGTTACATAAGTATGTATGTGCCATGGTGGTTTGCTGCACCTATCAAGCCATCATCTAGGTTTTAAGCCTCTCATACTTTAGGTATTTGTCCTAATGCTCTCCCTCCTGTTGCCTCCCACCTCTTCCCGACAGGCTTCGGTATGTGATGTTCCCCTCCCTGTGTCTAAGTGTTCTCATTGTTCAACTCTCACTTATGAGTGAGAACATGCAGTGTTTGGTTTTCTGTTCCTGCATTAGTTTGCTGAGAATGATGGCTTTGACCTTCATCCATGTCCCTGCAAAGGACATGAACTCATTTTTTTATGACTGCATAGTATTCCATGGTGTATATGTTAGATTGCACATTCCAGCTGCTGAGAGAGTACTTTTTCTCACGAAAAAAAAAAATTAAGGTAACAAATACGTTAATTAGCTTGATTTAATTATTCCATATTGCATTCATAAACATAATATCACTTTGTACCCCATAAACATATACAACTATATTTTGTTAATTTACAATTTATAAAACAAAGATTGAAATTGCCAAAGCTTTGGAACTCTCCATATTGTACCCTTAAAGTCTATTAACAATTAGCATATGAAAGACTCTGAAAAAAAGCTTCAGTAAATAAATATGACTCACTTTATTTCTCACATATATTTGACCATGAAACCGATTTGCAAGAATATCCAAATTAGCATCTGACACTAGTGTTCTCAGGGATACACATAGGGACACATTAACTTAGATTCATACTTTCTTAGTTTTATGTCCTCTTGGTTATATTGTCGAGGGTCTTGCTATATTACCCAGACTGGTCTTGAACTCCTGGGCTCAAGTGATCCTCTCACCTCAGCACCCCCAAGTAGCTGGGACTTCAGGTGTGCCACCATGCCTGGCCTCCTGATTCTTTACACAGGCCAGATAACTTTTACAAAGCCAACCACAGAAAAGTTTACAAAGGATGTAGTGGATAGTGTGATTGCTGTTCTCTTCTCATCTGAAAAAGGGCAAAACAAGCAGGTCACTTCAAAAGTCACTGAACAAATGCTTAATTGCCTTCTGGAGGTAGTCCACTCCACTTTAAACTATTTTCTTCATAAATTACTTCCTGTAGCTGTTCTAACCTCTTTCCCTAAAAATAATCTATTTTTATTTTTAGGAGTAGGACTGCCAGTGGCCTGAAGATATCAGGAGGTTCTCAAATTATTTTTATTTGTGTGCCATGTATTGAATTGTGTATGTAATAAATACATGCATTGAATCATAATTTATAGTTATATAATGCTTATATGCTATGTCTGTTTTACACATAATTCCTGGAAGTCCAATTTGATCTAAGCAAAAAGGATTGTGATTTAGAGGTTTCATTGAACTAAAGATAATGCAATATCAGAGACAAACTCAAGATGACAGCTAGAGCAAACTCTCTGAATTTGAAACTTTAGCCAAATAGTTAGTTTAGGAAATGAGTGGGTAGTTGCAAACCCCTCCAGAATCCTTACAGCAGCTGCAGCTATAGTTCATATATTTTTTAAAAGGCAGTTATCATCATTTATAACCTAGTTCCACTGTGTATCAGGAGTTGTTGGAAAATCTGAGAACATTTATTTAATTGTACATGTAATTTACCAATCTGTGTGGCAAACCCGGCACATTAATGGAAATAATTCAAATTTCACTGATGTATCGATTCTACTACATGAAGCTGCATCTGTATCTATTTTTGAAATGATTATGTAATAAACCCATGAGATCACATGTGTGTGAGCATGCACATACACATATACACATTAGAATTTGGGATTGGGGGAGGGCAGCTTTTAGTATTGAATATTGTACAAGTGTTGCACATGTATTCACAAATAAACCCACTTCCATTGAACCCTTGCTGCTCCTATAGGAACTGCAATTACTGCCACTGGCCCACAGTGCTCCACAACCTCTCCTCTGACCCAGTATCACCCCTACAGAGCACCAGCTCTGATGTGCTAGAGCTGTCATGCTGCCCACTTTATGTATCTAAGAGGTGGAAGGCAATTCCTTCCTTCACTTTGGGCATAGTCCTTTAAAGTATTTATTGAGCTTGACTATTTTAAGAGATTTTTGTAAAATCACTCTTTTATTTATGATTTTGTGCTTTGAATCACGACTTGCCTTCAACCACTAAAGTGTATAGCATCTATTTATAGGCTGCTTCTTCACTTGGGGTGAGTTCTTCCCCAGAAGGCTCCTCAGTCTTGCAGAAAGTCTTCCCTCGGGCCAATAATTTTCCAAGCATACTTGTTTCCATATGAACTCCTGCAGTTAATGCAGTTTGGGATGTTCTTCAGAAAGTGTTTGAACCCTCATTCAAATGTTTTTTTATTGGACCACCTCATCACATCTCCTGATTTCCCAGCCATGTACTTGGCCTTAGACAAACCCTGGGCTGAAGCTGAGGTCACAAGTGGAAAAAAATGTGATTAAAATGGTGGTATTCTCTATCTATAATCAGATTATTCACCACCATCCAGATCAGGACTATGTACTTAGGGATTTTCCTCTTGCCCAAGCTCATGGTAAAACTCCCTTTAAAACAAACCTCTGCTTCTAGACTAATCACCTGGCTCTGAGCCCTCCTGTATTCACTGGATGTCATTGGTTTCAATTTTCTCTTACCTTCTATTATAATTTTCTGTTTCACCCCATCAGATTGGATAGAAGACTAACTAGATTGGCCTTCTAGGATTTGTTTTGAATTGTTCATTCTGGCTCCACACACCAATCCCCATTGGTACAGGATTCCTACATGTCTCATAGGTGGAAATCAGACGATTGTTACTTACAAAACTAATGGCTGTATTCTCTGTCTCTAAATAATCTGACTACTTTCTTTGTCTTCTCTTCCTCCATTGCTTCATATATGTGGTTGCTTCTTGTGGATTGTCTCTAGCTTTTCTTCTCCACATTCCCTTGAGAATCACTTTCATCCTTAATTCAGCTCTTACTGCCTACAGACTTCAAGACCCTTCAGCTTTAACCATTGCTTTATGTTACCAGACTCAGAAGCTTACTACCAATTAAGTATGTCTAGATGAATGCTTGATGCCCAAACCCAGGCTGTAAAAAAACAACTCTTCACTCGCCTGTCCAAATGGCCGCTCTTTAAGTGTCCTTGCCAACACTCCATTTCCCAGCCTTAAGCCCTCAGGATCACTGCATCTTTTCCTTTAGCCCACCCTACAGAAGTTAGCAGTTTCTAAGACTCACTGATTTTACTTCTATTTCCTTTGTTTTCTATCGTCACTGCTTAAATCCTAGTTCAAACTCTTTTGTCTTAGGGATAGGAATACTCCCTTCTCTGGTCACTCTGCCTCCTGTCTTTCCCACATACAAGCACCTTACGTATTATTCTTGACCAATTTTCCTCAACTGCAGTCATTTTCTTTTGACTATGAAACCAAAACTTTCCTCCTAATATGCTATAATATATACCAACATACTTTTCCAAATTTATTTAGGAATCCATTTAAAGGCTACAGTCCAAATAACTTCTTCCTTTGCCTCACATATGTACCAAAATTTTCAGCCTTGATGGGTTTGCTTATGATGCTCCTCCATATTGGAATGTTATTCCTTCTCCCAGATCATGTTCTCATGTCTCAAAATAATTTTTCCTTCAAGGACCTCCTTAAACATTACCTATCAATGAAATTTCCCATAATGCAATCATTCAGAAATAATTGTTGCTTCAGCTCACCTCCTATAGTACTTTGTAGACATTTCCTTTAAGTATCTATTTTTTTCTATCTTTTATTGTAAATGTAGTTATATATTTTCCCTTCTAGAGGTTAAGTATTTGAAGAAAAATTTCATAAACCTATTTATCTTCATTTCCTTCACAATGCTTAATGAATTATTCAAATTGTCCTATGTGTTAACCAGTAATTTTTTTTTTTTTTTTTTTTTTTTGAGATGGAGTCTCAATCTGTCACCCAGGCTGGAGTGCAGTGGTGCAATCTCGGCTCACGGCAAGCTCTGCCTCCCAGGTTCACGCCATTCTCCTGCCTCAGCCTCCCGAGCAGCTGGGACTACAGGAGCCCACCACCACGCCCGGCTAATTTTTTTGTAGTTTTAGTAGAGACGGGGTTTCATGGTATTAGCCAGGATGGTCTCCATCTCCTGACCTCGTGATCTGCCCGCCTAGGCCTCCCAAAGTGCTGGGATTACAGGCGTGAGCCACCGTGCCCAGCCGTTAACCAGTAATTTTTAATATTTTTAGTAGATTGACATGCTACAGAAAGTGCTGTGGTTCTAAAACTTTACTAATTTAATTAACCTGATTTGCAAGTTTTTGCTATCACAAAGTTTCTGTATGAGGATTGGATTAATCTTGACTCTAAGGATAAAGCCTTGCTTAATGCATTCAATTATCTGAATCTGTTGGATGTGATAAAAGAATGTGTATTGGCCCTGTCAAATTGTCTTATGAATTAAATTACCTTCATGAAGGCCAAATAATAAGATGAACTGAAGAACAGGATTTAGCAAAAAGGAAGCCAGATTCTTCTAATGTACTTATATCATAACCAAGTGAATAAAAGGATAAAGTATCAAATCAAGGGATCCACTGAATGTCCTCATAGGAAGAGCAGGAGTTATAACTTCAGTGATAATTGCTTAGTAGTGGCCCAGCCAGAGAAAAAGTCAGGGAAAAAGAGAAAAAAACGTGCTCTTCCCTTTCAATGAGGGATTTTAATATGCATGATGGGCCAGGCATGGTGGCTCACACCTGTTATCCCAGCACTTTGGGAAGCCGAGATGCAAGGATTGCTTGAGCCCAGGAGTTCAAGAACAGTCTGGGCAATGTAGGAAGACCCCATCTCTACAAAAACTAAAAATAAAAATTAATCAGGTGTACTGTTGTGTGTCTGTAGTCCCAGCTACTTGGGAGGATGAGGCAGTTGGATCGCTTGAGCCCGGGGATGTTGAGGCTGCAGTGAGCTGTGGTGGTGCCACTGTACTCCAGTCTGGACAACAGAGTGAGTCCCCTATCTGAAAAAAAAATACTGAATATCTGTAACCATACCTTTGAGGATGTCAAATTAGAATAAAACAAATTAAGGGGAAATAAAACCTAGCATCTACTTAATGCTTCTGCATGTCAGACACTGTTCTAAATGCTTTGGATGTGTTCCTCATTTAATTCTTACAACTCTGTATACAGGCATCATTATTAGTCCTTTTTTTTTACATTGAAATAAAACTAAGGCATAGGCAACTTAAGCAAGTATTCAAGATAATGTAAGATCACATCTGAAGGAGCTTGGATTTGTTTAAATCCAAGCAGTTGGACTCTAGGGCATACAATTTCAATGATTATACTAACCCTACTTTATTGCTTTACAGATAAAGCTCTCTTACCCAACTTACCAAAGGAGATAATATACAAGAAAATAAGCAATATTTAGTCTTATTCATGTATTGAACATGTATCTACTAAGCACTTACATTGTTCTGTTCTAGACGCTGGGAACACAGTTGAGAGCAAAGCAGAAGCACCGACCTTGATAGAGTCTCCATGAGGGTTTGATACACAGGTAATAAGTAAATGAAATAAAAAGGGATAATACAAGTTTATATAATAGTTCAAAAAATAAACACAGCAAGAAGGTAGAGAACATGCATAGCAATAAGGGGTCCTGTTTCAGATCATTTGCTTTGGAAAGGGATACCTGAATAGGGAGTGATTTGACCAGCATGTGAAAGGAGCATGCTATTTAAAGATGCAGATGAGAGGTGTGTAAACAACTTGTGGTATGTTAGTAAAACATGATAGGGCCAGTGAACCTGAACTGAGTAAGCAAGGGGAAAGTTGTAAGGTGGAGAGGAGCCAGATCATGCCAGGCTTTTGTTTGGTTAAGGCCAAGAAAATGAGTTTGAGTTTTATCCTAAGTAGACGGAAAACCATTAAAAGTTTTGAGCTACAGAAGTGAACTGATCTGCTTCTAATTGCAAAAGGATCACTGTGGCTATAATGTGTAAAATAAGAAATAGAGACTGAAGCATATACGAATAGAAACAGAGAGAGTATTTAGGAAGTTTACTGCAATCTTCTAGTCTAGAGAAGATAGAAAAATAGTGTTGGAAATGATGAGAAACTATCAGATTCTATATACATGTTGAAAATTGAGTCAACAGAATTCACTAATAAATTGATTGTGGAGTTTAAGGGAATTAGGTATTGAATACAACCCCTTGGTTTTTGGATTTGTCAGCTGGATGAATGGCAGTACTCTCTACTAATGGAGAAGACTGGGGGAGAAAAAAATTTTTGTGGGAATGATAAATGAAAATCAAGAGTTCTCTTTTGAACATGTCAAATTTAAAGTCTATATCAGATATCCAAGTGGAGATGCTAAGGAGGTAGTAAACACACACACACACACACACACACACACAGACAGAGAGAGACAAAGAGGTCAGATTGGAAATAATATTTGGAAGTCATCAGCATAAAGATGGTATCTAAAGCCAGGAGTCTGCAGGAGCTCACCTAGTGATTTAATAGAAAAAAAGAGATGAGAAAAGGATTGAAAAGAAGCCAGTGAGTCATGAAGTCAAGTACTTGAAGGGGAGCAACCAACAATAACAACAATAAAAAAATTAATAAATAACTTTCAGTAAGGAGGAGTAACAGATAGTCTAATGAAATGCATTTTATTCATTCCATGTTCATTTGGCAAATACTAAATGAGTGATTTCTATGTAGCAAATCCACTGGTCAAATATATTTGCACAACTCAGTCTTAAAATGACCCCTAGTCAGATCCTAATCCTTGTTTTGCTCATTTATTTCTGGCATCACTTTTTCTCCTTAAATAACTGTATTTTCCCTCTGTTTTTGCTTATCCTAATTTCAGCTCACTTTCAATACTCACTTCACCTGCTACATGATCCCCTGCTGGATAGTTTTTCTAAATACACTTGTCTTATACTCTTTTTGACATAAAAGTTTTTATAGCAATGTAATATGTATCTTTCTGTAGATCTAGTCACTTCAAGTATATTATAAGCCTTTCTGAAAGGCAAGGATCAAACAATAAAATCGTAGTGCTATCTGTATTTTTTTTTCTTTTGGTATTGTTATCATAAGTATTAAATACCCACTTTTTAGACTTGTGAGAGTTTTTTTTATGGTCATCTATTCCAATAATTCCAAGTATAAAGACTGTATTTTACCACGGAGAGCTCCAAACTTAAGCTCCAAACTTAAGTTATCTACCCATATTATGAGCCTTACTAGTTTAAACCAAGCACCTTGTTTCCTTTCTTTTGATTAGGATTACACCACTTGAATGCTTTTATGCTATTTGTCTCATGGTAATTACAAATACTGATTATTAATTAGTTGTCTTTTATTAATACATGAATTATTAGTCTAGAAATATGATATAGACAAAACATTTTAAAAGATAAAACTGACAAAGATAGATAAATAAAGGAATATTGGTTATATGTGACCCACACAGATACTCAGGCCAAACTGGGTTGGGGTGAGAACACCCACAAAAGAAACTCAAAGATAGAAGTGTCCTTGGAATCAAGTTTGAGGAGACATGACAAGAATGGATATTTCCCAGTGGATTCCATGAACACTCTAGCCCTGAAACAGTGAGAAAACCAGAAAAGACCTAAGGGATATGAGAGTATAATTTCAATGAGAGAGGACAAGCTGTGGAATGAATTAGAAAAAGAAACTGAAGTAGGATAGTTCAGGAAATTAAATCCTAGGGCACAGAGAAATTCTCAGAGCAATTCTAGAATGTACACTGTAAAGAATACTACTCTTTTTTGTAAAGAATACTACTTTTTTTCCTCCCTAATAATGAAAAAAATGAGATATAGAAAAAGTAAGAAATTTGCCTGTGTTTCAATCTCAGGTCTTGGTATTTCTAAAGGTTAAGCTTCTAAACACTACTCTATTTCCTTGTGTCCCTTTTTTTGGCAAGTAAATGAGTAAAGATTATACTGTTTGTTCAATCAAGTTATTGTCCAAGAAATTAACTGGAATTCAGCTATTTATTATTTATTTATTTAGGTTAAGCACTTCTCCTACCTATTTCAGTATAAGAAGTATGCACAGTTCTTTCTAAAACTACACTTCTTCATTTTTACTCAAGATTATAACTCTTCCTGACCCCTTCAGAGATAATAATCAGCCAGTTTTCTCCAGATATAAAAGTTATTTATGGGCAGTCTGAGTTTCCATTGACAGAACTCTAAGATATAACTGGTGTTACATATATTTTTAAAATTTCATCTCTGTGATTCAGAACTTTCATACATTTCCTACATATCTCTTTGTAACTTCATTTTGTCCTTCTATAAAGTTATTTTATCTTGAGGACATACAATTATTCATGTATCCTTGACTCTTAAAAACTCTCCACTGAATCCCCTTCCCTGGTATGCAGCTATTCTCCTTTTCATCTTAATCAAAGTTCTGAAAGAATAATTTTGAAAAAGATACCAGCTATTTAGTGAGTATCATAGCCAAGTTTACACTGAGAATTTTATGTCCATTATCTTCTTTAATTCATGCTACAAATTAATTAGGCAAATATATCTTGAAAATGGCTTTCTATTCCCAGCTCTGGTCATTGGTTCATATCAGAGAAAATCTCCCACTGAGAACTGGAGGTTAAAAAATAATTTTTTTATTTTTTTTTTGAGATGGAGTTTTGCTCTTGTCACCCAGGCTGGAGGTGCAATGGCATGATCTCGGTTCATTGCAACCTCTGCTTCCCAGGTTCAAGCGATTCTTCTGCCTCAGCCTCCCCAGTAGCTGGGATTACAGGTGCCTGCCACCATGCCCAGCTAATTTTTTGTATTTTTAGTAGAGACGGGGTTTCACCATGTTGACCAGGCTAGTCTTGAACTCCTGACCTCAGGTGATCCACCTGCCTTGGCCTCCCAAAGTGCTGGGATTACAGTCATGAGCCACCGTGCCCAGCCTAACCTATTGTTTTAAATATTCCTATACAGGTGTAAGCCACTGCACCTGGCCCAATTTTTTTAAAACCTATTTGATGATTGTCTATGTAGAAATTCAAAAGAATCAACAACAACAACAAAAAACTTACTGGAACTAATAAATGATTATAGCAAGGATGCAGGATAGATACAAGGCTAATATACAAAAGTCAACCTCTTTTCTATATATCAGTAATGAACAAGTGGAATTTTTTTTATTATACTTTAAGTTTTAGGGTACATGTACACAACATGCAAGTTAGTTACATATGTATACATGTGCCATGTTGGTGTGCTGCACCCATTAACTCGTTATTTAACATTAGGTATATCTCCTAATGCTATCCCTCCCCCTCCCGCCACCCCACAACAGTCCCCAGAGTGTGATGTTCCCCCTCCTGTGTCCATGTGTTCTCATTGTTCAATTCCCACCTATGAGTGAGAACATGCTGTGTTTGGTTTTTTGTCCTTGTGATAGTTTGCTGAGACTGATCGTTTCCAGCTTCATCCATGTCCCTGCAAAGGACATGAACTCATCATTTTTTATGGCTGCATAGTATTCCATGGTGTATATGTGCCACATTTTCTTAATCCAGTCTATCCTGAACAAGTGGAATTTGAAATTAAAAATACAATACTATTTACATTAGCATCCACAAAAATGAGATACTTAGGTATAAATCTAACAAAATATGTACAAGATTTATATAAGGAAAACTACAAAACTCTGTTAAAAGAAATAAAAAAAAAACTAAATAAATGAAGAAATATTCCACAATCATGGATATGAAGATTCAATACTTTCAAGATTTCAGTTCTTTCCAACTTGATCTGAATGGTAGATTCAGTGAAATTCCAATCAAAACTTTAGCAAATACTTTTGTAGATATAAAAAATCTAATCCTAAAGTTTATATGGAGAGGTAGAAAACCCAGATTAGCCAACACAATATTGAAAGAGAAGAGAAGACCAAAGCTGGAGGACTGACACTACTCAACTTCAAGTCTTTCTAAAAAGCTGCAGTAATCAACACAGCGTGGTATACGTGAAGAAAATAGACAGAGATCAATGGAATAGAAAGCCACTAAACATAGCTAATCAATCTCCAATAAAGGAGCAAAGGGAATAATACAATAGAATAAGGATAGATTTTTTTAACAATGGTGCTGGAACAACTGGGCATCGACATGCAAAAACATAAATCTATGTTTTTATGCTCTTCACAAAAATTAACTCAAAATGGATTACAGACCTAAACATAAAACACAAACTTATAAGCCTCCTAGAAGATAGCATAGGAGAATATATAGGTGACGTTGGGTTTGACAATGACTTTTGAGATATAAAACCAAAGGCATGATCTATGAAAAGAAGAATTGATAATCTGTACTTCATTAAAATTAAAAATTTCTGCTCTGTGAAATACACTGTCCAGAGAATAAAAAGACAAACCAAAGACTGGGAGAAAATATTTACAAAAATTATAACTGATATGAACTGTTATCCAAAATATATCAAGAACACTTAAAATTCAGAAATAAGAAAACAAAAAACTTGAATAAAAAATGGGCCAAATACCTTTGGTAAGGGTAACAGACACCTTACCAAAGAAGCACATAGATGGTAAATAAGCACATGAATAAATATTTTGCATCTTATGTCACCAGGGAAATGGAAATTGAAACAACAATAAGAAGCCACTACACACCGATTAAGATGGCTAAATCCAGAACACTGACACCACCAAATGCTGATGAAGATGTGGAGCAATAAGAACTCTCATTTATTCCTGGTGGAAATGCAAAAATGATGCAGCCACTTTAGTACACAGTTTGGCAGTTTCTTACAAAACTAAATATATTCTTATTATATGATCTGGCAATCATGATCCTTAGTATTTACTCAAAGGGGTTGAAAATTTATGTCCACACAGTAATATGCACATGGATGTTTATAGCAGCTTTCTTCATATTGCCAAAATTTGGAAGCAACAAAGATGTCCTTCAGTGGGTGAATGTGTAAATAAAATGCGGTAAATATAGACAATGGAATATTAATCAGAGCTAAAAGCAAATCAGTTATCAAGCCATGAGAAGATACGGAGAAAACTTAAATGTTATTACTGAGTGAAAAGAAGTCAATATGAAAAGGCTACATCTGTATGATTTAAATCATATGACATTCTGGAAAAGGCAGAACTACTGAGAAAGTAGTGGCTGAGGGTGAGAAAGAGCGAGGTGGTACACAGAGCATTTTAGAGCAGTGAAAATATTTGGTATGATAATCATAGTAGTGGATACATGTCATTTTACATGGTCCAAACCCATAGAATGAATAACACTAAGGATAAACCCTGATGTAAACTATGAACTTTGGATGATAATACTGTGCCATGTAGGTTCACAATGGTAACAAATATGCCACTCTAGTGGGGAATGTTCATAATGGGAGAGGCTATATATGTGAGGGTTTAGGGGCTATGTGAGAAATGTCTGTACTTCCTACTTAATTTTTCTGTGAATCTAAAATTACTCTAAAAACTACAATATTTTAAAATATCCTATTTGATGAAATCAGATAGTTACAAAGGTGTCAAGGACTGGAGAGTATAAAATCTCATAGAGAAAGGATGTCCCAGAAATGTCAGATTTTGAGACATTTGCCAATTCTAGAGCAATGGTTGAGAAGCTGAGAAGTGGAGCAAAGTTTATAGCAGCTTATTGTTTGGGAAAAATATTGAAAATCAGCATCTACCCAGAATAAAAGGCCCTGGTAAACACTCAGGCTTTCTGTCTGTTACCCTTACCAAAGGTATTTGGCCCATTTTTTATTCAAGTTTTTTGTTTTCTTATTTCTGAGTTTTAAGTGTTCTTGATATATTTCAGATAACAATTCATATCAGTTATAACTTTTGTAAATATTTTCTCCCAGTCTGTGGTTTGTCTTTTTATTCTCTGGACAGTGTATTTCACAGAGCAGAAATTTTTAATTTTAATGAGGTATAGATTATCAATTCTTCTTTTCATAGATCATGCCTTTGGTTTTATGTGCCTCAGAATAAGCGAAGTAAACATTAGGCAAGAGAGATAGAGACCGCTTTTAGTATAACTGTGAGTTATCTCACCAGGAAGATATAACAAACCTGTTTTGTATGGACCTAATAACACACCTTCAAATTATATAAGGAACAAATTGACAAAATTAAATAAGAAAATAGATAAATTTATCATCATAATGGTAGTTTTAAAAAATGTTCTGTTAGTAATGTGATTTACATAGAAGATTTGAACACAAATAAACTTGATTTAATTAAGATATAAACATTACTCCCTCTCTCTATATATATCCAAAATCCACAAAATCCACAAATAAGGAGGTTTGACTGTGTGTATGAGCTTACTCACTAATATTTATTTACAACCCTAAAAAACAGAGTACTGTCAAGGTAAAATTTGGGCCACCCAACACATATGTTCCCAATTGAAGTCAAACAAGGGAATGTCCTACCTTCTTGATGAAGGGTTTTATCAGGTTGATCCATATGAATTACTATTTACATAGATTAAAATGTCAAATATCAGCAGTTTCATATGGTTCAACTTAGGCTGGGTGTTTTCAAGCTGTTCAATTTTTTTTTAGTACTTTTGTTTGTTAATTTCCAGTTTATTGGATTTGGTTAGACAATATAGAATATAGTTTCAAATGTATGCTTTTAAGTACATATAAACATATATGAATATTTTTATAAATAATGAGTATATGTTCTATATATATAAACACAGTACTCTGTGTGTGTGTGAACTGTACTTATTTAAATCTTCTATATTACTGGTCTTAAAATGTGATATACTTTACAGATTTTTACCAGGAGACAATTATACTTTTGGCCAGTTGAGTGCTTAAAAAAAAAAAAACTTAAATATCTCTTAAGTAGGGTATTGGGTCTCCATTTCAGTCACAGTCTATACCCCTTCCTATTGTCTTATTACTAAACTAATCCACAAAATTATATTATATGCCAAGATCCTATAGGCATTAGAATTCTCTTCCCTACTCTAGATCTTTTCCCTTGTGAGTTCCACATTTTGTTGCTGTTGTTGGCCTGTTAGATAGTTATTCCATTATTTTTTCAGAAAACTAAAGCAAGTGTTCTGTTTTTCTATTGCTGTACTAAATTTTGTAATTCAAATATAATGTTTCCTTGGTTCCAGAAAGCTCTTTTTGTGCTTTAATTGCACCCTCTTGAAAAGCTGTATTTTTTGTTCAAGCTTTTATCTTTTTCATTTATTTTACCTTAATAGAAACTTCCTGTTCTTATTATTCAATTAAGTCTCTTTCCCTCTTTTTAGTGAGTGTTTTTCAAAATGGATCACTGCTTCTCTTTGCCTTCTTATGAGTTTAAGTTATCTCTACTGCCCTATATGCTAGGACAGCGGTACCCAAACTTTTTGGCACCAGGAGCCAGTTTTATGGAAGACAATTTTTCCACGGACAGCGGGGAGGTGGAGGGATGGTTTCAGGATGATTCAAGCACACTATATTTATCATTATATTCTCATAAGGAGTGCGCAACCTAGACCGCTTGCATAAGTGGTTCATAATACAGTTCGGGCTCCTATGAGAATCTAATGACCCCACTCATCTAACAGGAAGCTGAGCTCAGCTTCACTCGTCGGTCACTCACTTCCTGCTGTGTAGCCTGGTTCCCAACTGGTCACTGACCAGTACCTGTTGGCTAATGCCTAAGATAACCCCACATCCTAGCATAGGGCTAGGATGTGGGGGTATTTTAGTCACTGGCAAAACTGCAGGAACTGGAAGATAGGAGTCATTTCCTTATGAGACAATGTATAGAGTCAGCTGAAAAATTGGGACCCCTTTTACTGAAGCATGCATGTGATGAAGACTGTATGCACGTGATGGAGACTGCTTAGTGTTTTAGACTTTTCTAAGTGCTCTTGGGGAGAACTATCTTCTTCCAACCACACGGACTATCTGTGTAGCCCACTAGGGGAGACTCTTTCCTGGGCCACTGGCACCAAGAATATTGTGCAACCTCCTCCAGGACTTGACAGGTGGGAAGGCACAGCTCCCCTTTTATCTAACCGATTTTAGGGAAGTAGTGTAATTTTTGGTCTTCACTCCAGGTTCTGCTATCCTCACAAATAATGAAAGCCTTTTTTTTTTTCTTTTACTTCTCAGGAGCTCAAGTCTTGGCAGCAAAGGGATTTCCTATAGATTCATTTAATGGGGTTATTTTATGTGTTGAAATGTCCTGGCAAAAAAAGCAACGTCCTGGCAAAGAAAGGAGGGGTTGGGGTGGGGTCAGGAATGTGAATTCAGATCGTCATTATTCATGAAAAGCCAACCATTCTTTTTCAGTTTGAACATATCTTTCTTTCTTTTCTGTTGTCCTTTCTGTGGTTCTTTTCTCAAGATGGCTATTCCTAGGGGCCTAGACCTTACCACAAACATCTCTAGAATCACAACCTTATGAAAGAAAGAAAATAATGGATCTGTTTTCCTTGAGCTGTAGTTAAAAAATAGAAGCTGGAAACTTCAAGTGACCCAGTTTTCACATTTACACAAGCCAGAGACCAGAGGGCAGAGTATTGTGATTGGCCTCTTTTAACAAAATTGCAGGGATAGAATGTGGAGGGAATAGTTCCTTAAAATAGACTGCATTTATAGTATGGGAAAGAATAGAGATTTTCCATCCATCACACTTCACTTTGTGTAAGTATCAACTATATGGTAATTGACCTGAAAATTGAGTGTAAGCCTTTTCTACCAATATTGGTTTTATGTGCTCTTGAGTTTTCTCTTGCCTGAGTATTTTTCTCTTTTACATTCTAGTTATATTTGCTTCTTGTCCCTTGAATAACATGACTAACACTAGAGGCAGAGAACAAACAGAACATTCAGTTTTGCCGTCACTCCATTGCTATAGCCCAGAGACATGGATATTTAAAAAGGGTAAACTTTTTTTAACGTTTCTCTTCTTAGGAGAACATTTTCAGGGACATTAAAAATAGGTATCTATGGAGAAATAACCAGTTTCTTAGCATAGCAGAACTTAAAAATGTGTTAATTTCTGAAATTTTAATTAAATAACTGAGTAAAAATCAAGATTCCTGATTGAATATACATGCATTATTGATTACACCTGCATCTATTTTTTAATCAAATATTCTAAGAGAATCACACACCACTTCAAATTGTGATTGGCTTATAATTTAATGCTTCTTCATGCAGCATCAAATGTAACTTCAGTTTTCAAATGTTGTACAAATTATATATTTGAGATTTCAGAGCTAACTAAATGTTATCTTCTCTGCTGAAGGAGATTGAAACAGAAAATGCAAAAAATAAAATAACTTGTTTTTGGAATGCATGTGTTTAATTTAGAAAGAGGCTTACCTCCTAAATTTTCTTGATTAAGCAACTACGAAATTTTATCTTGTATTTCCTGAGTGTGCAGAGTCTGGAGAATCATGCATCTCAATTGCCTTGGGTAAGTGTTCTAAGCAAGAGAATTGCATTTGGCTTCATGAAACAGAAAAACAACTCCAATGGCTTAACCAAGTGTGTGTGCATGTGTGTGTGTGTATGTGTGTTTTCCAGGCAATAAGAAATATGTATGATTTATAGATCAGGGCTTGTGCCAAAGTAATATGAGAGACCTAGGCTCCTATTTCTACCTTTAGCATGTAGCTTTCACAGTCATGGTTCCAGTATAGCCACTTTACCTTCAGGGAAGAGGAGGGTAATAATAAAGACAAAAGGATGATGCTTTTCTTTAGAAAGTAAAACTTTCTCAGAAGTCCTCAGCAAGTGCCTACTTATATCTCATTGGCTGGAATGATGTAACATATCCACCTATGGCTGCAAGGATGGCTTAGAAATACCATTTTTAGCCTGAACACATACAATCAGAGTTATTTTAATTAAAAATAGAAGGGGTTGGGAAAAGAAGAATCCCAGAAAGCTCTCAATGTTCAACACTGCTTATGACATGTTAGTTATTGTGCTAATCACCAAAGAGAGCTGAAAGGAGAGACTAAGACGTAGTAAAGCAGTGGGGTTAGAATCATGCTTGAAGTCCCACAGCTGATACTCCTGGAATAGAGTCAAAAGCACTCAGATACACTCAATCAAAATGTTGGTTCTGTCAGAAGCAGCTAGGCCCACAGATGTATCTTCAAGAAGCCTTAGGTGAAGGAGATGGTTTCTGTATGACATAACTCAAGTGGGCTGAATCTATTTCCTTCTGTACTCTGGTGGGCCATGTAAAAGGCCTTACCTCCTGGTTGGATGTGTTTTGTTGTTGTTGTTTGTTTGTTTTAGAAAACCACCATTAAAATTTACCTTTCTTTGCAAATAAGCTACAGCTCCTAGGACTTTTCCCTCTGCACACTCTCATGGATTAATTGATTGAACAGCCACATATTCTCTCAGAGTTGCTGGGGGAGGCCTTGGCTTCTGAGGCAAGAGTATGATTGTTTGGGGTCATTGTATGGGATAAGTTTGTTATTAGTTATCCCATACAATGACCCCAAAGGCCTTTCCTAAGGGCCTTAGGAAAAGCTCAGAATGCAGAAGGCCAGAACTTCACCTTCCTTAGCATTTTGCCTAGACTTCTCCTGAAGCAAATGTATTTGATTGTAAACAAGATGGGAATAGAAGGAGGGGTCCAATGTCAGGTTTCTGAGAAGCTTCTTATAAATAGCTCATGTCTCAACCATAATCTTACTCTTCTAGATGCAAACATCAAGAATGCTAAGCCCAAAGTTAAATTTTCACATAATCAGCTGTCAACTTTAGGCAGGAAAATCAAGGACTATGATTGCTATGTCCTATTTTTCTTGCAGATGTATAATGAGAATACATTACATGTTTGCTACCTTTTTTTGAAGGGCTCACAGGTAAGTAGCATAAGACTATGATGCCAAATGATGAGTTAATGGCTGCAGCACACCAACATGGCACATGTATACATATGTAACAAACCTGCACATTGTGCACATGTACCCTAAAACTTAAAGTATATTAATAATAATAATAATAATAATAATAATAATAAAGTCTATGGCTTGCATGGCATAAGTTAATGTTTTACAGTTATTAGAAAAAAGTAATCCTGTTAAAGAATCTATGAAGCATACTGACATGGTTACCCAACTCTACTATAAAAGGTAGGCTAATTCCCAACTGAAACACACATTTAGCACTGCTAGACATCCAGTCGCTTGCTTAGCCCACAAACTTTTCTTATTATCTTAGCTATGAAATATCTTATTTGTCAAATAATTATTTATGCTTTCTGGAACATTTATGTTATTATATAAATAATGTGATAAATATATATACATGCATATGTTATATACATGTATTTATCAAAACATTTATAATAATACAAATTTGGGAGCAAAGCCTATCTATATACTGGAATATAGGTAGTCATTTAAGATGGTGCTGTAACTATGTTTATTGATGTTGAAAATATTTTTGTAAAAGCATATGTGTACATATGTAGTATATACAAAATTACAAATGGCATGAAAGAAACCATAAATAGTATTATTTCTTATTGAGCATTATGGGCAATTTTCACTTATCTTCTTAAACTATTACATATTTTGTAGTCTAAAAGTGAGTATTTATAACAAAGAAATAAAATCACCAAGAGTATATAAAGAGGCTAACCCTTGAAGAACTTTTATTAGAATAATTTTAAGATAAATAAATTTAAGAGAAGAAAACAATCTAATGTCTTACTTAAAGACACTTACAAATGAAAGAGAATGGAAATTGAATTTCATTTAAGTGGTGTTTTTACATTCAAGAGTGTTCTCTCAATATTGTTTTGCATTAAATATTAATTTTACCCCCACACAATATCCACAGGGGGAATAGTTTTACTGTCTTATTCCAACAGAAAATATTCAAATTTAAATAAATTTATAAAATTAAATATAAATATAAAAGGGAATAAAAATAAATAAGGACTCTGAGTTTAGGAGTTAGTAGCAAGGTAAGTGGACAAGCCTGATTTACACAGTGAGAATGTATAAAAAAACAAAACAAAAACTGTCCACCTCTTTCTTTGGCCACAATATACCCACTGTTGAAGAAAAAAATAAAATGACCTTTTTCCATCAGAAACTGCTAATCAAAAGAGTGAGGTAGACAGATGGTTTTTTTTTGTTTGTTTTTCAGTAACTCTCCACATTCCACTTTGGGACTCCTCAGTCTTAGGTCTGTCTTAACTCACAAGGATTCATAGTGCTGCGGACTCATTGGTTAAAATGCCTTCTTCAGAGCCCACCATGTTTATTCTGAGGGGATGTTGAATGGCAACGTAAAGAAATAAACTCACCTGTCCTCCTATGTTAGCTGATAGACCATAATGCCTACAGCACTACATGCACAGGACTGTAGGAAACACCGCAGCATGGGAATCCTCAAGCTTCCTCTGAAGACAACCGAGGCCAAAGGAGAGTGAATGGCACTTCTCCTCCAGCTGCCTGGGGACATAGTGCAAGGCAGTTTCCCAAAGACCCAACATTCTTTAGAAGACCCGTGAATTATTTTTTAAATGATGCAAATTTGTATTCTGCTTCGTACTGCATCCATGCTATGTCAACAGAAAAATGTTTTAAGTTACTTAAAGAGAGGGAAAAATAAAAACAAAAGATTTTAATCAGACAATGAGAATAATACTATTGAAATAAGTCACGGGGGTTGATGAGAAAGATCATTTGGGAGGTGCAGTGGCTCAGGTCTGCAATCCCAACACTTTAGGAGGCTGAGATGAGAAGATTGCTTGAGCCCAGGAGTTTGAGATCAGCCTGAGTAACGTAGTGAGACCCCATCTCTACAAAAAAATTTTTAAAAATTATGTGGGCATGGTAGCATGCTCCTTTGGTCCCAGCCACTTGACGGGCAGAAATGGTAGGATTGCTTGAGCCCTGGAATTTGAGGCTGCAGTGAGCCTTGCACCACTGTACTCCACCGTGGGTGACAGAGCAAGTCCCTGTCTCAATTTAAAAGACAGACAGACAGACAGACAGAGAGAGAGGGAGGGAGGGGGAGAGAGAGATCGAGATCCTCTTGCTTTATAGTGTTAGGATGCAGGACATAAAATTTACAGGTTTGAATCTGACCCTACCTCTTTCCAGCTGTCTGGGCAAGTTACTAACTTCTCAGTGTCGTCTCATCTGTGAAATGAGAATCATACTTGCTTTTTGCACTGTAGGAGATTTAAATAAAGTGATTAATGTAAAGTATTTATCTCATTTCCTGATAGTCAAGCCATACTAAAATATGGTAGCAATAATTAATAACAGCTTCAGAGAAGCATAATAAATTGAAAAGAGTAACAATGCAGTTGACATTTAGCATTCTGGAGATTTGTATTGGTGTCACAATATTAAATGAACACACACTCAGACCAACATGCAAGTACCAGTGGTAGCTTAGTTGCTTTATAACTTATGACCCACAGAAGAGGGATTCTCTAAATACCAAAAGAAAAAATGTGTTGCAATTTTTTAAGGTGATATTGGTGAAAATGTTAGTAAATGCATTACTTTGTAGTGAGGTAGAATCATTTGATTTCCTCAGCAGCCTAGAAGATTCTCTGGATTTCCTTTACCATTTTAGCAAAATTCTTTCCAAAGGAACTTTATAATAAAGAAAGTTAAATTATGTGATTATTTACTTTACCATCAACATTTTCTTTTAGTTTTTAACAATGCCTCAAACAAGTCTTTCTGATCAACTCATGTCATACAACTCTAAAAAATCTAGCTTCTTTTTTGTTATGTTTTTCCTTTTTATTTTTTAAAAATCCTCTTTTTAAATTTCTTTGAGCATTTTAAACTTACCTATTAAGCTCATTTTCTATTTCCTTGTGTTCAAATTCTGTTTGTTACCATATTACAGCTCCTCTTTATAAAGCTTTATTCCTTGAATCTTTTGTAATCCTTGTAAGTTTATCATACTTTTCATGAGAATCCCACACACTCTGTGCTAGGAAACATAGCCACAGGGCAATCTCCCTTTCAGCTCTGCATGGCAGAGTTCCTAGAGCTTCATTGATTTCATATATTCCTATATGAATTTCTTGTCTTAGGGTTCCCACATTTCGTAAGTATTATAAAATTGGATCTCACATCCACATACAGTACAAACCTGAGTGTCCAACTGCTTTTGAGCTACACCTTTTTCACCAAGAGTTCCTGGTGGTCTGTAATTTCCTTCCAGCTATCTGATTCCTCATCTGGGGGCTACACAACTCTTATGTAGACTTTCAAGATTTTAAGAGTGAAGCCCTTTTTGTTTTACAGGGTCTACTGTGTAGATAGGAGCTCACTCCTATGCACAATGTTTGTTTATGCTTTCTCCCTCCTTTGGAATATGAGCTCTCCTAAGGCTGAGATCTTGTTAGATTTGGTCACCTCTTTTGGCCTCATGATAAGCTAATATTAGTCAATCATAAAGTTAATGAAGAAATAGATAAATGTTGGGCCTATGGATTTGAGTGCTCCCTGGCCTATTTTTTTTACATCTTGGGGGTACATTTACTCCAGTGTGACAGATCCAGTCTTAATTAGCAATGTGAGTGTGGACATCCAAGCATTAGGATACAATAATAGAGAAGATACTTTTATACAAAAATTAAAAAATAGCATTTTCTTCATAAGAATTAGAGATATTACCGTCTTGAGAAGAACAAAACAACATTCTGTACAGTTCTGTATTCCAGTTATAATAAATAGTAGAGATTTTAAGTGTAATGGCTGCATTTACTTACATAATTGCTTTCATATTAGGAACCACTTAGATTTAAAAATATCCAGGATATGTCTTATCATTGTTTGTTTTTATTAGATTATGAATAAAATAACATAAAATACAGTAAGACAAAGCACAATAGACATAGTAAGACATAAAGACATAAATAGTAAGACATAAAGAACACAATGATCACTTGAGTAGCCACCCTCCATTTTGTGGGGACAGAAGAACGTTATGGTTAACTTTGAAGTCCCTCTTGTGTCACTTTCTGATTCTTTCCCATTCCATTCTCGAATGAATCATGATCATAAATTTTTGTGTTTTTTTCTTTTAAAATTTATTCTTACTTATAACATGTACTATGTATATTGTATTATAAAATCCAAGTAAATGTCTATAATATATTGCTTAATTTGTCTATATTTTTAACTTGCTTCTTTGCTCTGCATTATACTCTTGGCTTATGCTATTGCATGTGGTTAGAATATGTTCATTTTCAATGGAGTAAACTATTCCATTGTCTCATATTTTTTACTTTGTTTGACATTTGGTTTGTTTCCTATAATTTTTGCTTTTACTACTTCAGTGAACATTTTGGTACACATGCTTGATGACATGTGAAAGAGTTTTTCTATAATAGAGCTTTTCAAGAGTTGTGCCATGTTAAGTTACAGATTGTGCTACAAAATAGTGGTCTCCATCCTGAGATTATCTAGTGAGGCCTGGGTTAGCTAGAATCCCTGGACAAGTTGCTCCAAACACTGGCTGCTTCATTACACTCTTCTCAGAGGATTACCAGAGCAAAATGGAGTCAGATATGGTACTCCATGTTCTCCTTCAGTTGTGAGCACACTAAGTGTCCTGAGATGCTAAAATGCTTGTCACATGGACATCTATTTTAAACGTTGGCTTCAAAGTGAACCATTGCCCATGGTGGATAAGGGGCCCTAGGAACTGCTGAGAGCTTGTGTTCCAGATGGCCAAAAAGCACAGCCTAAAAAACACAGCCAAAAAAGCAGAGGTGAGACTGGTCAAGACTTGGGTTTTGGGGCCACCAGATGTTATTCCTGAATTCCTGCCTTCAAATATAACAGATAATTCTGTTTAATTATGACAAATGTGCACTTCTATTAAGAAAAAGGGCTTGCTACAATTGGCTTTATACATATTCATACTTCTGTATGATTTTGAAATTGTTGACATGAAAAAGACCAATTGAATTCAAAATATGTTCACATTTTTGAATTATTTGCAACTTTACCTTGGAAGAAAAGGAAGATCTGTTTTATACTCTAAATATAGTTAGAACTGTTGTGCATGTTTATTGATTTTGAGAAATTAATTTTAAACTTTTTACCACCTATTTGAGTGAATTATTGCTGATGCTGGTTTTTGAGTATGTATAGTGTTCATTATGCAGGAGTCATGATAAAAGATTGCATATGGCAATTTCAAGTATAAGTCTGATAAAGTTATAATCATGAAAAAGTTGAACATTCTCAAATATTTTAAATCATATTTAGAACTTTCAGATAAATTTAATATTGAATTCCATATATTTAAAAATTTACTTTAAAAATATTAATTGTATAATCCAAAGAGAACCTAATAGCCTTTTAAAATCTGTGCCTCATTATGAGTGCTCTCATAATCCCTAAAGTTTACACCAGTATACATTATTTGCATACTCTCATTGTTTACATGTGTCATAATTTGAAAACCTGGGAAGCATTGTGCTACAGTATGTATTTAGAAATAGAAATTCTGGGTTAAACGACATGAACATAATCTTTAAATGACAATGCCTAATTGTTTTCCAATTTACACTCCACTCCGAGCAGCAAAGTTCAAATGTACTTGTTCCAAATCTCTGCCAGCACTTGGATGGTTTTAAATTTTTATAAATCTTGGAGGTGTGCATTTTAAATTTGTAGTTCCCTGGTTACCAGTGATTTTAAATATCATCTTACATGTTTATTGATCACTCAGGTGCTTCTTCTGTTAAATGTCAATCCATATATTTTGCTTACCTTTATTGCTTATCTTTTTCTTGTAGAGTTATGTGAGTTCTTTGTTTATCCTGGATAATAGTCCTCTGTAAATTATTTGCATTGCAGTCATCTTCTTCCCATAGGTTGGTAGACTTCTCATTCTCTTTCTGGAGTCTTGAAGAGCAGAAGATTCTTAAGTATTCCTTATGGTTTATATATTTATATCTTTTGTAAGATATGTCTCCTATAGCAAAATTATTTTCCTATATTCCTGCTGAGAAAGTTTTATGGTTTCACCTTTTACATTAGATTTTAATCACTCATGAATTCGTTTGGGGGTAAGTAGCTAGAGATCAATTTATTTTTTAATTTCATATAAATATTTCCATCACTGATCTACAGTATAGTTCTATCATAAGTCAAGTTTCTGTATATTTTGGGGCACTGTTTTGAGACTCTCCAGTCTGTTTTCATTTATAACTTAAATCTCTGCACATATACTCCACAGTCTTAATTACTATCTTATTAAAGTAACTCTAAGAATGTTAGAATTTTTACTGTAATTTCATTGAATCGATAAGAATTGAAATCTTTCAGCATTAATTTTTGAATGTATGAACTTGTTATATCTTGCTATTAGACTTTAATATATTTTATTATAGTATTATATTTTTTCATGAAGGTCTTATACATCTTTTTAGATTTACTCCTAGATATGTATATTTTTATGGTAATGTAAGTAACGCATTTTTATGATTATATTTTCTACCTTTTTGTTGACAGGAAATTCAGTTGGAATTCAATTAATTTTCTGCAGTGATAACGTGTCCAGCAAACTCGTTATATTCTTCTATGGGTGCTGAAAATTTATCTGTGGACTCTTTGGGGTACTTTATATAGACAATCATATAACCCAAAATAATGAAAGCTGTGATTCTTCTTTCCAAACTGTACCTGTTTTATTTCAGTTACTCCTCTTACAGTGATGGCCAGAAACTCTTATTTTACTTTGGGTTTTTTTTCTGCTCACTCTTCTTCATGATGTCTTCTTGGTACATGCATGTGTGTGTGTGATTTGCGATGGTGAACTCATATTTTGGGGAATATTATGTAATATACTTTGAGGCCTATGTGAAGGTACTCTTCTTACTTTGAAGAGTAGGGGGATGGTTTGTATTCGTTTCTATCAGGTACCTGGGGTTGCTTTAAACTTTTGAGTTATTTTCAGTACACCAAGCTAGGGTAAATTTGGTTGGACTAAGATATGTTTTGGATTTGTGTCCACACCCAAATCTCATGTCGAATTGTGATCCCCAATGTAGTGGAGGGGCCTGGTGGGAGGTGATTGGATCATGGCAGCAGATTTCTCCTTTGCTGTTCTCATCACAGTGAGTGAGTTCTCATGAGATCTGGTTGTTTAAAAGTGTGTAGCACCTTCCCCTTCATTCTCTCTTCCTGCTGCTCTGGCCAAGTAAGATGTGGCTTCTTTTTCTTCACCTTCAGCCATAAATGTAAGTTTACTGAGACCTCCCCAGCCATGCTTCCTGTACCTCCTACAGAACCAGGAGAGCCAATTAAACCTCTTTTCTTTATAAATGACCCAGTCTCAGGTAGTTCTTTATTGCAATGTGAGAACGGACTAATACAGACTACAAACCTGCCTATGAATTATCTTATACTCAAATGTTTTGTCTTTTTTCTATTCTGTGACAGAATTGGAGACAATTTTTTTTTGTCTCCCTTAAGTTGGCATGTTTAATTCTAGTTCCCACAAACCTGAAGGGACATGATGGTTAACTTTTTGCGTGTCAATTTGGCTAGGCCACAGCAATTGGATATTTTGTCAAACATTATTCTAGATTTTTCTGGGAAGGTATTTTTAGATGAAATTAACATTTAAATCAATGAAGTTTTAATAAAGCAAATTACATTTCATAATGTGGGTGGGCCTCACAGCAGTAGAAGGTGTTAATGAAGACTAACCTCTTCTAAGTAGGAAGAAATTCTGCCAGTAGACTGCCTTTGAACTCACATTGCTGTTCTTACCTGGGTCTCCAGCCTTCCAGTCTACCCTGCAGATTTTGGACTTGTCAGACTTCTACAATCACATGAGCCAATTCCTTAAGATAACTCTCGCCCTCTCTAGTTCTCTTTCTGCTCTTATCCTGTTGGTTCTGTTTCTCTGAAGAATTCCAACAAAAGAAAAAAAAAAGCTTCTTACATGGCGGGATTCTAGCTTTATGTGAAGGGTCTTCTATTTGACTTTCCATTTTGAAGCTCCTGGGCATTCATTGTCTCCTTGCTTTCAAGTACATTCAGTCTCTGGGTTCAACAATCTGCAAATAAACACCAATGTCAATGCCTAGCTTACCATCATGGGAGTGTGTTTTCATTTAGCTTTAAGCCTTTAAGTATTTCTTATTAAATTGATAGCTAATTCATGCATTAGAGGTATTTTTAAATGCTGTGCATTTTTAGGTATTATTTTTTGGGGGAGTTAGAGGGTTAGCCAGGGTCACCATACAACTGGAAGTAAAATGATAATTTGTTTCCACAGTGCTATTTCTCATTTGTCCTTTATCTCACACATTTACTTCAGCTTTGAAGTAGCAGCCCTGATTTCTAGGAAAAAAAACTTATGTGCTTCAAGGATAGCAATCAGCAGAATGCATACTGCTCTTTTTAGAACAAGCATTAAATTAAAGAGGCTGTGGTGAGCTGAATCTGAGATGACATCCATGATTCCTGCCTCCTGATGTCCATTCTCTGTATCATCCCCTCTCTGAGTGAGGACAGGACTCTGAATACAATGAATTTCATTCCCACGATTAGGTCACACTTTATGACAAAGGCTAAGAGATTTTTTGGATATAATTAAGGTCCTAAATCGGTTAACTTTGAGTTCATTAAAAGGGAGATTATCCTAGGTGGGCCTAATCTAATGAAGTGATCCTTTAAAAGAGAGCAGGGGCATTGCTGAAAGAAGTGATTCAAAGGATGAGAGAAACTCTCCTGCTTGCCTCAAAGGAGCCAATCTGCCATGTTAGAGAGCCACATGGCAAGGACCTGATAGAGGTCTGTGGGTGGTGAGAGTAATCCTAATCCCTGGCAGCAAGTCAGCAAGATAACAGGACCTCAGTCATACATCTACAGGAAACAAATTCTGCCAACAACTTGAGAAATCTTTGAAGTGGATCTTCCCTTAGTCAAGTCTCCCAATGCAGATGAAGACAGCCATCATCTTTACTTTGTCTTGAGAGACACTGAACAGAGGACCTAGCTAAAACACCAAACTCTTGACTCAGGGAAACAATGAGATAATATATGAGTATTTTTATAAGCCACTGAGTTTGTAGTAATTTGTTATGAAGCGTTAGAGATCTAATACAGAAGCAATCACACCTAATGCACAGAGCACCTACCTCTTTTTCCTTTGTCCTCTTAAATCTCACATCTGTTTCCTCCTCTAGCAGAGAGAAGCAGCTTTCTCACAACTATTTTAGTTCCATGTGGTACTAATGATACAATTGTAGAAAAACCTTTCCAGGTTTTCTTTCTTCACCCTAATGATGTGATTGATTTTGGAAGGAAACAGCATTCTTCTTTGTAAATTTAGATAAAGTCTTCAGGTTAGTATGGCAGACTAGAGAAAGTTTACTTTGCTTCATTTATAGGCATTCTTAGCATTTTAAGATATGAACAAATTCATGTAGAAAACTAATTATATTTTTAAAAGAAAAATACAAATTAAGGGAAATTAATTTTAAAACCTATAAAAACTAAAATAAAATTATAATGATGACGATTCATATCATCACTGTATAGGGGATATAATAAGTGACAAGGGAACACCCTGGTAACTCATTCAGTATGATAAGAAAACATCCAGTTTCTCCTCATAAAATATCATTTATTTAAAGTGCAACGTAAAGAGCTTCAACACTTGCAAAGCAGTGTAATTTTGTTTTCAAATTTATAGTTGACAGAAAAAGGTGCATGTACATTACAATAGTTGTGCTTTGAGGGAGACAATTATTTTTGACCATTGCTAACTATCAACATGTGCTATCAAAAATGACATCTTATACCTTGAACATCTTGCAAAAGTACACTGGCCCAGGACCTACGTGAAGAATTGGTTTACGGTGAAGAAGTGTTTGACTCTGAATCTGGGGAATCATATTTGTTAGCTCTCACAAATTTGTTAATAATTCTACACTTCAGCAAATTACTCCAGGTAGAATAGAATACTAGAACCAAAGCTGAGTGACTTCATGCAGATGCATTTGTTTCATACTATCCCATTGAGTTACATATATCATAAAAGGCCTGAGAGTCCAGGGCTAAGATGAGAAAATAAAAAAGAATTATGATAGTCTTAGCAGAAATAAAAATGATAGCCAAAGGCACCAGCACTGCAGTGAGAAAAAAGCTCTCCACTTGTTCTTTCTACTGCATGCACAGGCAAACCTTTGCAGAGCCTCTAGACATCTAATTACTGTATTTGTCCATCAAGAACAAGCAAAACTAAACAAAAGCAAACAAAAAAAAAATCAATATTCATTGAGAAACTAGGTATGACGAAATGGGGAGGATTTAAAATGTCTGATCAGGGCTACCAAGAGTTGGTATGTAAGTTACTGCGAGTGTCACTGTGACAGAGTCCTTGCCAGGTTTTCCGAGGGTGACAGCCTAAAAATGGAAGGAAATGTCTTAGCCGTGTGTTCTCATCCCACTCCACCCCTGCACAGGAATTCTAGTTCTTATCTTATCTATTTTAAGACGAGTAGACCTTTGCTGCATGTTTGCAGTCCAGTCCAATTCCATGATTACCCTTAAATACAGCAATTAACAAAAAAGACACTCTCTTGGGTGCTGAGGAGTCTATGAAAAAATGAGACATAATCTCTTCCCTCTAGGATCTTACTGCCAGTTGCAAATGCCTGTGATTGCACTAATAATACCCCGAATCCCACTCCTACTCAGTGTTGACCGTATCTGCCCTCACCTAATCTCTTTATTGGTTTCATTTTCTTGATCCTGAGCTACCCACTAGATTCATGGTTTATGTTGCCTAATCTAGTAATAGTACTTTGCATCAGTGGTATTTGAACCTTGTGATCCAACCAACTTGTCTGTCACTCTTATTCTGAGCTTCCTAGGTTGTCTCAGCAAGAATGTGCAACT
The DNA here is from genome assembly GCF_000001405.40 of Homo sapiens. Lineage (NCBI taxonomy): Eukaryota > Metazoa > Chordata > Mammalia > Primates > Hominidae > Homo > Homo sapiens. The sequence continues at coordinate 54,633,187 of NC_000006.12, read as the reverse complement.
CCAGGTCTGGTAGCACAGAATGCAGACTGCAGCCTTGGCCAGCACTGGGGATGTTCTATCCTCCCTTCTTTCTCCTTTGAAGGGAAAATGAGAATAGGCTCTCTAAAGATTTCCCTAGAAATGTTGCTCAGTTAGTAGATACTGACAAAAAGGAGGCTGATTAAAGACTACAGCATTCTCTCCAAATACAGAAGAAACAGTCAGACAGCACGGCGCTAAATGCTAAGAAATCTGTGAATTTTGGATTGGACAGAGGGTATGAATCTCAACAATGCCACTTCCTAGTTGTATCCTGTTTGAAAAATTACTCAATAATTTAACTTCAGTTTTCTTATGTATTAAGAGAGGAAAATATTTTTATTTTGCAGAATTATTGTGAGTGTTAGAATAAGATTAGGCATAGTAGTCACCCCTTAAATTATAGCTGAACAGTATAGAATCAGGTACAAAATGAAGTATAGCTATTACCACAAAATTAATTTTTTTATATGCTGGAAAAAATGACTTTAAGGGCAAGAAAATGCTAAACAATAGTTACAATCAAATATTCAAGCACAAATTGTGTTTGTCCTGTAGCAGGGTAAAACCACAAAGAACCTATCCAGGGAATCTGAAAATAGTGCTGAAATTCCTCTGCGCAGATAATAGATGTCTTAAATACATGTGTGTTTCACTTATAGAATAGTTCATTTAGATCAGCGTTCAGAGACTATCTATTCTTATTTTATCAAAAATTTTATTAAGCTTTGCTTTCTAATTTCCTAGTTCATAATATATTAGAAATTGCAAACTAAATGGGGAGAAAGAGTTCTGGATGGAAAATAAAGGAACTGAGAATTTAATTACTCAACAATTAATTCCTTGAGTGTTCAGTGCAGTATGTATTTTACATGGGATTTGGGTGTTGAAAAACTAATCTTTACATTTTGTAAAATGTATGATGCTATATATATATGTGTGTATATATAAAGTGTATGATGATATATATATATATGATATGGCATAGTTATATCTTGAAATTCTAAATATTAAACCTCACCCACAGCAAACAATGAGAAGACATGCCAGTAAGTTCTTCTAAAAAGAAGAGCACTAATATAAATGATGTGACTTTTTTTAAATTCCTGACCCAAAGTTACCTTTCTGAGAGCCTGTTTGAGCTGAACGGAACACTGTGTATTAAGTAGGGTCACCTTTTCAATGACAATCAGGAGTTTTCTCCAACACAAGAGAAGATCTGGCTTTATTTTCCCACAAATGTTTGCAAATAAAGTCAGTTTACAATCCTTTTATAAACAGAGAAATTTAAAATATTCCACTTGGGATGGATAAACTAGATTACTACAAAACATTTTCATATTTCTACAATGTAGTAATATGCCAAGGACTACACAAAACATAGAAATTATCCTACTATTTTGCTTTGGATAGCCCTGAACATCTAAGAAATGGTAATGCCCTGTTCTCAAGGTAGACTTTATTGTCTACCTTCCTCATGTCATATCAGGCCTTTCTGATGCATAACCAAGATACTTTCTTAATGTCAAGAAGTATTGCCCAAGAAGTAAATGGTACATATTTATATACATAATATATATTCTAAAACTCAGTATATGTATTAGGCTGTTCTTGCATTGCTGTAAAGAAATACCCGAGACTAGGTAATTTATAAGAAAAGAGGTTTAATTGGCTCATGGTTCTGCAGGCTGTACAGGAAGCATAATGGCATCTGCTTCTGCGGAGGCCTGAGGAAGCTTCCAGTCATGGTGGAAAGTGAAGGGAGCACAGGTGTCTCACAAGGCAGAGTGGGAGCAAAGGGGGCGCACTGTACACTTTTAAATTACCAGATCTCACAAGAATTCACTCACTATCATGAGAAGAGCACAAAGGAGATGGTGCTAAACCATTCATGAGAAATCCACCCTCATAATTCAATCATTTCCCACTAGGCACCACCTTCAACAATGGGATTAGAATTCAACATGAGATTTGGATGGTGAGAAATATGCAAGCTATATCGATCTTATGTTCTTCAGTGACTATTCCCCCTGCTCTTAATATACCAATCTATAAAGTTAACAAGAACTTTTTAATAATATATGTGATTCATACACATACGTACAATTTTACATCTTACTCTATTTCATTTCTCTATTTCATAATGATTTATTTTCTTTGAGCCCTGAGACTAATTTATATTAATTAGGGTTCTCCAGAGAAATTGAACCAATGGAAAATATATATATATACACACATAATTCAGTTTATGTGTGTGTGTGTGTGTGTGTGTTAGTTATATAAATAGATTCATATCCTATTGGTGTAACTCTAGGTCCAAGGGAGAAGGTCTGAGAACAAGAGCAGGAGGGATGCACTACTGGAGTCCGAAGGCCTGAGAATAAGGAGCTCCAATGTCAAAGGGTAGAAGAAGATGAATGTCCCAGCTCAAAAAAGTAGAGCAAATTTGCCCTTCCTACTCCTTTTTGTTCTATTTGGAACCTCAAGAGATTGAATGATGCCAGTAAAGTGAGAGTGATCTTTTTGACAGTCTACTGATTCAAATGCTAGGCTCTTCCAGAAACACCCTCACAGACACACCCCAGAAATCCAGAAATGTTCTACCAGCTATCTGAGCATCCCTTAGCTCAGTCAATGACACATTTGAAAAACATTTTATTCCAAAATCGAAAACATAAAAAAAAATATATAGGTAAAAAATGCATTCTATACGTGGACACAGTGGCTCACACTTGTAATCCCAGCACTTTGGGAGGCTAAGGTGGGAGGATTGCTTGATCCCCAGAGTTCGAGGTTATAGTGAGCTGTTATCAGCCTAGGTGACAGAGTGAGACCTCATCTCATTAAAAAGAAATACAAGCATTGCTTAAAGCTGTAGTACACAGTATGTAAAATAATTAACTTTTTTCTAAATTTACGTTTGAAGAATTTACATATAATTATTTCATTTATGATTTTTTTTTGAGACAGGGTCTCCCTCTGTTGCCCAGACTGGAGGGCAGTTGCACGATCTCAGCTCACTTCAACCTCTGCCTCCTGGGCTCAATTGATTCTCCTGCTTCAGCCTCCCAAGTAGCTGGGATTACAGGAGTGTGCCACCATGTCCGGCTTTTTTTGTATTTTTAGTAGGAACAGGCTTTCGCCATGTTGGCCAGGCTAGTCTCGAACTCCTGATCTCAAGTGATCCACCTGTCTCCGCCTTTCAAAGTCTTGGGATTACAGGCATGAGCCACCATGCCCAGACCATTTGTTCTTTTTGAGATTTGATAGTCATAGGGGAAGAAATTAACTTGGATCACTAGCTTATTAATCTATACCAAAATAATTACTTTGTGATGTATTGTTCAATGAGCTTTGATTAATGCGGAGTCATGTAAGCCCATATTCACCCAACATCACAATCAACAAATCTTATTATCCTACCAATTCCTTCAGGTTGCCCTTTGTAGCCACTTTTCCCATTGCTAACTCCTGATAACCAGTGATCTCTTCTTTATTGCTATAGTTTTGGCTGTTGCAGAAAGTGATGTAGATAGAATCACACAGTATGTAACCTTATGAGTCCAGACTCTTTGATTGAAAGTAATGTACTTGAGATTCATTCCTATTGTGAGTTATAAATAATGTATTCTTTTGTGTGGCTGAATAGTATTCTATTGTATGAATGAATGTACCATCATCTGTTTATCAATCTGGCAGCAAAAGAACCTTTGGGCTGTTTGAATTTTGTTATGATTATGCTACAAAGCTACTATAAACATTTACATATAGTTTTCCTAGTGTGAATATTTTTTTTTTTTTGCTCTTGGACCAATATCTGGGAGTAGGATTGCTGAGTCATATAGTAAGGATGTATTTAATTTATAAGACTGTAAAACTGTTTTCAAAAGCGACTGTAGTATCTTGCATTCCCACCAGCAATGTATGAGAGTACCAGTAGCTGTGCATCATCACTAGAATTTGGTATTGTTGGATGTTTTTATTTCCATTGTAAGAGGTATGTAGTGATATCTCATTGTGTTTTTGAGCTGCATTTCCTTAATGACAAATGCTGTTAAACTCCTTTTCATGGGCTTATTAGCCATTCTTGAATTTTCTTTGGTAAAATGTCTGCTCAAACTGTTCCCAGTTTTCAATTGGGTTTTAAGTTTTCTTATTATTAATTTTGGGAGTCACTTACATATTCTCAACACATGTCCTTAACTAGCTACTTAATTCAGAAATATTTTCTTCCGATGTGGCTTAAAAATTAATGTATTTTAAAAGTTCTTAAAACTCTTCAAAGAGCAGAGCTTTTTAATTGTGATGAAGTCCAGTTTATTCATTTTATTTATGAATCATTCCATTGATTTTGAATGAGTTTGCTCATTAGAGCTCAAATGTTTGTCTTGCCCAAGGTCACAAAGATTATATCTTGAGATGTATTTTTAAAATTTGTATAGTTGAACAATGTGGGGTTTATGGACACCAACCCCCATACATCAAAAATCTGTGTATAACATTTGATTCCCCCAAACCTTAACTGTCAATAGCCTTCAGTTGACCAGAAGCCTTAATGATAACATAAACAGTTGATTAGCACATATTTTGTATGCTATATTATATATTTTGTATTCTTATAATAAAGTGAGCTAGAGAAAAGATAATGCCATTAAGAATATCATAAGAAAGAGAAAATATACTATTCATTAAGTGGAAGTGGATCATCATAAAGGTCTTTGTCCTCAACATCTTCATGTTGAGTAGGTTGAGGAGGAGGTTGAGGAGGAGGATAAGGAAGAGGAGGAGTTGGTCTTGCTGTATCATGGGTGGCAGAGGCCAAAGAACTGGGGGAGGTAGAAGGGGAGGCAAGAGAGGCAGGCATATTCAGTATAATTTTATGGAACTACACTATAATTTCTAACTGACTTTTTTGCTTTTTCAAAATTTCTCTAAAAATACTATGCAGTATTCAATATCATATAAGAAATAAAAAGCAGTGCTGAGTAATTCAAACCCATCTTCCAGATTACCTGATATCAATTTGTTTTCTGGCACTGCTTCTTCTATGTCTTCTTCCTCATCCTCTGGCACTGGTTCTGAAGTGCTCATCTTCACCAAATTATCTTCTGTTAATTCCTCTGGTATGGTTATCTATTAGCTCCAAGATTCATATATGAGACAACACTTTGTCTCCTCTCCACCCACCATCATTTTTCCCACATCCACAATCTCTTACATGATTTCTTTGATTGGCTCTGTTGTATGTCCTGTTAAGTAATGTACAACATCTGGATACAGTTTTCTCCAGGAGGAATTTATTGTTTTGGGCTTAACGGGCTTTTACAGCTTTTTCCATAAAGATGATGCCATCTTGACTGGTGTAATTCTTCACAATTTTTATGATATTCTGTCAGGATTCTGTTCCATAGCATTGACAATCATTTCCATAAAATACTGTGTGTAATGAGCCTTAAAGGTCCTTATGACCTCCTGATCTAGAGGCTGAATTAGATAACGTTGTGTTTGGGGGCAAGCAGAACAGTTGACGTCTTTGCTGTTGAACTCATGACACTCTGGGTGTCCGGGGGCATTGTTCATTATCAATTTATTGGTATTTTTGCCAAATAAGAACTTAAAAGGCAGTCACCTACTGGCAAGGCACTTCCTGACTTCAGGGACAAAGCATCGATGTATCCCATCCAGAAGAAGTGTTCCTGTTGCCTAGTGTTTATTTTCTCCCTTCAAGGCTTGGGGGTTAGCAGCTTTGTAGATAAGGACAATCCTGATCATGAACCTGACTACATTTCCACAAAACAGTGGAGTTAGCCTGTCCTTTCCTGCCTGAAGTCCTGGTGATCACTCCTCTTCCTTACTAATAAATGATGTCCTTTGTGGCATTTTTTCCCCATAGAATAGAGCATTATCTTTCATCTGCATTGAAAACCTGCTCAGGCAGATATCCTTTCTCCTCAATGATTTTTCTTAATGGCATCTGGAAACTCCCTGGTTTCCAGGGAGCCTCTTGGTCATTAGTTGCTTCTTCTCCTTTTATTTTGACATTTTAAAAGCCAAACCTCTTTCTAAAATTATCAAACCACCCTTCACTGGCATTCAATTCTACAGCTTTAGATCCTTCACCTTCCTTTTGCTTTAAGTAGTCATATAATGACTTTACTTGCTCTCAAATCATATTAGAGTTTATAGGTATGCCTTATAACAATCCTGCACCCACATAAAAGCTATATTTTCAATACGAGATAAAATATATTTCACAAAAAGTGCTATGTTTTCATACCTGCTGGTGTAGCTGCAGGGATGGTTTCACAAACTTCCTTTTTTTAAAATTAAAATTTTTTAAACAATTGTTTTTACACTGGATTCACTTACCTTGAAATGGTGGACAACTGCAGCTGTTGACCTCAATCTGTGGTACATATCAAGCAATTCAGCTTTTTCTTGTAATATTACAACTTTTCCTCTGCTTCTTGGGAGCACTTTTAGCATCACTAGTGACACTCTGTATAGGTCTCATGGTGTTATTCAAGGTTTACAGTATTGCAGTAAACATGAAAAATACACAAGAACCACAAGAGATCACTTTTTAGTGTGATACACAATTTATTGGAGAGACAAACTGCTCATGTGGAGATGACTAGCATCACACAGCATTTTAAGTGGAAACTCGCAACACTAGAGCTCACTGCGATAGCAATAGGAGGTAGCTATAAAATTATTACAGTAGTATGGTATGTGCTGTAATTTTATCCAGTTATAATTGTATACTGCATTTTTATGTTTACATTTCTCTCAACAGCAAATAGTGCCATATATGGTCTGTGTTTGTGTAAATTTTGATACATTTTAACTTTTTATCATGGAGTTGTGTATATTTTATAGTAAATAAAATAGGCTAGTACCTACATATATTTTACACATTGATAACATACCTAACTTTTACACCACTTTTTTTTATGTTTCTGGGCTACATGGTTTGTCTGTGAGTTATCTTAAATTATTGCAAATCTTGAAAATAAATTTCAATATATTTATTAAAAAATATCCATATATTAGTGGACCAGCACAGTTCAAACCAGTATTATTCAAGGGCTAACTGTACTTTATATTTAGATGTCTGCCATGCTGTTTATTTTTGCTTGATGCAAGGTATTTATTCCCATTTTTACTCTGTATGCTGGCTGCACAGTTCTAGGACCCCACCTGCCCTCACATCATAGCCAGAAGATAAAAGAGGAAACAAGAATTCAGGAAATTCCCCATGATACCAGTTGGTTTTCAAGATTTTACTCCCTTCCCATTGGGCTTACTTCAGTCTTTAAGTAGCTGTTTTCTGTATCCTCTCTAGAGTTTTTGGTGACCATTGGTGAGAGAGAAAGGCTATAGAGAGCTTCCTTTATCTTGGGTGTCAACAGAAGTCAGATTTTTACCACTTTATATTAGTTTTTACCCATCCCAGAATTTCATATAAATGGGACTATACAGGAGGTACTCCTTTGTGTCTTTTTTTCTCTCATGTTTTTGAGATTCACCCATGTTCTTGCATATAACAGCGTTTTGTTCCTTTATACTGCTGAGTAATTCCATTGTGTGAATGTGTCACAGTTTGCATATCCATTCTCTCTCTTTTTTAAAAAAATTAATGTTTATTTCCATATTGCTTAAGAGCCGGTGCAAGTACAGCTTAAGACCATTCAGTGGTTGCTCCTACCTGTTCAGTGGCCTGAGCGGTGGGAGCCACACATCAGTCTTCTGTGGCAGGCTGAGCACTCCAGGCTTCAGAAGGAAACTGCTGAATAGGCACAGAGGGCACCTGCATGCCTTCATACCAGTCTGCAACTTCAGGCTGAGTAGCGGTGAACTCAGGAGATGGAGAAGTCCATTCACCCTGAAATTCCTCCTTGGTCAGAGCCTTTTCAGCAGCAGCTTACTCTTCTTTTTCAGTCTCTTCAGGATCTCTGTAGAAGAAGAGATCAGGCATCCCCTCCCACAGGTGTTCACAGGAAATGGTGCCACACATGTGCAGAAGTTTCCAGGCCAGCATCCACCACATCAAACCCACTGAGTGAGCTCCCTTCTTGCATGGGATGGCAATGTCCACATAGCACAGCGGAGAATCTGTATTACGTGGAGCAATGGTATGTAAGTTAACATAAGATGCCTCTGTGAGAGGCAGTGGTCAGCCCTGGAATCAGTAAAGAAAAGATGCTGTGGCTCCTGGAAGGTTGCCTGGATCTGGTTAGTGAAGATTCCAGGAGTGAAGCGGCCAGCAATTGGAGTGGCTCCAGTGGCAGCAGCAAACTTCAGTATGGCCCTCTGGCCAGTATTCCTGGAGGATATGACGCGGACATCAGCAGGGTTTTCAATGGCAACAATGGCACAAGCTGCCAACAGAAGCTTCTCCCAGGTCCTCTTCAGATTTATGATATAGACGCCGTCACATTTCTTTTTATAAATGTATTGTTTCATTTGGAAGTCAAGGTTGGTGCCACCTAAGTGGATTCCTGCTGCAAGGAACTTAAGGACATCCTCCTCCTCCATTTGCAGGACATCAAGGGCTCTGTACACTGTAAAAGTTTCCCTTTAAGTTACAACAGGAATCTAGAACATCGCCATATGGACCCCTCTCTGGGTAGCACAAAAAAGCCCATTCTCTAGTTGATAGATATTTGGGTTGTTTCCAGGATTTGGCTATTATGAGTAAAACTGCTATGAACATCCATGCATAAGTCTTTTTGTGAACATAGGCTTTCATTTATCTTGGGTAAATGACCAGGAGTGGAATTTTAGATCACTTAGAAAGTATGTGTTTCACTTTATAAGGCACTGTCAGACTGTGTTACTAAGTTGATGTACCATTTTATAAATCCACCAGAAATATATGAGCAGACCAGTTTTTTAAAATCTTTGCCAATCCTTGATATTGTCAATAATATAAGTTTAAAAAGGGGAACAATAAAAGTACTAGACAGAAATGTAGAACATATTTTGTAAAAACAGAATAAGAGAAATTGTTTCTAAGTGATAGTTGAAAGCTTGATGTCATAAAGAAAGCTTGACTCCATAAAACATAAAATAACTACATGACAATAATAATGTCAAATGAGAAGAGAAAAAAATGTCTAAAATATTTGTCGGACATATTAAATATATTAATGTCCTTATTTTTTAAAGAGCTCTTATAAATTAATATGTAAAATACATCGATCCAGCAAAGGTGAAGAGCAGGCAGTTCATAACAGAAAGATATTTTAAAGGTGTATAAAGTTGTCCAATTTCACTCAAAATTATTGAAATATGAATTAAAACAAAATATGTCATACTTCTATCAAATAAAAAGATGATTTTTGGCTATGTACTGTGTTGGCAAGAGTTTTGGGAGAAAGAGCTTCTCATACACTGTTATTGGCTATATTAATTTGTATTTTCCCATTGGACCACAGTTTACTGTATACACAGTGCTTTGGGAAGTACTCTCTTAAATGGGTTTTTCTTCTGCTCTCACACCACCACAATAATAATCAACACAGAAGAAGACTTCTCTGACCAAAAGTGAGGGGTTTTTAACCATACAACAAGCAGTGGACAACAGCTGGGTGTCCTCCTATTCAGTACCAATACTATATACCCAGAGACAGTGTCAGATCCCACAGGTTAATACTCAACACCATAAGATCATCCTCTCCTTCCCTGAAGTCGCAATTCCAGGCCTCTGGAACTTCTGACCAATTGGCTTCAAGTTGGCGCTCCCACGATCCCATCTTTGAGATTGATTTATTTGTTAGAGCAGCTCACAGAACTCAGGGAATCATATTTACTGGCTTACTATCAAGCATATTTTCCAAGATACAAATAAACAGCCAGATGAAGAGATACATGGGGTGAGGTCTGGGAGGATTTGTAAGTGCAGCAGCTTCTGTCCCTGTAGAGTTGGGGTGCACCAACTTCCTGGCATGTGAAAGAGTTTTTCACCTTCCTGTCATGCTCAATGTGTTCAGCTCTCCAGAAGCTCCTGGAACTCCATCCTTTGGGCCTTTTATGGAGAATTCATTGGTTGTCAATGATTAAAGCATGGACAACTATGTCAAAATGTGATTGGACAAAAAGGATGTGGCCTAAACTCAGCAAGCCTTGTCCATTCAGATTCTTCTTGATCTCTCTGTACAGCATTCCTTCCTCTGGAGTAGGGGGCAGGACCCTCTCTAGAATGAGGGTTTTATGACCTATAATTGGACTATAGTCCTATCTCGGGTGGGTAAAAGGAAGACAGAAGTTCAGAGAGAAAGCTTTTGTTTCCTCAGGCTTGCTTCTGAGCCCTAAATTTCTCCAACATTATAACCAAGATTGTGACAATGATTATGAAAGTTACGAACTAGGAACCACAGATGGAAATGAATCATAATATCACACAGGCATTAGGATTTAATGTTGAATGTTTATAAAGTGTATTTTACATATATTGCCTAAATTTATACTACCAACACCACAAGAATTAGTTATTTTATATTCTCATTTTAAAAATAAAAAACCTAGAGTTTAGAGAGATGCCTTATCCAGTCAGGTCATATAACTAGTAAGTGGCATAGCTTGGTATAGAGCCCTTAACTTTGAATTTCAAGTTCAGTTACATTTTCATTAATCAGAGTTGACTTACCTTGAAACACATGTGTTTTGTACATCAATGCATGTCACTATTTCATGCAATGAATGTAAAGATGCTACATTTTATTACCTAGATAATGTGCTGGTTTTGTCCTATTTCTAAGTTTGTAGAATTGCTGTAGAAATATTGAGAACATTCCTTTTTTTTCCTTATTAAAATCTTGAAGAGGTGCTTTTATTTTTATTTATTTTTGTCTGCTTTCAGGACATGTTTTAAAATCTATCATTTGGACAATTTGGGTTAATAATCTTTGTTTTAGTGTTTTAAAGAACAGCCTCAGTGAAAATGCTTTATTAACGTGATAAATGATAAGTTTAAATAAAATAAATGAAAAAAGAAAGTGTGGTTTTGAAATAATTTATCTGGCACAGCACCAGATTTTGAGAGAGTTAATTATTACAAGTTGCTGAACATTACTGCAATTTTCACATGGAAATATTTGCCTCTCCTATTTCCTTGTGTTATTGAAGACATATTATGAAAGCCATAATATCAGCAGCTTGCAATTTGGAACTCATTTGATTTAACTGATAAGAATCTTTTTCATTTCACAAAACATAACTTCACTCAGAAATATAAAACTGTTCTGCTGTATTAAACAGTGAATAATATCAGGATAACAATGTTAATTGGCTTTTGGACTGGGAGTATTTGAATGAACTCTCTTCTCCATCATTTTTCCATTAGATTTTGCTTGAATTACTCAAAAAACCAAGGTATTTATCCTGATTTGTAACACAATACAACATTTCTCTGATAAGTGTTTTCACATTTTTAGAAATTCTCTGCACTGTAAACAGACAGAGAAAAACAACAACTACTATAAGAAAACAAAACAAAACACTAAAGCTACTCTAGAATGCATGTTGAGCTGGATGGCCATTAAACATTTGTTCAATATTCAATGATAATCTTCATGTCAAATAGATCAGATAGGGCATTAGGTTATATTAAGATAAAAGAACACAGATGAGTTTGGGAGCCAATCCTGTTCAGACTTGAATACTGACTGCTTTTGCAGTCTCCCCTCTTGTGGCAGGATTGGGTACTGGTTAATGATGTGAATTCTGCCCTAAAGTCACCTTTCTTTGGCCACCTTCTAGCTGTGTGATTTAGTGAAGACTAACTTGCTTTCTGTACTTCAATTTTCTCATCTGTAGAATAAAAGTAACCACCTGCACACAGAGAGAGTTTTAAGAATTAAATGGGATAACCAAGAGAGTGCCTAGTCCAGTGTGTGGAACATAACAAATATTAAATAAGCATTCATTTTCTTTTTTCCCCACTCCTTTACTTCTCCTTTGCCTTCCCTCCAGCTATGAAAGTTTTCAGCTCGGAGGGGCTTGTTGTGGGCCATGCACTGTGCCTAGACTACCTCTCAGGAAGACACCTGTTGCCCCTGCTATGGTTGTGCATTGGTAGAGAGCCTTCAGCTGCCAGCCCCTCCAGCGATTGCGTTGGATACTGCCAACTGCTTTAATAAAAGTCAGACCCTTTCCCAGGGCAGTCCACTTCTAAATGACAGATCACTCCTTGCATGCAGAGGCTGGGCCATCTCTGCCCACATCCTTGTCACTCTGAAGGGTCATTCTAAATCCAGAGCTTCTCTGTGGGGTCTCTGAGGCACACTCTATGTGTGCAGGTGGTTACTTTTATTCTACAGATGAGAAAATTGAAGTCCAGAGAAGCAAGCTAGCCTTCACTAAATCACACAGCTAGAAGGTGGACAAAGAAAGGTGGCTTTAGTGCAGAATTCACATCATTAACCAGTACCCAATCCACCACAAGAGGGGAGACTGCAAAAGCAGTCAGTATTAAAACCTTGATAGGATTGGCTCCCAAACTCATCTGTGTTCTTTTATAATAAGTTTATCATAAGTTTTTTTTTAACCTAAGTTCATTAGGCCTGCATCACAACTCAATGTCTTGCTCTGTTCAATGCTGCTTTCCTCTCTCTGTTCTACAGAGACTGATCCAAAGGATACTTTGATAAACAACTTTTAGTTAAACTCCAACTCAGAGTTTGTTCTGCAGAGAACTCAAGCTGCAAACCAGCTCCTCTCTGCTTTTTAAAAGACTTTAAGGAACATTTGATTCAAAGCACAGCCAAGAGCACCCACTTTACTCCCTCATTTCACTTCCTCCACCTGTTTCACACCACTGCCAGTAATCTCTCAGCCTAGGTGAGAAAAGATCCAGCAACTAATGTAGAACACTCACTCCTGATAAAAAAAAAATCCTTAGTTTGAGTAATAATCATTTCTCTCAGGCTGAAAAGCTTCATTTCAAGCAGGCTGGACTGTTAATTCTATAGGTAAGACCCAAAAAGATTGTGAAACAGTGATATTAAAATCTAATTTACCTCAGTGTTATATTCTATACAGAACTAGGCTGAGATTTTTTAACAGCATAGTCTTATTTGGACAAAACAAAACATTCAATACCAGTGTTCTGCCATCAATAGTTTCTACTGCTATTACCAACGAAAGCAACAATGGCAATAATAATTCCTAAAATTTTGTATACCATATTACATTTAAAAAATCCAATATGTAATAAAGAAATAAGAAGGTTAACAGTATTACTTAGTTACTATATATAAAGAAAATGAGGCCCAAACTGCTTAACAGTTCATGAAAGTTCACAGAACTAATTGGTGGAATTGAGGCTGAATTCAGACTTCTGACATTAGACTTGATGGTTTTTCTCCTACATTGTGATTAAACCCCATATCACTTACAAAAATCAAGTCTGTTTGGGAACATGAATACAAATAAATAGTGTTAATTTTTTCATATTGGATTACTGGAAAAATGTATATTAATAGAAATACTTGTCCATAGAACACAGCTTTGCAGCATATTCATCCCAAAGAGCTGAACTTGCCTGCGCACAGCAACAAACAAATTACTTTACTAATACACATACACTGACAATAGTTATGAACTCCAGTTACTAACACAGGCAATATCACAAAGACGGATAATGTGGCTTTCCCAAGGATAAATATGAAATCGGTGGGGCATGTGCTAGGGCCATAGTTTGGGAAAAGTCTACTTGTGTGTTCTAAATAGACTTTCCCAGGGAGTAAATGGAAGCTTGGAATTAGAAACTGGGTTTCTTCGTTCCACCATGTGTTGACCTCTGGATACAGAACCAAAGGAAGCTACATAGTGATTTGAACAGCAAGTGCCCTATAGAGTGTTCTATATTTAGAAATCACACTGAATACATTGGCAGAATTATAATAGCATGATGTACTTTGTGGCATTACTTTGCTGAGAGGAGTCTAATGATTGTTTTGTTGACATATATCAGATATCTCAACTGACATATGTCAAATGTTAATCACAAAAACATGAAACAATTTCATTTTATTCACTTAATCATTTTGATTGTCATTTTCTCAACATTATCAATTAGCATGCATGTTGTTTGCTGCAATTCATTTGTAAGATCAATTCAAGAGATTCCAAAGTATTGAACAAATTTTGCTCAAAATCAGTGAAAAAAGCATCTTTTATTAAAATTCAAAACAATGAAAATTCATAAAGTTGTATTGGTAAAGGAAAATTTTGCTGTGGCATGTTCATCATTAGATGATAGCAGGTGTTATGAAGGACAGAGCTATTTCTTAATGTTAATGTCCCATATGGGTGCACAGGCAACAATTATGGTCTGCTGGGGACTGGGCTGCAGACTTCTCTGCTATGCATCACAAGTCACAATAACAGCTACAGTGAACTAGAGTAATAAATCTTTCCTGAAACAACAATTTGGTATTTACTTAAGTTTGTGATGACTGCATGCTCTATTTTGAAGCATAGAATAACTGAGAATTGCTTTATGAAATCTTATGTGACATCCACAATTCTAGAAATCCTCTCCAACCTATACAAACAAGAAGAAAATCTCACCAAATCTAATACTTTTATATATCTCTTTGCTATAAGAGGAAGGAAGAGAATGGTTTTTATCATTTTGGGTCTTCTTTCTGGCTAAATTGTCGTGTAGAAGAATATACAATGAAATATTTTCTCAATATTTTATACATTTTTGGCACTATTCCCATCGTAAAAAATTGTCCTGGCATATTTGGATGGGTTTTTGGATTTTCACACTTGGAGCAATGGAAGACTTGGTACCATTTTATTCATCTTTTTAGCTGAATACCTATCAGAACACTGGCCCATAGTAGGTTTTCAATACTAGTTATTAAGAGGATGGCAAAGATGAATGAAGCACACTCTCTTTGTTCTCATGGAACTCATTAGAACTTCATGGAGACACCTGTGTGAGATGACTTTTTACTACACTTAAAAAGAGCTTTATCATGTTTAAAGCACCATTTATTTCTGAATCACTCTGTATCCTTCTTTCCATGACAGATGAAGAAAATCATCAGGAAAAGAATCCCCTTGTCCCACCAGCTGTGACATCTCCATCACTGATTTTTCTGCTGTAATTACTAATAGCAGAAACAAATTACTGATGATTGTTAACTATGATAAAAATGTTGGATATAGCTCATACAGAATCACAAAAGCAGAACAGAGTTCTGGCCTGTGCTCTTTTTCCATGCCAAATATGGTTCTGATTACTAAGTTACTTAGTAAAGGCATTCTAATTTAAATTCTTCAAACAATGATTCATCCTAGGGGATAAGAAAGATTACTCGCTTTGGGAAGTAGAATTCCTTGACCTTTGGTTCTTTCTTGTTTGCTGGCTCTATTTTTTTTCCCCTTCTTCTCACATGGAGGTGCTCCTGGGCCTTCTGTCTTTGGCCCTGTTCTCATTCTTTATGTTTTGCTTCAGCAATATTTATTCCTTCACTTTCTACTATTACCTGTAAATCAATGGAACCTATATTTGCACAAACCCACTATTTCTAGTCACGATCTTCCCAGCAGTGTCAGGCCCACCTTTCTGCCATCTAACTCCCAACTGAAATTCCAAGGCAAATGTATACACACCTGTGTAATCACTAACCCAATTCTCATCTCGAATACTTTCATCACCCTAAAATGTTCTCTCATAGCTCTTTCCAATTAATCCACTCTAATCACCATCCCCAAAGAACTGATTATCTGATTTTTACCACTATATATTAGTTTTATGCAAACCAGAACTTTTTATAAATGGAATTATACAGAATGTACTCTTTTGCATCTGACTTTTTTCTCAACATGATATTTTTGAGACTCACCCATGTTTTTGCATGTATCAGTGGTTTGTTCCTTTATATATTGCTGAGGAATTCCATACGAATATATAACAGTTTGCATATTCTTGTTGATAGACATTTAGGTTTTCCCCAGAATTTGACTATTATAAATAAAGCTGCTATGAACGTCCAGGCATGAGTCTTTTTGTGAACATTTCTTTTAGATAAATGGCCATGAGTGGAATTGCAAGATCATATAGTACCTATATGTTTGACTTTCTAAAGCACTGCCAAACTGTGTGGCAAAGTTGGTGTATCATTTTATAAATCCACCAGCAATAGAAAAGAATACCAGTTCCTTCAAATTCCTGCCAATATCTGATATCGTTAGTTCTTTTACTCGTTCTGGTAGATGAATAGCAGTATCTAATTCCGCTTTTAACTTGCATTTTAAAAACTACTGTGTACTGAGCTCATTTTCTTGTTTTCTTAGTCATTTTAAAATTATACTTTACAAAAGGCCCATCAAATCTTCTGTCCATTTTCAAAGTTAATATGTTTTTCTTACTGGATTGTAAGAATTATTTATATATTTTAAATGCAAGTCTTTTGCTGGATATATATATATTTGGCAATATTTTCACCCAGTTTGTGGCTTGCCTTTCACTTTCTTAAAAGTGTCTTTCAAAGTGTCTTCAAACTTCAGATTCTGGGTTGAAAATTATTTGATTTAAGAATGTTGAATATTGGTCCCCAATCTCTTCCAGCTTGTAGAGCTTCTGGTGAGAGGTCTGCTGTTAGCCTGATGGGCTTCCCTTTGTAGGTGACCTGGCTTTTCTCTCTGGCTGCCCTTAACAGGTTTTCCTTCATTTCTACCTTGGAGAATCTGACGATTATGTGTCTTGGGGTTGATCTCCTCGTGGAGTATCTTAATGGTGTTCTCTGTATTTCCTGAATTTGCATGTTGGCCTGCCTTGCTAGGTTGGGAAAGTTCTCCTGGATAATATCCTGAACTGTGTTTTCCAGCTTGTTCATTCTCCCTGTCTCCTTCTGGCACTCCAATCAATCATAGGTTCAGTCTTTTTATTAAGTCCCATATTTCTTGGAGGCTTTGTTCATTCCTTTTCATTCTTTTTTTCTCTGTTCTTGTCTGCATGTCTTATTTCAGTAAGGTGGTTTTCAAACTCTGATATCCTTTCTTCCACTTTGTCGATTTGGCTTCACAAGGTTCTCATGCTGTGTTTTTCAGCTCCGTCAGATCGTTTATATTCCTCTCTAAACTGGTTATTCTAGTTAGCAATTCATCTAACCTTTTATCAATGTTCTTAGCTTCTTTGCATTGAGTTAGTACATGCTCCTTTAGCTCATCATAGTTTTTTATTACCCATCTCCTGAAGCCTGCTTCTGTCAACTCGTCTAATTCTCCGTTCCATTCTGTGCCCTCAATGATGAGACATGGTGATCATATGGAGGAGAACAGGCACTCTGGCCTTTTGGGTTTTCAGCATTTTTTCATTGATTCTTTCTTGTCTTCATGAGTTTGTCTAGTTTCGGTCTTTGAAGCTGCTGACCCTTGGATGGGGTTTTTGTGGGGGCTTTTGTTGTTGTTGATGTTTTTGCTGTTGCTGATGCTTTCTGCTTGTCTGTTTTTCTTTCATTAGGTCCCTCTTCTGTAGGCCTGCTGCAGTTTGCTGGGGGTTCACTTCAGGTCTTATTCATCTGATTTGCTCCCGTGCCTGGAGATGTCACTAAAGGAGGCTAGAGAACAGCAAAGATGGGTACCTGCTACTTCTTCTGAGACCTCTGACCTCAAGGGGCACCAACCTAATGCCAGTAGGATTGCTCCTGTAGAGAGTGTCTGACTATCCCTGTTGGGGGTCTCACTCAGTTGGGTGGCATGAAGAGCAGGACCCATTTAACGAACCACTTTGTCCCTTGGTGAAGAGAGTGTGTTTTGCTTGGGGCAAAACCACTCCTCTGGGCTGCCTGGATTTCTCAGAAATACCAGGAGGAGAGGCTAAGTCTGCTGGTCTGCAGAGACTGTGGCCACCCCTCCCCAATGGGCTCAGGCCCAAGGAGATCTGAATTCTCTCTCTGAGCCTCTGGTTGGAGTTATTGGAGATCCTTCAGGGAAGCCCCACCCACTGAGGAAGGATGGGTCAGGGTTAGACCTGAAGAGGCACTCTGGCTGCAGACTGCCACAGCCAGTGCGTTGAGCTGTGGGGAAAAGTCTTGGGACCAAGCAGTCCAGCCTCCCTGGCTCCAGCATTGGGAAAGTGCAGCCTAGAGTTACAGAAATGGGTGCCAACCTTCCCCTGCCCAGGAAGCTTAGTGTGTCAGGCAGTTGCTAGTCCCAGTGCTGGCTGCTGTCCCTCCCACAAGGAGCTCAAAAGGCTTAGACAGCAGACAGGGGCAGCAGGTGCTGGTCACCCCTCCCCCTGGGGAGTTTGGTAGGCTTAAGCAGATTCCAGCTGAGAGTCAGTAAGAATGTGGACATTCTGGGATTGGGATTCCAGGCCCTGTTGGTGTGGGTTTGTGAGTGGGATCTTCTGATCCATCGGTTGCACAGTTCTGTGGAAAAAGCACGGTTTCCCTGGCTGGGTAGTGTGCTCAGTCACTGCCTCCCTTGGCTGTCGGGAGGGGTTCCCCTTCCCTGTGTCGCTCTCAGGTGGGTTGCCACACCACATTGTTCTTCCTTCTCTCTGTGGGTCACACCAGCCTTCTAGTCAATTTTGATGAGAGAATCTGGATACCCTGGCTGCCGGTGAAGGCTTCACATGCTTATTATGGTTTTTTTCGGTGGAAGCCTCGAAACGGTGCTGCTTCTAGTCAGCTGTCTTGGCCCTGGCCCCCCCAACCCATGGCATGCATCTTTTTATTTGTATTTTAATCATGGGTTTATTTAGTTTTTTTTTTAGGTGTTAAACTTTATCAAAAGTTTTTTGAGGGCTATTGAAATAATTTTCTTCCCTTATAAAGACAGTGCAAATGCATTTTATCAGTACAATTTCCAATTTTGAACTACAGTATACATTCTTGGAATGAAACCCATTAGGTCATAATGAGCTGTTCTTTCATGTAGTTCATTTGATAATAGCATGCATCATATTTCATTTTAATCAACCATGATGTTTGTTTTTAGTCAGAATTATAAATTCACATATTTCAGAGCAAATTAGGTAACAAATTTGTGAAAAGGCTGAGTATTATGTAAACAAGAGCAGTCAAGGCTGTAAAGAACTGAAGAGTATTTTTCTTGCCTAAAGACATTATTTCTTTTTATTTGTTTATCTGCTTGTGTCCTCTTAAAGTTACACCAAATTAGCTGAGACACGAATTCACCAGGTATTCCAGGCTTTTTATTCCTGGTATATAATTTTTCAACACTTATTCAGTGAAAAGCCAGGCCACAGAGAATCTAAGGGGGAAAAAAGATCTTGCTTTTTTAAAAAATTATTTTTTAAGTTTTGTGATGAGGACAAGCAATAAAAGCCCTCTGTTGAGGATTCCCCACACCTGTTAAAATATTTCAGATCTCTAAGTGGTTCTACAGTAAGGAAATCTGTTCATGCCAGTATTTCCCAGGCATATTTGACCACAGCAATAACTGTTTGCATACAAATCAACTATGTATTTAGATAAATAGTGCCCTGCTACGATTGTTCCATCCCTTCATTAGATGTTTTCTTAGTGTTATTTAGTACTCAACAAACAAAAGAAAATATTCCTTATTTTACTTGAAATTGTAAAAGTGTAAATAGCATTAGAAACATACACGATAGTTGAAATGCTTAAAAGGTTGGAAATAGTCTCAACAGAATTTGTCTGGGCTCAGCATTTGATGCGATAGTGGAGAGCAGAAAATGTGAACTGTGGTCCTTTAAAAATGTTGCCAAGAGGGAAGACAAATAAATAAAATAAAAAATGAAAAAGAAAGCTTGTACCAAGAAATACAAAGGACCATAAGAGACTGCTATGTACAATTATATGCCAACAAATTGGATAACCCAGAAGAAAAGGATAAATTCCTAGATAAATATGCCCTACCCAGAATTATGAAGACATAGGAAAATCTGAACAGACCAATGACAAGTAAGGAGACTGAATTAGTAATATTAATAAATGTCTCACATTAAAGAAAAGCCTAGGATGTGATGGCTTCATTGCTGACTTCTACCAAACATATAAAGAATAACTAATATCAATCTTCCTCAATCACTTTCATAAAAGATCAAAGAGGAGAGAATATTTTCAAACTTTTTTTTTTTTATGAGACCAGCATTGCCCTCATACCAAAGTCAGGCAAGGACATTACAAGAAAAGAAAATTACAGGCCCATATCCTTATTCAATATAGATGCAAAAATTCTCAACAAAATACTAGCAAACTAAATTCAATGCATTAAGAGGATCATCCACCATGATCAAGTGGGGTTTATTCCTGGGATGCAAGGACAGTTCCTTGTATTTCTAGTAGTTTTTCATCTATATTTCAGTGTGATGCTAAAGGACACATAAATCTTCAGTATTATTGTAATGTTTGCAAAGTCATCTCAGAATTATAAAATAGCTTTCTCCTAGTTAATATTTTATTATAGTATATATTATATATTATTATATATTATAAATTATTTTACCGGTATTATTTCTTATTTTGTGTATAGGTTTGCTAGGCATTTCTCTGCTTATTTTTTATTGTCTACATATTTAAATAATTTTCTGTGTGTGATATGATTATTACATATAACATACAATAGAGTTTCCATTTTTAAACTCAACTGAGTTTTTTTCCAGTGGTCATTTTCCTTTTATATTTATTGCTGTAACAGATATACTTGGCATATTATCATTCTATTTCAAACATTCTGCTAAATGCTTCCTTAATTTCTTTTTGTCTTGCTTAATTTATTTTTTAAAAATTGGATTCATTTTCTTGATCTCTGAAATTAGACCCCTCTGTCCCTGCAATAATCTCGAAGGTACATAATCTGTTTAAATTCTACTTGTATTTACTTTTATTCCTTTAAAATAATTACTTAAATACATAAACTACATTTCTCACCATAACATAATAGCAAGCTACATTTCTCCTGCCTACCACCACTCTACCAATATTCTGATATTAACTGGTTGTAATTTTATACCCATTATATTAATAGTGATTATCATTTGATATCACGAGGCTTTTCACAACAAAATTTAGCATTTGTATTCAATGTAATAACATAATAATTTCATTTATTTATATCTATCATTCAAATGGAGTCAGTGCTCACTGCCAATCCTTTTGTGCCATAATTTTATTATTCATGAGTTTATATTTTAAATTCATATTGAATATGAATGATTGATGTATCTTACTGAGGTTTTGCTTATTTGGAAAAATGTATTTCTTTTTCTTCACATGTGAATGATAATTAGGTTTGTGTGTCAGACATTCTTGGCTACCTAACCATTATCTATTTTATCTTCTAACTTGCCACCAAAATTTTCGTTTTGTTTGGGATGGCGATGTACCCAGCTAAATATTTTTTTTTTCAACTTTCTGAGATAATAAGATATTTGTAGTACGATAAAAGAGTACACATGCGGGTTGATTGGCCCTCTCAACCTTCTCTTGAATACGTACACCACAAGCATATTCAGTGTTCTTGGGCCTTGAATCTTAGAAGGTTGAAGACAATAGCTAACAGGCTAGGAATGTTGGAGAAGAAAACATAGTACCTGGCCGCTGAGCTGCTGGACCAAGCATCATCACTTGTCAGCCTCTAAAATGCTTGTTATTTGAGATGAGTGGTGTTCAAGCCACATCAGTTTGGGTTTTCAATTACCTTGAGCTGAACTGATATAGTTTGACATTGAATATAGCTGGTTTTAACCTTGTCCACTATTAAAGCAAAACTAGTGTAAATGGAACCTCTAAAGAACAATAGTTATCCTCGTAGTCTTCAATCCAATTTCAAACTTCTAGAGATATTTTCATTATGTTGATGATGTAACCCAATATTCAGTATTATTCTGGGTTACTGATCCTTGCTTGAACGTGTGACCAGTCTTAAAAGCTACTGGTCTAGAACCATGAGGTTGAATACAAGTAGCTACTAGCCTCATGTGTCCAATTAAATTTATGTTTATTAACATTAAATACATTTTTAAAAAAATTAGTACCTCTGTTGCACTAGCCACATTTCAGTTACCACATGTGGTTAGAAGATGCCATATTAGAATAGCAGATATAAACATTTTACCGTCACACAAAGTTTTATTGGGCAGCACTGTCTTTGCTACACAAAATGTGCTCTCAAGACCAGAAGCTTCAGCATCACCTGGGCCTTGCTAGAAATGTAGAATCTTGGGTCCTACTACAGAGATACTAAGTAAAAATTTGAACTTTGATAAGATTTCCAGGTAACTCATATAAACCCTAATGTTTGATGTGCACTACCCTATAAGATCTGGTCCTGCATGTATATTGGTCCCAATATTTAATAATAAGCTAACATTTATTGATATGTAGCAAGTTACTAAGAACTATTCTAAGAACTCTACAAAATCTCAGTCAGTCCTCACAAAATGTTAAAAGGGACATTATCTCCCTTTTACGTATTAAACAAAAAGGCACAGAAAAGACATAACTTTACTAAAATCACTCTGTGAATACATCAGGGAGCCAAAAATAACACTCAGTCATTTTGACTAGACAACTCATAGTGCTGGCTCCCCAGAACTCTTTATTATAATTGTTCTCTTTAAATACTAGGTTTTAGGCTCTCTGAGGGAAGGACCATGTCTTATTCTTTAATTAATTTTAATTTAATTTTTTTTTTAGACCGAGGCTTGCTCTGTCACCTAGGATACAGTGCAGTGGAATGATCACAGCTCACTGCAGCTTCGATTTTCTGGGTTCAAGCCATCTTCTCA
Organism: Homo sapiens; assembly: GCF_000001405.40. NCBI lineage: Eukaryota > Metazoa > Chordata > Mammalia > Primates > Hominidae > Homo > Homo sapiens. The sequence continues at coordinate 54,610,425 of NC_000006.12, read as the reverse complement.
CTCAGCCTCCCAAGTATCTGGGACTACAGATGGACACTATTATTTCCAGCAACATTGATTGATTGATTGACTGGTTGATTGTAGAGACAGGTCTCACTATGTTGTTCAGGCTGGTCTTGAACTCCTGGACTCAAGTGATTCTCCCATCTTAGTCTCCCAAAACACTGGGATTATAAGCATGAGCCACCACACCCAACCATGTCTTATTTATTTTTTGAGTTCAGAGCATAGTAGAATACTTGGCATACAAGAGATTCTCAATTTCTATTTATAGAATGAAGCATGCATGAATGAATGGAGGGATCAAGGCTCATTTTGTCTGATGTCAAGTGGAGCTCCTGGTAACTCTGTCACAAAGCCTATTCTTTTTAGTTGAAGTGAAGAAGACTTTGTTTAGCTTTGGTAAAAACAGAAATTTGAAACTATTCCACACAATTTTCACTCTTAAGCAAATAACAGATCCAGCAAAGAGCACTGTGTGGAGTACTATGAAAAGTGAGTGGATAGATACCCTTAGTGATAAGCATCCACTAAAGCAGTTATAAATGGTTTGGAGCATAAAAATATGTTAATGACCAAATCAGAATAATGACAGCTGTTGTAATAAACAGACCCAAATTCCCAGATGTATACTGCTTTAAACATAATAAATGTTTATTTCTTAATAATGGAATATTCAAAACAGCTGTACCTAACAGGCAGCTAGCTCCTCTCCCAATGGTGTTCTTTCCTTGCCTTTTGTGACTCTGCCATGTTTACCACACAGTTTACAAGTTCTCTATGCTTATTTTGTTTTGTTTTGTTTTGTTTTTAAGATGGAGTCTCACCATGCTAACCAGGCTGGTCTTGAATTCTTGGCCTCAAGTGATCTTCCTGCCTTGGCCTCTTAAAGTGCTGGGGTTACAGGCATGAGTTTATGCTTATTTGTAAAAATTCAGAAGAAATGGTTAAAACAAAAGTGTAGAGAAAGCAAACCTTCTTTCTTTCTTTCGTGTTGTTGTTGTTGTTGTTGTTGTTGTTGTTGTGTCTGTGGAGACAGAGTCTTGCTCTGTTGCCCACGATAAAGTGCAGTGGCGCCATCTTGGCTCACTGCAAACTCCACCTCCTGGGTTCAAGCAATTATCCTGCCTCAGCCTCCCGAGTAGCTGGGACTGCAGGTGCATGCCACCACGCCCAGCTAATTTATTTTGTATTTTAGTAGAGACTGGGTTTCACTGTGTTCCCCAGGCTGGTCTCAAACTCCTGAGCTCAGACAATCCACCCGCCTTGGCCTCCAAAGTGCTAGGATTACAGGCATGAGCCACTGAACCCGGCTGCAGAGTTTCTTTTTTAACCCTCTTGGGTTTAATCCTCTTGGCTCCACCTACATGCAAGTTGAGGAAAGTGCTATGAAATTTAATCCCTGGCTGAGCAGCCTTTCCAAATCACACTTTTGTATTATGGTAGAGCCAACACAAATACTTTGATGGACAAGTATTCCCCTTTTTGTATATGCTGAGAGCAAAAAAACCATGATTTATTTTAGTTTAGATCTTCCTAACTGCAGAGCACGAAGCAAGGACTTCGATGTAGATAGTTTAATGGAAAGTGATTCCAGCAACCAAGGTGATTGAGTAGAGTCAGAAAAGAAAGGAAAGAAGGGAAGCTACGGAGCTGGTTACTGTGGTACATAATGAGGCAATCTCATTTATGACTCTGACAAAATGTGTAGAATGCATGTATATTTTCCCTCTAAAGTACAGAAGACAAGAATACTTAGCCCATTGACTCCCATACCCCATGAGCATTACCCCTTCAGATATTAACTTCGCTGTAGTCCCAGGCTATGCTGCAGGTTGTGTTAAGCAGTCTTGCCAAGATTTGGAGAAAATTCTGAAGCAGAAAAGATCGGAGTGTGTTCAGAGCTGTCTACTTTTGGAGGCTGGAATAGGTAGGGAAAGACGATGCAAAACCCTGCATAACAAAAGAAAAAGTATACACAAAACACCATACAAGGAAAGACTAGTAAACTAAAATTAGGAGAGAAGGACAAGGAAGAATAAAAGATTGTCATGAAAGAGTCAAAACCTTTATAAAACAATGTCTCTCTAGCATAAGAGACATGATGGACAGATAGAAAGGAAAGTAACATTTGTCAAATACTAACTATATTGAATTTTTACATACATAACACCATTTAATTCACACAATAATTGTGAAACATAGGTATTGTTCTCATTCTACAAGGGAGGCATCGTGGCTTGGAAAAAATGAGTTAATTGTTAAAGCTTATGTAATTGGCAAGTGCTGGGTTCCTAATTCAATGTCAGTATGGCTCCATGTCAATGATCCTTCCACTGAAAAAGCAGAGGATAAAGAAAGGTGACTAACGATCTAGACAGTAAGATTAAGAAAATGACCAAGGCCAGTGCCCCTCATACTGTAATATGCATATTAATCACCTGCAGCATTTTATTAAAATGCAGGTCTGATTAAGTAGGTCTGAGGTGAAGCTTGAGATTCTGCATTTTTTCATGGGCTTCCAGGTGATGCTGATGGTGCTGGTTTGTGGACTACACTTTAGTTGCTAAGGTCTGGACATTTCTACTGAAGTCTTGAGAAAAGAGAATTGTTAAAATAATATTTTCAACACCCATTCATGACTTTTATAATAAAAAAGAAAAAAAAACTCTCATTAAACTAGGAACAGAGGGGAACTTCCTTAAATTGATGCAGAGTATCTACAAAAAATATACAGCTAACGTCATACTTAATGGTAAGAAACTAGAATCCTTCCCACAAGATCAGGAAAAAGGCAAGGATGTTTCCTCTCATTACTCCTTTCAACACTGTACTAAAAGTGATAGTTAATGAAATAGAAAAGGAAAGAAAATAAAAGGTATACAGATTGGGGAAAAAAATAAAACTGTCTTTGTTCACACATGACATTATTGTCTATGTAGAAAATCTAAAAGAATTGACCAGAAAAACTCCTGGAAATAACAAACAGTTAAAATAGGTTGTAGGATACAAAGTTAATATACAAAAGTCAATCACTTTTATGTATACCGGCAATGAACAAGTGGGATTTTAAATTCAAAATACAATACTATTTACATTAGTATGCACAAAAGTAAAATACTTAGGTATAAATCTAACAAAATACATACAAGATCTACATGCAGAAAACTGAACTAAATGAATGGAGAGATAGTCCATGTTCATGGGTATGAAGACTCAGTATTGTCAAAATGTCAGTTCTTCCCAACTTGATTTATAGATTCAATGCAATCTCGATCAAAATCCCAGCAGTTATTTTGGGGATATTGACAAACTGGTTCTAAAATTTATGTGGAGAGGCAAAAGACCCAGATTAGCTAGCACACTATTGAAGGAGAAGAACAAACCTAGTGAATTGACACTACCCAACTTCAAAACTTATTATGAAGTTCTAGTAATAAAGACAGTGTGATATTGGCTAAAGAATAGACAAATAGACCAATGGAGCAAAGTAGAAAACACAGAAATAGACCCATATAAACACAATCAACTGATCTTTGCCAACAACATAGCAAAGATAGTTTTTTTTTTCAACAAATGTAAACCTATAAAACCCCTAGATGATAATATAGGAGAAAATGTAGATAACTTTGGGTATGGAGATGACTTTTTAGACACAACACCAAAGGCATGATCCATGAAAAAGTTAAATTTTAGTAAAATTAAAAATTTATGTTCTATGAAATATACACTGTCAAGAGAATGAAAAAACAAGCTACAGACTGGGAGAAAATATTTTCAGAAGCTATATCTGATAAAGGACTGTTATCCAAAATATCCAAGAACACTTAAACTCAACAATAAGAAAACAAAGAACCTGCTTAAGAAATGGGCAAAAGTTTTATGATTGGGTTTTACATTTAAGTCTTTAATTCATCTTGAGTTAATTTTTGTATAAGGCATAAGAAAGGGGTCCAGTTTCAGTTTTCTGCATATAGCTAGCCAGTTTTCCCAGCACCATTTATTGAATATAAAATCCTTTCTCCATTGATTGTTTTTGTGAGATTTGTTCAAGATCAGATCGTTGTAGAAGTGTGAGGATATTTCTGAGGTCTCTTTTCTGTTCCACTGGTCTAGAAGAAAACCTAGGCAATACCATTCAGGATGTAGGAATGGGCAGAGACTTCATGATGAAAATGCCAAAAGCAACTGCAACAAAAGCCAGATTGATGGGATCTCATTAAACTAAAGAGCTTCTGTACAGCCAAAGAAACTGTCATCAGAGTGAACAGGCAACCTACAGAATGGGAGAAAATTTTTGCAATCTACCCATCTGACAGAGGTTTAATATCCAGAATCTACGAGGAACTTAAATTTACAAGAAAAAAATAAACAAACCCATTGAAAAGCAGGCAAAGTATATGAACAGACACTTCGCAAAAGAAGACATTTATGTAGCCAACAAACACATGAAAAAAAAGCTCAACACCACTGATCATCAGAGAAATGCAAATCAAAACCACAATGAGACACCACCTCATGCCAGTCAGAATAGCACTTATTAAAAAGTCAGGAAACAATAGATGCTGGCAAGGCTGTGGAGAAATAGGAATGCTTTTACACTGCTGGTGGGAATGTAAATCAGTTCAACCATTGTGGAAGACAGTGTGGTGATTCCTCGAGGATCTAGAACCAGAAATACCATTTGACCCAGCAATCTCATTACTGGGCATATACCCAAAGGAATATAAATCATTCTACTATAAAGTCACATGCACATGTATGTTTATTGCAGCACTATTTACAATAGCAAAGACATGGAACCAACCCCAATGCCTATCAATGATAGACTGGATAAAGAAAATGTGGCACATGTACCCCATGGAATACTATGCAGCCATAAAAAGGAATGAGATCATGTTCTTTGCAGGGACATGGAAGGAGCTGGAAGCCATCATCCTCAGGAAACTAACACAGGAACAGAAAACCAAACACTGCATATTCTGACTTATAAGTGGGAGTTGGACAATGAGAACACATGGACACAGGGAAGGGAACGACACATACTGGGGCCTGTTGGGGGCTGGAGGGAAACGGGAGGAACTTAGATAATGGGTCAATAGGTGCAGCAAACCACCATGGTACACATATACCTACATACCAAACCTGCACGTTCTGCACATGTGTCCCAGAACTTAAATATATATATATATTATATTATATATATATAATATATATAATATATATTTATATATAATATAATATATATATTATATATATTATATATATATAATATAATATATATATAATATATATTATATATATATAATATAATATATATATATTATATATATTATATATATATATTATATATATATAATATAATATATATATTATATTATATATATATTATATATATATAATATAATATATATATTATATATATTATATATATATAATATAATATATATATAATATATATTATATATATATAATATAATATATATATAGAGAGAGAGAGAGAGAGAGAGACAGACAGACAGAAAAAAACAAACAGAAAAGGGCACAAGATCTGAACAGACACCCACCTCACCAAAGAAAATATACAGATGACAAATAAGCACATTAGAAGATGCTCTACATCATATGTCATCAGAAAACTGCAAATTAAATAACCAATGAGATATCTATTAGAAAGACCAAAATCCAGAAAACTGACACCACCAAATGCTGGTGAGGATGTGGAGCAGTAAGAACGCTCATTTACTGCTGGTGGGAATGCAAATGCTACAGCCACTTTGGAAGACAGTTTGGCAGCTTCTTACAAAACTAAATATACTCTTACCATATGACCCTGCAATCATGCTCCTTGCTAATTATTATTAAGAAATTATACAATAATTTCTCAATACTTAGAAATATTTACTCAAAAGAGTTGAAAACATATGTCCACACAAAAACCTACACATGAACATTTCTAACAGCTTTTTTCGTAGTTGCTAAAACATGGAAGCAACCAAGACATCTTTCAGTAGATTAAAGGATAAGTAAAGTGTGGCCCATAAAGACAATGGAATGTGATTCAACACTGAAAGAAAATGAGTTATCAAGCCATGAAAAGACATGAAAGAAATGAATGCATATTGCTAAGTAAAAGAAGCCAATAGGTAAAGGCTACATACTCTATGATTCCAACTATGTGACATTTTGGAAAAGGCAAGACTATAAAGATAGTAAAAAGATTAGTGGTTGCCAGTGGCTAGACGGGTGGAAGGAATGAATAGGTGGAACACAGAACATTTTTAGGGCAGTGAAATTACTCTGTATAATATTATAATGGTGAATTCCTGTCCTTATACATTTTCCCAAACCCATAGAATGTACAACACTGAGTTAACCCTAATTAATATAAATTATGGTTTGGTAACAAAGATGTGTCAGTGTAGGTTCATCAGTTGTAATAAATGTGCCACTCTGATAGGGGATGTTGATGCTGTAATGGAAAAGACTGCTTATGTGTCAAGGCAGGGGTTATACAGGAAATTTCTGTGACTTCTGCTCAATTTTGCTGTAAACCTAAAACTACTCTAAAGATAAAATCAATTTTTAAAAAGCGGGCTGGGTAAGGTGGCTCATGTCTGCAATCCTAGCACTTTGGGAAGCCAGGCAAAAGGAATGCATCAGTCCACCTGTTGCAGTCCTAGTTACTCAGGAGGCTGGGACAGGAGGATTTCTTAAATCCAGGAGTTTGAGGTTACAGTGAGCTATGATAGCATCACCGACTCCAGCCTCGGCAACAGAACAAAATCCTCTCTCTAAAAATAATAATGAAAACTAATGATTTTTAAAAGGAGATATTCTTGCTTAAATAATGGACTTAAAATAATTTGTTTATGTTTACATTATTTAGAGGATTCTATTTCAAGCTTTATCCATAGAGTAATTAGGATTTTCTCAAAAATCTGTATTTTCTAATTATTGTAGTTAATAAAAAATAGAGAAATACTGGCATCATGAGAAATATACAAATCTATGATACCACCAACCACCTATTAACCAAGGTTATTCTGTTCTTAACTGAATCAACCTATACCTCTGCTATTTGGCAGATTGGTAGAAAGAGATGATACCCAAAAAGGCTTATTTTATACACTATGTAAATTCAAGTGTATAAAATATATTGATGCCACAAATAAAATTAAAAAGTGTATATTAAATAAGACTTCCTCACTTTTCATTTGGCATGCCACTTAAAATTCTGGTATCTCCATGGAACACTCCACTAGGTATTACTGATATTGTAAAAACAAAACATACCCAAAGTCTGGCTTCTGCAGAGGTGTCCCTGATGCCAAGATTTGCATTTTTGACCTGGGACAGAAGAAAGCAAAAATGGATGAGTATCCACTCTGAGGCCACATGGTGTCAGATGAATATGAGCAGTTCTTCTCTGAAGTCCTGGAGGATGCCCACATTTGGGCCAACAGATACATGATAAAAACTTGCAGCAAAATTGGCTTTCATATCCAAGTGTGGTTCTACTCCTTCCAAGTCATGCAGAACAGTAAGATGTTGTCCTGCGCTAGAGCTGACAGGCTCCAGATGGGTATGAAAGATGCCTTTGGAAAGCCTCAGGGCACTGTGGCCAGGGTTCGCATGAGCCAATTCACATGTCCATTCACTCCAAACTGCAGAACAAGGAGCATGTGACTGAGGCCTTATACAGGGCCAAGTTCAAGTCGCCTCACCAGCAAATGATTCACATCTCAAAGAAGTGGGGCTTTACCAAGTTCAAGTCAGATGAATTTGAAGGCATGGTGGCTGAGAAGCAGCTCATCCCAGATGGCTGTAGGGTCAAATGTCATTGTGGGTTTTGCCATTAAAAGTAATTTCTTTTGCACCGCCCTAATACATCCTCAACTGTGGCCTCCTGGACCAGTGGCAGATGCTACATTCATGAGACTTTCCACTGTGCCCTCTCCTCTTTCTGCCCACCAATAAATCCTACTTCCTATAAATAAATAGTAAGTAAGACTTAAATTTAAGCAAATACAGACCTACCATTTAATAGCCTCGTGAAGCTGGGCTTGTGATTTCTTTAAATCTAAAAGTCTCCAGACTTTTAGATAAGGGTGAACTAACACCTATCCCATAAATGTCTTATGCTAGTGTTTTATGCTAGAGTGCCTGGGATAAAAGAAAAGCCAAAACCCTATTACCCATGTTAATATTGAGCCCAAAAGTAAATCAATAGCAGAAACAGAATCAAGCAAAGCAGCTGGGATAGATAACTGTAAGAATTTCAGAAAGAGTAAGCAGGAATTTTACTCTTAAGCCTTGGCTGGAAAAAGAAGTATTCCCATTACTATTACAGAGTTGGCTTTATACAATGAGTAGCATATTAGTAAGAAAAATGCCTATGGGTGTTAGGAATGTTTATAAGTCTATTAATTTCAGAACTAACACTTTCTGAATTCTTCAAGGTGAAATCAGTTTTTATTCTTCCTAGCATTGATCCGTCTCCACAACTCACTCTAAAAAAAATCAATGGCAGTTTCTCGCTGGGCTCTGTTTGGAAGGAACTGGAAGCAAGTCAAACAGCTTTGGAGTTTATTTTTGTTAAAGGGTGGGCACAATAGAGGATGTCCTCGACATCTGCAGCATCTGTGATGAATTATTCATTCCTGATTATTCTGAGCAGACAGACTTGTTTGCAGCAATATGTCACACATATTACAAAAGTTAGAATGCAAATGAAAGGGGGTCAATCTTATTTTTAGAACCATAAAAATTTCTTAATGTTTAGAAATATTGTCTTAGATGTTAATGATAAGAAATCTTTTAAATCAATTTTTGGCTTCTAATAATACCTTACTCTTATGTTTATATTTATATTTTATTTATCAACATTTTAGTGGTTGGATCATATAACAATCTTATTTTTATGGGTATTCTGGAGGATAAATCTTAAATATGACATCTCATTACTAATTTAACTTGAATTGTCTTAACTGTTTTCAATAATGGGTTGAATATAGAAATATAATAAAAAGTCATTTTTAAATTAGTTTGAATACATGTGAATCACAATTGAGAAACGTGGTAAAAAGAAAATTCCATTTTTTTCTTAAGAATAAAATATGAATTTAGTCTTAGTGTGTGCTGTTTTATTTTGCAGTTTATTATGAATAAAATAATATTCAAGAGCTATCTTTCATTTAACTAAAATGTATGTAATTGCTGATAAATGTGCTGCTCAAATATTCCTTATTTAGAGTATAGGTAGCTGCTATTGAGGCCATATGTATCATTTGCTAAAAAAATACCACTTCATATTTTATCTATACCAGACCCTCACCAAACTCTTCAATATCTCCACCATTGTCATCAGCAATCAAGAGTGAGCATACTTGTTTGGTCATGGCTTTGCTACCTTGATAATATTTATAAGATTTTATTGTCAGCCTGCTTCAGTGAACTGATGAATAACTGTATTAGTATTTCTATGGAAAAACATTGTCTCTCCACCTACAATAGATAGACCTCAAAGAACTTGTTAGTTGAAATGTTGGTTGGTACTGTCAAAGTTATCATTTCTAAATTGGTTTTCTATTATATTCCTTTTCAATACCCACTTTTATATGCCAGATTTACAGTTATTATTCATAAAGAATTTGAAAAATTCTGATAATTAACATGGAGAAAACTTTAAAATGATATGACACATCACTTTGGAGAACTCTATACTTATTTTGCCATATTTCCTTCTAAGAATATTCCTGTCTATATTCGTGTCTTTCATATATACAGTTTTTTTAAGGAGCCACTGAATCATATTATTTTTAAGCTGAATTTTTTACTATAATATCTTAAGTATCTTTGCATTTTATTAAATATTATACCACAACAAAATTTTAATGACTACATAGTATGAACTGTATGAATGTACCATGGTTTCTTCTTTATTTTCTAATTTGTCCTGTATTAGAAATTTAGGCTGCTTTCCAATATTTAGCTTTAGAAGCAATTTTGTGATGAACACCATTGTAGCTATACTCTGTCCATATTTCTATTTCCTTGGGATAAATTCTCAGAATAGCAATTCCTGGGTGAATATATAAAAACCTCTTGGCTGGGCATGGTGGCTCATGTCTGTAATCCCAGCACATAGGGAGGCCGAGACAGGAGGATCGCTTGAGCCCAGGAATTCAGGACCAGCCTGGGCAACATGAAGAGACTCCATCTTTACAAAAAAAATGTTAAAAAATAGCCAAATGTGGTGGTACGCACCTGTGGTCCCAGCTACTTGGAATACTTGACTCCAGGAGGTAGAGGCTGTAGTGAGCCATGATTGCACCACTACACTCCAGCCTGGGTGATAGAGTGAGACCCTGTTTCAAATAAATAAATAAATAAGATTTTCAATAGGTACTGACACATTGTCTTTCAGAAATATATTAGGTTTGTGCAAAAGTAATAGTGGTTACTTTTAATGGCAAAAAATTGTGATTACTTTTGCACCAACCGAATAGTATCAATTTATACTTCCACCAAGTATGTTTAAGGGTCCTCTTTTACTTGACCCCTCATCAAAACCTATGGTCCACTATATTCTTCAGAGTATATACTAGAAAATCAAGGGGGAGACATACAATCAGGGATGGGGGAATAGTGAGAGTAGAAATAGGAAGACAAGGAGGCCATGACCTCCAAATGTTGGATAAATCACAACTCTGAGATCACTGTGGAATGAAGAACGTGTTTGTTTGGGAGACTTTGAGGTCCACTGTGATTTTACTATATGATTCCCTGAAAGTCTCTTTCATGACTTCCCAAGAAATTTCTCATCATTGGTTTTCTCAGGAACTTTCTGCTGTACGAGTTTGAAATGTCAGGGCTAATTTGTTCTCTCAAGAGCCTGATTATAAAAGCATTTTAAAATCATGAAAATCTATGCAAACATAGAAAATATCGATAGAAAAATGCTATGGGTGTTAGGAATGTTTATAAGTCTATCAATTTCAGAACTAACACTATCTGAACTCTTCAGAAAGTTAGAAATTATGATAATTCATACTAATATCCCAACAAGCTGATAATCCCAAAATATTGTTAGAAATATTAATTATTCATAATGTGTCTCCCATTTAGTGTCTTGGGATTATATCTTCTCTCACCTGATCACTGAAGAACAGAGCACACACTTAGCCTATTATTATAGATTGCAAAATAATTTATAGAAGAGAGATTAGATGATCTATAAAAATACAGTCACTCATTGCTCAATTTACTGGGCACAGGTTCAAAGCATTGTTCAATGTCTTTCATTCACACTGTGTTTCACTCTTCTGTATCCAGCTGGCTGCTTCTCAAGACTCACATTCACCAAGGTCATTAATATTTTGAGGTAGAATTAAAGTGTGTGTGTGCATGCACGTGTGCATGCGTGTATGTGTGTGGAGAGAGAGAGAGAGAGCACGTGCGCAGAGATTTGAGTTCACTTTACATCAAATGGAAACTGCTATCCCAATGCCCGTAAAGGCAAACCAGCCTCTATACTCTGCTTAGGGATTCCTCCAACTAAGTTTTTTCCTCTGTTGGATACACTGCATTTCTTCTCTATCTTGAGCTACTTTTCAAGTTTTAATTATCACATCTGATTTTAGCTAATATGCTTTTTAATTCTAAAATATTTATATGTCAATCTTATAATTTTTCGCTGTGGCCTACAACATCAATTATGAACTCATTTTCATAAGATCACTCAGCTTAATTTTCCTTAGGAGAAAACCTTTTGTCATTTAAATCCGTTAAATATATCTTCAGCCTCATTTCATTTGAGGTTGACTTGGAAATGGTTTCGTTAGATAGAATATCAAATTATAAAAATTGAATAACTATCTTTATAAATATATAAAGTTGGATCTTACACTACCATTTCAAAATAAGCTTGTTGAAATGGCTCTACTATGAATTTTATAGCTCAAGTTCATTGGACTGCTTATTTTTTATCTAAATAAAATTATGTGCCATTTCTATAGGATGAATGACTCAGAAGACACATTTTAAAAATTCTGGCAATTAATGAGTGTCTACATTTAAATCCGTTTTCTTTTTTTTTTTTTTTTTGAGATGGAGTCTCACTCTGTCGCCCAGGCTGGAGTGCAGTGGCGCCATCTCGGCTCACTGCAACCTCCACCTCCTGGGTTCAAATGATTCTCCTGCCTCAGCCTCTTGAGTAGTTGGGATTACAGGTGCCCACCACCACACCCAGCTAATTTTTGTATTTTTACATAGTAGAGATGGGGTTTCACCACCTTGGCCAGGCTGGTCTGGAACTCCTGACCTCGTGATCCACCTGCCTCATCCTGCCAAAGTGCTGGGATTACAGGCGTGAGCCACCGCACCCAGCCTAAAATTTGTTTTCTTTAATCTTTCAAACCCATATTCTAATAACTACAAGTTGTCAGTGTTGATGGAGAAATAGATTTAACATTATAAAGTTCCTTTTTCTAGTGCTCACAGACTTTTATTTCCCTGTTTCTTTTAAGTAATTTTTAATGTGTAGCTTTTAGAATCTTTGAAATAAAAGCAGCTTGGTTAATGAAGATGTTAGAGCATTAAACTTCTTTCAGGAGGTCCAAAATTCTTATATGATCTTATTTGTATATCCACTTAATTCATTCTGCCTTTTGCAATTATTTGAACTATTAATTTATTATTATTATTATTGAGAAAAAGTCTCACTCTATCACCCAGGCTGGAGTGCAGTGGCATGATCTCGGCTCACTGCAACCTCCGCCTCCCGGGTTCAAGTGATTATCATGTCTCAGCCTGCCAAATAGCTGGGATTACAAGCGTGCGCCACTATGCCCTACTAAGTTTTGTATTTTTAGTAGAGACGAGGTTTCACCATGTTGGCCATGCTGGTCTTGAACTCCTAACCTCAAGTGATCCACCCGCCTTGGCCTCCAAAGTGCTGGGATTAGAGGCGTGAGCCACCGCACCCAGCCTGATCTATTATTTTAAATATTCCTAAACAGTTGTCTCCCTTTACCATGGTTCCACTTTACATGGTTTCAGTCACTCACTGTCCAAAAAAAAAAAAAAATCAAATGGCAAATTACAGAAATAAACAAGTCACAAGTTTTAAATTGTGCTACTCTGAGTAGCATGATGAAATTTTGGCTATCCTGCACTCTCCTCCTCTGGACATGAATTATCTGTCCAGCAGATCCACATTGTAGACTTTCTCTTTCCATGAGTAACCTAGTAGCCCTCTCAGTCATTAGATCAACTATAATGATATTTCAGTGCTTGTGTTCAAATAACCCTTATTTTACTTAATAATGACCCCAAAGCACAAGAGTAGTGATGCTAACATATTTTTGTGATTGTTCTATTTTACTACTAGTTATTGTTGCTAATCTCTTACTGTGCCTAATTTAGAAATTAAAATTTATCATAGGTATGTATGAGTAGGAAAAACACATAGTATATATACAGTTCAGTATTCTCAGTTTGCAGGTATCCATTGGGGCTCCTGGAATGTATTCCCTGTGGATAAGGGGTAACTATTGTATTTCAGTTTGACAAAAAGAAGTCATGTTTTTAAATAAATGTTATCATTGTATATTTAGTCTGTATTAGAGCTATTAAGATTCATTGGTTTGCTGGGATGGAAAGTATAACAACAGCCCCCAGGGATATTCAAGTCCTATTCTGTATGTTAGGTTATTTGACAAAGAAAAATTAAGGTTGTAGATAGATTGAGGTTGCTAATCAGTTGATATTAAAGTAGGAAAATTATCCTGGTTTATCTAGGTGAGCTCAATATAATCACAGGAGTCCTTAAAAGTGGAAGCGGGAAGCAGAAGAGGAAGAATCAGAGGGTGGCAGCATGAGGACTCCACCAGTTGTTGCTGGAGAAAGGGGCCATACACCAAAGAAAGTGGGTGACCTCTAGAAGCTAGAAAAGACAGGGAAATGGACTTTCCTCTCAAGCCTCCAGAAAAATACATAGCCTTACTGACCCCTTGATCATAGCCCAGTGAGATCCATGTCAAATTTCTGATCTACATAATTAGAAGATAATAAAATTGTGCTGTTTTAAACCATTAAATACTTGGTCATTTATTGCATCAGCAAAAGAAAACCAATATAGTTGGTAATTTGGCTGCCTAAGTAAACATTTAGATTAAAATTCTACGTTATAATTTAAATAGGTTTAAATATACTTTGTTTTCCCAACTCTGATGTTTGACTCTATACTTTTTCTCCACATAGTTTTAGTTTAAGTTCTAGTGAGCATTTGTTTATTTTGCAAAAGGCCGCAAGCTGTCTCCCTGTTTCTGCTTATCCCTATACCCAGTCGTAGAAATATTTCCTGAGTTGCAATTTTCATTTCATCACCCTATTGCTCACAACTTGGGAATGACTTCTCAACTTCTTTCTCAATATAATTATAATTCTTGATTATGAGTTCTTTTTTCTCTACCAACAAACCCCACCTTCTTGGGCAAGTACATGTGCCTTCCCAGGGCTCCAACAGTACTTTGTCTATACTTGTATTCCCACCTTTCATTGCACTTTGGTTTACTCATATGCATCCATCTGCTCCCACCAGATTATCAGCTCTTTGGGATATTGGTATAGTGTATGGCACATGGAAGATGATCAATGTATAGTGAATACATGAGTAATTTCTACAAGAATACTTTCTAGCATCACATATATACTGTGCTTTTTATTGCTTCTAATTTCCTGTATATTCCACTAACCCTGCACTATACAGGAGGTGCCTTCCATTTGTTTGCTTGCTTGCTTTTAGACAAATGAATTCCTTTAATACTGGTCTCTCTTTATTCTAGAAAACATCCATTGCAAATCTTCACGTGCACCGATGCTGTCAGATGTTACTTTAATGATTATGTTTCAGTGAATTTTGGTGTCTGCGCATTTTGGTAGTGGAAAGGGCTAACTGTATTTTTATATGACTCTGAGATTGTATTTATTTTTTCTGTCTACTTGCCATTCCACTCATTTTGTTCAGCCTAAGGACTCTGGTGAAAGGAAAGGAATTGTCTCCTCCAGATTATTGACTTGACAAACTGGCATATCCAGGAAGGATACCAGGCTGTACAATTTTGAAACAATATTATATTAGAAATAAAGATATGTTTATTTAGCATGAAGTAAAGACAAAGAAGAAATCTATTTATCTATTCATCCAGAGATTGAAAGACTACCATATAAAAGAAGGAGTATATTTATTTTCGATTCATTGTTGTTTTAGACATTAGAACTTGGATCAATAGGTGAGAACTATAGGGAGAATCTAGCTTACACTACAATTAAATATGTCAGTTCTTTTTAATTTTAATTATTTTGAGAGATTAGAGTCTTGCTCTGTTGCCCAGGCTGGAATGCAGTGGTACAATCACAGCTCACTGTAACCTCAAACTCCTGGGCTCAAGCAATCCTTCTGTCTCAGTCTCTCGAGTAGCTGGGATTACAGGCACACACTCACGTTCCACTAATTTTATTTTTTATTTTTGTAGGGATGGGATCTTGCTATGTTACCCAGGCTGGTCTCAAACTCATGGCCTCAAGCAATCCTCCCACCTCGGCCTCCCAAAGTGTTGGGATTACAGGCATGAGCCACCATGCCTGGCCTATGTCAGTCTATGTGACTATGTAGGCACTGGTTTCCTGCATATTTTCTAACAAAGGTTGTGCCATCATCTAAATAAAGAAGATACATCTTTGGGGTGAGGACAGGACACCTCTTAACTCCATCTTATAAATAAAGTATGATATTTTTTATTCACCCTCAATACAAGATAGATGTTTAGAAAATAACTCTTGGGTTGAACTGCTTAGTTTTGAATCCTGGCTCCCAAGCTTCCTAGTTGTTTGATCAAGCAAACATTTTTTTTTTTTTTTTTTTTTGAGATGGAGTCTTGCTCTGTTGCCCAGGCTAGAGTGCAGTGGCATGATCTCAGCTCACTGCAACCTCAAGCCATTTTCCTGCCTCAGCCTCCCGAGTAGCTAGGATTACAGGCGCTCGCCACCATGCCTGGCGAATTTTTTTTTTTTTTTTTTTTTTTTAGTAGAGACGGGGTTTCACCATGTTGGCCAGGCTGGTCTCCAACTCCTGACCTCGTGATACACCTGCATCGGCCTCCCAAAGTGCTGGGATTACAGGCATGAACCACCGTGTCCGGCCGATCAAGCAAACTTTTAAAGTATTATGTGACTCATTTTTCTTCTCTGAAATCTGGGGAGTTTACTCCCAGTGCTATTGTTAGGAGTAATAAGATTAGGCATGTAAGATACTTGAGAAGAGGCCAGGCGCGGTGGCTCAAGCCTGTAATCCCAGCACTTTGGGAGGCCGAGATGGGCGGATCACGAAGTCAGGAGATAGAGACCAAGCTGGCTAACACGGTGAAACCCGTCTCTACTAAAAATACAGAAATAAAATTAGCCAGGCGTGGTGGCGGGCACCTGTAGTCCCAGCTACTTGGGAGGTCGAGGTGGGAGAATGGTGTGAACCTCAGGAGGTGGAGCTGGCAGTGAGCCGAGATTGCGCCACTGAACTTCAGCCTGGGCGACACAGTGAGACTCCATCTCAAACAAACAAAACAAAACAAAAACAAAAAAACAAACAAAAACTTGCCAAGAGTGCTTCACAACTGGATATCAATAAATGTTAGCTAACATTATTCTCAACAGTACTGGATTAGTTAGGAATGAGGTTCATTTCCCAATAACTAAAATACTTAATTGTTTTAATTTTACAATTATATATGTAAAACAGATTTTTACAAAAATTGGTAATAGAGTAACATGTTCCCCTCAAATCCCAACAGTAATATAAATTACTATTCCCAGTCTAATATATATCATATGAGAATTTTATATATATAAAATATTTATGACACCTATGTGTATGAATTTACCTATGTGTATACACACATATTTACTATACTGCACCGTGTTTTCTTGCCTTAATTATTGCATACATGTCTCCATTTGTGTATATAAGGAACAGCTGTATCTTATTTTTTCACAGCTAAAGACTACTTTATATTAAGGATGTATTGTACGTTTTTAATTCTTCATAGATGAATATTTAAAATTTTTAACAATTGCTATCAGTGTTATGATGAATAGTCCTGAACATCTTGAACATATTCTATTAGTATCCCTTTAAGAAATTCCTAGATCTATAATTGATTAGTCACATTTTACATTTGTTACACTTAACAAAATTGTCCTTCTGTAATTTTTAGCCAATTTGTACCCCCAACCCAACTGTATGAGTGTCTGTTTCCCATCACTTTTAATAATATGAGGCATGAAAAAGATTTTCAATTTTATCCAAAGTCATATTTTCTTATTTTGATTTACATTCCCATAGTTAATAGCAACCCTTCATCTGTTTTATTTGATATTTATATTTACTTCTGTTATTTTTACTCATTTGTACAAAAAAAAGGACAAACATCTTCTCAAAGTTAAATTCTTTGTTTTACTTTTGGGCTATTTGTCATTCTTCTAATAATTTGTAGAGACTCCTCATATTCTAAGGAGAGTCACATTTTGTAACACTTAAAATAAATATACATATTTTCACTTCTTCATTGATTTTTCAACTTTGTTCATGTCTTCTGAAAAATATAATTTAAAAATATGAACCAAATGCAGCATTTAAAAAAATGTGCACCTTGAAGTCAGAACAAAAAGGCTATTTCTAACCTACGATTATAAACATATCCTTGAACATTTACAGTTCGAGTACATGACATTTACAGTTCTACTTTTTCTCTAAATTTTTAATTTATCTGAAATTCATTTTATCTCTTCTTTATTTGCAAAAGACACTTTTTTCCCCAGTGGATAGTCAAATATCCTCAAACCATTTATTCAGTAATCCATTTTTATTCCACTTATTGGTAATGTCAGATATATTTAATATTAAATTCTCATATCTATATTGGACCTGTTTCTGGGCTTTACATTTTGTTTGCTAATGTGTTTCTATTTCTATGTCAATATACTACAGTGATTTACTTGCTAGCACCTTATAATATTTATTGATATCTTTCTCACAATTAACTTGGTTACTCAACGAATGTCTTCACCTAAATAACCACTTTGTCAAATCCCTTACCTCAAAAGAAGAAAGACAAAAATTACAAAAAATAGAGAAAGAATGATGAAAGAGGAACTCATATCTACTGCCATTTTGGGAGAAATTCATTTAGTTTACCTTTGGTAACAATGTACATATTAAGGTGTTGAAGCTTCTCATCCTGAAACATTAATTCCCTCCTTTTATGACTCTCCCTGCTATCTCTCTCATTCTCTTTCTTCTGTATTCATATTAGTATTCTAGTAAATTTATAGCTGAATTTGACAAAAATTGATAGCTTACTCAATGTTTACCTTAGTATTTGCCTGTATATTTTTTCTTTAAAACTAATGTCTTTGAATACTAAGCTTTTCCAAAGAAATTGTTTTTTTAAAATATCGGCTCAGCTCATTTCTTGTTATCTTTATTCCTAGGCATTTGATTGTTATGATTGTTATTCTTTTTCTTTTTAAAATTATTTGCTTTTGTAATTTTTTTTATTATGTATCTATTATATTTTTATTTTTAAAATTTTCTAATTTGTTATTGTTGGTACTGCTTGTTTCATTGTTATTGTTTGGTATTGTATGATTTCTTGAATTTGACCATTTTTTAATTGAATTTTCACTTTCAAATGGAATGCTGCTGCTGATCCCTAACTTTGTGACTTTGTGGATCAGATAGTGGTCCTGTTTAGTCATGTGATCACTTGATATCTCATGGTCAGGCATTTGGCTTCTATCAGGAACCAATGTCAAGCCAGGAATTCTTTCTCAAAACAGGATAGTCATCTGTAAAAGAGGTCATGGCTTTTTTTTTCATGACCCTGTGTCTTGCCCTATAATTCTCCTATTGGGACTTGCCGTACTTGAGCTGTACTTAGTGCAGGTCACCACTGAATGCAGACTTTAGTCAACCAAAAAGCATATGGAGCCACTCTCACCCTCTTGGGCTAGTACAACAAATCCATAATCTCTCTGGCATGTGCTCCCATATTAAACTCAACTTAATTGAAACCTATGTTCCTTTTTCCTAGGTCTGGAACTCTTAGAATAGATTCTCACATTTCTCAAGTTTCTACACGCATAATTTAGAAAAATTTTGTAATTGTTTTGGGTCATACCTTGTATTTGGTCTTCAGGGCCAAGTAGGAGGTAGAGGAGCATGTTGGAGGCTATGAGTGGTAAGACATGGGCATGAGGAAAGTTCATGTCTCCTCAAGAAAATATATTAATTGATGTCACTGAAGAGCCTTCATGCAGGTCAGACTAGCATACCAAGACAACAAGAAAAAAAAAAACACTCTTGTTATCAAGGATGACTCAATAGGACATTTTGGTTAACAGTGCTCAGACTTATTTATCAAAATACTCAAATTCAATTTCTTAGTATTTCTATCCTTCGCAATAGATATCCAAAAATTCACATAAAATATATAGTGAAGCTATTAATTCAATTTACATTGTTTCATTAATCCATTGTATCTGATGGTCTCATTTTCAGAAATATTAGCTGTGAGATTCCTTTAGACCATCGATAGAAAATCCCTAGTCCTCTGATCAGGCAAAGAGTTATGAATTTTTCTTTTTGTTTTTGTTTTTTAAATATACTCTATTTTTTAGAGAAGTTTTAAGTTCACTACAAAATTGAGCAGAAAGTAAAGAGAGTTCCATTATGCTCCCCTATCCTCACAGGTACGTAGGTTTCCCACTATGGATATCCTAAACCAGAGTGTTACATTTGTTATAACTGATGAACCTACACCGGAACATCATTATCACTCAAAGGTCATAGTTTACACTAGAGTTCACTCTTAGGGATGTACATTCTGTGGGTTTGGAAAAATCTATAAGAACATGTATCCACCATGTTGGTATTATACAGAATAGTTTCACTGCCCTAAAAAATTTCCACTCTCTGCCTATTCATCATTCCCTCCTCCCTAACCCCTGGCAACTGCTTATCTTACTGTCTCCATAGTTTTACCTTCTCTAAAATGACATTCAGCTGGAATTATATAGTATGTATTCAGACTGGCTTCTTAACTTAATAATAGGCATTTAAGTTTCCTCCATTTTCTTTCACAATTCATTTTTTAATTTTTTAGGATGGAATATTCTTCCATTGTCTGGATACACACCACTCTTTATTTATTCACTCATCTACAGAAGGAAATATTGGTTGCTTCCAAGTTTTCGCAATTATGAAAAAAGCTGCTATTAACATATATACAGACTTTCTTGTGTGAACGTATGTTTTCAACTCCTTTGTGTAAATACTAAGAAACATGATTTCTGGATCATATGGTAAGAATATATTTACCTTTGTAAGAAACTACCAAAGTGTCTTCCAAAGTGGTTGTATCATTTGCATTCCCACCAATAACAAATGAGAGTTCCTGTGGCTCCACATCCTCACAAGCATTTGGTGGTGTCAGTGTTCTAGATTTTGGTCATTCTAATAGGTGTAGAGTGACATATTATGCTGATTAATTTGCAGTTTTCTGATGACATATGATATAGAGCATCTTTTGATGTGCTTATTTGCAATCTGTATTTTTTTTTGGTGAGATGGGTGTCTGTTCAGATCTCTTGCCCATTTTTTAGCAGGTTCTTTGATTCCTTATTGTTTAATGTTCTTGGAGTTTAAATGTTCTTGGATATTTTGGATGACAGTCCTTTATCAGATATATATTTTGTAAATATTTTCTCCCAGTCTGTGACTTTTCTTTTCATCCTCTTCAAATAATTTTTTTTTATTTTGCCAGTGTTGTGAGAATCTACCCACTCCACAGTACCTGTGATCCCCATTCACACTACGTCCTATATTTACCCTCACTTAACCTGCCTTCCATGGGAATGTTCTTACAGGCAATTACTAACAATAATTTAAGTAACTTTTTTGCCTTTGCACTCTATGGGCCAATATTTTATTTTCCAACTGCAAGCTGATTAGCATTGTCTTCAGATCCTACCAGGTTAGATACCAGTTACAGATGTCCTTTCCTACAGGTCTATTGCATGAAGACATTCATGGTATCTAATATGGTATTAGTCAAGTTCTAACTCAAACAGAAATTACACTAAATTTTTTTAAGAAGAAAGGAATTTAGTGCAAAGAAACAGGTCTTATCATTTGAAGAGCTAGAGAAGTAGCAATCAGGAGGCTATCACTATAATTATTGAATTCAAGGGTATACCATTGTTACAACAATTCAGGTATCAAAGGAAAAACTATTATGAATAGCCATATCACTACAACATTGTTTGCCTGTAGAAGCAGCAGCAAAAATAGAGCTGCAGTTTTATTTTGCTTTCAAAATCTCATATGAATACATCTAATTGGTAGAAACTAGCTTTTATCCAAAACCATGGCTTCAGAGTATGGAAAATATATTTTAGTGTTCTGGACTCCATAGCACAGAAAGACACACAAAAGAGAATAAATGCTAACTATATCAGCCTTAGTCATACTCTATAATTAATTACAACCCACACACATTATTAAAATGTATAATTTTGTGCTAGGATACTACTTGACCCACAGTAATAGCGACACAAGGGTTAGCTATTATGATTATTATATTTAACATCTCTTTCTAGACTGAAATTGATATGAATTCTTATTAACACATACGAGTGACTTCATCATGTCCTTATGTCCTTGTAAATTCCTAAAGGACTCTGGGGGTCCAGAAGAGATTTTTAACAGGTAAACAGGTGGCAGTGAAGGTTCATGACCAAGCTCCAGACAAGGAGAATAGGCAGGCAGTGAGGAGTTAGATGGGCTCCCCACCCCTCACCTGCTCTAGCTCCAGAGAAGCCCTTAGTTCCTTTGTGTCTTGCACTGTTGTGATAAAGTTCAGCTGAGCATTCTCACAGGGAGTTGTGAAAGAGAAGGAATCAAATATGTGCCCTTAGATTTTTATACTAACCTTCCATTTCCAGAGAGAAACAGAGCTTGAATCCAGTCAGTGGGAGTGGGGGCAGTGGGATATAGGCATTGTGAAAGAAGAGTTCTATGCCTGTTTTTTTGATGCTGTCTTAATTTTTCTGCCAAGCCCGTATTTTTGTATTAAATAGTAATAGTAGAGGTTAGGATTGAGCCAGTATGCTGCAACATAGACTATTGTAAGGAATTTGTTTGAAAACTTATTTTCACAATCTAGACCAGAATTAACTACAATTAGGTAAAAATTAATTGCTTTCAGATTCAGATATTCAGATTGCAGAACATAAAAGATGATCCTCACATCTTTATTTTCCAATTCCCTGTTAAAAATATGATGATAAAGACAGCTTCTGCAACACACTCAAAGGCTCTTCTACTTCCTTATAATTTCATTTCAGTTATTCTAATAGAGATATCTCAAGAGTCAAAAAAAAGTGGATGCTAAATAAGTAGCTAACATTGATTGCTAAAACATGAGAAATTAGAACATTTCCCTAAAACTACATATATATATCCTGGTTCTCTGTGAAATTAAGTTAGCATTTTTTTTTTGTTCATGTTCTCTCTGTTGCATCAGGCCTACTGAAAGTTGATATGGCAGAAAAAAATAGAATAGAAAAATCTGTGTATTATCTATTGAAATTCATTAGAGAATGTTCCTCCCTGATAATTTTTGCTCCATTAAATACTTATTCCAAATTATCAACCATAACATATTTATGTTTGAGAAGCTCACTGAAAAGGAAACTCCATCCAGAGGATTCTCATCAGCTTTTCCACTTTAACCTGCTTTCCCAAGAGACCCTGTGCTCTGATTGCTAATCTTCTTATGGAGAAAAACGGGAGTAAGATTTCCTTAGAGACACCCCCGTCCCTGAGGTAAGAATGGGTGAAGATTACTAATCAGAATGGCAGGAGATACAGAATTTTAAAAATGTAACTCAGTTCCTCTTCAGATATTTTTATAAGCTGCTACAAAAAATGAAGAAAAACTAGGTCTAAACCTCTTGGACAAAGTATACTACTTACCCACTCCATAACGATTAAATTGAGACAGAAGGAGGTTCTAAAAATTTATTTCAGACCCTCTCTATAAAAATGCCTGTTTGTGAGCTGACCCCTCAATATGCCTTTCTTGGAAGCATTAATCACTCATTTTCAGGAACTTTTTTTTCTTTCTCCAGGGAACTTAAATAGACCATGTAAGGCTAGAAGTTTAATGTAAATACAACTTTTTAATTTTCTTCTCCAGATCATTATAGGCTGAAGTAGAATAAGAAATAAATTACAGAAATTATATTATACCTTATCACTGGACCTAGTTTTGGTCATAAAAATGATACATATCATTCAGAGTCTGCCAGTGTTGGAAGTTCAGACTAAAGACACTTTTTCAATTATGGAGGAGAAAAAAATATTTGTTAAAAAATTGCTCTATTAAAAGTTGTTGGCCTTTCTGCAAAAGAGCAGGTAGACTCTTCCCATTCTAAGCTTTTTTTTCCTTTTCATTATCATGCATTTACTTCTCAATATAGAATCACTTGATGCTGTTCAATATATGAAATTTTACCTGAGAGCAGGATCTCAGCTTATAGTTCAGGGAGTGCAATATGGCCCCAAAGGGTATTCCCAAAAGGAAACAGACACAAATGCCATCCTTATAGCCAGGGTGCTTCTCCAGTGAAGTGAGTAACAGAAATATAACCAAGTGACATTTGTTCCAGGGATTCCTACACAGTTTTGGATAAATCTTTTTGAAAACAGTTTATCAAATGTAAGTGTAGCATACAAATCTAACAAAAATGATTCACTTTACCAAGCACCATATCAGGCACTAAGCAAACATAAGGAAGTATCACTGTATTAAAGTAATGATGTAATATGCCTTGGGATCCAACAGACTTGGATTTAATTCTTGCTTAATCACTTCCTTGTTGTTTGTCTTAATCTGTTCTCAAGCTGGCTTGGGGAAAAGGAATTTATTGAAAAGTCCACATGTTTCTAGACTTTGCTTCTCTTCTCCTTCTAGGTTTTATTCCATCAGACAGGCTTGTGCCACATGGCTGAAAACATTGCTACTAGAGGTGACTTTGCCTCATTATCTCTGGCCCCAATTTTGGATCCTGGAAAAAGTTTTATAATTGTCTGATTTAAGGTAAGCACCAATCTCAGAGACAACGGTCTATTTCTGAGAGTAGATGGTCGGATGGTCTGAAATGGTATTAATAAGAATATGGCATTTTCAATTCGTACTATGTGGTTGCAATGATTTCCATATTAGAGAATGGCCTGGTGGATTCATGCCTAAATCCATTTCAGTTAGCCTCCTTTGCTACAAGTAAGAGAAATTCAGACCAAACTGGCTTGGGCAAAAAGGTATTTATTGTCCAGCATTACAGAAAAGTCCAGTTTTAGATTCAGCTATACAAAGGTGTTAACATCATATCATCAATTTCTAGTATTCTCTTTCTCTCTCTCTCTCTCTCTCTCTCTCCATTTCTTGGCTTCACTTCATTTTGGACTTCTTCTCTTAAAAAAAACTTTCATTTTGGTGCCAAAATGGCTGCAGAAACTCCATCTTTGTAGTTTTAAACCCACTGGAAATGGCAAGCCTCTTTCCTAGTAGCCCCCATGGAAATATAAAGGTTTATTCCAGTTAGACTGCCTTAAGTCACATTTTAACATGTGAAACTGATAGTGTGACTACAATAACGTTGGATAGTTTAGATTGACTTTGGCTTGAGTCAGGTGCTCAAGCAGGTAGCAGAGGTATGGAGCCCTACACAGAAGATATTGAAAATTTTTTAAATAACTGATGCTCATCTAAAAACTGGGGTTATTGGGAGAGAATTGTGGAATGGAGGCTGGAAAAGGCAAACACAAAAGTCTGTAAATAATGCCCTATGGAGAAGTAATAAGTATAAGGTACAGTAATTGTGTTAACAGGACACTTTCTCAAAAGTAAAAGCAGTTCTAATTTGATGTCAAAAGTGACAAGGTAGGTCACAACAGGTATTGTAAGTATATTCTCCACTCATCTCCTCAGAATACCAGTTATTTTCAGTACATTGAGGGATAGGATGTGTACTTTAGGTATATAGTTTGAGTAGAGCCAGGAAATAATGTGTTCCGGGAGCATCATTAGTGGGAAGATGGCCCTAAAAAACTTCAGAGAATAACAAAGAACATAAGAGGACTATTCAAAAACTAATGAGTCACCTTGGGTATACATAGATATTTGTGACATCAACTCGATGATGATAACAGCTGGTGAAAAGTGATTATTAACTTGTTTCACAGGTTGTATTCATAGACTGGTGAAACCCCAGGAAACTTTAGTTAAAATTACCCAAAAAATCTCCAAACAGTAAATGCACTAGAAATAGAGGAAAAAAATACAGGGGAAGAGAGAGAAAGCAATAAGGTAGCAAGAAAAAGAGGAAGACAAATTTAGTTCAGCAAGTTGTATATTGCAAGTCACAGTTATATGGGAGGGAAAAAAATAAACTTGACCTGAATCCTGCTCTGGAAGAAACTCTAATCTAGGAGTAAATATAGGACATTTACCTAACTAAATAAGATATAAAAAACAGTAAAGAGTACTGTATTAGTTCATTATCACACTGCTATGAAGAACTACCTGAGACTGGGTAATTTATGAAGAAAAAGGGTTTAATTGACTCACAGTTCCACATGGCTAGGGAAGCCTCAGGAAATGTCTAATCGTGGTGGAAAGGGAGGCAAGCATGTCTTACCACAGAGAAGCAGGTGAGAGAGAGAGAGCGAAGGGGAAAGTGCCACTTTTAAACCATCTGATCTCCTGAGAACTCACAATCATGAGAACAGCAAGGGGGAAGTCCCCCCGCCATGATCCAAACACCTCCCACCAGGCCCCTCCTCTGACACTTGAAGATTACAATTCAAGACAAGATTTGGGTAGGGACACAGAGCCACACCATATCAAGTACCTTGTATTCTTTTGAGAATTTCATGAAATAATAAAAATGCATGATGCATTTAGCATATTACCTGGCATACAGATGAAGCCTAATTAATGTAATAAATATTTTTTAGAAGAAAACAGTGAAAACATTAAAAAGTTACATTAAAAAATACTATGAGGGTTTTGGATGAAGAACACATTGAAAGAAGACTTTTCTGGTATAAGAAAATAGCAGAAGTAGAAGTACAATAGCAAAGATTTCAGAGCATTTGTATTATTAAGTTGATCAGTTTAATCAGAGTTGAGGAATGGGTTGGAAGTGCCTGGTTAGCAACTTATAGTAAGAGGAGAAGCAGCAAATTAATTCACTGATAGTGGACTCCCAGAATACAGCAATGTGCACTGTGATGGGTAATACCTGTTCTGGGTAGCAAAACTTAGAACTGATAATAGGCATGCCAAGAACATGCCATCCCAGATAGAGAGGAAAAACAAACAGAGTGGAAACTGAGCCCTGAAAAAGAGGTATGAGTGAAATGTTAAAAGTGAAAATGCTATGTTCAGAAACTTGGTCTTTTTCCCACAAGTGACAGTGAGCTAGCAAAAATTTTTGTGTAAGAAGATGATATTATAAATCTACTTTAGAAACATAGCCTGGCAGCATGTGAAGGAGGGAGGTACAAATTTATTCAGAAAATTACTGCTATGATCCTGCTGGAAGTAGTGATAAGGCCTCAAATAGGACTATGGCAATAGGAATGAAAAGATAATGGATAAAAAAATTCCAAAATACAATGAATAAATCATATTGCAAGTGAGAAGTAAGTGAGAAGATGAGAAAAAAAAAACATTCTGTGGTTTCTAATTTGGATTTCCATGGGGATGTAATAGAAATCATAGGAAGAAAGGAAATCTTGGAGAGTAGAAAGAGGAAATTTTGGTTTTGGACTTTTGAGTTAGTGCCAGCAGAACATCCAGTTAAAGTCACTCAGCAGATATTTAAAAATCTGTCTTCAGCCCTATAGAAAGGTGAGACCTACAGATTAAAACATGTGATGAATTTTCCAAGTGTCAGTATTAGTTAAGAACAGGGAATTGATTCTGTTTGCTTCTAGACTAATGAAGCATTCAAAAGTATTGCATTGATCATAGGCATGGAAGAAGAGTTAGAGCTGCCCTTTTCACAAATATTCTAAACAAGGCCACTTCTTGAATGAAGTGCAGGCTACACAAAAAGAATTTATCTAATGGAACTTGTAAACTGAGGAAAAATTGGAGCAACCTATATACAAAACAAAGAGATAAAAAGCAAGTATTTGACATCTAAGGAAGAAAAAAAAAATAAAAATAATGCAACATAAGTGATTAGTATTGAGAACCTTTGTGGAGAAGCTAAACTTTGAGCTTTAAGTCTTTGAGGTAAAGGTGAATTTTAATTATAAATTTAGTTTTTAGATAAATGAAGTATTTTTAAGGAAACGGAATATTGTTTTGTAGTAATACAAAAGTCCAGCAGACACTGAGCTATTTTACAAAATGTGCTTACAACGGATGCTCATAGAAGTTTGGTTGCTTTCTTCTGGAGTTTCCATTTACAATTACAGCACTGATTCCCTTAAAATGCTTAAAGTGTTTATTGACTTCATCTCTCCAGGATGTAGCAACTGGTAAAAGACTTGTTCTCCCAGTGTGAAAAACGATAAAACTGGACAAAGCATATGAGGCAATTGTTTTCAGGCATTGAATATGGGCAGTTCAGAACCTTCTGAGAGAAAGGAATTAAAAGAGATAAGCCCACATTCACTCAAGCTTTCATCTGGGATCAATTTCCCAAACAGCCCAAATGGGAGGTGAGGCTCAAACAGTGAATGGAGCACTTCATGATGAGAAGAACAGATCAGAGATCAGGACTGGGGAGGAGGCTACTAGAGAATTGGTAGGAGTATAAATCAAGGAGGAAGAATCTTCACACGAGATACCCTAGAAGTCTGCAGGTGACTCCCTGTAGGTCCTTGGCTGAGGACCGAATTGCACACATTCAGGACAAAGGTTTACAATACATAGCATAGTGTGGTTGCAGTGGGTCTGGGAGCTAAAAACAATACCAGAAGTCTTGTAGGATGAGGAGATGTTAGAGTTCTGACCCAGCTCGGATAGACAGAGCTTACTGAGCACCATGGGAATTCCACTGGAAAACCTGGAAAGACCATACCTTGAGTAAGAATCACCTACTGAAACAATGACAATACCCAAGGACTAGGAAGCACTGAAACAAACTTACCCCAACAACAAGTAAATCCAAACTAAGAGAATCAAAATTATTTTCTAGTGATTTAACTGCCTGCCGGAGCAAAATTTAACACTAAAGAAAAGCAATACAATCTAGACTCCCTTCAATGAATCAGCCACAATATTTAGTCTACAGTAAAAATTACTGGACATGCAAAGAACCAGGAAAAGACGACCCATGATTAGAGAAAAGAGTTGTCAATAAAGAGATACTGTGAAATGACTCAGATGTTAGAATTAGCAGACATGTATTTTTCAAAATGCTATTATAGACATATTCAGGACTTAAAAAAATGGACATAATAAATAAAGAGATGAGCTATCTCAGCAGAGAAAATAAACTTTAGAAAAGGCTAACAAAGACTTTTAATGAAAGAGAAATAGAGTTGGAAGACTCATGTTCTCTGATTTTAAGCCTTATTGAAAATCAGTAGTAACTAAAACAGCATGATGTTGGCAAAATAATGGAGATATAGACTAATGGAAGAGAAAAAATAATGATGGTCAATTGATTTTCAACAAAGGTACTGGCCCAAATTCAGAGGATAAATTAATCTCTTCAACAAATGGTTCTAGAACAAGTAGACAGCTCTAACTCATACAATCCACAATTTGATTCAGTATGAAGCACAAATGTAAAGACAAAAGTGGAAGCTGTAATTCTTTTAAAACAAAGCATAGGACAATAACTATGTGACTATGGGTTGGGTGAAATTTTCTTAGAATACAAAAAGAACTATAGGCCAGGCATGGTGGCTCACACCTGTAATTCCTGTACTTAGGTCAAGGAGGGAGAATTGCTTAAGGCCCAGAGTTCCAGACCAGCCTGGACAACAAAGAGAGACTGCTACTTTTACAAAAAATAAAAAAATTAGCTGAGTGTGGTGGCTTGCACCTGTAGGCCCAGGTACTTGGGAGGCTGAGGTGGGAGGATGCTTGATTTAAGGAGTTTGAGGCTGCAGTAAGCTATGATTGTGCCATATCACCCCAGCATGGGTGATGGAATGAGACCCTGTCTCTAAAAAAAATAAAAATAAGAAAGAACTACAAGAAAAATAATATGTTAGACTTCATCAAAAGTAAACATCTCTGCTTATCAAAAACCAGTGTTAAGAAAATAAAAAAAGAATGGCTAAATATTGGAAAAACGGCCGGGCGTGGTGGCTCACGCCTGTAATCCCAGCACTTTGGGAGGCCGAGGCAGGCGGATCACGAGGTAAGGAGATCGAGACCATCCCGGCTAAAACGGTGAAACCCCGTCTCTACTAAAAATACAAAAAAAATTAGCTGGGCGTAGTGGCGGGCACCTGTAGTCCCAGCTACTTGGGAGGCTGAGGCAGGAGAATGGCGTGAACCTGGGAGGCGGAGCTTGCAGTGAGCCGAGATCCTGCCACTGCACTCCAGCCTGGGCGACAGAGCGAGACTCCGTCTCAAAAAAAAAAAAAAAAAAGATTGGAAAAACATATTCTAAGTACACATATTTGATGAAAGACTTGTTTCCTGCATATAAAGGATATTTTCAAGTTAGTAATAAGAAGACAAACAACCTAATTAAAAAGAAGCAAAGGATTTAAAAAGACACTTCACAAAACAAGGTTTTCTAAATGGCCTCTAAGCACATAAAAAGATGTTCAATAGCTTTGGTCATCATAGGTATTCAAATTGAAACCACAATGAGATATCATTTCATAGCCCCTAGAAGAAACAAAATTTTAAAAGCTAACAACATAAAACATTGGCAAGGATGTGGAAAAACTGGAATTCTCATGCACTGCTAGTGGGAATGTAAAATAGTACCAAACTCTTCAAAGTTTTTTTATAAACATACATCTACCCTACTACTTAGCAATTACAATTGTAAGTATTTACCCAAGGGAAGTGAAAGTATGCATTCATAAAAAGAATAATACAAGAATATTTATAGGAACTTTATTAAAAATAGTCCCAAATTAGAAACAACCTGATGAACTGAGTTCCATTAACAGAGAATAGAAGAACAAATTGTGGTCCGTTTACTCAACAGAACATTATTCAGCAATAAAGGAAGCAATGAACTAATAAAAGCAATAACATGGATATATATAAAAACCTGCTGAACAAAAAAAGCCAAACATACTATACTCCATTTGGATGACATACAAAAGCAGGCAAAATTAATCTATGACCATAGAATTCAGAACAGTGGTGCTGCCTATGGGTAGTGAGGACTGACAAGAAAGGGACAGGAAGGAATTAACTTGGTAGTGGAATTGTTCTATCTCTTGATTAGAGTGTTGGTTACATAGAATTGTGTGTTTTAAATCTATACATTTTATTGTATGTAAAGTTTACATGCATACACA